>NC_000004.12:17447916-18072916 GCF_000001405.40 Homo sapiens | reverse complement strand
GCCATAAAAAAAGAATGAGATCCTGTCATTTGCAATAACTTGGATGGAACTGGAGGTTATTATGTTAAGTGAAATAAGCTAGGCACAGAAAAAAACAAACTTCACATGTTCTCATGTATTCGTGGGTGCTAAAAATTAAAACAATTGAACTCATGGAGATAGGGAGTAGAAGGATGGTTGCCAGAGGCTGGGAATGGTAGTGAGGGACATAGGGAGAAAGTAGGGATGGTTAATGGGTACAAAAAATAGTTTAAAAGAATTAATAAGATCTAGTATTTATAGCACAAATACTATAGTCAATAATAATTTAATTGTATTTTTAAATACTAAAAGAATATAATTGGATTGTTTGCAACACAAAGGATAAATGTTTGAGGTAATGAATACCCCATTTACCCTAATGTGATTATTACACATTATATGCCCTGTATCAAAATATCTTATGTAAACCATAAATATTTACACTTACTATGTACCCATTAAAATTAAAAATAAAATTTTAAAAATAGGTTTTTTAGAACAGTTTTAGATTTATAGAGAAATTGAGAAAATAGTACAGTGTTCCCAAATAGCCTCCCTGACACACAATTTTTCCTATTATTAACATCTTACATTAGTATGGCACAATTAATGAACCAATACTGATACATTATTATTAACTAATGTCCATAAATTATTTAGATTTCCTTAGTTTTCACCCAATGTCCTTTTTTTGTTCCAGGATTCCATCCAGGATATTACATCACATTTAGTCATGAAGTGTCTTTAGGCTCTTCTTGGTTGTGACAGTTTCTCAGACTTTCCTTATTTTTGATGACTTTGACAATTTTGAGGAGTACTGGTCAGGCATATTGTAGGATGATCCTGTATTGGAATTTGTCTGATGTTTTTCATATTATTAGGCTGGAGTTATGCATTTTTGGAGGAAGACCACAGAGGCAAAAGATCATTTCTTACTACATCATATCCAAGGCACATACTATCAACATGACTTATCACTATTGATGTCAACCTTGATCACCTAGCTGAAGCAGTGCTTGTCGGGTTTATCCACTGTAAAGTTAAGCTTTTCTTCCTCTTTCCATAATGTCTCTACATTTTGGGACATATTATGTCTGGCCCACACTTAAGGAATGAAGGATTATGCTCCTCCCCTTTAGGATGGAGAATCTACATGATTTATTTGAAATTCTTCTGCATGGGAGATTTGTCTCTTCTCTACCTTTTTTTAAGTTATTCAACAATGTATGTATATCAGTGTGGACTCGTGGATATTTATTTTGTACATTGAGCTATAATCCAGTACTATTTTATTTATCTTGTTGCTCAAATTTTTCCCACTTTGGCCATTGGCAGCTCTCTCAATTGGCTCCTGTGCCCCTTTGACATGCACATCAATGCGGGTTTTTTTGTTTTGTTTTGTTTTTCAGAATTTCCTTACTTCCTGACACTGTAAAACGTCACAGGCTCATTATGTATTATTCCTTGCCCTAATCCTAGTATCAGCCATTTCTCCAATTGTACTGTATTTTCATCTTTACTATCAATTTTAGTTCTTTCAACAGTTATCTGTTCAATAAATAGTCATGAGGTTCCTCTTTCCTTTCACTTCCAACAAAGAAGATATGAGAGGCAGACACAACGAAATAGGCTCAAAAGCTGTAGATTCCTATGGGAGAACGAAGCAGACTTGCATCTCCTTTTCTATGCTTGTTCCCCGCAAGTAAGACACACTCTCAGGCTGTCAAAGGGGAAATCCATCTGCAAGAGGAAGTCACTACATGGAATGCCTCAGAGCATCGCTAGAGAGTCCTTTGCCTCCAAAAGACCCTCTGCTTTCTCCTTCCTGCAGGAAAGTGTTCTTGCATCTCATCTTGCAAAGAGACGACAAGCATCCAGCACATCTATGTGCTCCAGAGATGGTCCAAACTCTGGTGTCAACAAAAAGGATAAAAGGAGCCCAGGGAAAGTCTTTAATGAAGACAGAAATATCCACAAGCCCTTCAACTCAGATGCCCTTATGAGAGTTGCCACAGTGTGTTAAGTGGCCTGTGGATCTTTCCATGAAGCAGCCTCAAGTAGGAGGAACTGAGTGCCATTTCTTAAGGGCACTGGAAGTATGTTGGTAGCATCACAACATACTGGGAAGGAGACCCAGCAAATCATGTGGTCCTGAAGGTGCCAATGAATGCATGGAGGGAAGGAGCTAGAACAGCTGACTGGAGTTTCCCTCTGATGGTACTCAGGCTGCTTCCTTCAGAAAACCTTCTCTGGTCCATGGGCTGGCCTGAGCTGGGCATCTGTGAGCACCTAAGGCTGCAAACTCTCATTCACTTATTATCCAATGTTTTATTCTGCCCCTGTTATAAGCCAAGCACTAAGCTAGGTGCTAGGGATAGAAAGATGAATTTATCCTCTGAGGTCTTAAACTCACAAAACAGGAATCACAAAGGTATCAACATGAAGTTATAATACTTGTGCTGTGATAGGTGACAAGATGCAAGAGAGAATAAGAATACCTAGAGAAGGGAAGATTGTGTAGATGAGGAAGCATCTAAGCAGAGTCTTAAAGGATGACAATTAACCCTTCAATTCCTTTGATGTTTCCACTCTTCCGCCTTTCTACATATTTTCTATTACGATACTATATTCTTCCCTCCGTTTACTCAGCTACTTTCTTTCTTTTTGTCTCCTTTTATAGTCACTTTTTTTATTTGCTCTCTGTATCAATCAGGGTTCCACCAGAGAAATAGAGCTAGTAGGATTTGTGTGTCTATGTATATGTACACGTGTGTGTGTGTATGTGTGTGTGTGTGTTGTATGGAGAAAGAAAGTCAGAGACAGAGAGAGATTTATTGCAAGGAAATGGCTAACACAATTTCACACAATGACCTGGCTAGGCAAATCTGAAATCTGTAGGGCAGGATGTCAGGAAGCACAGGCTGGAAACTCTCCTGCGGAAGCTGATGCTGCAGTCCACGGGCGGAGTTTCTTCTTTGTCAGGGAAACCTGGGTTCTGTTTTTAAGGCCTTTTAATTTATTGGATCAGGCTCACCCCAATTATTTGGAACAGTTTCCCCTTAGATTCAACTGATGGTAGATGTTAATCCCATCTATAAAATACATTCACAGCAACATCTAGATGAGTGTTGGGTTGAGTAATTAGAGACTATAGTGGAAATACAATAAAAGAAGGTGAAGCAGAGAAAAGAATAAGTACTCTAGCCTGGGGATCAGGAAGGTTTCACAGTGGAATCTCACATGAGCTGGACTTCAGAACATCAGTGGTACTTTCCTGAGAACAAAAGCAGAGTTGGGCATGGCAAGCCTAAGGAATAGCATATATGAAGAGGCACAAGCACAATGTCCCTAGAGTCCAGGGTGAAAGGAGCATAGGAGTGTGTGGCAGGGAAGAGAGGTGGAGGGAGGTAGGGGAGGTGGAGATGTGAGAGGGTGGTAAGATGTAAAGCCATCTTCTGAAAGCCGATATGGCATGCTCCCAAGTTTGGCCTTTATCCTGAAGGCAGTGAGAGGCAGACTTCCAACTTTGCTTTTGGCCATAGGGCAATTGTACTGTAAATTGATAAAGCAGCATTTGTATTTACTGTTTACAAGCCAGACATAGCAAATGCACACATCCCCGTGGAAATGTTGCTCGCCAGGATCATCAATAATCATGGCAGAGTAGGAACAGGGAGATTACACATACCAAAAACAAGTCAACCATAGCACACAACCCAGCCCATCACCTTACATCACCACATGGCTGAACTTACAGAGACTTTGGGAGGAAAGAAAACCTTCTTAGCTAAAACAAAGGAATATAATCCCCCAAATACTTCTCTCCTCTCTCTTTCACACATGCCAGTTCTGCACCATTTCACACAACTGACAATTCCCTCATCCTTCCAGTACTTGTTTCTCTTGGCTTCTGGGACATCCCATTCTTCTGGTTGTCTTCCTGCTTTGCAGAGTGAGCCTTCTCAGCCTCCTTTGCTGGTTCTTCTTAATGTTGGAGCCCGAGGTCTCAATCTTTGGACCTCTTCCCCATCTTCACTCATTCCTTAAGTGATTTCATCCAAACTTATTACATTAAACACTATCTATGTGCTTTCCCAAATTTATATCTCCAACTCAGACCTCTCCTCTCGATTACAGACTCTATATCCTATTGCCTGCTCAGTATTTCTCCTCAAGATGTCAGGCATCTCAAATGTAAGATGAATTAGAAACAAACAGTTGCTCTTTTGAGACAAGCCTGTTCAGTACACATAAATCATATGAATCATTTTAAAGCATAAATCACAACACTTCAGTCCTCTGCTCAAAACTGTCTAATAGCTTCTCATTTCATTCAGAGTAAAAGCCAAAGCCCTTACGATGTCCTACAAAGCTCTGTCTTATTTCCTTCCCTTTACCTGCCTGAAATTGATCTGACACTCTCCATCTTGATCATTCCACTCCACCCACAATAGCTTCCTTGCTTGTCCTCAAATACATCAGGCACCCATGAGCTTCAGGGCCTTTGCACCTGCTGTGCTCTCTGCTAAGGATGCTCATTCCCCAGGTTATCTCATCTCACTTTCTCATTGACATCATCTTTAACCACCTTATTTAAAATATTACACCAATGCTACCAATGCCCTTTCCAAAACACCCTGTCTTCCTCCTGCTTTATTTTCTCCATAGCACTCATCATTATCTAACATGTTCTATTTTTTTCCTTATTAATTTATTGTTTTTCTGTCTCTCCTGCCACCTCCTCTAGAATGTAACAAGCCATGAGTATTTTTTTCTGTTTTGTTCACTGCTGTATTCCTAGTGCATAAAACAGAACCTGACACATAGTTCTCATTAAATATTTTTTTAACTAATGAATCAATCTAGGAAGAAAGCCCAGGAGTTAAGAGTTTGAGAACCCTAGGTTTGAACCCAGGCTTCATGAGTTATGTTCTTTGTAACATTGGGCATATAATTAATCTTCTTCAGCCTGAGCTGCCTCATCTAAAAAGTGAGGATAGTAATATCTGTTTCATATGTATGTAGCAAAGATTAATTAGTTTTATGTATAAAAATACAATAGAGTAGGCACTCAACAAATTATTACACACTCATTTACCTTATTTAAGTTTTCTGGCAAGTCAAAAAGCCAACCTCGTAACAGAATGAGAGCTTCAATCATTGTTAGCAGTTATTAGATAAAATATGCATTGTAAAAAAGGAGCTTAGAAATCTACATTTTAAAACACTATTATTTCCATACTTATTACCATATTAACTCCCCAAACTTCAATAGGAAGTTACGGCCTGGATATATTTTTTAATTAAAATGATAGACTAAAATAACAGGTTGTCTATTTTGTCAGGTATTCATTCATAAAATTATTTATTTCACAAATATTTATTAAGTGTCTACTATGGGCTAGGCATTGTTCTGAAAATACAGTAGAAAACAAAACAAAGTTGCTGTTTCTGTGGCATTTATATGTACCAAGTGGGAAAAAGTAAACATATTGAGATAATAATGTGTTGTGAAGAAAAAACAATGTAAGGGGACACAGAGTGATAGTGAAGACAGAGATGCTATTTTTTATAGGATAGTCTGATGAGGTAACATTAGATTAGAAACCTGAATTAATAAGGGACTAGGCCACAAGGATACCTAGGAAATGATGAATCATGCATAGGAAACAGTAAGGGAAAGGCCCTGAGGTAGAAGCAAGTTCAATGTATCCAAGGAACAAGAAACGAAGCCAGTGTGTCTGTAACTGAGAGAGCAAGGGCGACAAAGTCCAAAATGAAGCCACCAATTGCCTAGGGACTACAGCCTGTAAGAAGCTACAGGCCTTGGCTTAACCACTAACTAATCTTAGCTACTAACTAATCTTCAAGGGATAGGATACATATTTGAATATTATACTCCTGATGTTTGATTAATATTGTGGCATATTCCATCTAGTTCTTCTTCCTAGGAATTTAATCATGCTTTCTTTTGTTCATTATTGTGATTATTTTATAAATACACTCTTAAATCTTGCTTTTTATACTTCTTACATCATCCAAATTTTGCATGGTTTTAAGCATTTTTTAAACATATCTATTTAACAGTTGTACAATGTACCATTATGTAGGTGTGCTTCAATTTAGTTAATCATTCCTCATTTTAGAAGTTCCTTACATTTTACTATTCTACACAGGGCAAAGACTTGGATTAAGATAGTGAACAAGGCCAACTTCCCCTTCCTATCCACCCCAATCTATAGAAATCATAGAAGAAATATATAGGAAGAAGAGGGAAAGAGGAAGAGAAGGTGGAGGATGAAAAAAAGAAGACGACGACAAAAGGGAGAAGGAACGGAAAAGGATAAAGAAATTATTTTGATGTTAATGGCGAGAAGTAAGCATATCATCAGTGGACCAGAAATATAAAAAGCAAAGGGATCAGCCAGGCGCGGCAGCTCACGCCTGTAATCCCAGCACTTTGCGAGGCTGAGGCGGGCGGATCACGAGGTCAGGAGATCAAGACCATCCTGGCTAACATGGTGAAACCCCATCTCTACTAAAAGTACAAAAAATTAGCTGGGCGTGGTGGCAGGCACCTGTAGTCCCAGCTACTCGAGAGTCTGAGGCAGGAGAATGGTGTGAACTCGGGAGGCGGAGCTTGCAGTGAGCCGACATTGCGCCACTGCACTCCAGCCTGGGAGACAGAGCAAGACTCCATCTCAAAAAAAAAGAAAAGAAAAGAAAAGAAAAGAAAAGAAAAGAGAAGAAAAGAAAAGAAAAGGGATCAGATTAACAGAGGGAACCATGACACAAAATACGCTCTGAGGAGGGGTGCTGTGGAAGTCCTAGTAGTGTTCTGGGTCAGATACAACCAGTACAAGGAGCCGAAGCCCTCCCACACTCATCAGGGTGGCTAATGGGAGAACAGCAATCAGAGCAGCTATGCAAGTCATCCCTTCCTCCATACTTCCTTGTGTTGAATAATAAACAGTGGGTTCACCACTTTGGCCTATGAAAATTCTTGTGAGAAAGAGTTAGGGTAGTGACTGGGGTTGCTAGTTCCACCCAGGCCCCCATATCCGTAAGTTCAGTGTAACCTACTTACGTACACATCTTGCCTTTCACCCATAATCACAAAATTTCATAACCAAATCATCACTCATACTGAAGCAAAAAGGATTTCTTCCAACACAAAGATAAATAGACAAGAGTCGCTAAACACTTACAATAAACAACAGCAAAAACAAAAACAGAAGAGGAGAAGAAACCTTTCTGGAATAGCAGAATAAGGACTTTTGAAGGTAAGCTCCTACATAAAAGCAAAGAGAACACGGGCAAAAATTATCAAAATCAACATCTCAGAACTCTGGAAATTAGTGAAAGGCTTAAGACAAGCCAAGGAGTTTTTATTAAGGAAAAATGATCAAAGCTCAGTAAGAATGTGAACCTTGTGATATTTTCACTTGCCCTATTCCCATCTCCTTATCCCTAGTTCTATAGCAGCTTTGAAAACCAACAGTCTTGCAACTATAATAACTGTGAAAAACAGCCTACAGCCAGTGGATGAGGCAGAACATGCTTAGAGTGCCCAGCAAATCTTCATTAGAAGAGCATTATTATTATTATGGCAGCTCCCTAGAAACCTCCACTCATAGAATTTGTCTTTGTTTGACCTCACTTGGAGCTGTTAGCTGTTGCCTTTTCCCCAGAGCATTTGTTGAAACAAAAACCAGTGACAATTATTTAATATCACAGCTGTCCAAGTTAGAATTAACAGCAGGGGCAAATAAACAAGAAGCTGACTAAATAACTTTTCTAAAAAAAATTTTAAATACTGAGTCATGAGTGTCCACAGGAGGCTTTGAGAAGGCACCAATATATTCCTGTGAATCTAGAAGGTAAAGTACATGCATAGGGCTGTGCAAATGCCCAGGAAAGAACTGATGTCTGGTGGAACTTGAGGCTCTGTGCAAGCAGGAAGTGAAGACAAAAACAAAATGGAACTACCTGAATATTGGAAGTGTGCCAAAACATGCGCATAACCGTTTGGCAAAGGCTGGTAGAACCACTAGGTTTGAAGGGTTCAAGGAAATTCCTGTCTTAGTTGACCACTATGCTGAGCAGAGACTTAATAGGCCACACATGGCAAAAAATACTGACCTTACAGAATTTGTTCAAGAAAATCACTCAGTAAATACAGAGCAAGAGCAACAAAAACAAACATAAACAACAACATACCATGGGGAAGGAAGGAGGGAGGATCTGATTTTCAGAATTGCCATATTATATTGTTTAAAATATCCAGTTTTCAACCAAAAATTATGACACATGAAAAGAAACTGGAAAGTGTGGTCCATACATGGGGAAAATGGGCAATGAATAGAAATTGTCCCTGAGGAAACCCAAACTTTGGGTTACTTCCTAGGAAGTAAAGTGGATTGAGAGTCCCCAAGACTACCCTCAGGTTCGGTGATTCACTAGAAGGACTCACAGAACACAGGAAAGCTGTCTTTCTCATGATTATAGTTTATTAAAAAGAGAGGATACAAATTAAAGTCAGGAAAGGGAAAAAGTACATACAGCAGAGTCCAAGAGCTACAAGGCCCAAGTTTCCAGTTGTCCACTCCAAGTGGAGTCATACAGTCAGAGCTTAGTTCTCCCAGCAATGACCTATGACAATGTGTATCTTAAGTATTGCCAATCAAAGAAGCAAACCCCTGCCTTGGAGTTCCAGGTTTTTACTGGGAGTTAATCATGTAGACACGAGGCACCCATGTGACTCATCTTACCTACGTAGTCCCAGCACCTCCTCACAGTGGTCAAACTGATACAGCATAGCCTACAGCCCCAGGGAAACAAAAGCAGGCATTCACCATGAAGCATATTGCTAGCATAATCTATCTGGACTGGCTCAAGGCACCAGGTATACAAAGACAATCTTATCAGGCAGGATATTCTGAGAGATTAGAGGTTATCTCCCAGGGCCAATTTTTTCTTTGTAATGTGCAGGGTTTAAACATCCCAAGCCCACTGAGTTAATTCTGTAATGCACGCAGCTATCATTAATATGTTCAAAGAAGTAAGGGAAATCATGTCACAAATTTAAAGGAAAGCATCAGAACAATGTCTCACCAAATGGAGAATATAAATAGATTAAAATTACAACAAAAGGCACCACACAGAAACTCTGAGGTTGCAAAGTACAATAACTGAAATGAAGATTCTCTACAGAGGCTCACCAGCAGATTTTAGATGATAGAAGAAAAGAATCAGGGAACTTGAAAATAGGTCAAGTGAAATCACTCAGTGTGAGGAATAAGAAGAAACTCTAATGAAAACCATCAAGTGGGACACCACTGAGTACCAATATACACATAAGGAAAGTTGCAGAAGGAGAAGAAAGAGATAAGGGGGGAAAATAATTACCAACAACTTTCTGAAATTAATAAAAAACATTAACCTAGTTATTTAAAAATTTCAATAAACTCTAGGTAGGATAAAGGTAAAGAGATCTACACCTAAACACACCATAAATAAATTGCTGAAAGGCAATGCCAAAAGCACAATCTTGAAAGCAACAAGAAAGAGGCAATTCATCACTCACAAGGGAGCCTAAATGAGATGAACAGCTGATTTTTCATCAGAAACCATGGAGGTCAGAAGGCAATGAAATAATGTATTCAAAATGCTGAAAGAAAAATATCAGCCAAGAATTCCATATCCATTAAGACTATCCTTCCAAAACAAAGGAGAACTAAAGACTTTCCTAGATAAACAAAAACCAAGGGAATTTATCATAAGCAGAACTGCCCTAAACAAAATACTAAAAAAAAGTTATTTAAGCCAAATAAAAGGATACTAAAAAGTACCTTAAATCCACATGAGAATAAAAGATCACTGGTAATACATGTAACTGACAGTTTTGAAGATAGAAATCAATAATTCACAAAAATGATTGCATAACTCAATACTACACTTTCAGAAATTGAAAAACTAGGCATAAGATCAAGAATAAAATACAGGACTTGACTTAAACAATACTATAAACCAACTAGATCAAACAGACATCTAAATACCACTCCATTAAAAACATCAGAACACATATTCTCAAGTGTATGTAGAATATTCTCCAAAATAAATCATGTTAGGCCATAAAGCAGGTGTCAATAAATTTCAAATAATTAAAATCATACACAGTATATTCTCTGACCACATGGAATGAAATTAGAAATCAAAACAAGAAGAAGAAAATTTGAAAATTTTACAAATATATGGAAATTAACATACTATAAATATCTACTGGTCAAAAAAGAACTCACAATGTAATTAAAAAATACTTTGGGGTTAATGAAAATAAAAATGCAACATAGCAACTAAAGTACTGCTTAGAGAGACATTTATAGCTATAAATGTCTATGTTAAAAAAAAAAAAAGGCAAGGCACAGTGGCTTACACCTATAATCCCGGTATTTTGAGAGACCAAGGCAGGAGGATTGCTGGAGGCAAGGACTTCAAGACCAGCCCTGGCAACATAGCAAGACCCTGGCTCTACCAAGAAAAATTAAAATTAGAATTTACTGGGCATGGTTTTTCATGCTTGTAGTCCCAATTACTTGGGAGTTTGAGGTGGCAGGATCACTGGAGCCCAGGCATTCGAGGTGCACCACTGCACTCCAGCCTGGGTGACAGAGTGAGAACCTGTATCTTTTTTTAAAAAAAAATGTTATGTTGGAGGCCAGGAGTACAATTATGACCAACCAAATTTTATCATAGGAATGCATGTTTGTTTTAATGCAGAAAAATTAATCAATATAAAACACCATATTAATAGAAAAAAGGATGAAAACCACTTGGTCATCTCAATAAGTATAGAAAAAACATTGGATAAGATTTGGTATCCAGTCATTGTAAAAAACACTTAAATTAGGAGTAGAGAGAAACTTCCTTAATCTGATAAATATACCCTAAAAAAAAAAATCCAGAGTTAACATTATACTTAATAGTGAAAGACTGGGTGTTTTCCCCCTAAAATTAGAAATAAGATAAAAATGCACACATTCACCATTTATTTATGATTTGGAAGGCTTAGTGTTTTTAACATATGGATCTACAGATTCTATGTAATTCCTATCAAAATCCCACCTGTGGGCTGGGCGCTGTGGCTCACACCTGTAATCCCAGCACTTTGGGAGGCTAAGGCCTCTTGAGTTCAGAAACTTGAGATCAGCCTGTTCAACATAGCGAAACCCTGTCTCTACTAAAAATACAAAAATTAGCTGGGTGTGGTGGCATCCACCTGTAATCCCACCTACTCAGGAGGCTGAAGCAGGAGAATTGCTTGAACCCAGGAGGTGAAGATTGCAAGGAGCCAAGATCACACCACTGCACTCCAGCCTGGATGACAGACTGAGACTCCATCTCAAAAAAAATGTCCTAGCTGCCTTTTTTTTTTTTTGCAGAAATTGATAAGCTGATTCTGAAATCTATATGAACATGTAAGGAACCTAGAAAAGTCAAATCAATCTTAAAAAAGAACTAAGTTGGAAATGTTCCTGATATCAAAACTTCAAACAAAACGACAGTAACCAAGACAGTGTAGTACTGATGTAAGGAAAGACATACAGATCAACGAAATAGAATTAAGAGTCCAGAAATAAACCCTTACATTTATGATCAACTGATTTTTGACAAGGGTGCCAAGACTATTGAATGGGAAAAGAATAGTCATTTCAACAAATGGTGCTGGGACAACTAGATATCCACACACAAAAGAATGAAGGTGTACCCTTCATGCCATTTATAAAACTTAATTCAAAATTAAGATGTATATAATTTTTCAAATGATGGACTGAATAGTGTAATAAATATGGCTGAAAATAAATATGTTAGTTGGAAATGTAAGTCAACTTACACTCCCAGAACACTGTATAAAAGGACAAAGAGGAATGTATTTTCAAAACTTCAGGAAATACTTCAACTGGATTCAGAAGTTTAGAACATATTTAATAGGATTTTTCAGAAATAATAACAAAGAATGGAGAAGAAACAACCAAAGAAATAAAAGAAGAAAATTTCCCCAAATTGATAAAAGATATGAACATTCCAGAGTCTAATGTACATATTATAAGGAGTATAAATACCTATTATAAATTTTCAGAATTTCAAGCAAAAGAAAATATCCTAAAAGCTTCCAAAGTAGGGAGGGGAGGGGCATTAATACCACAAAAGACTGAGATTTATAGTGGCATCAGAATTTGTATTAATTTTAAATGCCAAAGGTAAGGGAGCAATATCTTCAAAGTTCCAAAGGGAAATGTAAGCCTAACAAAACAAGCATTTATATTATTATAAAATGTTTGTATTTGAAAACTAACTGAATATTTACAGACTATCACAAACTTCTCAAGAGCGTAAAACAAAATAGGACTATACAATGGGGTTCATTTAAAAATTAAGGAACACTATTTCCATTTATTCAATATATATATGCATATATATTGAACTACTACCACATGACAGAAAATATTACAATCAGTAGTGACAGTAGTGACACAAAGGTGAACAAGATACAATCTCATTTTATTCATGATTCCATATTTTCAAATTAGCCTACTCCCTAAAATTAATTTGGAATCCCCAAGCACTTTCATTGTCATTTGTGGGAATGCACAGATCAGTGAAAATTTGAGTCACACATTTCCAGCTGAAGTTGAACAAGGTGAATCTCTGTCTTCTTTTTCAGCTGTCATACTATAAATGTGTCTTTTTAGTGGTCTATTTAGTGCCGATTTTTGTGCTTTTTTTTTTTTTTTTTGTAATCTCCTTGTTTAATATGGTCCCCAAGCATAGTACTGAAGTGTTGTCTAGTGTTTCTAAGTGCAAGGAGGTTGTGATGTGCCTCACAGAGAAGACAGGTATGTTAGCGAAGCTTCATTCAGACATGAGTTATAGTACTGTCAGCCACTGAGTTCAATGTTAATGAACTAGCAATGTATATTAAATGGGGTGTTTTTAAACAGAAATGAACATACAACAATGTTATGTATTGATCAACTGATGAAAATGTGACCAGAGGCTTTCAGGAACCTAATCCTGTATTTCCCGGGAGTAATAGTTTTGTATTTGCTAACTCGATGTTTACAGAACTTTACCATGAATAACAAGAATTGACTATTTTGTTTGTCCTCAAGTAGAGTACAAAGTTTTAAATAATATATAATTTTTCATAAATAAAAACCAAGTGAGCCATCTAAAAGCTTGAAAAGTGTAGTTCCAACTATATTCTTTAAACTTTACCAGCTGCTTTCCTTATTCTTTCAATATCTAAAATGTTCTAAATATAGTCTGTCAGTTCTAGCATCCTTAAATTCTTAAAAAGAGGGGAATCTGTATTTATGTTATTGTGTCAGCCATTTTTCTGGGTATTAAATCTCACTTTGTGTATTTTTTAAATTTAAAAATAATGAATTATTTTCCTGGGTGCTTTTGGAATCTTCTGTAGAAATCTCAGTGTGATGATTAATTTCAGGTATTAACTTGACTGAATTAAGAAATAGCTAGATAACTGGTATTATTTTAAGGAGTGTGTCTGTGAGGTTGCTTCTGGAGGAGATTGGCATGTGAATGTGAGTGGACTACGTGGAGAAGATCCACCCTCAATATAGGCAGACATGATCCAAATAACTGGGAGCCCTGACAGAATGAAAACAGAGGAAAGGCAAATTGATCCCTCTCTCTTCTTGAGCCAGGATACACTCTTCTTCTCCAGCCCTCGTACATCAGAAACCCAGGCTCTTCAGCCTTTGGACTTTAGGACTTATATCAGTGGCCCCCACAGGTTCTTAGACCTTCAAACTTGGACTGAGCCATGCTTCCAGCATCCAACTTGCAGAGGGCTGTCTTGGAACTTCTCAGCCTCCATAATCACATGAGCCAATTCCCCTAATAAATTTTCCCTAACATATTTATCTATAGATAGACATAAAGAGAGATGAGAGATAGAGACAGACAAATACATTAATAGATATATCCTATTGGTTTTGTCTGCTTGGAGAATGCTGACTAATACGCTCAGTATATCCTTCATTTCATGAGGGAGAAAAATCTCTGTTTTTTAATCTACAGAATAGTCAGCTTTGCATCTTTTAAAATAAATGTTCTTCTTTTATAAATTTTTATCTTTTTAAGGTCATTTTAATTTTTTTATAAATTTGCCAATTATTAACCAGTGAGAAATAGCAACACAGAAAAAAATTAATTAAATGGAACAAAAAGTACAGTACCAAGCAATGGTGAGATTCATGAAAAGCAACTGGGGAAAGATGTTAAATACTTTGAAAATATATATTCATATTAATTCTTATAAAAATATCTTTTTAAATTGAACTTCCTTTTTATTTCCCTTAAGAAATAGAATACATTCATTTTTATATAAAATAACCTTTTATTGTAATTGTTTCTCTCATTTGCATATTTGGCAAGACTTCCTTCTGTCAACCACTTATCTA
Source organism: Homo sapiens (assembly GCF_000001405.40). Classification (NCBI taxonomy): domain Eukaryota; kingdom Metazoa; phylum Chordata; class Mammalia; order Primates; family Hominidae; genus Homo; species Homo sapiens. Next base: position 18,058,406 of record NC_000004.12, on the reverse strand, counting down.
TAATGCTGAGACATTTGAAAGAGCTAAAACACAAGGGTTAATGGAAGTATCACTCTAACACATACTGAAAGGCATTTCTTATTCTTGCTGTCTTTGAACAAGAAAGCAACTAAATTTGCATACCATTTTGCTAATACAGGTAGTCAAAGCTCAACTGTGAGAGTGGAAGAGGAATTTTAAAAATTCTTTAACTGTTCTAAAATGTACCTTACTGAACCCTACTCCTGTTTTTTAGGGGCAGACTGACCAATATATACCAGATATAAATTAAAAATTAAAAAATATACAATTTTAATAGCATTTTCTTTCAGTCAAAAGTGTCCTAGTGATGAGGTATTTGTGTGGAGGGGGATGGAAAGAAGAGCCCGAGGGGGCTGACATGATTCTCTTTGCTGTTTCACACATCTCTTGCGCAGTTATCATCTCCCTGGTCTGCCATTGTTTTCTTCTGGCCCAAGATAATATAGATTTTTTTAAAACCTTAATTCAAAAGCTGTTTCTTTTTATTGAGGAGTTAACTGGAAAGATTTTATCATTTTGTACAACAGTAGCAGAACTAGTTTTTAGTTCATGAAAAATATAAGATGTTTTTGTTTGTTTTCTGGATCACCTAACCTTAAATATTATAATATTTTGTAAGATTTTCAGAGCAGTTGCAAAAATAAAGGAACTTTTGTATCCTGTCTCAAAAACAGCTTCGTCAAAAGGAAAATCTGGTCTTCTGTGTCAATTTGAGAATCCCAAGCTTTGGGGTGCAAACTACAAGTAATACTTTGAACTACAAAGAAACCACAGGCTTCCAAAATAGTAACCAGCAGGAAGTTTTGGTTTTGGTTTTGGTTTGTTTTGTTTTTGAGACAAGATCTCGCTCTGTCACCCAGGCTGGAGTGCAGCGGCATGATCTCAGCTCACTGTAACCTCCGCCTCCCGGGTTCAAGCAATTCTCATGCCTCAACCTCCAGAGTCGCTGGGTTTACAGGCGTGGGCCACCATGCCTAGCTAATTTTTTTTGTATTTTTAGTAGAGACAGGGTTTTGCCATGTTGCCCAGGCATGGTCTCGAACTCCTGGCCTCAAATGATCCACCCGTCTCAGCCTCCCAAAGTGCTGGGATTACAGACATGAGCCACTGCACCTAGCTGGAAGTTTTGTTTTTAAAAAAAAACAAAAAACAAACTTTCTCTGCAATATTATTTTCAATTGATTGACTTGCATTTTATTTAAAACAGTTGATGATTTTCCTTCCAGAGGAGGAGGCAGCAAGGATTCTTTCTCCATGTTAAAAAATAATAACAGTAAAAGATACTCCATATAATAGTTAAAGAAAATGCTTAATGACAAAAAAAACCTGTGAATTAATTACACTCTTAAATGAGATTGCACTATACATGTCATAATAGCATCTTAACCGAATGGAGGAATAATAGTGAATACATGGGTGAGAATGAATTTCTTTAGTCTCTTGATTTCTCATATAAACTGATAGGATTTACTATTCTATTGCAATTAATTCATAGCCTTTTTAAGACTCAGAAGCCCAAAATGTGGGAAACTACAGTACGCAAGAAAAAAAATTACAGGTATTGAAACCAGTAAACTCTGGTTTTATTTCTGACTGTGCTTCATTTGTTGAACTTGGCCCAATGACCTTGAGCCTCAGTTTCCTCATCTGTCAAAAACAAGCACTAGTACATTCCTTACCAGATGTAATTATTAAGAGGAACAAATTAGAAAATAGATGCAAAATCTGGATGAAATTTTTAAAGTACTATACAAATTATTCACATTGTTTATTATTAGAAATACCATTAATTGTTTAATGCCTAATTTTAACAAATAAATCAAAACCTGCTATTAAATAGAAATATATTCAAAGTGAAGATGTGTGTAATTTTATATGCTTCGTAAATAAATATTTTTTCTTAATAAATCAAATTCACTGTGACACAGTCTTTAAACTGAGAAGCCCTCTTATTTTCAAAAAGAATGAAATTATTAATTGAAAAATTGGGTTAAATAGAACTTCATAACTCTCTTGATATTTATTTTTTAACTTATCATGGAAAAAAGTGCATGCCTTATCTCGCATTCAAATCATAAGCTCTTTGAAGACAGTGTTCTTGTTTGTTTCATCTTTGCAACCTTCACAGCGCCTGCACACATAGTTGAAAGCACAGTTATTATAAGCCACAGGCATCCAACAGAAAGAGAAACAGCTTAGCTTCAGATCCAAGTCTATCTAACATTACAGTCTTACCCTTTCCTGATGTTATCCCAGCACCATAAACTAGTCACTCATTTTGCAAAACAGTGTGTAAGGTTCTACTGGTAGCAGGTCCTCCACTTATGTAAGATTTCAGTTAACCTATACACTTGGCTTCTCCAACTTGTGTTCCTGGTTCATGCTCTTCTCACTGCTCCTACCTCTCAAACCTTTGCCTGGTTGGTCTTTTCCACAAAGAAAAGATACCTGGAGCCCTTTAACCCTAAAGCACAAAGTAGTCTCCTGATAGTATCTCCTCTACCCCAGACAGAAAAGATGTGGTTCCCACAGAATCTCTCAGATTCAAATTCAGGTTGGATAATTGATGTTTTGAAAACTTCTAAATGTCAGTGTTGTCCATCAGCATCCCTGTTGATATCAAACCGCTGAAAATCTTCACTACTTCCAAGTACTCTGTTTTCCATCTTGCCCCTGTGTTCCCAGTGCTACCTCACCATGGCTGGGTGCATCATAGAGACATTGGTGTGTAAAGTTGTCAGTTGGGTCTACTTCATTGCTTGCTCATCCTGGCCTTGTTCTCTAACATCTGGACTTCAGAGGGAAAACAAAAAATTACTCTTTTCCCTACAGAAAGGTAATATCCAAGGAATCAATTAATTGATGTGGTCCTACCTTTACCGAAAGCATGTCCCTCAGAAAGCTAGCCCCTGGAGATGCTCCACCAAAAAAAAGAAAAAAGAAAGAAAGAGTGAGGGAAGGAGGAAAGGAGGAAGGAAGGAAGGAGAGAAGGAAGGAAGGAAGGAAGAAAGGAAGGAAGGAAGGAAAAATGGTTGAGGGAGAGAAAAAAAGAAATATTCTTGTGATCAAAAAAAGTATGGTAATTAGTTCACAATGTATATGTAAATCAAAACATCATGTCACACACTTGAAATTTATGCAATTTTATTTGTTAATTTTGTCTCAAATCTGGAAATAAGTAATACTGATGACATTTTGCTAAAAAACAAAATGCAAGCAAACAAAAGTATGAGAAATTCTGCATACCTTACCATTTGCTTGCAGATTGACAAGAGATTTTCACACACCCTTAACTTCCCTAAAAGTAGGAAAGATGCAAGATGCTTCTACTATGTCCAAAAGGCTGCTAGTGACTTATGGAAGATACTTAACAAATATTTGTAAAGCAAAAAATTAAATTAATATTTAATTCTAAACACTGAGAACTACAATTTAAAACCTTTCTTTTTTTCAGTTTTGCTTCACTCGGATTTACCCAAATATATCTGAACCAAGAACACTTGTTTCAAGGAACATCTCTAAATATGCCAAAGAAACAGTGTTTTCTACATCAAATTCTAGGAAATGTTGATGGGCACCGTAAGTCAAGCCAAAGAAAACCCACTTTGCTCTACAGATTAGAGAATATTTTGTTTGAATTCTCTGGAATCTTGAGTATTCCTGGAAGCAATCAGACCCTTGTCCAGTTATTAGACTCTTATCTAATTCCCATTAGAAAGGGTTGTTAGGAAAGTAGAGACCTTAAAACCTCTTACAGTTGCTCAGTTTCCTGACATTATGGGTATATTAACCAGCTCAATTGTAGGAGATGGTCTAGCTTCGTGTTCTCTAATAGTCTATTTTCCTCAGACTGTGTAAACACCAATTTGCCATCTTTATCAGGTTTTTGAGATATACATACAACTCTTTATCCCAATGTCAACATAATTTCTTAAAGCTTAAGAATAAAAAATACCTTGAATATTACTCAGTGACCTAGTTCTACAAGCACAGAAAGAACTAAGAATTCTTAAAAGAATTCTTAAAAGCACACAAAAATGCTTTTAAGTCGTATTTTGATGAAAAAAATGGGACGTGGAAATATGAAGAAGACAAGGCAGCCAGTGGGAGGAAGGGATGATAGCAGAAATTTGAAGGATCTAAACAAACTTCATGCCAAAACCAGCAAACAAGTTTCCCGGCCTGCTGTATAGGGTTTGAGATAATTTGGAATAAAGACACTCAACATTTAATGAGGAGCTACTATGTGTGAGTTGAACACTATTCTGGGCTGTCCCCAATATTTCTCTTTCAGTCCTCCCAGGAACCCAGCAAAGCAGCTGTGATTATAATCTTCACTTCCAGGTGAAGAAATGGAAGTTCAGAGTGGTTGAGTATCTTGCCCATAGACCAATACTTAAAAAGTGGCACAGCCAACAGTGAACCCCAGGTAGTCTAACATTAGGGCTAGAACAAGTTATCATGCTACAATGGAAGGCAGGGAGAGGAAAAAAGCAAGGGAAATGATGCCTTCTGAATGTTTTATCTCTTTATAGGCTTAAAATTTTAATGTTGTATTAAAGATGTCACAAATATATATTTTGCATGTATGTAAATATTGTATATGTACATCTAAACAAATCATTGCATACATGATTTTTATCAGTTTTTTGAAAAATTTTAAGAAAACTGTTGAAAGTATTGTATAAAATTTTTTTAAGTCAAAACAACTAAATCGTAAGAAAAAGATTTCTATGTTTTACAAAAGTTTGAAAAATTTTCTGATGCTAAGAATTGTTCAAGTCCAAATATTCAAAAAGCAATCAGACCCTATTTTTAAAACTCAGCCATATCTGGCTGCATTTATAAATGGCAAAGTTCCATTAGCATCAAACTCTAAAGTAGTACAAGGTACAAATGACCCAACAGCAAAGGGAATGAGATATTATATCTAGAGGTGTTATATCAAAAGGCTTAATAGAACTTAAATACGCTGCTTTAAGGTGTCTATTAAAATATGGCCATCTTGCCAAGCTTATTAACTGTATTAGTCCATTTTCACACAGTGTAGAGAACTGCCTGAGAGGGGGTAATTTATAAAGGAAAGAGGTTTAATTGACCCACAGTTCAGCATGGCTGGAGAAGCCTCAGGAAACTTACAATCATGGCAAAAGGCAAGGGGGAAGCAAGGCACCTTCTTCACAAAACAGCAGGAAGGAGAATGAACGCAGGAGTACCTACCAAACACTTACACAAGCATCAGATCTCGTGAGAACTCACTATCACGAGAACAGCATGGGGGAAACCACCCCCCATCATTCAATTACCTCCATCTGGTCTCTCCCTTGACACATGCAGATTATGGGCATCATGTGGTTTACAATTCAAGGTGAGACTTTGAGTGGGGACACAGTCAAACCATATCATTTACTGTAATGGGGTGTCCTACAAACACATTTTCATTCCAGATCTGCAACTTACTAGCCATGTGAACACAGGCACATTACCTCATTTCACTAAGTAATACCAATATTATTAATTGCACATACAATAATACATAAAGTGCTTATCACAGGGCCTGCCAACTAGTCGGCATATTACATAGGTTATATTTTACTTCAGTATTTATAATGTTTTAAATGCTTCAACTGACAAATTGAAAAAAATATACTTAGTTCTCATTCTCCTTGAACATTTCACAACACATTTGACCCTTTAGCTTCTCCTTGAACTTCTCTCCTTCCTTAACGTCTATGTCATTGAACTATATTATCCTTCCACCCACTTTTGTGAATGCTGTTATTCATTCCTTTCTTCTTTTCTCCCACTGTGGGCTAACCCAAAGAGTAGTCCTTGGCATTCTTCTATCTCATCATACTCTGTCTCCCCAGCAAGCTCATTCACTGTCATAACTGCCTGAATCACATCTAGGTAGATAACAACCAAATCTGCATTCACTCCTGCATCCTTTCATGCCTTCCTTGTGCTTATCTAGCTGACTCTGGACATTTCAGTGTGACTGTCATGCTATTTGCTATCACTCATCATGACTAAAATGCCAGTCACCATTAACCTCACTGTATCCTCCGTACATCATCATCCAACTTTCCAAGCAAACAAAAAACAAACTCTCAGCTGAAGGAGAAAATGAATTGATGGGAAGGCTGTGTGGGTAGCTGCCAGGATCAATGGGAGGGCTGGAGAATGAAACTCAGAAAACAGGCAGAAGCCAATGGGAGCCAAGACCCAGGCACACCCCACCACAGACCCAGGCTGCTGAAGATGCTGCCCTCATGCCACCATCATCCAACACTTACTATTATAAGTAAGCGTTGGTTGGACTCTCAACTCTGCCACACACACAAAAAATGTCTGACCATCCACTGCCCCTTTTCATTACTTCCTCAAGCATCAGAGTTCCAGATGGGAGTATCAAGTGGGCCTAGCTTAGGTCACATAGCTACTACTACTAGGGCACGTACCTAGCTACTGTATGCAAAATCTTGGAAAGAGATTATCTGCTCCTGAACACACACTTCTGGCTCCCATGGTGGAGGTAGGAATATTTGTCAGTTTTCTCCAAAAAAGCAAAATATAAAAAATATATAATATATATATTCTATGGAGATGGATATATACATATGGAAATTGGAAAATTAGGAAGTCCTGTAATCTGCAGTCTACAAGCTGGAGACCCAGGAAAGCCAGTAGTGTAGTTCCAATCTGAGTCCAAGGGCCTGAGAAGCAGGAGCGCTGATGGTGCAAGTCCTACCCTGAGGGCAGGAAAAGACTGATGTCTCAGCTCAGCCAGTCAGGCACAGAGACAGAGAGAGCAAATCCTCCCTTCCTCTACCTTTTTGTTCTAGTCAGGCCCTCAACAAATTGGAGGATGCCCAAACACATTGGGCAGGGTGGAGGGGTGGGGCAATATGCTTTACTCAGTCCCCCAGTTCAAATGTTAATCTCATCCAGAAACACTCTCGATGACACATCCAGAAATAATGTCCAGCCAATTACTTGGGCACCTTGTGACCCAGTCTAGCTGACACATAAAATTAATAAACACAATAGGAATTGAGTATTTGGGTCATGGGCAGCCAAAACCAGCAAATGTTTCTGCACCTTCCTATAAAACTAGCTTTCCCTCCTAACCATGTGGCTTTTGTCATTATCCTCAAATCACTCATGTGGATACTCTCATCATTATCAATTGGTTTTGGGGTATTATCAAAACTTTCCTCATGGTATCTTCTTCACTCTAGTCCAATTTCTCATCACCCCATATGGCACTTTCGAAATCATCTTTTCACTGGCTCCATCTTTAGCGTCTCTCCTAAACATTTGTTGTGGACATTTTCTCATTTAGTAATAGTACCCCCATTTTGCTAGATAATTACCTCTCCTTCATTGCATCTGAGACTATTAATCAAGGTGAACTCCAACCTCCAAAAGCAGATCCATGACTAAAATAAACTATCACACATTTCCTCTTGAAATACAAATATTGAGCAGACATACTGCAAAAACTGCAAATGGTTGTATCTAATTTATTTAAGGTGATATATCATGGCAGTTCTGTAATCTCTCTACCTAGATCCCTGTAGTGGACTTGGTCTTGTGAGAATCTAAAACTGATTCTCTAGGCTTCCCTGATGTGAGTTCCCCCATATTCTTCCCCTCAAAATTACTTTTTCTTTAGACAGGGTCTCGCTCTGTCACCCAAGCTAGACTGCAGTAGCGTGATTACAGCTCACTGCAGCCTTAACCACCCACGCTCGAGCAATCCATCCACCTCAGCCTCCTAAGTAGCTGGGACCAGGTGCACATCACCTTGCCCGGCTAATTTTTTTATTATTATTTGTAGAAACAGGGTCTCACTATGTTGCCCAGGCTGGTCTTGAACCCCTGGGTTCAAGCAATCCTCCCACCTTGGCCTCGCAAAGTGCTGGGACTACAGGCATGAGCTATTGCGCCCAAGCTCAAAACTACTTTTGAGCTTAAGTTAGCTTTCCACTATAACTCTCTAATAAAGCACTGCTGTCAAATTAATTTTCCTGAAATATCTAATCATATTACTCTTCTGTTCATAAACTTTCCAAATCTTCCCATAAAATAAATAAAAGTCTTTCAAATGTCCTTTAATGCCCTCCACATTGTGGTCTCAAACTATCTGTTATGGGTTGAATTGTTTCCTCCCTCTCCCTCGACCAAAAATTCATATGTTGATGTCCTAACCCCCAGTACCTCAGAATGTGACATTATTTGGAACTAGCTTTGTTGCAGATATAATCATTTAAGATAGCCAAGCGCGGTAGTTCATGCCTGTAATCCCAGCACTTTGGGAGGCCGAGGCAGGTGGATCACTTGAGGTCAGGAGTTCAAGACCAGTGTGCCCAACGTGATGAAAGCCCATCTCCACCAAAAGTACAAAAATGAGATGGGTCTGGTGGTGCACACCTGTATTCCCAACTACTCAGGTGGCTGAGGCAGGAGAATCACTTGCACCTGGGAGGCAGAGGTTGCAGTGAGCCAAGATCGCAACACTGCACTTCAGTGTGGGTGACAGAGCGAGACTTTGTCTCAAAAAATAATAATAATGATAATAATTACTTAAGATGAGTTCATACTGGAATAGGGTAGGCCCTTAATCCAATATGACTCCTGTCCTTATAAAAGGAACACCATTTGAAAAAAGACACATACAGAGGGCAAATCATGGGAAGACACATGGGAAATGACATCTACAGGAAATGCCAAAGATTGTCAGCAAACCACCAGAAACTAGGAGAGAGGCACGAAAGAGATCTCCCTCGCAGCCTACAGAAGGAATCAATCCTGCCAACACCTTGATCTCAGACATCCAGCCTCCAGAATTGTGAGAAAGGAAATTTCTGTTGTGTAAGCCACCCAGTTTATGGTACTTTCTTATGGCAGCCCTAGCCAGTAAACACACTATCTTTTGACATCTAGCCCCCGACAACTGTCTTACAAAAATAATTTTTTCCAGTACAATAATGACTCACTAGAGCATAAAAGACCAACTACCTTCTTACCTCTATACCTGTTACCATGACACGCCCCTCCATCTTGGCATCTTCACCCCATTATTTTCTTCAATCTAAATCCTATCCAATCTTCAAGACTCAACTATTGTCCTATATCCTGTACCTTTGTTCTATATTTCTTTTCCATCTCAGACAACCTTCCTAAAGAAATAATTAATGCTCATGTGTCTACATTCACAAATTCTATTTGCCCATCAACCTCCAGCAATAAGTCTTCTTTGCCATCATTCTACAGAAACTACCTTCTCTGATGTCCCAAATATCATCTTTGTTGACAAATCAAATGGACAACTATTTGGTCTTCATTTTTCTGGAACTTTTTATTCTATTTGACAAAATTTGCTACTTTTTCTGTTATGAACTAAATTGTGTCCACTCCAGACCCCACGAAATTTATATGTTAAAACTCTAAACCCCAATGTGACTGTATGTGAGGACACAGAGAGAAGGCAGCCATTTGCAAGCCAGGAAGAGAGCCGTCATCAGAACCCAACCATGCTTGCACCCTAATCTTGGACTTTCAGCCTCTAGACTGTGAGAAAATAAATGTCTATTTTGCTTAAGTCACCCAGTCTGTGGTGTTTTCCTTTTGTAGCCAGAGCGGAAAAAGACTCCTTCCTTTTTAAAAGCTTCTCATTCTTTAACTTCCATACTACTACTCTTTTTTGATTTTCCTCCTACTAGTCTGGCCACAGTAACTCAGCTCTCCTTCCTTCACTCATCACCCAAATGCTGTTGTCCTCCTGGGGTCTGAGTTAGGCTGTCTTCAAAATCTACTCTACACCCCTTCCTGGAATTAGGTCATCCATTCCTATGGTGTTAACTAATAGTTGTATGATAATGACTTTCAAAACTGAGATTCCTGAACCTCAGATATGATATGCTAGTGTCTATCCCCAGTACTCACCAGGAGAAAAGGCTTCCCTGTAATAATTCTGAATTGACCAATGGTGGATGCATGTGATTTCTATTTAAATCCTATCATTATGAATGGAAGACATGTTCCAGTTGAAACGGGCAGAGAATGGACAGCTTAGGCCAGAAGCCCGGGAGTCATCCTTGATTCACATAATTCAACACGTTCTAGGGTTTCCAAGTCCTCAATATCCTTCAAATGCATCTTTTTCTCTGAAGCTACACTGCCCTAGTTTTACTGAGCCCTTTACATTTTTCTCATTCAGAGCACTGCAACATCCTAACAAGTGTCCTGACTTCCAGGCTGTTCTCTTTAATCCTCTGTCCCTGACACAGCCACCAAAACACTCCCTCCAAGATATAAATCTGATCATTTCACTATAACCTAAACAATTTTAGGCTCTCTCCTTTGCCTCTAGAGAGAGTGTACACACTCCTTAGTACGGCATACATGGCCCTACGTTATGGGGCCCATGTGCTCCTCTTTGACCTTATTTCTCCTCAATCTCCTCTTCTAGAACCATTTCTAAATGTGAAAACTGGGCTTTAGGCTCACTGAATTTCCATATTTCTCTATATGATCACATTCTCACGATTATTCTGTGCTTTGCACATGCACATCCCACTATGTGGCATCAGCCCAAACACAAACTTTCTTGCACATTTGTGTCATCTTCTCTGCATCCTTTCCTTTTGGAAACTGCTTTCTCCTCATTTTGTGTGATTTGGGTTAGGAACCCTGAAAGTGATACAACCAGTCATTATATTCATCATGAGCTTGAATTAAAGCAAGACTTTAAATCTGAAATTTTGGAGATAGAGAAATAAGGTGAAGGAAACCCCAAGAAGCAATTAGACATCTACTCAAAACATAAGACACTCTATAGAACAAGTGACTAGGTTTTTACAAGAAGCCAATGACATTTTTAAAAGGTCATTGGCTTTAAAAGGAACTGTCTAGGTTAAAAAAGACCTAAGAAACATAACAACCAAATATAGTGTGAACATCTTATTTGTATTAGATGTTACCAGATCATCTGTAAAACAAAAGAAGGGGGGATATTAGGAGAATTTGAATATAAACTATATTAGATTTTATAAAGGAATTATTGTTACTCTTGTTAGGCATAATATGGTCTGTTGGATATACAAGAAAATGCCCCCTCTTTTAAAAGGATGCTTCCTGAAATATAGAGGAGAGAAATATCAGGACATCTGGAATTTGCTTTAAAATATTTCAGCAAAGAAAAAAAAGAGAAGCAATATTGGAAATGTTAATACCTGTTAAATTTAGTTGATTGATATATTGATATATTCAATATACTATTCTCTTTATTTTTATGTGCATTAGAAATTTTTTAAAACAAAAAGTTTTTCCTCAGTCTCAATGGATTTTTTTCCTAGAAATTTAACAAGCTGATTCTAAAATTCATATGGCTAAATAAATGGCCACAACTAGCAAAACACCCAGAAAAAGAAAAATAAAGTGCAGGAAATTTCTCTATCAAGTATCAAAACCTATTATGAAATTATTTTAATTAAGATAGTGACTTATGAGCATAGATATAAACAAATTGCTCAATTGAGCAAAATAGACTGCCAAAAAACTAACCCATACATGTATGGAATATTGATATCTGGCAGAAACAACCCTACAGATAATTGGAAGAACAGACTTTTCAATTGATGCTGAGACAACTGGCCAAACAGCCATTTGCTATCCACATGGAAAAAATAAAAAGTAAAATTAAATCCCTACCTTATGCCATACATAAAAATCAAATTCTAATGTGTTTGAAACATATATGTGATGATAAAACTTTAAAACTTATAGAAGAAAAATTTTGGAAAATATAGTATGACCTTAGGATAATGGATTTCTTAAATGAGATAAAAGTCATTAAGGAAAAAACGTATAAATTCCACTATATTAAGATTAAGAATTTATTTTCCTCAAAAGACACTGTGTTAGTCTGTTCAGACTGCCATTACAACATACCATCAACTGGGTGGCTTAAACAACAGACATTTTATCACAGTTCTGGAGGCTGGAAATGCAAGATCAGGATGCCAACATGGTTGGGTTCTGATGAGGAGGACTCTCTTCCTGGCTTGCAGGTGGCTGTCTTCTTGCTGTGTTCTCACATGTCAGAGAGAGAGAGAGAGAAAGCTCTCTGGTATGTCTTCTTATAAGGTCATGAATCTCATCATGAGGGCCCCACCATCATTATGTTATCCAAACCTAATTATTTATGAAAGGCTCCATTTCCAAATTCCATCACATTGGGAGTTAGAGCCTCAACATTTAAATTTGGGGGTGGCGGACACAAATGTTCTACCTATTACAGACACCGTAAATAAAATGAACATACAAACCAGAAACTATTGAAGAGAACAGCAACACGAATAATTGACAAAGGATTAGTATCCAGAATATATCGAGAACATCTTTAAATCAATAAGAAAAAGCCAAATAATTCAGTAGAAAGATGTGTGAAAGATGGCCAGGAGAGGTGGCTCACACCTGCAATCCCAGCACTTTGGGAGGCCAAGGCAGGCAGATCACTTGAGGTTAGGAGTTCGAGACCAGCCTGGCCAACATGGTGAAACCCCGTCTCTACTAAAAATAAAAAAATATTAGCTGGGTACGGTGGTGTGTGCCTGTAGTCCCAGCTACGCAGGAGGCTGAGGCAGGAGAATCACTTGAACCTAGAAGGCAGAGGTTGCAGTGAGCCAAGAGTGTGCCAGTGCACTCCAGCCTGGGCAACAGAGCGAGACTGTCTCAAAAAAAAAAGAAAATTATGTGGAAGATATGGACAATCATTGCACTGGAAAGAGATCTGTTCAGTATATGAAAACGTCCTCAACTCCATTAATAACAGAGACAAGTAAACCACAATAAGGCACGTCATATACCCAGTAGATTATCAGAGGGGGAAAAATAGAACAATAATGAATATTCACAAGAATGCTGTTGGTGGGATTATAATTTGGTGTAATTACTTTAGAAAAAAATTTGATGTTATTTTGTAAAGTTGAACACAACCCAGCAACTTGACTCTTATTTATATACTCTAGAAAAACCAGGAAACATGGATCAGAATATTCATAGAGGCATAGTTTATAACAGTAAAAATAATGGATATAACAAAAATGTACAATCACAGAAGATTAGATGTAATATGTTGACACATTGGATTTTAAAAGGAATGAACCAAAGCCATAGACAACAATGGGAATAAAATGTTAAAAACATAACCTTGAGTGGGAAAAATGCAGGCCACAGATGGCTACACAGAGTGTGATATTTTATAAAGCTCATAGACAAGGAAAATTAAACAATATGTTTTCTAAGGATGCAAACAAAAATGGTACTTATTGTTAATGCAAACATAAGCAAGGGAAGGATAAACATAAACTTCAGCACAGTTTACCTGGTTGGGATAGAGAAGGGGAGGCCCAGAATACGAAGAAAAGCATCCTTGAGGAACACAGATCATTTCTACAGCACCGGTAATACTAATACTCTATTTAAGTTTCGTGGTGGGCTTAAGGGTGTTCATTTTGTGATTATGCATCAAATCTTATATATTGCATGTATTTTTTTGTATTTGATGTTACATAATAAAAAATTGAGGAAAATGTTTCCACATTCTAAGATCAAATAGGTTGGTCTTACACCTTCATTCCTTGCATTTAAAGCATCAACACTTATGGGGTTTATTTTCATGTATTATAGAGAGGTGATTCTCCATGTTTTTTAAATTAATATATTAAATTTTTATTGCAGCATAACAAATTGCAACAAACTTCGCAGCCTAAAACAACATTCGTTTATAAGCCCATAACTTTGTAGGTCAGAAACCCAACCACAGTGTGACTGAGTTCTCTGCTAAGGATCTCACAGAGCTCAAATCAACATGTTAGCTGAGCTGCCTTTCTTTCTGGAGGCTCTGGTGAAGAATCCATTTCCAAGTTCATTGAGGTTTTTGGCAGAATTCAGGCCCATGTGGTTGTAGAACCGAGCTTCACATTTACTGGCAGGTTGTCAGCTGGGGGCTACTTTTGCCTCCTGGAGGCTTCAAAGGAGAATCTCCCTCTTCTGGAATCCTGTTCACACTTAAACTCTCCTTCCAGAAAGAGCTTAGTCCCTTTTAAGGCTTATCTGATTAGGTCAGGTCCACCTCAGTAATCTCCCTATTTTTAAGGCCAACTGACTTGGGACTTAATTACATCTGCAAAATCCCTTCACAGCAGCACCTAGATTCATCTTTGACTGAATTATTCAAAGAATGTTTGTCCACACCAGGAGCCACAAATCTTGGGAGTCATTGTAAATTCTGCCTTCTACATTTACCTAATGATCAAGCTTAATTTATTTAATAATTTCTCCCATTGCCTCTTTTTTTATGCCACTGCCATCATACTGTATATGTTTATATATACTAAGATCCTGTTTCTAGGCCATTAGTACTTTTGTATTGATCAGCTTATCTAATTTTTACAGCATTTCCATGTAATAATTTTTAACTATAATATTTATGATGTATTTTATTATCTGATATGGCAAGTTTTCCCCCATTCCTTACCCTTTCCCATATTTTGGGCTGCTTTGATATTTTGTGTTCCCCTCAGGTTAAAAATAATAATAATAAATAATCTTTTGGAATGTTTATTGAAATTATGTATTTTATAGATTTCTGACAAGAAATTTGACAAAACTGAAAATTTGATTGGAACTAAATTTGAGAACAATTGACATTTGTATTAATCTGAATTCTTTCCATTGCTGGTGAGAGAAATCCAGGGAAAACTAACTTAATCTTTGTAAATCATATTAAACATTATCTGGTATATAGTCAAAATATCAGTTTAATTAATAAGTAAGCTATTGTTCTGGTCTCATCTTAAATATTTTCTCATCAGAGAGTCTTTTCCTAACATCTTAAGTTGTAGTTCTCCCATCAATTTTCATTCTATTTTCCCTTTTCATTTTCATCACAGCCCTTATCTCTATCTAATATTTTCAAGTTTTTGATTTATTTGTTTATAGCCTATCACCACCTGTTAGAATTTAAGCTCTACGAGCAAAAGGAGGCTTGTCCTATATGTGTTAGACATTTAATAAATGTGGAAAAAATAAAAACAAAGATGTGAGAATTCACTGGAAGGATGCTGAAGTAGTTCACAGAAGGAAAATAAATAAATTAACAAAGTAAGGAGTACAGTAGCTCTGGAGTGCTCAATGACTGGCCCCAGGAACTTGACTCCTTCAAACTTTGCTGACTTTGTCTTATCACTGCTTATCTCTCTGGGCTTCATTCTCTGCTACCACAGATTGACTTTCTCCAAAACGGTAGAAAACATAGTTGCCAGGACTCCAAGATTCACATTCTTTCAGTTCCAAGACCTGAAAACTAGTGGAATGTCTCCCCTAGCTTCAATTTTTTTAATCCTGAGAAAGTTTCTGAATGTTGCAGTTTGGTCTGAGCACTCACCTTTCGGTCCAGTTACTCCTGCAGGAGAAATAAAGTATTGCATTTGGCCCAAGATTGGTTATGCACTCACCTCTGCATCCCTAACAAATTTGTATCTACTGGAGCCATTCCATTCATGAACATGATACATCTCTATTTTTTTGAGCTTTCTGTTTATTATGTCTCAACAAAGTTTTTAGTTTTCTATATATTACGTTTTCTTGTTAACATTACTCTTAGGTCTATTTGTATTATTATTGTATATTTCATTTTTCTTTTTCTCAGTAATTATTGCAAATAATAAGGAACATGTACTGAATAATTTCTATACTTTTTCTTGGTTACCTTTCTAAACTGTCTTCTTTGGAATGCCATAATAAAATCTCTCCTACTTTCAAAATTACAAAATAATAAAGTTGTACCTTTTGCAGTGATTTTGTAAGACTTTTAATAATTAATTTATTCTACCTACTTAGAGTCTTCTATGAATTGTTTGCACATTAACTCTGTCAAAATTTCACAAATTGTACAGAAGAGGTGACTATAAATGAAAGTAACTTTTTAAAGCAAACATTCAAAAACTTATACTTTAAATATGTGGCTATTTCCCCCAAAGTTGTCAACTTGCAAGTCATAGTAAACACTTACGGGGTATATGTCCAGTTCCTGCTCCCTTTACTAAGGACTTCTCCCAAACCCATACTACTTCACTCCAAGTATTGACCTTTGTATTAGGTCAACTCTGTTGCCCAACCACAGTCAATTAGACCAGAGTTGACACTGAGACAAAATGTATTACTGAGCTCTCTTTACTTGGAATTTGTCATTGAGAACCTGAGACAACTAACACACATCAGTTATTGGTAGGTACTGAGTTTCTGTATTGAGGTCTGGGACTCCATTTTTTGGTCAGCCATCTCCCCCTATCACACCCCCATGACATATGTATCAAAAAGTAGAAAAATTAAACAGGGAGGGGAAACATGCCTATACCAATCCATTCTGGGCTGTATATCAAGTTCCTTGAGATACATCAGAGCACCTAGTATAAACAGATACTCAATAAATACTGGTTGAATGAGTGAATAAATATCATCTTTTCTTCCTACTCTACTCCATTCCCACCAAAAAATTCCATTTTCATGAACTTGACCTTGCTAACACTCTTGCCGCCCACACCTTGCCATCATCATCTACTTCCAGTCTCTGAGCCACTGTTAGTTTGGGCTATTTGTGCACTACGTAAAGACGCTATGCCCAGGGAACACGGAGAGTGGAAATCCAGCTGGTTTTCTGCTCTCTTGCTGTGAGCCCTGGCATGTGTCCACCCAAAGAGAGCATATTTCCTAATTCACACAGACTCCATACAGGTGAACAGAGGCCCTTTTTGGACAGGACTTGTTTCTGCTCTTGAGTTTATCCCTTACACTTTGTTATGGGTTGAATCTTGTATGCTCCCCCCATGCTGGAGTAGGGTGGGCCTCATACTGGAGTAAGGCCCCTGCTCTAATATGACTGGTGTCTTTCTAAGAAGAATACCATGTGAAGACAGACACAAAGGAGGAATGTCTAGTGATAAGGAAAGCAGATATTGGAGTTACGCAACTGCAAGCCAAGGATCTGCAGAGATTTTCAGCAAACCACCAGAAGCTAGGAAGAGGCAAGGAAGGATTATCTTACAGGTTTCAGAGGGAGAATGGTCTTATCAGTGCCTTGATTTCTGACTTCTAGCCAGTAGAACTGTAGAATAATATGCCATTTCAAACTACCCAGTTTGTGATTCTTTGTTATGACAGCCCTAGAAACTAATTCACATGCCTGATACCGTCTTACTTTATCAGGTGAGGCAGAAAAAACAGAGAGAAAAAAAACGAAATACCCTGCCCACCACCAACTTAGCAATTACCATTTCCCTTGCTTCATCCTTTTTCCTCCTCTAGTTGAATAAAAGACTGCTACTCCAAGGAAGAAACTACAGTGAATTTAAGGTTGTTCTCTCTACATAACCAGTGATAGTTGATTGGCACCTGAGCTTGCACATAAAGCATATTGTGGAATCATTTTTTAAGCTCAAAAATTTGACTATGCAAATTCCCTTGCTGCCTACTACATAGAACTACTCTTTCAAAATAAATTCAGAGATTAGCTACTAATGGCTGTCACAAATATGATTTGGCAACTTATTTCTGGTTCTAAACTCTCAAAAATAGAATATTCCTGATACAGGAATAAATCTGAAACATTCCATGACAACAGAAACTTTCTTCACCTGTCTGTAAGATCTTTCCATGTCTGCTTCATAGACAGGTGGGAGAAAAAATAACTAGTCAAAACACAATTTTTTTTTCTTTTTAGGCAAGGTCTCACTCTGTCACCCCAGCTGGAGTGCAGTGGTGCAATCATGGCTTACTGCAGCCTCAACCTCCCAGGCCCAGGCAATCCTCTAACCTCAGACCCGCAAGAAGCTGTGACCACAGGCATGGGCTACCACACCTGGATAATTTTGTTTATAAAATACAAAAATATTAATGGCCAAAGAAACAATGAGATACATTCAGGCCAAGATGTGAATACAGACCTCTTTGGTTTTCTCCAACAATAGTCTCACACTGACAGAGGAAAGTAGTTCAACAAAGTAAACAAAATGGTACAACCAAACCATGCCCTTTAGAATGGAAATGCCATCACTACAGTTTAAACTTGCATCCATTAACATCACTGAGATTGCTGAATTACAAAATTCATCACTTAATAATAAGAGCACTTTCAGAAAGAACTCAGATCAGGGTTGTTGCAGCCATTGCTCAGTTGGCCTCATTTCATGAATAGAATTCATCGTGCTTGCCCAAATTGCTTTTTTATTTTTTCTCTTTGCCAAGGAGCTTAATCAAATAAGTTATTTATTTATTTATTTATTTACTTACTTATTTATTTATTTATTTCAGAGACAGGATCTCACTCTGCTGCCCAGGCTGGAGTGCAGTGGCACAATCATAGATCACTGTAGCCTTAAACTCTTGGGCTCAAGAGATCCTCCCCACTCAGCCTCCCAGCAGCTGGGTGGCATAAGCCACTGTGCCTGACTCTAAATAAGTTATTTTTAATATAATTTACTCTCCAAAGGGATCAAGCAAATAATCTAGAGAAAACTATGGTAGTTTATCACAGCCATTGGTAACTGTGTGAGATTATATGATTTGCTCATAATCCTTCCTTCCATCCCCACAGTGCTTGCCAAGATTCATCATGGGCAGAATAAAAATCCCACTTCACAGACTTTGGCCTCAGCCATGTGACTTGATTTGACCAATGGAATGTTAGCTAATGTGATATAAGGAGAGGCTTTAATGTTTCATGTTGCCTTCTTGCTGTTATACGATTCTGAAATCTTTGTGATGAAGGCATGTCCTAAGTAGTCATGGATCCCAGAGTGAAACAGGTGGAGCATACGTAAACCTGACTTGCAACTTGTAGCCACGTCTACCTGAATCTAGAAAAACTACACAAATCCATCAAGTTGAGAGAGACAGAGTGGGGGCAGAGAGAGAGGAAAGAGAGAGAGAGAGAGAGAGAGAGAGAGAGAGAGGTTTGCTGTTATTGTAAACCACAGAGTTTTGAGAGTTAGGTATTCTACCACAGAATTGCAGCAATAGCTGACTAATAGTGCCTGAGAGCAAAGACCTCCACATTCTGGCTCACCAGCTCACCTTAAAGCATAGATTGCTAGTTTAGAAACTCAGTCTGTGAACACAGTGTTTCTAACAGGTTTCTATATTATCTCATTGTTAAATATAAAAGTATAACTAAGGGTCACCAATCATTTAAGGAAACTGTAAACATGAACATAGGGGATAAGGTAAACAAAGAGAAGGAGATTGGGATACTAGAAGAAACAATTCAGGAAGGAGAAGTTAACTTAAAATGAATTTGAATTACTATCCTGAGATATGCTTTTAAAAAAATGTAACATAAAGCAAGAATAAGATGCTATGAAAAACAACAGTCATTGTATTACAACATACATATGAATAAATAATTGTTTAAGTCAAAAAAAAACCAGTAGAATAGTTTGAAACATAAACAAATCTTCCACAATGTACAGAAAAGAATAGAAATGAGAAATATGAGAGAAAAGTAAGAAATGGAATGAATCCTGATTGACAGGGGTACAAGAAAGGGAGAAATGGGAAATGGAAGGGAAAAAATTTTCAAAAAAAAAAAATAATTTCCCAGAGCAGAAATATTGAGTCATCAAAATGAAAGATCCTTTTACATATCCCACATAATGAATGGAGAATGACTTAGCTTTCTACATATCATTATAAAATTTCAGCACATTAAGGATAAAGAAACTTTAAGGGCTTCCAGGTTTTTTTAAAATCGTTCTTGCTATGGTTCGAATGTGTCTCCCAAAGGTCACGTGTCAGAAACTTAATTCCCAATACAACAATACTGAGGGGTGGAGCCTTAAAAGGTGATCAGGTCATGAGGGCCCTGCTCTCAGAAATGGATCAACATCCTTATCTCAAAGTGGGTTTGTTATAAAAGCCAGTTTGTGCTACCACCCACCCCTCACTCACCACATACATCCTCTTTCCTACATGAGGTCTTTCATCACGGGATGATGCAGCAAGAAGGCCCTGGCAAGATACAAGCCCCTTGACCTTGGACTTCTCAGCCTCCAGAACTGTAAGAAATAAATCTCTGTTCTTTATAAAACCCAGTTTGTAGCATTCTGTTACAGCAACACAAAATGGACTAAGAAAATCCTATAAAGGAATAAAAATGAAAATACCATGAAAATTTTCATTGGTAATTCAGGGTGCTAGCTGACCTTGGAACAATGTTTTTCAAAGTTCTGGATAAAAAATATTAATCAGGCATGAAGGCAGAATTTTAAAATTTTAAATATAAAACCTAAGAAAATGCACTCAGACACCCTTTACCAGGAAATTCCTGGAGGATATAATCCCACTACATGAAGGAGTAAACCAAGAAAGAGAAGGCATTCACCCATGGCTCCTATCAAGCACAGCAAGGACAGAAAGTGCTTGTGCCTACCTGCCTAAAAAGTAGCCAGTCCGTATTGGAATAGGAGAAAAGAGGACAGCCAGAGGAGGTACCTGGGGGAAAGGGGAAATTCAGGTTTGCAAGTATCCTTGAAAATGCCCTCAAGGTTCTGTTAGGATTCATAGTGCAAAAGGACAAGGCAATTGGAAACCTAAAGAAAACAAAAAACAAACTACTTGGCAACTCAGTGAACATAGTCATTACATGAAGATGACTTTTATTGATTACTGATTTTTAGGCCCAACCTATAAATAAAGCATAGAAGATTCAAATATGGTTACAGAATATATTGTAAATGTTATCAAACTTGACGTGAAAGTACAGAAAATGAAAAGTAGAAATTGAGAGGGTAAGAAAGAGCAAGCAGAAATGAGTGCTAAAAACCCTCATCTTGAGAAATGGAGAATCAAATATATTGTCTGTGGTTGATGAAACAGGCAATAAAAGTATATTACACATTTCTAAAATTTTAATCACAGCATGAGTTTACTAAGGCTGCCATAACAAAGAACTACAAACTGGGTGGCGTAAACAACAGAAATTTATTTTCTCACCGTCCTGGAGACTAGAAGAAGTTCAAGATTGGAAGAGTTCATTTCATCCTGAGGCCTGTCTTCTTGGCTTTCAGATGTCCCTTCTCTCCATGTGTCATTTGTTCTTCCCCCCATGCGTGTCCGTGTCCTAATCTCCTCTTCTTGTAAGGACACCAGTCATATAGGATTACAGCCCATCCTAATGGCCTCATTTAAACTTAAGCACCTCTTTAAAGGGCCTATCTCCAAATACAGTGACAATCTGAGGTACTAGGGGTTAGAACTTCAACGTGAATTTTGGGGAGGATGCATTTCAGCCTATAGCAATCACAAATGTATTTTTTAATGTATTAAGATATGGATCTATTGAAAGAGAGGAGGAGGGGAAAATGGATAGCTTGATAATGTCTAAAATTGAAGTGAAGAATTGGTGGTAAGAAAATATAATTTAGAGATATGGCACTAATTGAGGGATGCCACACAAGAGTTGTACAGATTGGTAAGGGTACAACTAAATATGGCAGTCCTGACCGACCACAAAAATAGCTTTATTTATTTATTTATTTTTTTATGAGATGGAGTTTTGTTCTGTTGCCCAGGCCGGAGTTCAATAGCACTATCTCAGCTCACTGCAACCTCCACCTCCCGAGTTCAAGTGATTCTTTTGCCTCAGCCTCCCGAGTAGCTGGGATTACAGGCATGCGCCACCACGCCCAGCTGATTTTTGTGTTTTTAGTAGAGACGGGGTTCCACCATGTTGGTCAGGCTGGTCTCGAACTCCTAACCTCAGGTGATCCACCCGCCTCGGCCTCCCCGAAGTGCTGGGACTACAGGCATGAGCCACTGCACCCAGCCAAGAATAGCTACAGACATGAACAGTTTAAAAAGTTAAAAGTCATTTGTTCTGGGGAATAGGACTGAGCTTGAGAAAAGCAAAAACAGACTATCCTTTTTTCAGTGTAAACCACTCTGTATGAGTTTACTCTTAAATCATATGTACATATTACTTTGATTAAAAATATTTTAGGCTTCAATTTAATAAAATAAAGAGATAAATGTTTCATTTCTCCTTTGCCTTCTCCTTGCCCCTGCCCCATTATAGTCATTGGAATAGACAGTAGTAAAGACTTCTAAGTGTTTTCTTGTCTCTAGACTCCTCCGACCCTTTCTACAACACCTCTAGAGTACTTTGTTTCACACAAAAATATGGCCATGTCACTCTCCTGCTTAAAATATGTCAGTGATCCTGCCATCCCCTGCGTGATGTTCCTTACTCTGGGAAATAAGATTTTCCAACATTTGTTCTTTGCCTACCTCTCCACTCTTTTCACTTATCATTCCAGTATTACTGCTTTATGTCCCCCAAAATGAACTGTTTGAGGTTTTCCCCACTCATCATGCTGTATCTGCCTTTTGTCTTGTATTTATCTGGCTGAAATTCTATTTCTTCTTCTCCTAAACTCCAACATCTCTTCTCCTCAACCTAATTGCCTTCATTCAGCTTACTTTCTTCTTCTCCTCCTTTATTCCAAGTTTATTGGCTTTAGACAAGCTCATTACAGACTTGGTTATCCTCTGTCCTTTGGTAAGCTTTTTTTTTTTAGCGTTGGTTTTTGTTCTCAAACTACATGTAGTGGCAAGACGGTTGTTGGTATGGTTTGGCTGTGTCCCCACCCACATCTAATCTTGAATTGTAGCTCCCATAATTCCCACGTGTTATGGGAGGGACCTGGTGAAAGATAATTGAATCCTGAGGGCAATTTCCTCCATGCTGTTCTCATAGTAGCGAATAAGTCTCACCAGATCTGATGGTTTTATAAGGGGAAACCCCTTTCGCTTGGTTCTCATTCTCTCTTGTCTGCTGCTATATAAGACGTGCCTGCTGCCTTCCACCATGATTGTGAGGCCTCCCTAGCCATGTGGAACTGTGAATCCATTAAACCTCTTTTTCCTTTGTAAATTACACAGTCTCAGATATGTCTTTATCAGCAGCATGAAAATGGATTAATACAGTTGTAGCACAGTTAAAGGAAAAGAGGAAGGGTCTCTTCCCAAATCTCACTGTGTCTCATTGACTCTGACTAGGTAGTGTACCTGTGCTTGAGCCAATCTCTATGGCCAGGGTGATTCGATGTTCTGATTGGCCAGTCCTGAGCCACCTACTCTAGTTTGCAGTCGGGGCGGAGTCAATTCCATAGGAAGCAGATAAATTAAGAACAGGAGAGGGGATAGTCTTCAGGAAAAAATAAAACTCATGTTTCCAAAAAGAAGGTTTACAAATGCTCTGCAACAAATACTACAGACAAACCACCATGAACACAAGAGTAGATTCTGTTTATCTCCAAAGACTCAGCACCTGGTATAGCACTTGACTAACATTAGGTGTGAAAATGTTTGTTGAATTTTTATTTGTAAGGTGTTGCTTTCTGACAAAAAGATATACTTTATGATAAAGTATATATCTTAAATATTGACATTTTAAAATTAAATCACCCAGTTCAAATGAGTTCAAATTGTTTAAGATATGTCTGAAAAATGAACTGAATTTTTATAGTTGGATATAAATTCTAATCATACTAAATTTGCAAAGTAAAATTCTGTCACAGTTTTATA
This sequence comes from Homo sapiens, assembly GCF_000001405.40. Classification (NCBI taxonomy): domain Eukaryota; kingdom Metazoa; phylum Chordata; class Mammalia; order Primates; family Hominidae; genus Homo; species Homo sapiens. Next base: position 18,034,733 of record NC_000004.12, on the reverse strand, counting down.
TATACTGTAGTTTTGTCTGAACTGAGAAAGTCATGAAAAATCTATCCCAAAGTAGTTGACATTTTGGAGGGCTTTTTATTTTTATTTTTTTAAATCTTTCTTAACCTAAGGAGTGCTTGGAAACCTATGCTTTAATTGAAAATGCTGCTTTGGCAATAAGTTTTACATAATTCTCCAAGTGCCTAAATAAACTCTTGGATCAAGGGATTCATAACAGAAAAAAAATCTTTCTTTTTAAATGTAATAAAAAGTACATCTGAAGATTTATTCTCAAAAGTGTGTGCAAACCAGACTTCTCTGAGGAATAAAGGTGTGCTAACAAGTATTCTATCTTAGCATTTGAGAGTCCCCCAACAGCATGACGCAACTATTTCATTAGCTGCGTGTGGGTAACTTGATTTTTCTCACTCCCTCTATTCTTTGTAGAACCTATCTGGGCAGCCATTTAATGCTAACAAGCCAAATTCTTTCTTCACTTCTTCCTGCCAAGTAGTACCATAATTGTCATCAAGACAGGATCATCTGTTTCATATTGCTTTTACTTATGCTGAATGAAAGCACCAGTGTGATTTGCCATTTTATTTCAGCTCTTATTCTTGAAAAGTAGAAAATTGAAAAGTAGAAAAGTGGTAAAAAGAACACTTCTTTTCCCTTTTCCAAATTATAAGACTGTGAATAAATTAACATTGTCCTGTTTGATACATTGTACTACTTTATTGGAAGCATAAAAATTACTAGAAGGGAAAGGGAAGGTTTTTAAGAGGAGAAATTGGTTGAAGGAGGGAGAAAAAGAAAACTCTACTTAGTAGTATATGAGATCTTTCACAGTCCAGAACTGCTTTGCCAAATATAGCCTCTAGCCACTGAGATTACGAAATATGGTTAATCTGAATTGAAGTGTACTGTTTTGTACAATACATATAAAATTTCAAAGACAATACAGAAAAAAAAGTAAAATATCACAGTAATAACTTTCATATTTATGTTTTTAAATGATGTTTTAGATATGTTGTATTAAATAAAATATATTCTTAAAATTAATTTCACTTTTACTTTTTAAAGGCGGCTACTAGAAAACTTTAAATTCCACATGTGGCTTGCATTTGTGTCTTACATTATGTTTCTGTTGAGCAGTGCTAGTACACAATGTACATGCCAAGAAGCTAGAATGTTCAGAGATGAGATATAATGAGGTTGAAGTCATATTTAACAGTATACTCAGTGCTATTTTGTTTTGAAAGGCTTCTTTGGAGAAATATTTGTCTCTCTAGTAGAGGTCAAGATAAAGTAGGTGCAGTTTTTCAATAAAGTTGCTAATTGTTTTTGCCTGCTGGGTAGATATATTCTCTTTTTCTGTTAACAGTGTACTGGTCTTCTCTGAGGAACTCTCTCCCTCCTTGATTTTGAGACCCTGTGGTTTGGCTGAGGCTGACCCATGATTCTAGAGCTGAATGTGTGACTAACCAATCAGAATATTCCACTCCCATGGCCACAATAATTGACTCAGGAAATTGATAAAAGTTGGTCAATTGAATCAGTTCTGTGATTTTGAGTAACTACAGAAAAAGAGATGTTGCTCATCTTGGGGATTAAGTCTGCAACTACTTACACACACCTTTTCCAGCACATGACCTGAAAATGGAAACCAACAAGAGGAGACAAGAAGAAACAGGTTCTGTTTGAATGCCTAGATCCATTCTGTTACTAAAGCTGCCACTTGGAATTTTTCTGTTTGTTTGTTTGTTTGTTTGTTTGTTTTGGGGGGTGGGGACAGGGTCTTGCTGTGTGACCCAGGCTGGAGTGCAGTGGTGGGATCTCAGCTCACTGCGACCTCCACCTCCCGGGTTCAAGCGATTCTCATGCCTCAGCCTCCCGAGTATCTGGTATTACAGATACTTTTTGTGTTTTTATTAAAGACAGGATTTCACCATGTTGCCCAGGCTGGTCTCGAACTGCTGGGCTCAAGCAATCCACCAACCTTGGCCTCCCAAAATGCTGGGATTAGATTACAGGTGTGAGCCACAGCACCCAGCCAGAATTTTTCAGTTTAATAGTTACCCTTCTTTGATCAAACAAATTTAAATTTAATTTCTGTCTTTCACTAAGAAGACTGATTAATATAAATAACAAATAATTGAATAAACAATTGCATTCATACAAGTCAACAAACATTCTTAGCACTTGTCTATGTTCAAGTAACTGCATTGGGTGCTGGTGGAGGAAGCCGCAAAGTTTATTATTATTATTATTATTCACTCATTCATTCATTTATACATTCAGGAAACACTCATTGAGATTCTTTTGTGCCAGGCACTATCTTAGGCACTGGAGAAGAAAAGACAGGAATTAAAGTCACAGATATTGAGGATCTTTTATTTTTCTGAATTACATTAACAATGTGCCTATTGCTAATTATTCTTGCTCTCCCCAATATACTTTCAATGTTCAATTTTCCACAAGTCAAATCTGTTATATAATCTCTGTTCCATTTTGTACCAGGAAATTCTATTTTGGATCCCTCCATCACCTTACTTGCTTTCGGACTTGTTAATTTCTGGATTTGCTGTCGTCTCTGATCTGTAACTGCCCTCCCTCCCCTTAGGAACTCCTTGACTTTTTTCTTGTGTTAGATTCCTACTTCCTAGATCACTATACCTCTTTGTAATAAGGAAGCACATCCTCCGGTAGTATCTTGAAAAGGGATACAGTATTTGTGAGGTCAATGTTTTGAGAACTTGCAAGCCTGAAAAATCCACTCTATTCCCACAACTGACTGATAGTTTGATGGATTTTAGAACTCTAGGATGGGTATTGTTTTCAGTTATAATTTTGAAGATATTGCTCCATTGTTTTCTGTTGAGAAGCCCAATGCTATTCTGATTTTTAATCCCTTGCACAGGGTCTATATTTTCTCCCTGGAAGTTTTAAGAATTTTCTCATTATTTCCAGAATCCTCAGCTTCCATGATTACATGTCTTGGAGTGAAATTACTTAATCTGGAGGATCATTTCCTTCAATTCTGGGAACTTTTCTTTATTATTTCTTTGATAATACTCTTTCCTAAGTTTGCTTTTGTCTCTCTTTCTGAAACCCATGTCAGCGAAACATTGGGCTTCCTAGGTTGATTGTGAAATTTTCTTATCTCCTATTATCTGCCTTCATATTTTTTAATACTACTTCAATGAAACTTTCTCATCTTTATCTCTCAGCACTTCTTTAAAATTTTGTTTTAATTTCATCTGACATATTTTTAATTTCCAAGAGCTCTTTCTTGTTCTCATTGTTCTCTCTTTCTATAGCATCTTGTTTCAAAGTAATTGTTTCTTTAATGATGCAATATCTTTTCTAATCTTTTTGAAAATGTTAATTATAATTAATTGGAAGCTTTGTTCTATTTCTTGAAATGTTTCTGTTTTTCTCTGAGTTTCTTTTATCTGTTTGTTTTGGTCTCTCTCTCTCTTTCAAGTTGGATATTTTCCTCAAATGTCAATATATATTTATGAGTGAGGTCCTTAAATGTTTATGGAAAGGTCTGCAGGGTAGGTGAGCTTTCTGAGACTTTGAGTTTCTCTTGAGAGGGATTGCCAATTTTTTGCTGAAGGGAATAAATCTGGTTACAGGTGTACCAAGAACAAGGTGGAGGAATTCAGCAAACTTTGACTATTTAATCTGTGTTCACGCTACAACATTTGCCCTACCCTTCTACCATGCTTGGTGTCCTCGAATCCATAATCTTTTCAGTCCAATTTTTCCACAGAGTAAATTTCTTGCAGGGGTTGGTATAAAAATCCCTGACTACATTATGGTGGAGACAAAGTCTGGAGGAGCAGGTGGTTCTCACAGCTCCTTATATAACATTTCAACAAATCCCCAGGCCATCAGCTCTGACTCTTACCCTTACTTTCTGCTTTACAATTGTTCTATTTCCTGAGAACAACGAAAAACAAAAAGAGATTGGGGGAGATCACTGATATTCAAAATAGTTACAGAGTTTTGATATGGTTTGGCTTTGTGTCCCCACCCAAATCTCATCTTGAGTTGTAATCCCCATGTGTTGAGGGAAGGACTTGTAATCCCCACGTGTCAAGGGAGGTAAGAGATTGGATCATGAGGGTGATTTTTTGTTTGTTTGTTTTAAATAAAGGAAAGAGGTTTAATGGACTTACAGTTCCACATGGCTGTGGAGGCCTCAGGAAACTTACAATCATGGCGGAAGGCAAAGGGGAAGCAAGAACCTTTTTCACATGGCAGCAGGAGAGAGAAGAGCAAAGGAGGAAGTTTCAAACACTTATAAAACCATCAGATATCATGAGAACTCACTCATTATCAATGAGAACAGCATGGGGGAAACTGCCCCCATGATTCAATCACCTACTTCCCTAGACATGTTGGGATTACAGGTCCCTCCCTCAACACAATTTGAGATGAGATTTGGGTGGGGGACACAGGGCCAAACCATACTGTTTTATAGTTAGATTTATTTTTCTTTCAACTTTCAGGTTTAGAGCTTAATGACTTTAGTATATAAAATCAGGTGGTTTTGCCTATTGAATTTGAAAGCCTATAATAGGATATTAGGTGGTTCTTACTTTCCATTGTTGCATAGGGTGATTATTAATTTTAATTTAAACTTATTATAACTTAAATCTTCAAATATTATACAATTTTGGCTAAGTTAAAAGGTATTAAAGTTTTACCAACTCCACATTTTCATTCACAACTCTTTTTTATAAGGGAAAATCACAACATAATTTAATTGCCTTATTCTTTTCTCTTTATGCACATGTATTCTCCAGGTAGATACTAATATGGGCCATTATCAGATTTCACAGTTTAAACAAGCCTTCCTTATAGTAATATGTTAAAATAAACTTCTTTAACCCAATGGATTTTACTTCAGAGGTTTATTGCTTGGCCTCTTTACCATGAAATATTGGTATTTTGTACTATTTTCATATAAAAATTTTTCTGTATTTTGAAACAGAGAGCCAAATCCTATTGTCAACAGCCTGAGAAACAATTGTCAAGTTCATAAATTGTTAATATTTCTGTCTGCCTAAGGCATGCTAGTAAGTAAAATGATATGCTTTGTTCATATAAGTGTTATGACTTAGTTTGTATCAGGCGTTTCAACATGCAGAAAGGCCAAATGATATTAATTTCTTGGTTTGAAATATAACCTCTGTAAAATGAAATTGTGTGACCACCTTTTGTCACTGTCCTGACATTGGGTGAAAAATAAGTTTGGGTTTACCAGTAGAACTTGAGAATAAGGGTAGATCATGGGTGAAGGAAGCCCTATAATCTTCCATGTTTCTTTCTTTAAAAAATCTCAATTAATTACTCTTTTATTTCAATTCAACAAAAGTCTCTTTGATACCAACTAGGTGTAGAATGCAAGTATACAGAGGTGGTGAATACCAGGCTCTGACTTCACAGTCTACAAGGTTATAGAGAGAAACAATAAGAAATAGTCACAGATAATTATATTACATGAAAAAATGCGGTAAGACTCATGAGAAAAATGAAGTGTTCTAAGAGCATAGAAAGCAGTAATAATCACCACTCAGTTGAGAAGTGTTCTTTATGGGAGTAGAATCGCATGGAATATCAGATGGGGACAGCAAAAACCCCAGTTTGGCTGAATGATAGGTTAAATATTGAGAGACCATAATTTTGTGTGCTACTGAAAATGTCACTATCTATCTTCCCCCAAAGATAGTGACATTATCAGTAGCCACTCCTGAAAATCAGAAAAAAATCCAGCTTCCTCAATTTCTGACTCCTTAATAGGCAGCTTTTCACCTTCTTTCCTGTTCTCCAGTGAAAAGCAGTAGTTAAATTTGGAAAGACAAAGATTAAAATTCTAGTTTCATCAGCAACTAGCTAGATGATGCTAACTTGTTTAAGTTATTTAACATCTCTAAGTCAATTTATATTTCTTTCTCTCTGATATGGGGATAATAATAATGAGAGTACTTAATTGCATAAGATTATGGTAAAAGGTAAATGAATTAATAATGTGTATAAATGCCAAACCACTGATAGCTCTTATTATAGGAAAAAGAGTCAACATTAGGAATCAAGAAATTGATCTTTAGTTTGGATGTGCTACTAATAAGCCCTGTGACTTACATAAATTGCTCATCCTCTCTGGGCCCAATTTCCCTATCTGCAAAATTAGGGGGTTGACCTAGATGATCTGTATTCCCTCTAAACTCTGATAGTCTAGGTACTATAGATGACATTCTTATTTTACTTTGATACTGAACTGTGCAATTGGATTAAATTGGATAAAATTGCCTTCATTGAGCCTTTAATACATTGAAATTTTATTAAAAGGCTGAAAATGAAAGTGACAATAATGCGTTAGGCCAGGGAAGTGATTTCAAGTGGACACAGAAAGAATAGTGGTAGATCAGGTCCTATCATCATGTCTGGATGTAAGAGAAAGTAGATGGTAAATGGTATTAAATTCAGGTGCCAAGCTCAAAGGTGTATGATTTTATGTAAAAAAAAATCAGAAAACATACTCATGCTAATTTTGGTATTAATTATCCTGACAGTTTAGGGCCTGAGTTGTCCTAATATAGTAAAACTTATGTCCAACTATGTGATATTTACTATAAAGACAGTAACAGGATGTAACAGTAATATTTTTAAAGTATCCAGTGATTGAACTCAACAAAGAAAGTAAAGAACAAAAATCTGAGATGCCACTCTGATATGAGTGACAGAATTGGACCAGCTATCATGCCCATTATTATGTATACTAAGGAGTCTTAGAATAGGAAAAAAGGAGACATTATAATCTAAGAAATGAAGTACATTATCACTATATTTCTGTTTTTTCAATCATTATTCCTGTTGTAAAATTTTATCTTTGTTCCTACAAAATGTACAAAAAGTGTTGATAGTATTTGGAAATGCATCAAGAAGACAAAATCATCATATATTTTAGATATCTCTAACTATTTAACTGCAGTATTGAAAATAAATACATTAACATGTATGTATTTCAGTTAATGATGTCTTTAGAGTCTATACTTCCATAAGGGAGAAGACTATTGAGAAATCTTTGACTCATGAGCCTGGATGAATCTAAGATGTTTGCATAAAGTTTAGTATAATATGACTATGTAGTTAATTAGAAATTTTTTGGAAGGGAAGTTTGTTCTATGTCCTAAATAATTGGTTTATCAAATTTTTCTCTGATGTTTTAATCTTAGATCGGTGAACTGTATTACAGGTCAGAACCAAAGGAAATACAGTAAAATGCGATTCTTTACAAGACAGATATAATTTACTCAAAAGATAGTTTCTCAGCATTATAAAGCATTGTACAGTTAATTAAGGTATCTAGTAGTTACGCTTTACAACTGTAAATATCTAATGCATACAAAATTGTTTAGATTTTATTAAATTATAAAATATATCGTTTTTTGGTACATACGGATAATATAGAATTGAGTAGGTATTTTACAATCCTACTAGTATATTGGATTGTTTATATTTGTTACAAAATATAAGAATAGCTTTAATTTTGGGTTAATATCTCAAAAATATGACTCTAGTCATACCCCTCTGTAATTTTGTATTTCTCTATCATGGAAATGTATTTCAAACTACTCCAATGTATTAGTATTTGTTATATCATGTCCTCCTAAAAAGCACCCTAGCTTGCAATTGACTAAGTGGTAAATAAATTAATAAACTGTTATTTGGCCCTGCAATTTATATGTCTTGGTGCTGTCTAAGAACTCTGTAGATGTGCTCATCAGTTTTAGGTGGATAATAGTGAACTTGGATAGTTATTTATGGTAGTTTGAAGTGATGACTCAGATTTGTTCACACCTTTCTGAATCCATGCCATTCGTTAGTGTCCTTATATTCAGACTTTGGGCTTGACCATGAGATTTGCTTTGGCCAATAGGATAGTAGCAAGCAGAACATGATGCAAGCTGACTTGAAAAGCACTTCTACATTAGTACTTATCATTATGTTGCGCTTCACATGCTGCTACTACATAAATTATTGGCTCTAGCTAGTCTCTAGATGGTAAGAGACACATGACTCAGTCATTCTCATTACCCCAGCAAACTGGGAGCCAAACTACACACCAAGAGTGAGGCCATTCTAGATCACGCAGCTTCCAGGACTAGCAATCTCAGGTAAGATGTGCAGAGCTTCACCTGATCAGCAGAACAGCCCACCTGACCTGCAGACTTGTGAATATTATCTACTGGTTGTTCTTTATGCAACTACCCTACGGATTGGCTTGCTGCACAGCAATAAATAACTGGTACAACATATATAGGAAGTAGATAGTAGAACAAAATTATTTTTCCAAAGAACATTAACATTTCATATCATATACCTGTTGTTATATGAAAATCCTTTGTGAGTAACTGGATTTTCAGTGTAGGAGACAATTTTTGATATGACCCTCTTTTTTTTTTTTTTTTTTTTTGAGACGGGGTTTTGCTCTTGTTGTCCAGGCTGGAGTACAATGGTACCGTCTTGGCTCACTGTAACCTCCGCCTCTCTGGTTCAAGCGATTCTCTCACCTCAGCCTCCTAAGTAGCTGGGATTACAGGTGCCCACCACCACGCCCAGCCAATTTTTGTATTTTTAGTAGAGATGGGGTTTCACCATGTTGGCCAGGCTGGTCTCGAACTCCTGACCTCAGGTGATCCACCCACCTCGGCCTCCCAAAGTTCTGGGGTTACAGGCGTGAGCCACTGCTCCTGGCTGATATGGCCCTCTTTTTATACTTGAACTTATAGATAACTCAAACATGTATCAAACCAATAAATAAATATTAGACACCATATTAGTGCCTGGCCCAGCACTTGATACTTAGAATGTAATGGTTAATCAGTTAGACTCCTATTTTTATGTTCATTGGGTAATTATAATACATTCTGTGGAAACTTCTTTGCTCTTCAAAGTGACGCTGAATTCCAAAGTTAATTCCATTTGTGTATTTCAATATTTCTGGTCTTAATCTTTATCTTCTCCCAGAAATTCTAGATATGTGATATTCATTAGTTCTGTTTATATCTTTAGTTCTCCTTTTTTTGGAGAATAGGGTAATCTTGCACTTCCCGAAATGTGGTAGACTACAAAAGTGGCCACAAATTATTTATTTCCCTCTGTCCAAATCCCTTTGCAATGTGACTTGCAGATCCTTCTATTAAGAGGTAGAATCTATCTCCCCATATCGACTCTGGGCTTGGCCATGTGACTTGCTTTAGCCATTGAAACCAGAGCAAATGTGACTCAAACTGAGATTTGAAAAGTGTGCATGGGGACTTCTTCTCTTGCAGCACTTTGGATCCCTCTGACTGCCACCATGTGAATAAGCTAGGGCTAGGACTGGCCTCTTGATGATACTTGGCCTCATTGCTCTGTGTTCCTAGCTGACAGTCAGTGAATCCTCAGAAACAGAGCTGCCTTGCTGACAGGCAGCTGACCACAAACACCTGAGTGAGTCCAGTAGAGGCCAACAGAAATGTCCAGCTGAGCCTAGCACAAATTTTCATTCCACAGAATTATGAGCTAAATGATTAGTTGGTGTTTCAAGGTACTAAGTTGTGGGGTAGTTTGTCCTGCCCTCAAAGCTATCTAATATATAACTCCTTAAAAGTCAGGCATGACCATAAAATTTGCTTCATCTACTGAAATGTGTCACTTCTGGTAGAAGCCTTTAAGAGTTGGACTGTGATTTAGCATCATCTTTCTCGTCATGGTGACTGGGGAGCTTCCAAATGGCATAGCCCCAGAAGCCTCAGTCCCGAGATGGACATGAGGCTTATAGGGCTCATGTTCTTTCCACCCTTTTCCACACTGACCTTTGGAAGACAGATAGTGTACTATGAAATAAACTTTTGTATTAACCTTTGTATTAAATCACTGAGGTTTTGAGTTTACTGGATTTTGGGTTTGTTACTGGAGCAGAACATAGCACATTCTAACTAATATATAAATTGGCACCCAGAAGGAGGTACAGTTATAACAGAAAATCTAAAATATGTGGCTTTAACTTAGAGGCTCAGTGGGTGGTAGCAAGGAAATTGTCAGAGGCTGGAAAGTTGGAGATGCTAACTGTCGTAAAATATTTGCTGAAACGGTTCATGTGTGTCTCCCATTTTTCTCCTTTCTAAACAGGAATGTTTACCATATGCTGTGGTTTGAATTTGCCCACGAAAAAGCACATGTTGGAAACATAAACTCCAATGCAACAGTGTTGGGAACTGTGGCCTAATGAGAAGTGACAGGCTATGAGGGCATAGTGAATGGATTAATGCTATTATCAAGGGAGTGGATTCTTTATAGCAGGAGTGAGTTCATTATAAAAGGATGAGTTTGGCCCCCTTTTACTCACTTGCCTTCTCTTTGCCTTTCCACTGTGGGGCCATGTAACAAGAAGGCCCTTGTTAGATGCCAGCACCCTGATCTTGGACTTTCTAGGCCCTAGAACCATGAGCAATAAATGTCTGCTCTTCATATAAATTACCCAGTCAGCGGTATTCCATTACAGCAGCACAAAATAGACTAAGACACCATGTCTATTTAGTCCCTATTCCATCACTGTGCGTGTGTGTCTGTGTGTGTGTGTGTGTGAGAGAGAGAGAGAGAGAGAAGAGAGATCGCGAGTGAGAGAGATCTGGGGAGAATACCTTATCTTTTTAGTTGTCTATAACAAGAGAAGCTTTATCCAGTTCCAATATGGAGACTACCAACCATCACCCAGAGATGCCAGACTTTGAGATTAATGCCTTTACTGAACAGAACTTTTGGATTGTCTCACTTTGTGATAGGAGTAAATCTATTTTGTAGTGTGAAGAAAGTGAACTGTAAACTGGTGACCAGAAGGATAGATCACAGTAATCCTTGATACTATTTACCAATAAATTCTGGTTATCTTCTTTTTGCACATATAATAGGATCGCACTTCCCTGCTCCCTTTAAGATAGATACGCCCGAATAATTCGCTTTGGTCAATGAAATGTGAGAACTGACTTGTATCACTTTTAGGAAGAACCAGTTCGCCATTCTTCATCTTCCTTTTGCCTATCACCCAAGGGGGGACGTTGCAGAGATTCCAGCCTCTTTAAGGATCCAGTTGCTTAGTGAGACCACATGGAATGAAGCCCCCTCCTCCTGCCACCCAGAGATGAACATGTAGATAATCAGGAAATAGTTTTTTGTTGTTGTTTTAAGCCACTAAGATTCTTGGATCATTTATTACTGCACCATAATTTTTCCCATCCTAACTAATGTAGATTACTATAAAAGTGATCAGGAAAACTGCAAAGGCTGATCATCGTGGCAATTGTGAGTGGAAGTGGTTAACTAAAACCATCCACTGACAATTCCAAAATCACCTTCACTAGTGATTTCACCTGCACTCCAATTGTGACCGTTCTAGAAAAGGTGATTATGCGTTCAAACTTTATTATTTTTAACTTATGAAGATGCAAAATTACATCTTCACTACTGAAGTCATAATGAGCAAAGAAATACTTTCTCATAGGAAGAAAAAGAAGGTGGATAAGGATAAGCCACAAAACAGGGAAGGTGGTACTGAATTCAGAGTTTATGAGATTTCCAAGAAGAATTAAACATATTTCCCACAGACTTGTGAATAAATTTCCAGAAATACACAGTACTTCTTAGCAAACGTTGGGTAGCTTAGCTTCGGCTTGATAAACTGCACTTATACGGAAACAAACGCACAATCGCTCTGGTGCAAAAGTAAAAACTGTGATTGGAGTCTGTATTTAAACGTAAGATTCCTCTCTAGCTCTCTCTGAAGAAGTTATTTTCTCTAGCACGTGGTAGAATTCATTCCATTAACCTTTGTAAAGTGCTTAATCCCGTGTCACGCACTGTACTAGGGTCTAGCGAGTGACAGATGTCACGGTACAGAGATCTCAGTGGGTCGCTGCCCTCCAGGAGCTTATAAAGAAAATTTTCCTTCTGCAGTTTTCAGCCGGCTACACCCAGTCCCCTGCAAGTAATTTTCAGTGAAAAAAACCCGCATCTTTTTCCTAGTCCTTGCAAATATTCTGGCTTTCCGAGATCTCTTCGCCTTGAATACCGAAGTCACTCCGGGATCTCTCTCTGGACGTTTGGCAGTTATTCCAGATGTAGCCGAATGACCGGCTTGCCCTTTCCCTGCGGAGTGACAGGAAGACAGCGACCCCGGAAAGTTTCCAGCACTTAAAACGCAAAGCGCAGCCTGAACCCACAAGGAGCCGACAACTCTTGCGGCTTCCACCACCCTTCTATCGCGGAGCCTAAGGAAGCTAAAGCAGTCGGGTCAGACCCGGCCACCGGGCAGCGCATGGTTCCGGGCGCAGGGAGCGACAGACTCAGCCCCCCAGCGGCGCGGCGCAGAGAAGTTGCAGGCCAGCCTGCATACCCAAGTGCGGGGGGGAAGAAAAACAAACAAACAAAAAAAATCCTTTCTTCTGGACTACAATGACCGGCAAGCAACGCGCCACGGCGCCAAGTTCAGCTTCGGGATCCTGGCGAAATGGAGCCTGGGAAGTGAAGTCTCCGGACTGTCGGAGTCCCGTAGTGAAGGCAGAAAGTAGGCGTTGCTAGTCCGCTCCACTAGCACGCCGGTTCCTGGCTGGGCTCCGGGTCTCTCGCTCCCGCTCAGGGTTTTCGCGGGCGGCGGGAGCGGTATGGCTCGCCTGAGTAAACTCCAGCGGGAGGGGGAGGAGGGTAGTGGGTGGGGAGGCGGGGTCAGCGGAAGCGGCAGGTTGCTTCCTTCTCCTCTGGCTCCCTCCCCGCCTCTCCCTGAGGGAGCGGTGGGAGGGGGAGGGCAGGGCAGAGGGAAGGTAGTGACACGTGTCAATCAACCCCCCTCCGGGGGGCGCGCGCTCCGGGGCTCGCGCCGAGGGCTCGCGCCCCTGCCTCGTGCCTGCGCTGCTCGTATGTAAATGAGGGCGCGTGACGCGGGACGCAGATGGACAAGGGAAGAGAGAGAATGGCCGCTGCCGCCGCCGCTGCTGCCGCCGCCGCCGCCGCCGCTCAGTGCCGGAGCCCTCGGTGCGCGGCGGAGAGAAGAGGATTCCGGCGGGAACTCGACTCTTGGCGCCACCGCCTCATGCACTGTGTAGGTAAGAGAGACGCGGGCCGGGGCCCCGGGCTCCGCGCGGCGACCGCTGTCGCAGCCCGAGGAGTTTGTGGCTGAGGGGTTTAGTTGAATCTCCCGTTCGGGTTAGTTCGGTGGGGGAGCGAGATGGGAGCGGCGCGGCGCGGCGGCCCCGGCGCTCGCCTTTTGTCTTGCGGGCTGCTGGCCCGGCGCGGTCCGCGCTCCTTCGCCTTCCCAGCTCTTGGGCTCCCCGGGAACTGTTAGTTTGGACCCGCTTGCTGAGCCCCCGCGGAAGCCGCCCGCTCGCTCTCTCCCCGAAACTCCTCGGCGCCCGTCGCTGCCCGCCGTCGCCCGCCGTCCACCCTGACAGGACGGAGGAAGCGGCCCGGTGGGTCGGCGCCCTGGCGGAGGAGAGCCGGCGGGCAGGGCGGCCGGAGGAAGGCGGGCTGGTCCGCGCCCCCGCCGAGCGCACACACACCCCCTTGTCGCCGCCGGGGGCCGGGTGAGCAGACGCGGCCAGTTCCCGGGGACCTGGACCTGGAGACCCACGGGCACTCGCAGGGCGGGGGCCGCTGATGGGCCGGCTGGGGGCGAGGGGCGGCGGGGGCGTCGTCCGAGGGGCGGGGGGCGCCCAACTCTGCCCTCTCGCGCTCGGCGGCGGCGCTGTGTGTACCCCTTTAAGAAGGAGCCGCTTGAGCGCTGACGGTTGGGATTTGAAGTTCTTCCTCCCTCTTTGGAAGTCTGGACGGATGGGGGGTGTTGCCACGGCAACGACACCCTCCCCCCCGTCTGCTTGCGGACGCCCCGACGACTCTGGTCCTCTTTCACTGTCATGTGATGGACTCTTCCTTACACACACACACACATATACACGCATACGCATCGCCCTCCCCACCTCCCATCCCCATTCAACTGCAATTCCCTCTTTTTGGTTGGATCTGAATCGTTTTGCCTCAAACTTCTGGGCTTGGGGCTCTCACCCTGTGGATTGTTTAGGGTGACAGGAATGGTGGGACTCCCGACCTTGCTGCAGTCGCTTTTTTTTTTTTCTTTTTTTGCCTAAGACGAATGCATAGAGCTGTTATCCAGCAGGTTGGTTTAGTGGGCTTAGAGGGGCGAACACGGATTATGGAATGGGGCGCGTTGTGGGTGTTTGTTTTGGAAGGGGGTTATGGGTGGGAGTGTAGGGGAAGAGGTAGAAAGGAAGGTTGTATTGTGTAAGCAGTGGATAGTGGCAGCAGCTTGCTCTACTGGCGAGTGAATCTTGGCATTTGGAGTTGGGGAGTAACCCTAGTGTCTTAAGAAAACAACTCTCTTACCTTGTTTCCATCTGCTCTGGCACCACCTCGCACCCCCGACCCCGCCTCCCATGTATTTGGTTAACGTCTTAAGATCTTTTTTTGACTAGTAGAGAAGAGATCGTATTAGGTTAAACTTAATACAATTTCAGTTCAGAAATGTGTACCGCAGAACGCGATGAATATAGGAAAATGTATGAGAAAGGAAGGTTACTTTAGGGGGCATTTAAGTGATGTTTAAGTAATTTACTGCTTTTGTTTTGCCCTTACGAAAAATGTATTTTGGTCTTCTCTAAGGAAAGATGATGAGAAATAGCTTTAGTCAAGTATTCGTAAGTGATTTTAGTTTATGAAGTGTAAAAAAAAACCTCTAGGTATTCTTTATATAAATTGTTTAAAAAACTAAATATTGTTGTTTGTGCTTCTTGAATACAAAATGGGCTGTTTTTGATAATTGCTTATGTAAAGATCTCTTCTGGAAACCAATTTAGAAATTACTGAGCTCATTTAGGTAGAATTAGGTAGGATGACAGCATTGCAACACTGGCTTATGATATTACTGTTAAGTTTTGTCAAGGCACAAAGTGATTTGAGGATGTCTTTTTATGTTTTGGAATATTTTGGTTGGTTTTTTTTTCTGGTCTTCTTGCTTATTTAGATACATTAAGTATAGCTTTGCATCATAAAAATAGATAGACTTGAAAAATAGTCAAACTTTAAATGAAACACAATTCATTGGATTTGATGGAAAAGGGGACTAGAATATCTTTTTGCCTTACCTACTTGTATATTCAAGTAAAATTGGAAGACATTGAAAGTTACTACTGTATTACACTTTTATTGCAATATGTGATTACATTGTATCGTATGTGAAAAGAAATTTTGTCCCTGGCTTCTAACTATATTTGAGAATTGTTTCCCACAGTCTCCATCCTAATTAAGCCCTATTAAAACCTGTCTCATATTCTTTGTTATTTATTTATTTATTGAGATGGAGTCTTACTGTCGCCCAGGCTGGAGTGTAGCGGTGCTATCTCAGCTCACTGCAACCTCCGCCTCCTGGATTCAAGCGATTCTCCTGCCTGAGCCTCCCGAATAGTTGGGATTACAGGCGTCCGCCACCACGCCCAGATAATTTTAGTATTTTTAGTAGAGACTAGGTTTCACCATGTTGGCCAGGCTGGTCTCGAATCCCATTGTTATTTTAAAATAAACAATAACATCCATTTAAACAGAGTATACACTTGTCGATTGGGCTTTTTTTAGCATCTTAGGTGTTAAGCACTTATTTATAGTGTGAATTGGGATTAAATGGAGTTTGGATAATTACCTTTTGCTATTAATGTGCCTTACATTCATTACTTTATAAACATATTTATAAAAAAGCCATATTATTTTCCCTTTGCATGTGTATACATGTGTGAATATATATGCGTACACATATGTGTATATTCAGTATATATATAATATTCGGTGCTCTCATTGCTTACAATCATTTTTATAAAATAATATCCTTCTTGTCTTTTGGTAAAGGAAATGATCCAAACATCTTAATTTTAAGTGAGATATGGAATTGTAGGCAGCGTCTCAGGGTTGTACAGCAAATTAGTATTGAGCCCCTAATGAGATTTTGAATCTCAGTTCTTAGCCTAACTCTAATCTGATTCATTTTATAACTCATATAATATTCTAATTTTATAGGGTAGAAAGTTGTTTTAGTTGTCATGACTGCTTGTAGTTAGCCACAAAGGTAAACGTTTAACTCTTAATATGGAATGAGATATTTACCTTCCTCTAATTGTGGCATTCATCTCTTTATGTTAGATTTTTAACTACTGTTCTGGTTCATTCCACATAGTTTTCTTTTCATTGAAGAGTTGTCCTACAACCTTTTGTCCCAATTAATATCTCTACTTACATTGTGGTACTTTCTATAATTTGACTGTTTTTCTATAATTATCCTATACTGTACTGTGTTATAGTTTTCAGTAGCTCATGTCACAAATGTTCGAGTGCTTATTGGATGTAGTAAATAGTATCCTAGTACTAACTATGATATTGAGAAATAGCAAATATAGTCCTGGATCTTATGAAATGTATAATATAATTAGCATTTGATAAGTCATACAATTTAAAACAGGTCTAGAATAAAATAAATACACCTGTATATTTTTAAACATCATCAGGACTTGTATAGTCCATTAGGATATCTGATCTGGGAGACTGGCCAATATTTAAAAATTTTGTATTTTGATGTAATTTCAATCTTAAAAGTTGGAAGAATAGAACTCCTATGTACCTACATTTGTTGTTTTACATTTTGCTGTGTTTATCATTCTTGCTTTATACTGATCTCTCTATATTTTTTCAGAACAGTTTGAGAGTAATTCAGAGACATCAACCTCTTTACCCCTAAATTCTTCAGTGTATATTTTTAAAAAACAAGGATACTGTCTTACCTAATTACAGTGAGGTTATTAAAACCAGAAGATTTAATGCTGATACACTGTTACCCAATTTATGGTCCATATTCAGATTATATCTGTTTATCTATTTTTTCTGTTAGCTTTTTTTCCTCTTATTCTGGGATCCACTTCAGGATCATGCATTACATTTGGTAATTATGTCTCCTTAGTCACTTTCAATTGGGAACACTTCGTCAACCTTACTATTTCTTGACCTTGACATTTTTAAAAGTACAGGGCAGCTATTTTGTAGAATGTCCCTCAATTTGAATTTATCTGTTGCTTTCTCATGATTAGATTGGTTATGCATTTTGGCAGGAATACCACTTAAGAGATGTTCTGCCCTTCTTAGTACATCATATCTTGAGATTCATGATGTTGGTGTGTACCAATGTTGGTGATGTTAGCTTTGAAAATTTTGTTAAGCTGGTATTCCTCATATGTATCCCTGAAAGTTATTATTTATCTCATTGTAACTAATATGCAATTTGTGGAAAAATTATTTTGGGGAACAGTATATTTACATAGTATAATCAAAGTTTCACCCACAAGTTTTAGCATCAGTTGATGATTATCTGACTTCATTCCTTCTATAATTATTAGTTGACATTCAGACATAAGGTAATCTTTCCCATCTCCATTATTTACTCAGTTGTTTTTATCTGTATGAACTCATGGATTTTTAATTTTATTCAGTGGTTAAATCCATTGCTGTCATTATTTTGATTCACAAATTGTCCCAGGTTTGGCCAATGGGTGTCTCATCAAGCTGGTTCCAGTGTTATTTCTGCAAAAACAAGATACTCCAGCTTAATTTTGTATTTTATCTGTCCAAGCTGTGGCATGAGCTCCTTTTCCAAATTTACCTCCATTCTTTTCAGTGGAAAATAGACTTAGATACCAAAATATAAGCAGTAGGTTTTAGGACTGTTTTTAAACCTGATTTTTATGATACAGAAGCTGATAATCACTGTAACCATTTTGTCTAAGGGCACAGCAGCAAAACAGAATGACAAAGATTGGTTTAGAATCATTCTGTAAACTTCAGTATCTTTCCTACATAACAGTGTTGTGCAGTAGAAATATAATGGAAGTAAAACATGTAAATTTAAGTCTTCTAATAACCACATTTAAAAAGCATATTTATCCTAATGTGTTAAGTATATTATCATTTTAACACCAATCCATATAGAAATTATTGAGTTAGTTTATATTTTTCAAAAATATTAAGTCTTCAAAATCAGGTATTTTACATTGATAGCACATCCCAATTTGGACTAGACACATTTTAGGTGGCTTAATAGTCACATGTAGCAAATGGCTTTCACTTTGCATAGTTCAGTTCTGTACAGTAGTTGCTCCAGCCAACTCTTGATTACCATGATACCACTTAATTAAAGCCTGTTAATAATAACCAAACCTATAGCTTAATTTATTTTTCCTCAAATCTTTTATTTTGGTAGTGTAAAACAGCAAATAAACATAAAGGTTCTAGAGCTAGACTACTTGTGTTTGAATCCTGTTGTTACCACTTAGCAGTGTGGTCAAATAGCTTAACCTGTCTATACTTTAGTTTCTTAATCTGTAAATTGGAGATAATCAGGTTGTTTGCTAATTTTGTGTTAATATATGTTGATATGTGTCTTTCATATAGAAAGCATTCCCTAAGTGTTTGCTAGTATGATTGGTTTACACAGGTTATTAGCAGCTTTGAACTCTTAACGTTTTTGCCAATAGATTCTTTCTGGTAGGAATCCTGATGAACAGTGAAAAGATCATGGAACATGTTAAAGAAAAGATAGTAAGGGCTTGAATGGTCTGTATTCTAGACTATTCTAGAGCCATAGAATTATAGTTTTAGAATCACAGGGTATCACTTAGTCTAATCCTGGCTTTTTATGTATGAAACCAGGAAGGCCTTTGATACCGAAAGGAATCTTTTGGCTATGTGGTAACTGAATACAATAAATTATTTTTAGCTCATTTAAAAAATTTATATCATACTAGATCATCTTGAAGTTGCTTTTTGTCGGTATCTACTCTCTATTTTACTTTTCCTGTTAATCAACTTGTTGCTACTTTCTGGATGCTTCTTGTCTCCTGCTCCTTTATCTTACCACTAACTTCTCCCTCATCTTGTCACTGTTGCCATGTAAACCCCATAAGAGTAGATTTACTTAGAAATCTGGATTGATGGGACTGGTATGGATGGGTCTGCTATCCAAAAGACTTTGTTTATACAGCTGTTTTTTTCAAGCACTATCAAATGTTTTCTATTTTAAAAGATGTAAATTGTGGCACCTTCTAATAGTGTGCATTGGACAAATGGAATCTGTGATGCTGATGAGTAGTTGGATGGTTAAGACATGTATCAAGTCTTTCTGTAAAATAGGCATATTGATGAATTTTGCATGCAAATTTTGAAGTTCTCTGTACTCTTGGATCTTTTTATATTTGAAAGAGTAAAATTCTGCCATTTTTGGAACCAAGCAGTGTGTAATTTTATATTTTGTAAATGTTAGATATGGGCTACAGACTGGTCTTAACCAGTCTTTTTTGTGTGATGCCCTCTTTGTGCACATACTACATCCCTTGTTTGGCTACATGGGTGCGCTGCTTCCTGATTGGCTGTGCGCATGATAAATTGCTGTTATGTGTCCTCTACATTCCTCTCATTTGTCTGACTTTCAACCCTGGTCTTTAATTCTTCTGTCATAGTGCAGTCTTGGGAGGAGCAACAAAGATATATAGATTTTTGGTTATGTTATGTAACTTTTTATTCCTCATTAGTAAATCTCATCTTTCAATTGTAATAACCTACATTTTTGGTGGGAAGTTTCTATCTTTTCTTTTTAGTAGTATTCCTTCCTTTTGGTATATATAACTAGCATTCATGGCTGATAGATAACAGAGCACCAAGGACATAGGTCCAAAATTTTAAGGACCTGCCTAACTGTATAGAGTTCATACTTAAGAGCTGAATCTGTAATCAAGTAATCTTTGCAAGAGTTTTTATTCACAATGCAATCTAGATAAGAGAATGTGAATGGGGGGCCCAGACCAGCCTACTGCTACCCATAGAAAACTGATTAACAAACTAATGCCATCTTTGTATTTGAAGAATACCACTTTGTTCTTAATTAAAGCAAAATAAAAATTTTGTTTTGAGAATTTTTGTGTTTGATAGAAAACAAAACTTAAAATGAGGAATTGTCTGTGTCTCATCTCCTTTCCTTTCATATAGTTTCCCCATAATTGGCAGCAACCCTATCCTGCTTGCTACATTTGCGTCTTACTTTTCTTTTTTTTACCTTAATCTGTTGCCAAGCTATTATTACTTTCTTTACAGTATCTCATGGATTCAATTTTTTTTTTTATGCAGTAAGCATTAGGACAGATCCAGATAAGATTCTGGTTTATATCAGTGTCTGCATTGCTGGTTTTACTGTCTTTCAGTCTGACTTACAACCAATAGTAAATCATTGTTTAAAGTAGCTGCTTTGATTTCATAGTTTACAAAGCTGTAGTATCTCCCATTTGTCTTTTTTTCATGAAATAAAAGCTGCCAGCCATGTTTATCTAGTTGGTCATAGTTTACCAGCCTGCTTCTTCAGTTTGTCTAGTTTCTTCTTTAGACAACTCAACCTTTTTCATAGACTTTTGTCCTTTTTTATCCACATTGCCCCAAATTCTTGAGTATCTTTTTATATCTTCTACCCTCCATCCTCAGTCGCCTTTAAAATTAAATTGCAGGCCGGGCACGGTGGCCCATCCCTGTAATCCTAGCACTTTGGGAGACTGAGGCAGGCGGATCACTTGAGCCCAGGAGTTGGAGACCAGCCTTGCCAAGATGACACAACCCCATCTCTAATAAAAATACAAAAATTAGCTGGGCATGGTGGCACATTCCTGTAGTCCCAGCTACTCGGGAGGCTGAGGCACAAGAATCGCTTGAACCCGGGAGGCGGAGGTTGCAGTGCATGAGATCATGCAACTGTACTCCAGCCTAGGTGACAGACCAAGACTCCGAAAAAAAAAAAAATTCAACTGCAACCTAGAGGCTTTTCTAAAGTATTTATTGAAAAGCAAATTTAAGAGCTTTCTCCATTAATTCAAATTGGCCAATTCTTTTCTGACTAGTATGTGCAAGGTGTGCACATAGGACGTAATTTTGTCCAGTAGTCTTCATGTTTAAATTATAAACTGTTTAGTGACAGTAACTAATAAGTCCTCACAAGTGGTAGAAAGGACTTAATGGAAATAACCCAGTTTCTTCTTAGCCCCTATCATTGTAACATTAGGCACAAATCATTCCACTTTTTACAGATGGAAACCTATGAAACTGGGATAATATCTGTCCTCAAATGTTTGCCATTTTTATTCCTATGAAAGATGCTATAATATTTATGTAGTAGTAGTATCTGGGCTGAAGGTATAAATTAGAAAATTACCAGCATAAAGATGATATTTAAATCCACAGAAATAGATGAGATTACTTAGGAATAGGGGACAGTATATCTAGAGTATAACTTGAGTATATCAGAGATAGTTTAGATAGTATAACTAGTAGGTGACTCAGTACCACACCTTAAGGAATCTTAGCCTTCCTTGGGCAGAAGAAGAGAAACCTCAAAGTAAGGTCACTGGCTGAAGAGTAAAACCAGGAGGGAGTGGTATTACCAAATCCAAGAGGAGAGAGAAAAATATTACAATAAGGAGGGATTGTTACGTGTTGATGAGATGTCAAGTACCATGAAACAGGGAAGTGTACATTGTTTTTGGCTCTAGGTGACCTTGACTAGATAAATTTCAGTAGTGAGGGAGATGGCAGCCATATTATAATAGGTTAGAAAGTAATTAAGATATGTGCAAGTGGAGATAACATTTGTCGTAAACTAATTTAAGAGCTATATTTTGAGGAAGAACTGATAAATACAGCAGTAATTGGAGACATCTGGGGTCTAGGGATATTTGTTTTTTAGATGGGCGTTACCATTTACCATACTTAGTAAGATGGGGAATACTTTTCTGTATCAGTGATAACCATGATTCTTTTATATGTTAATTTCATTAAGCTGAGAGCTGATAGTAACAAAATACTGAGGCAAATATATTAGATAAAGAAATGGGATAGAGTTGGTTTTAATCTCTTAGTATGGATTCTACATGTATTTTTTTTTCCCCTTCAAAAAAGTTTCCTAATCAAGTTACTGAGATGTGGTATGTGTAACATTGGTGCATTACACATTTTAAAAGAATGTTTTTTTCTACAATTAATTTACTGTTGTCAGTCATCATTTATCTTGAGTCCTACGTGTGACCATTGCTTGGGGGTATAATTTTATGTTTCTTCTTTACTGGATTCTGAACTAGAAATAGACTTTGGAATAAAAAATCAAAATATTAGCTTTTTAAAATGGTAAGGTTGCATTGAGGAACTTGGCTTGGAACTGAGGCCAAAATTAGACATTAGATTGCCCTACTGCCTGACTCCCTGAATTGAACTTATCAGCCTATCAAAGACAGTACAGCTGGAGCTGCAGGCGTCTTAAAATACAAGGAAGCTGTACCCTAGTGAGTTTACCATGCTTGTTGGTAGGAGTGAGCAGGAGGCTTGGCCGTGAATGAAAAATGACTTTTAAAACATTAATCCATCCCACTAGGGACCAACTGTAAGGATGTTGCCAATATTAGTTATTCTTCCTTCTTTTGGGAGAACTGAATAAGTAGTAGAGAAAAGAGCCAAGTTTCTTCCAAAGTACTTCCCCCAAGAATGTGAAAAGTGTTTGTGGGAGTTCTATTTTATGGAAAAGACAGGAACTGTGGTGTGGTTCAAAAAGCTTACTGTTTACACAGGAGTAGGATTTACCTTGCTTTTAAAGAGTTCACAGTGATCAGGGATGTTAAATATTAGACTTGGTGTAATGTAATGGAAAGACAGAAGTGGGAACAATTAATTTTGACTTGAAGGATTCAAAATGACTAGGCTTCAAAACATTGAGGGAAAGCAAGGATTGGCAAACTTTTTCTCTAAAGGGCCAGACAGTAAATGTTTTAGGCTTTGTGGGCCATCTGGTCTCTATTGCAGCTACTCACCTCCACTGTTGTAGTCCAAAAGAAAGACATAAATTAATAAGCATGGCTGCGTTTCAGTAACATTTATTTATAAAAATAGGTGGATTTGGCCTATAAACCATAGTTTGCTGATCTCTGGGATAAAGGATACAGCAGGAAAGTAGAGTGGAGGGAATGGGCAGAGATAGTATAAGCAAATATATTTAAGTATAAATAATGATATATTCTGAAAATATTTAGCATTACAGTGCCATTGGTTTATAGGTTAGCAGCAGAAAGTAGGACTGGAAGTATAAATTATAGCTTCTACAAGGAGGAAATTGTAAGCCTTTGAAGTTGTTTTTTTTTTTTTTTTAAAATGGGTAATAAGCATGATCAGATAAGTCAGCTTATTTTCATTTGGAACATCTGTTGTTGGTGCAGGTTTGAGGGCTTTTTGTTTGCAATAGTTTTAAGAAGCTCAAATTAAAGCAGCCCTTTTAAATCAAAACTGGGAAAATGAGCAGTCTTCATTCACTTGAATGTATTAAGACATTCTGCTTGGGCTCTGAACAACTTGAGAAATAAAACAAGGAGAAAGATGGAAGCCAAAATAATCTTTCTATTACCGATACAGGCCAGGTTAGAGGAATAGCTTGATGGGGGAGTCAGGTGGTCTGGCATAGGCTGACTTATCCATCCAGTCCTAGGCTCAGTAGAGAAGCAGAGCTGAATATGAGTCTTTGGAGGTTTGTTCTCCTTTGAAAGCTCAACCCCAGGGGCAAGAGGAATAGAACTGAGCTCTTCCTCAAATCCAGAATCACCAATCGGATAATTCACTTTACTAGCTAAGGGTAAAAAGAGGCTCAGGTTGTGCTTTTGATGCATCCTTCCTCATAGAAACCAGGAGCAAGGGAAAGGTATTGTAACAATCATGGCTGTTAATTTTTGCAGGGTTGTATCTGGGGGTAAGTATACTGGAAACAATACAACTGTTAATATTCTGAAAACAAGTCAAATTTACTTGTTCTGGATATTTTAAAAAATATGTTATGGCCGGGCCCGGTGGCTCACGTTTGTAATCCCAGCGCTTTGGGAAGCTGAGACAGGCAGATCATATGAGGTCAGGAGCTCAAGACCAGCCTGGCCAACATGTACAGAAACCCTGTCTGTACTAAAAATACAAAAATTAGCCAGGCGTGGTGGCAGGTGCCTGTAATCTCAGCTGCTCAGGAGGCTGAGGCAGGAGAATCGCTTGAACCCGGGAGGCGGAGGTTGCAGTGAGCCGAGATCATGCCACTGCACTCCAGCCTGGGCAACAGAGCAAGACTCCATCTCAAATATATATATATACACACATACATACATATATACATACATACATATATATATACACACACACACACAGACACACACACATATATATATGTACCCATACACACATTTATGTATATTTTAGTGTTTGGAACAACTGTATTTTTTAAACTCTCAAAATAAAATTAGTAGGGTTTTTTCTTCTTTTTAAATTAACTAGATTTTCCACAGGCCTATGTAAGATACTTAAGTAAAATGCATGTTTGGTTAGAAGGAAACCCAGTGCTCTCTTCTGTATTATAATTTTCAATTAACTTTTTAAACTTAGAAGGAATTAGTGTAAAAGAATAGAGCACTGTTTACATGGAAAAAAAGCAGGTACTCTGACAAATAGATTGTTGTTTTAATTAGCTCTGATTATAGGTGCTTACACAGTTTATTCACTGGTGTCTCTTTTTTTAAAATATAATTAATTGTTCTTCAATGTCTTCTTCCTCCTCCCTTTCTGAACAGCTCAGTACTAAAACATCAAGTGGGAGAAAACAAGGGTAGGTATCCACACTGGGTGGGGTGCGTGGGAGGCAGAGCCACATCGTCATGTAAGAGGAGTGGGATCTCAGAACCTTATAGGGTGAGGAGGGTGTCCATGGGGGTTGATGGAATGAAGGGTAAGGAGCACCTCTCCATTGGAAGGCATGCTAAGGCAGGGTATTGGAGCCCAAGCAGGGTGATATGGTATCTGTGAAGGAGAGTGGCCTGGTATGGGGGAAGGTCAGCTGGTCCCAGCAAGGAGGACATCTACTTGGGGTGGGATGTCATCCTGCATGAGCTCTCAGGGCCCCAGTAGATACCAGGGGGTAGGGAGTGACCCATGTAGGATTGCAGCCTGGTGTAGGTATATTAAGGCTCAAGTGAGATGAGGAGGGAGTCCATACATAGAGGTATCTGAGTCCAAGGTATTAGAGCCTGAGGGTAAAGGGAGGAAGGCCTCTCAGTGGAGCTCGGTACAATATGGGATTTCATAGCCTGAGCAGGGTAGGGAGGATATTCTTGTAGGAGGGATGCCAGGCATGAGGAATAGGGACCTGAACAGGGTAAGGAGATTATATACATGGGGTAGGGATTTTGGGGCCAAGAGAGGTGAGGAGGGTGTCCGTGTAGGGAAAGAGACAGCTACAGTGGGAGATTGGTTACGTACATGAAGATTGATCAGTATTAAGAATAATGGGAGCCAGGCTTCTCATTGTCTGAGAAGGGATTTACTAATATGAAAGTAGGGAAAATTAGAATGCTGTCTGTAGTGTTGGATAGGAAATGAAGTACTTGTGCGAACTCATGGTTTTCATCATATATAGATATAGAAATGTATGTGTATGTATACATACACATGCCCTATACTGGTCATTGAGAAGGGGCTTAGGAGCAGTGGCAGTACGGTAGCAGTGAGCATAGTGTATTACCGTTAATTTCCTGATTTTAATGGTTGTTTTTGTGAGAGAATTGGGAAATACTAGGAATTCAAGAGTGGTGGGTCATTATGTAGACATTTACTCTCAAATGGTTGGGAAGATAAAGGTCTTCCTTACTATACTTAAAACTTTTAAGTTAAAGATTGTTAAAACATAAAAGTATTTAAAAACAGTGTCATTAGTCTACGTATGTTCTTGTGAATTAATCACTTTCAGCCCTAACTACCATAGTTAGTAATATACATGTTGTCTTACAGATTTTCCAGCACCAAGAATTGCCCCTTGAAATAATGATAGATAATATTTATTGAGTGCTTACCGTGTGTTAGGCAGATTCTAAGTTTTTATATGTATTATCACATATAATTTTCCATATGAAATAGTACAATTTTTATCTTCATTTTACAAATGAGAAAATTCAGGCTTAGAGAGGCTAAGTGACTTGCCCAAGTCTTTCTGCCTAGCAAATTCAAAAGTAGAATTCACATCCAGTCTTAACCACTATACCAGGTCAAACCTCATTTAAAAATTAGCAAGTCTCATCCTTTCTGGTCAGATTGTTACATCTAAAACTTTAGTAGTGCTGTTTTCATTTTATTTTAGAACTTGAGTTTCAGGGGTGGGAAAAAGTATTCTGGGTTTAGGCCTCCTCAGCCTTTTATTCCTGTCCTGGAGTGAGAGAGAACCGGGACTTCTGTATTTGAATGCACAGTGTCAGAGATAAGGATTCCCCTGTGATGGATTAATCAGAGAAAATATCCACTAATTTTTTTCTTGCTTTTACAACTGATGATGAGAACATGGAGTTAGTGGGCAAGGCTTTTCCATGGCACAGACTTGCAGTGTTAAGTTTTAGTCTGGATATAAAGTTACCTTCTATCCTAATTCTAAGAATGATGAGCAATACCTTTCCATCTCTTTTGAACTTTCCTCAAGAATGGCAGATGAATTAATAGGATATAGCTAATTGTTTCATTTTAACCTTCCTTTCCTTGTACTTATCTGTGCCAATTTAGGGTATGGAAAAGTAGTTTCTTGGTAAAATCCTGTATTTTTTTTACATACTACTCTTTTGGGATCAGCCCAATAATTACTTTTTTCTTCTTTGCTTTCTTAACCTTTTAGTATTTGTGTTCTGGCATAGCACATAAATAGAATAGAATTTGCCTATGAGTACATATTAGCTTGCTTGTCTAACTTTTCACTCTTAACAGTCTGAGCCCACAGATCCTTTCATCCTCTGTCAGAGTGAGTTTCTGCTGACCTACTCATTCCTCAGACCCATTCTAAAATTGCTGCCTTTATTTTATATAAAGAATAATAGTATTTTCAGTGTTGAAAGAAGCATGGCCATCTGCTAAAATCCTTTTGCTTATATTTTCTTCCTCATAATTTTTTTCAGTAATTATTTATGGACAGGGCATTGTACTAGGAGACTCAGGTGTATTAGATTGTCTTCATGAAGCACAATCTCCTGGGGAAAACAAGGCTCTCTGACTACAGAATACGATAAATGCGATAATAGAAGCATATACAGTATTAAATTTGTAGCATAAAGGAGGGGAATGGTGAGGTTTCCTTATATGAGTCCATGAACAATCATAAGATGATTGTGGGAAATGAGAAAAGATAGTTTGTTTAATTGAATCATGAAGAAACATGTAAGCAGGATATAGTAGTAATTATTTTAAATTATTTTACTGTGGATTAGGCATTAAGTGCTTATACTTAGAATTTATTTGATTTTCATAACTGTCTTATAAGACAGGAACTATATTTTTCATCCTACTTTATAGATAAGGCAATTAACTCACTTACACTAGAGGTGGAGAAAAACCACTGAAGAATTTTAAGCATGGGAGTGATATAGTTTAATTTGTGGTTTTATAAGATTACTCTGCTAGTATGGAGAATATAACAGGCAAATCAGGAGATGTCAAGATAGACCAAGCAAGTTTTGAGGGTAGTAGTGGAAACAGAGAAGAGGGGGAGACTATTACAAGAGGAGTTACAATAAACGGATTTTAGTTGTTGATTAGATATGGCCATACAGAAAAAAGGAGAAAGAACAGAGAATCATTTCCAAGCTTCTGTTTAGGAGGCCTAACTGGATTATGGGACCATTATCCAGAGTAGGATATAGAGCATTGTATTTTCATATAATATAATAATATATGTGATATGGTTTGGCTGTGTCCCCACCCAAATCTCATCTTGAATTGTAACTCCCACAATTCCCACCTGTCATGGGAGGAAACTGGTGGGAGGTAATTGAATTATAGGGAATGGGTCTTTCCTGCGCTGTTCTTGTGATGGTGAATGAGTCTCATGAGATCTGATGGTTTTAAAAAGGGGACTTTCCCTGCACAAGCTCTCTTCTCTTGTCTGCCACCATCTGAGATGTGCCTTTCACTTTCCACTATGACTGTGAGGCTTCCCCAGCCACTTCAAACTGTAAATCCCATAAACCTCTTTCTTTTGTAAATTGCCCAGTCTTGGGTATGTCTTTATCAGCAGTGTGAAAATGGACTAATACAGTAAATTGGTACCAGTAGAGTGGGGCACTGCTGAAAAAATACCTGAAAATGTGGAAGTGACTTTGGAACTGGGTAAGAGGCAGAGGTTGAATAGTTTGGAAGGCTTAGAAGAAGACAGGAAAATGTGGGAAAATTTGGAACTTCTTAGAGATTTGTTGAATGGCTTTGATAAAAATGCTGATAGTGTTATGAACAATAAGATCCAAGCTGAGGTGGTATCAGATGGGGATGAAGAACTTGTTGGGAACTGGAGCAAAGGTGACTCTTTTTATGTTTTAGCAAACAGACTGGTAGCATTTTGCCCCTGCTATACAGATGTGTGGAACTTTGAACTTGACAGAGATGATTTAGGGTATCTGGCAGAAGAAATTTCTAAGCAGCAAAGCATTCAAGAGGTGACTTAGGTGCCATTAAAGGCATTTGGTTTTAAAAGGGAAACAGAGCATAAAAGTTTGGAAATTTTGCAGTCTGGCAATGTGAAAAAAAGAAAGTTCCATTTTCTGAGGTGAAACTCAAGCCCACTGCAGAAATTTGCGTGAGTAATGAGGAGCCGAATGTTAATCCCCAAGACTGTGGGGAAATTGTCTCCAGGGCATGTCAGAGGTCTTCACGGAAGCCCCTGCCATCACAGGCCCAGAGGCCTAGGAGGAAAAAGTGGTTTCATGGGCCGGATGCATGGTCTCTGTGCTCTGTGCAGTGTAGAGACTTGGTACTCTGTGTCCGAGCCACTCCAGCCATTACTGAAAGGGGCCAACATAGAGCTCGGGCCGTGGCCTCAGAGGATGCAAGCCCCAAGCCTTTGCAGCTTCCACCTGGTGTTGAGCCTGTGAGTGCACAGAAGTCAAGAATTAGGTTTAGGGGAACCTCTGCCTAGATTTCAGAAGATGTATGGAAATGCCTGGATGCACAGGCAGAAGTTTACTGCAGGGGCTGGGCTCTCATGGAGAACCTCTGCTAGGGCAGTGTGCAAGGGAAATGTGGGGTTGGAGCCCAGAGTCCCTGCTGGGACACTGCCTAGTGGTGCTGTGAGAAGAGGGCCATCGTCCTTCAGACCCCAGAATGGTAGATCCACTGACAGCTTACATCATGTGCCTGGAAAAGCTGCAGACACTCAACATCAGCCTGTGAAAGCAGCTGGGAGGGAGGCTGTACCCTGCGGAGCCACAGGGGCAGAGCTGCCCAAGACCATGGGAACCCATCCAGTGTGACCTGGATGTGTGACATGGAGTCAAAGGAGATCATTTTTGAGCTTCAAAATTTGACTGCTAGCCAGGTGTGGTGGCTCATGCCTGTAACCCCAGCACTTTGAGATGCTGAGGCGGGTGGATCGCCTGAGGTCAGGAGTTCGAGACCAGCCTGGCCAACATAGAGAAATCCCGTCTCTACTAAAAATACAAAAAATTAGCTGGGTGTGGTGGCAGGCACCTGTAATCCCAGCTACTCGGGAGGCTGCGGCAGGAGAATTGCTTGAACCCAGGAGGTGGAGGTTGCAGTGAGCCAAGATCATTGCACTCCAGTCTGGGCAACAAGAGTGGAACTCCATCTAAAAAAAAAAAAAGCTTTGACTGCCCTGCTGGATTTCGGATTTGCATGGGGCCTGTAGCCCCTTTGTTTTTGCCAATTTCTCCCATTTGGGATGGCTCTATTTACCCAATGTCTGTTACCCCCATTGTATCTGCTAACTTGCTTTTGATTTTACAGGTTCATAGGCAGAAGGGACTTGCCTTAGATGAGATGTGGGACTGTGGACTTTTGAGTTAATGCTGAAATGAGTTATGACTTTGCGGGGGGACTGCTGGGAGGGCATGACTGGTTTTGAAATGTGAGAACATGAGATTTGGGAGGGGCCAGGGTGGAATGATATGGTTTGGCTGTTTCCCCACCCAAATCTCATCTTGAATTGTAATTCCCACAATTCCCACGTATCACGATAGGAACCTGGTGGGAGGTGATTGGATTATGGGAGTGGGTCTTTCCTGCTCTGTTCTCATGATAGTGAATGAGTTTCATGAGATCGGACGGTTTTAAAAAAGGGATGTTTCCCTGCACAAGCACTTTTCTCTTGTCTGCCACCTTCTGAGATGTGCCTTACACCTTCTGCCATGACTGTGAGGCTTCCCCAGCCACATGGAACTGTAAGTCTGATAAACCTCTTTCTTTTTTAAATTGCCCAGTCTTGGATATGTCTTTGTTAGCAGCATGAAAATGGGCTAGTACAATGTGAAATCCATATATGAATAATATGTTTTCACATAATACATGTATTTTCATTTAGTATATGTGGTAGGTGGAGTCAGTATATATAGACTGAAATCGGATCAACACATTGCTATTTGCTAGTTTGTCTTAAAGCCAGTCATTGCAAGGATATGTACACCAATACTTCCCAGAGAAAGCAATTATAGAATGGAGTTCCCTTCTACTTACAAGTTCTGTGCTTTGGTTCAAAAGCTCTTGTGTTTCTGCTGCAGGAATGCATGTAGCACCTTTGCATTCTTGCGTTCTTAACATTTGAAGATCCACAGGTGGCTTTGGACTTTATTGGTGTGTGTGGTGCACCCCTCCCCCAGGTTTGATCACTTATTCTGTCAGGAAAATTTATCCAAGATAAACTGAGTAACTTTATGTGGTATTTTTATGTGATATGTTGAATAATTTAATAACAAATGTTATTTGGAAAAGTTACACCTCAAGTCAGTTTTCAGTTGATAGAGTGATTGTAACGTGCTTCAAAATTGTAGGTCTTAGATCCCTGTAGCTTTGACATATAGTGATTACATCTTAAAACCTAAAACACTTCCTTGATCTTCATTTCTCTATCTCCCTACCAGTTACCTATCCCAATATTTAACTTACTTGATCTCTCTCCACTTGTATGTCTCTCAGGTATTCTAATATTAGGATATTTTGCCATTACTTTTGATGGCAAAAACTGCAGTTACTTTTGCACCAACCTAATATGTAACATACCTAAAAGTTAACTCTTGATCTCTCTCTACCAAATACAAAGTCTATTTCTCTGGTGTTCTTTATCTCAACGTACCTTAAATTTCACAAGTCAAACACCTGAAAGTAATCTTTTACTTATCTTCCTTCTCATCTGCTATGCCAATCCACCAATTATGTTTTCAAATATATCTTAAACCCATTCATTTCCCTTTATTTTCACTCCAGTTGAAGTCAGCCTCATTTCTTACCTAGACTGATGCAAAAAATTCTTATATGGCTTCCTGTCTTCTCCTTTTATTCTCTCTAGTTTAGTCTTCCATGGTGCAAAGAAAAATCTGTTTAAGTACTTTGCTCTGCTCTCAACCTTTAATGACTTCTGCACCAACGACAAAAGCACGGAGATATGGATATATTCTGTTCTTGGAAAATTATAGCACCCCCAAATTTGCAGTGTGGCAGAAACCATGGCTGTACAAAAGTTGGCTTGAGGTCAGATTGCGATTTAAAAAAATATGTATTGTCCTGTGGACTTTGGTTCTTTTTCTGTTGCTAATTGGGATTAAATTGATATTTAAGTTTGTTTTTAAGCAGTGGGATTGATAGAGATGCCACTTTCCACATTCCGTTTAGTGAATTCACTGGTGCAGTTCTGTTTTATACCAACCCCATGCAAACTCTGATTACTCTTTCTTTGGAGAAATCAAAAGCTTTCCTGAGAGAATACCTTCCCAAGAGAATATATGAAGACTTGGGCTGAGTTTTAAAAATTATCATGGACAATTTTAAATATGTACAAAAATAGGAGAAAGCATAATGAATCTCAATGTTTTTGTGACCTAGCTTTAACAATATAACAAATTCTGGCTTAATTTTTAATATAAAAATTATCAAAACATTTTATATGTTGGTTGTCTGATGTACTGTAATTCATTCCATGTTCTCATCTGAATAAACCCAAATTACACATTTTCTTGGAGTTGTAAATTTACAACAGAAAGTGAAAAGTATTAACATCATGACATGTTGTCTTACTGTTGCTTTTAGCTTAATATTAACTATTTTTGTTTGTACTATATGGTTTAGTTATAAACCAAAAAATTTAAGTTCTAGAACCCAGAAGGTTTTTTTTTTTCTTTTGTGAGAGGCGGGAGTGGTGCTGGTGAGAGCACCTTGTATATGAAATGCATTTTGAGTAACTCTAAAACCCAGTAAGAAAGCATTGTTTATGTCTTGGATGTATCTGACAGTTTACATTCATGAAGCAAACCAAAGAAGATATTGCTTATTATAGACCCATAGCATATGCTGAACAGTGGTTCATTGTTTTTCAATCTTGTAGAGCCACCAAATTAACAGTGATGTAACTAATGGGTAGAAAGACCTCAGAGCATTCATCTTACTTGGTTGTTGAAATAACAATAACTTAATGAAAATGTTTTCACATTAGTGTTACAGTATTTGTCAGCACTCATGATAATTTGGTACTTATGTCTTGGGTGTTTATTAAAGATCCACACCAAATTATGCCTTGGAAAATCTGAATTTTAGAGAAACAAACATATGTGTGTGGATGGATATAGATAAACATAGATATATAGATGTGTGTATAGGACTGTCTATTTCCATATATGTATATAATTTGTAGTTAGTAACAAGTATAATGATTCTGGGAGACTTTTAAAAAAAATTTGTTTTATTTTAATGAACCTGTTACCATTTGTGTAGAATTAAAATCCATAAAATGTATTTCATTGTGATTTTGTAGTGAATTGTGATCTTGGAGTTAACACCTTATGTTCACATTGTAGATGTCACTTATTAACTGTGTAACCTTGCAAAATTTACGAGCTGTGTTCTCAAAAATAGTTGCATACTGATTTCCAGATCTGTGCCTTTCTCTGTCTTCCATTCTTTCTTTCTTTATACTGAACCTTTCTCTGCAAGAATATTGGTAGCCCCTTTCTTCTTGACTTCTTTTTTTAAGTTCTTTTATTGAATAACTTTTCTAAATTCAAATGTGTTCATGTTACCCCTGAATAAAAATCTTCATTGGTTCCTCCATTGACCTTAGGATAAAGCCTTAAATTTATAATATGGCTTAGAAAGCTCAGCATAGCCTACCTGCTCTGTACTGCCTTAGCCTTTCCGTTTTTCATTCTACTTTGAGCACTGCAGTCAAAGAGCGTATCAGTAGCAGAGTAATTGTAGTATGGTAATAATAGCAGCTTTTATTGACTATCTATTAATACTTATGCCAGGTATATGCTTTACATGTATTATATCCTTTAATCCTCACAATAATCTTGAGTATAGGCATTGTCTTTAGCATACACTGAATCCTTTTTGGTTTTTGTTTGTTTGTTTATGAGACAGGGTCTCGCTCTGTTGCCCAGGCTAGAGTGCAGTGGTGCTGTCATAGCTCACTGCAGCTTCGAACACCTAGGTTCAATCAGTCCTTCCACCTTGGCCTCCCAAAGTGCTGGGATTATAGGTGTGAGCCAACTCACTCAGCTTGAACTCTTTTTGGATTCTCAAACACTATGCCTGTGGGCTTTTGCATATTTGTTTTCTTTCTGGATTACAGTAGCTGCTGCTCCATTGCTACTTTTTGTAAACTGTTGTTTCTAAATAGAACTACATGGAAAAAATGTATCAGATCATGATCTTACACCTCAGTGAACAAAATGAACATACTCTTATAACCACCACCAGATCAAGAAATGGAACCCCCAGAAGTCTCTTCATATCCCCATCCAGTCACTAATCTCTCCCACTCCCTGTAAAATATGAATAGTATTCTCACTTTTTAACACAGTAGACTATTTGTTCCTGTTTTGGGAAACTTTGAAATGGGATTATGTAGTATATATTTTGTGTTTAGCTTCTTTAGCTCAGTATTTTATGTAATTCATTCATGTGGTTGCCTGTAGATATAGTTCGTTCACTTTTAATGCTCTATAATATTCTAATATGTAACTGTATCAAAACATCTTTGAAGGATATTTAGGTTGTTTTCATTTTACATTCTTAGAAACAATGCAATGAACATTCTTAGACATTACACATTCTTAATTTTGATTCAACTCCTGGAATATTTTTAAACTTCATTTTAGTTGTCTAGATTTCACTTTTTCCAGGAATCCTTTCTTAGCCTCTCCAAGTTTGAGATTTGCCCCCTTCTTTGTGCAGTGATAATCACTCTGTTTCCTTTATCATAAGCATTTATGCTATTTTTTAATTGCTTGTTTTTTTCTCACCAAGTTCAAAGTGTATGTGTGTGTGTCCACAAAGAAGTGTGTACCATATTTTCCCCTTCCCTATCTTTCTGGCACTTACCAAATACATAAATATTTGTTGAGTGAATGAATTTTTAATACATTCACTCTTTCAGTGCAAAAAAAAAAAAAAAAGAACCACAAATCTAATGGAAATTGAGTAATAAACTTAGTTACTCTCTGTCTTTGTTTTGTTCGGTTAGATGTGCAGAGTTACCTTAAAATGTGTTATTGTCAAATTGTGCTAAAAGTTTTTAATGTGCCAGGCATCTTATCCCTTTTGTACACTCATTCTACCCCACAGCTATTGTATAAAGTATTTATGAACATTGTTTTTATAACTTGTGGGACATTTAACAACCTTATTTGTAGCAGACTTAGTATGTGCTCTTCATGGGTAGTCTTGAGTGTTGAAAATTGCCAAAAGACATTTGGAAACTGCCAAAAAGACTGAGAAATCGTATCAAAAATGAACTGAGATTTTAAGGAACATTGGCTTTCTTCCCCTACTTCCCACCTACTAGTGTCCTTAAAACAATTTCTTCTTACCAAATTGTCGCTGAATTTAGGTTAAGTTAAATCACTGAGATAAACCAGAGTTTATAGTTTATTGTGCTTTTGAGTTTCTTTTGCCTTAAAAATTGATTGCTCTTGCAAATTACTTATTTGTATAGTCATGTTCTACGTAAAGACATTTTGGTCAACAACAGACCACATATAAGAGGGTGGTCCCATAAGTTTATAATGGAGTTGGGAAGTTCCTATCACCTAGTGATGTCTTCGACATCCTGTTCTTTTTTTTTTTTTTGTGAGACGGAGTCTTGCTGTCTCCCAGGCTGGAGTGCAGTGGCGCAGTCTCGGCTCACTGCAAGCTCCACCTCCCGGGTTCACGCCATTGTCCTGCCTCAGCCTCCCGAGTAGCTGGGACTACACACCTCCACCACCACGCCCGGCTAATTTTTTTGTATTTTTAGTAGAGACGGGGTTTCACCGTGTTCACCAGGCTGGTCTCCATCTCCTGACCTCGTAATCCTCCCGCCTCGGCCTCCCAAAGTGCTGGGATTACAGGCTTAGACATCCTAATGGTTGTGGTGCAATGCATTACTCACGTGTTTGTAGTAATGCTAGTACAAACAAATCTACTGCCCTTCAAAAATATACCACATACAATTATGTACAGTACATAATACTTGATAAGTGAATGTGTTACTAGTTTATGTATTTACTATACTATATATATATATATATATATGTGTGTATATATATATATATATATTTTTTTTTTTTTTTTTTTTTTGAGACAGGGTCTCACTCTGTCACCCAGGCTAGAGTGCAGTGGTGTGATCATGGCTCACTGCAGCCTTGACCTTGTCAGTCTCAGGTGATCTCCCACTTCAGCCTCCTGATTAGCTAAGTTTCCCGATGTGCACAACCATGCCTGGCTAATTTTTGTGGTTTTTGCAGAGACAGGGTTTCGTTATGTTGCCCAGGCTGGTCTTGAACTCGTGAGCTCAAGGGATCCACCCACCTTAGCCTCAAACTTCTGGGATTACAGGCATGAACACCATGTCCGAACATGTACTATAGTTTTTATTGTTATTTTAATTTAGAAAAAAAAGTCCTTCAGGAGATATTCCAGAAGAAGGCATTGTTATCATAGATGACAGCTCCATGCCTATTATTGCCCCTGAAGATTTTCCAGTGGGACAAGATGTTAAGGTGGAAGATAGTAATATTGATGATCCTTACTCTGTGTATGCCTAGGCTAATGTGTGTATTTGTGTCTTAGTTTTTAACAAAAAAGGTTAAAAAGTTTTAAAAAAAAGTTTAAATAGAAAAAAATTATAGAATAAGACTATCAATAAAGAAGTCTTATTACAAAAGACCAAAGAGCTTTTAAAAATTAAAAGTTTATAATGTAAAAAAATTATAGTAAGTTAAGATTATTTTTGAAAGGAAATAAATTTAGTGTAGTCGTACAATGTTTATAAAGTCCACAGTAGTATATGGTAATGTCCTAGGCTTTCACATTCACTCACTCACCCAGAGCAACTTCCCATCCTTCAAGCTCCATTCATGGTAAGTGCCCTATACAGGTATACTATTTTGTATCTTTTATACCATATTTTTATTGTTCTTTTCTATGTTTAGATACGTTTAGGTATACAAATACAATTGCCTACAGTATTCAGTACAGTAACGTTCTGTACAGACTGTATACAGTAGGCTCTTCTATTTAGGTTTGTGTAAGTACACTCTGATGTTAGCACAACAACAACAAATCACCTCAAAGATGCATTTATCAGAATGTGTTTCCATTTTTAAGCAATGCACAAGCCCTTAATTTATACTTGAATATTATTTCTTCAATTTGCAAGAGTATTTTGTTTTTCATTTTTAGCCTTCTTTATCCTGAATTTGTCTTCTCTGAAATTAAAATTTTCATCTTTGTTTTAACCATTGTGTCCATTACTAACAAACAAACAATAATGGTAGTATACCTTCTACCATCCTCTTTCTCCCAGTTTTTCTTAGGCTTTAGCTCTTTATTCTTGCTGATCTCAGATGTTTTATGCATCTTTATCTTTCCCACCAAACTATGAGTTTAAGGTAGGTGTTTATTGGGAGCTCAATAAAACTTTAAAAAAAATTTGAAGACTTTTGTCACTTGTTTTAGTGTTCTCTAAAGCATTATCATTTGCCACAAGTGCTCATTTTTGTATTAGTCATCTTTCTTATTATTTAAAAACTGTTCTGCTTCTTTATTGAAAAAGCATTATGTTAAGTAAACCCTTTATCAGCCATAAAATTCAATTACTTTTATTAGGTGAATCACTATGACAGATCCAGAGGGTAATACAAAGGCAGTAATATTGTTCCTGTTGTCAAGGAGCTAAACATTCTAGCCCTCCTCCCCAACCCTCCCTTTCCCCAAATTCTCAAATCATAAATGTAATTAGAATGTGAATGTGCTTGGAGAATGTGGTGTTGGTAACAACGAATTCCAACAAGTAAGATTGGAGAAGGCGTTGAGACATCATTTAGACCAGTACATACTTGTTCGTATGTTACGTATGAACAAACTGTTGTTTAGTGTGGTTAGGTAATTGTTCGGTTTGTGATAAAACTAGAAGAAACTGTTTTAGTTTAGTTTGGAAGACAGGACACTTGACAGATGAACAGAGATGGGGAAAAAGACATTTCAGATAGTATGTGCAAAAGTTCAAATGTTTAAACAGCGTCATGGGTTAGTTGTTTCTTATAAGTGCATATAATTTACTTACGGAATGGTTGGAGAAAAGGCAGGAGTTAGATCAGGGAAGGCTACGTATGCTAACTTAGAATATTTATAATTCATTTTGTAGACAGTAGAGAACCAGAGTTAGTATAGACTTTTTCCTTTCTGAATGGTAAAAGTTGGTTAGAACAATGATTCTGATATCCATTATAAAAGCCTTGAGAGAGAGGTTTTAGTGAACCTGGAATTTTCTGTACTGCTGAGAAAGATGTTCAACAGAGTTGAATCTTTAATGTATCAAGCTTACTGTTTGGAATTATAAAACTTTTTTTTTCAATTTATGAAATATGTCAGGCCTCTGGAAATTTTACAGAGGAATATAGTGTATGTTCAACTACCTTGCATTTAAAGGAATAAAATATGACAGATGAAATTGAAATTCCCATCTGTCATTTGCCAGTCCATTTCCCTTTCTTCCATCCTGGAGGTATATATTTTTCACTCACTATCAGTCTTCTATAAAGTATTCATAGTCTGTTTTCTATAAGTTATTTCAGTATAATGAATCAGTTATACTTTATTTACTAGGTATCTTTTATAAGAGTTTTTCTGTGTCTGATTATTTTGCTAAACAAACCTCCTATTTAAATTGTTTCTTCTTTTAAAGCATGCTATTAACCCCAGATTTTGTCCTTTCATTTCTCTATACATCTAGATTATTTAGCTACATTTGCATAAAATGATACATATCAGTGCTATAAATATAAAAATTCTAGTATTACAACTTTATAAGTAATAATTTACAGAGCTGGTAAAAGATAAAGGGAAATAATATGGATATATCCTGGTTGGAATATATCTCCTGAATTTGTGCCTAAGAACTTAGGCATGAGTAAATCTGGTTCACACATTTGAATTGTATATTTCTAGTTTCTGACAGCATCTAGCATTTGTTTATTGCATTACATTTTTTCAAGAAGTTCCATGCAAATTAATTCAGTATCTGGAACATATCTGTTTTACTAAATGTTTTTCATGAAATAATTAAATTTTCAATATATGAGGTGTTGATAATATTCCAAGTCTTAAAGAAGAGGATGTATCTATCTCAGTGATTCAGAGAGATACATTTGTCCAGAATTACTACAGCTAGTACCATGGCAAATCATGGACTCCAACCTGAGTCTTCACTCCATATTCATTACATTCTATATTTCATGAGAGGGCAAAACAAACTTATATAATATTAGATATAAAACTCAGGGGACGCTAATGAGAGGGTGAGACTAGTTTCCCCAATGGTAACTAAGAAGCATTTAAATAGAGCAAAATATTCTAGTATCAAATCAGTTGTGTTTAAGCCTTCAACAGGGGAACCATATATCTTGTACATGTATTTATTCCTCAGTAATTCTTTATGACTAGTTTGGTTTCTACTTGTTGCATAAGTATAAATTAGGGAAATCAGTGGATAATTAAAGTGTTCTTTGGATTTTTCTCTTTTAGTATCTATTTAGATACATTGATCCGGTTTCTTTAATGCTGAGTTTCTCAGCCTTGGTGCTATTGACATTTTGGGCCGGTGAATTCTCTTTTATTGTGAATTGTTTTGGATATTTAGCAGCACAGTTGGCCTCTTCCCACAAGATGCCAGTAGTTCCATTTATATGTTTGTGTTTGGGATTAAGGAGACCAGGACCTTGTAATAGCAACACCTTTATTAATGGAGACACTGTAGTCCTTAAGTCATAGCAGAAAATACATCTGACATATGCCTAAAAAAAATGACTGAACAGAATAGTAAAAAAAAAAAAAAAATGCTTAAAAGAAAGGTAGTGGTTACCCTGAAACTAAATAAATTGAAAAAGCACTAAACAAAGCCAGACAAAAAATGGGTTGTCTTTCTTAGAAGAAAGTAGGATGTAAGTAAATATGGCACTGTGGCTGTGAATTTCAGAAAGCTACCTGATGTGAGGAAAGATAATTATTAATAATAGGCAGTTTTTAACTTGCAAATTGGGCTGTATTCTAAAAGTTGTTTTGAGGATGAATAGCTTTGGTTTCAGAGTGACATTTTCCCTCAAACATTTATACAACAAATATTTGAGTGCCTAGCATGGACCAGGCATTGGGCTAGCATAGCCAGCAGGATGACAGGATCCTTGCTTCTTTGGAGCTTATAGTATTGTATGGCATTTATCAAATAAAAAAATCACATAAATTAACATTTATGTGATTTTTTTTTTCCCTATTACTCCCCTTCTCCCAGTTTGAGTTGAGGGCGCAACTCTTTTCTCTTTACTCACTGCTGTATCCCCAGAGCACCTGGTAAACAGGGAAATCTTTGTTAAATGAATAATTGATTAGTTGAAAGAGACATTAAAAAATTACAGGTGATGAAGTAGAGTTGTGATCAGTGTTCCAAAGGGAATAATACAGGGTGTTATGTAATTTAAA
Source organism: Homo sapiens (assembly GCF_000001405.40). Taxonomy (NCBI): domain Eukaryota; kingdom Metazoa; phylum Chordata; class Mammalia; order Primates; family Hominidae; genus Homo; species Homo sapiens. The sequence goes on along the minus strand of NC_000004.12, from coordinate 17,994,566 downwards.
GCATGTAACAATTAATCTAGTCTAAAGCAAAATAGATCAGATGAAACTTTAAATTGAGGCAGTGATTCTTAAACTACAATTTTTAAGAATGAGTAGGAGTCATCCAGACATGTTTTGGGAATGGAAATGGGGGTTGGAGTGTATTGTGTCTGATTAAACAGCTTCTGTGAATACCTGAAGTATCCACATTTTATAGGGTTTGGGTGTTGGCAGGTGCGGGGGTCAGGGAGTAGCATGACATGAGACGGAATATTGATTTTTCTTTTATTTTGTACTGAAATATGGAATATTATAAAACAAAATAGCATCATGACAATATAGCAATGAAAATAGAAAAGCAGCTTTTAAATGGTAATTTAAAAATATTTTGATTCTGATACTTGAAGAAAACTTGTTTTAATTAATTTAATTAGGAAATTAGACCCCATCTTCCACCTGCATACTGATCTTCTCTAAGTCTTTGTTTCTACCTCCTGATATATTTGTTTAATTTATGCCCCACATATCCAACCAAAAATGAACTTCATTTGAAACAACCACTCAAAGCAAAACAAACCTCATGAATTTCTTGTCTTAGTGAATATTTAATCACTCTATTTCTCAAGCCAGAACTTTTTAACTTCTCTCACTCCCACCTCAAAATAATGACGCTGTATCACTAAATTCTTTCCATTTAATTGTATTGTTCAAAGCTGTCTTCTTTCTCTCAGGTAAACTTCCATCACCTAAATTTACATTCTTGTCTTTCCTCTCATGTATTTTTGCAAGCTTTCTAACCATCCTGTCTTCATTCTTTTCTTTTTTCATTCTATTCGCCACTTGCTGCTTGAACAATCCTTTCTGAATGTAAAGCTAATCCTGTTTCTTGACTTCTTCAAGACTTTCCATGGTTCATTTGGCTTTCAGGATAAAAATTAATTCCTTGGCAAAACATAACTAGGCTCCTCAGGATCTGTGTTGCACACATCTTCAGCCTTTTATATTGTCCTCCTTTCATATCACATTCTTTACTCATACCATTTTTTTTTTCAATTTGTAGACATAGGTATTTAAATTTAATTAGGCCGGGTGTGGTGGCTCCCGCCTGTAATCCCAGCACTTTGGGAGGCTGAGGCGGGAGGATCACTTGAGGTCAGGAGTTCAAGACCAGCCTGGCCAACATGATGAAACCCGCTTCTACTAAAAATACAAAAAAATTAAGCCAGTTGTGGTGGCACATGCCTGTAATCCCAGCTGCTTGGAAGGCTGAGGCAGGAGAATTGCTTGAACCCGAGACAGAGGTTGCAGTGAGCCTAGGTTATGCCACTGCACTCCAGCCTGGGCGACAGAGTGAGAGTCTGTCTAAAATAAATAAATTTAATAAAACTAAATAAAATATTCTCAGCTACTGTATTGAACAGCACAGATTCAGAATGTTTCTGTCATTACAGAAAATTTTATTGGATAGTGCTCTTCTTAAACATATCAAGTTTTCTTGTCCCTGTGTCTTTATACATGCTGTTCTCCTTTTCTAAACGTGTAATGTGCCGTTCCTTGTTTTGCCTAGCTAACATTTACTCTTCCATTAAGACTCCACTTGGGCATCATCATCAAATGTCATCAAATGACATCTTTCTGTCTCTCCCCTAACCCTAAAGTCTGTGTGTTGTTACTTTTTGTCTTAATGTCTTTTTGCATTTAAACCCAGGAGTCAGTGCTTAATAGCAAAATTCTAACAAAGTATAAAGATTTTTTATAAATTACAGTTTTACATTTATGAGTATGGTGCTTGGATTTACCAGCACATGAGTGACACTTAAATGGATTTATCGTCTGAGTACTGAGTAAAGAAGCACTTCACTAGTTAAGTGTGACCTTAGGAAAAGATAGAGTCTGTTTGTTATGGAGGTCAAAGTTATCAGATTTGCTCCTTGACTGATAATAATTGCATACACTTAAGCAAATTTTATAATGTAGAATTGAATCTAGCAACTCAAGAATCTGTTCAAAGATAAATAGGTAAATTTACAGGTAGATAGAAAAGCATTGCACCAGAATTATACAATGTAATGAAATCAGACGTATTTTCATTATGAAAACACAGCATTAAATTTGTAGCCATCAGATCAGTTTAAATAGCATTATGACAAGCAGTGATATAGTCTGGCTTTGTGTCCCCACAAATCTCATGTTGAATTGTAATCCCCACGTGTTAGGGGAGGGACCTTGTGGGAGGTGATTAGATCATGGGGGCGGTTCCTCCATGCTGTTCTTGGGATAGTGAGTTCTCACGAGATCTGATGGTTTTATATAAGGGGCTTTTCCCCACTTCACTCAGCACATCTCTCTCCTGCTGCCATATGAAGAATGACACATTTGCTTCCTTTTCCACCATGATCGTAAGTTATTTGAGGCCTCCCTAGCCATGTGGAACTGTGAGTCAATTAACCCTCTTTGCTTTATAAATTACCCAGTCATGGGTATTTGTTCATAGCAGCATAAAAATGAACTAATATAAGCAGATTAGGGAATATCAAAAACGTTATGGTACGTACTCTGAAGTTTATAGTATGATTACTTGTCATCAGAAGGTTTTACCTCTGCTCCCCTTTAGGTATCCATTACTCTCTGTGTCTCACCATCACTTTGTGTGCTTCACTTCCGTAATCATTAATTTCAGATACACCTCTCTGTGAGGGTGAGGGTGAGGAGAGATTAGATTGAGCAAAGTTTAGGGCTTCAGATATGGTATTAGCGGGTATTAGAAAATATTTGATTTTTTTCTTTTTTAAGGAGGGCATGCTTGAAATTTTTGTCCAGGGCTGGTCTTGTGCCCTAAGAAAGGGGCAAATGACATATTCTTCCTCTTGTCTATTTGTAATAAATTTGGTGACTGTATTTTATTTACCAGAGATCTGGATATGTGTTCTAAAAAGACATAGGTTTTTAAATTTGTGGTTTTGGGTTTGTTCATTCAGCAATATGAGGCTATCATGGAATAAGTTTAGATGCCAAATATTATCAGAATGCCTTAGGGAAATAATAGATTTCCCAAGATACTTCTGATTTCAAATATTCCAACTTGGAATGTGTGACTATCAGAACCCCAGTTTTCTGAACTCAGTTGACTCTAGCTACATTTGGGATTAGAAAAGCTTCTTTGATATAGCTTAGATACTTTGAATTGTGTGACACAAATAGGTATGGTAAACATTTAAAGATGAACAGATATTAATGAGGAATGGTTTAATTAGAGGCGCCTTCCTTAAAGACACAGAATTTGAGTTAGAAGAAGGGATGGAGAAGAACAAGGAGTAGAGTCTTTAAAAGCAAAGAAGAATGAATGAGCAGGGTATTTGGGAAGAATTGAAACAGAGGAGCACCAGAGTAGAGTGGAGGATTAACTAGTGATGAGAGAGGTTATGCTAGGTAAACTAGGACTAACTTAAATTCTTTTATTCATCTTTTATTTATTAAAAAATTTTATTTCTTTGAATTTTCCTGTAATTTCCTTAGGCTCTTCTATAAAATGTTATATTCATGTGACCATACCTCATTATCCTTAACATTTACTCTCAAAAAGCTTTTTATTTTTATTTTTTTGAAGGTAGTTTTTCTGTGTGTACTCTGTAACATGATTTTGCTTTCAAATCATTGTTGTGCCCCCATACAAAATGCCTTTTATTTTTGAGGATCGTGGACTTTTTAGTATGGCATGAGTGTGCTAAAAGCCAGATATCTTTCCACATTCACTGGTGGCTTTGACACCTAGTTTTTAATCTCCCATCCTTACTTTAAACCCTGACAGTGCAGTCCTCAGTCAGGGCCAGGACCGGGCTGAGGCCCTTTGTGGAGATGCTGCACCACCAGCAGAAGGCTGAGACCTGCTTACCTGTACCTGTTCACTTGTAATAAAAAGAATTCTCTAAAAAAAAAAAAAAAAAACCAAGATGGGAATTTAATATGTGAATTTATAGCCACTGTCATTAATAATGAAGTTTACCCTTAGTGCATATCATGATACAGTAGGCAGAATTCTAAGACAGCCCTCAAGACCAACCCTCCCACCCCACCCCACTCCCTCACCTCATGATTAGTTTGTTATAAGGCACAGTTGACATTAAGAGAGAGATTATGTGAGTAGGTCTGACCTAAACTTAAATGAGCCCTTTTAAAGCAGAGAGTTTTTGGCCAGGCGTGGTGGCTCATGCCTGTAATCCGAGCACTTTGGCAGGCCGAGGCGGGTGGATCACAAGGTCAGGAGATCAAGACCATCCTGGCAAACATGGTGAAACCCCCATCTGTACTAAAAATACAAAAAATTAGCCGGGCGTGGTGGTGGGCGCCTGTAGTCCCAGCTACACGGAAGGCTGAGGCAGGAGAATGGCGTGAACCCAGGAGGCGGAGCTTGCAGTGAGCCGAGATCGTGCCACTGCACTCCAGCCTGGGTGACAGAGCGAGACTCCATTTCAAAAAAAAAAAAAAAAAAAACGCAGAGAGTTTTCTTTTTTTCTGCTGGTGGTAGAAGACGAAGTGGGAGATTCAAATTCTCTGCACAGTTGCTGGCTTGAAGATGGAGGGAGCTACATATTAAGTAATAAATGTGGCCTCTAGGAGCCAGAGGATGGCCCTTGGCTGACAGTAAGAGAATGAGGACCTCTGTCCTGCAACCACACCAAACTGAATTGTGCTAACAAGAATGAAGTTGGAAGCAGATTTTCCCTGGTACCTCCAGATGAGAACTCAGCTTGGTCAACCAGCCACATCATACCAGGCTTCTGGCCTAAGGAGCTGTGATGAGTAAATTTGTGTTGTTTTAAGGCACAGTTTGTGGTCTTTTGTTATATCACAGTAGATAAATAATACACATGCCTTGAATGATCAACTAATGATTTTTATGACTTGAACAATATGAAGACATTTTATAGTATTTTTAACTTTTTCTTTTTTATTTTGGACATATATGAAGATATTGAGGGTACACAGTCAAGTTTTTACTGATGCGGCTTGTGTTCCAAAAGTTTGGGAGATACTTCTGCAGACTCTGTACCTAGAATTTTTCAATATCTGAAATCATAAACTCTAGTGTAATTCACTGTCTATTACTTTCTCGAACTGAGTAAACTTACTTTGGTGTCATTGAAATATTTTGCCCTTGACACTGTCCATCTCTTTCCCCATGTGCCCAATTAACAAATTCTTTTACTCTGGATCAAAATAAAAAGAGGTGCCATAGAAGGAAATCTTTATTCTGATAAAGATATGATATCTACAAAAAATCTATGACAAGTATAGTATGTGACTTCAAAATGTTAGAAGAACTTCATTGTAATCAGTAAAATGGGAGGGATGCTCATTATTACCAGTTTTGTTTAACATTACCTTGAGGAGATCATCAAAACAATAAAATAAAGGAAAACGATTTGGAAGAGGAATTACAATTGTCGTTTTCCACAGGTATTTGTATAGAAGTGTAAGAGAATCTATAGATATACTATTAAAGCTGGTGGATAGTTTAGCAAGTGTTTTGGATATAAATTGGCCACATCCATGGAAACCAAAAAGAAAGTTTTTTTAAATTTTGTTTTGTATTCATTTATTTTTGAGATGGAGTCTCACTCTGTCCCCCAGGCTGGAGTGCAGTGGCGTGATCTCGGCTCACCGCAATCTCTGCCTCCCAAGTTCAAACGATTCTCCTGCCTTGCCTCCTGAGAAGCTGGGATTACAGGCGCACACCACCATGCCCAGCTGATTTTTGTGTTTTTCGTAGAGATAGGGTTTCGCCATGTGGGCCAGGCTGGTCTCGAACTCCTGACCTCAAGTGATCCACCTGCCTTGATCCCAAAGTGCTGGGATTACAGGCGTGAGCTGCCACGCCCGGCCAGAAACAAGATTATTTTTAAGTTAACATCTTTGATGATTATAAAAACTATAAGCAAGAATAAATCCAGTAAACAATGTGCTAGACCTTTATTAAAGAAATGATAAAATGTTACTAAGAATATTTTTAAAATCATAAAATAGTGATGTTTAACATACTGTGGTATTAGCTTAGGAGTAGATGAGCAGATGAATGGAAAGTCTAAAAAGAAAGTCAAAGAAACATGCAAAACATAGCGAAACCTAGTCTCTACTAAAATAAAATAAAAAAATAAGCCAGGCATGGTGCATGCCTGTGGTCCTGGCTACTCAGGAGGCTGGATCAGGAGGATCACCCGAGCCCAGGAAGTGCTGCAGTGAGCTATGATAGTGCCACTGGACTTCAGCCTGAATTCCAGAATGAGACCCTGTGTATTAGTTTCACACTGCTGATAAAGACATACCCGAGACTGGGCAATTTACAAAAGAAAAGAGGCTTACTGGACTTACAGTTCCACATGGCTGGGGAGGCCTCACAATCACGGCGGAAGGCAAGGAGGAGCAAGTCACATCTTACGTGGATGGCAACAGGCAGAGAGAGGTAGTGCAGAGAAACTCCCATTTTTAAAAGCATCAAATATCAGAGACTATCACCAGAACAGCATTGGAAAGACCCGCCCCTATAAATCAGTCATCTTCCACCAGGTCCCTCCCACATGGAAATTATGGGAGCTACAAGATGAGATTTGGGTGGGGACACAGAGCCAAACCATATCATCCTGTATCAAGAAAAAGACAATCCACAGGCTTGAAGAAAATATTTGCAGATGGGTGAATATCTCATAAGGGATTTATGTTCAAAATAACGCTTACAACTCAATAATGAAAAGACAAATAACTCAATTGAAAAATGGGCAAAAAATTTGAATAGACATTTCACCAAGGAACTTACATGAATTGCCAATGAACACATGAAAAAATGTTCAACATCATTAGTCACTAGGGAAATGAGACTGCACTTTGCATCCACTAGAATGGCTATAATCAAAGTGTTTGTAAGGATGTGGAGAAATTGTTATAGGAATGGTGAAGCCACTTTGGGAAGCAGTTTGTCAGTTTTTTTTAATGTTAAATATAAACTTACCATATGACCCAGCAATTATATTCCTATAGTCTTACCTAGTAGAAATGAAAATCTGTTTCATGTAAATTTCATAGTAGTGTTATTCACAATAGCAAAAAGTGGAAACAACCCAAAGTTTCATTAGCTAGCAAATCAATAAACAAATGTAGTATATCCAAACAGTGGACTGCTATTCAGCAATAAAAAGAATTGGAGTACTGATGTATGCTACAACATGATGAATCTCAGACACATTATGCTCAGTGAAAGAAGCCAGACACAAAAGTGCATATGTGATATTCTCTTTATATGTAATATCAGAAAAGGCAAATGTATAGAAATGGAAAGTGAGTGAATTTTATGGTAGTAAATTATATCTCAGTAAAGCTATGAATGGACAAGAAATACAGACCCACATCATTTTGAGACTTCATGAGTAATAAAAGTGGCCTGAAAATGAATGGTGCTTCAGATAAAATTGATTTTCTGTTTTATACCGTTTATAAGTTTATAAGAAAATTAATTCCACTATATTAAAGAACCACATGTGAAAACCAAATGCACACTCGTATTCACACATAAAATGATTTTTGACTTTCAAAAATTTTTCTTATGTAAGAAAAAATATACAAAGCATAAAACAAGATACAAAAAAAAGGTTAAACTGTGGTACATTAAACCAAAAGAACCACTCAAAAACAAAATGAAAAGTGTAGTCATAATTGGGAATGTTTGTAATTTATGAATTTGATAATTGTTACCCAGAATACATAAAACTATGCCTGAATTCTTAAAAGACCAACAGTTCAGTTGAGAAGTAGCCAAAGCTGAAATAGCAATAATGGAATTCAGAATATAGATAGGAAAAAAAAAAGATCATTGAGATTCGGGAGAACAGCAAGACCCAATCAACAGAAACTAAGAATCACAAAATGATACGGGAGCTGACAGACAAAGTAGCCAGTATAAACAAACAAACAAACAACACACCTAACTGATCTGATAGAGCAGAAAAACACACTACAAGAATATCACAATGCAATCATAAGTAGTAACAGCAGAATAGACCAAGCTGAGGAAGTAATCTTGGAACTTGAAGACTGGCTGTCTGAAATAAGACAGTCAGACAAAATAAAGAAAACAGAATGAAAAGGAATGAACAAAGTCTCCAACAAATATGGGATTATGTAAAGAGGCCAAGCCTACAAATCACTGGCATCCCTAGAAGGGACAGCGAAATAGAAAACAACTTGGAAAACATATTTCAGGGTATCACCCATGAAAACCTCCCCAACCTCACTAGAGAGGCCAACAGTCAAATTCAGAAGATACAGAGAACCCCTGAAAGATTCTGTGCAAGATCATCCCTATGACATGTAATCATTACATTTTCCAAGGTTGGAATGAAAGAATGTTAAAGGTAGCTGGAGAGAAAGCGCAGGTCATTTACAAAAGGGAACCCTATCAGGCTAATAGCAGACCTCTCAGCAGAAACCCTACAAGCCAGAAGAGATTCGGAGCTTATACTCAACATTCTTAAATAACAATATTCTCAACCAAGATTTTTATATCCAGCCAAACTAAGCTTCCTAAGCAAAGGTGAAATAAGATCCTTTTTAAATAAGCAAATACTGAGGGTATTTGTTACTATCAGACCTGCCTTACAAGAGATCTTGAAAGGAGCATTAAATGTAGAAAGGAAAGATCATTACTAGCCAATACAAGAACACTTAAGTACACAGACAAGTGACACTGTAAAGCAACCACACAAACAAGCCAGCATAATAACCAGCTGACAACACAATAACAGGGTCAAATCCACACATATCAATACTAATGTTGAATGTTAATGGGTAAAATGCACTATTTGAAAAGTAGAGAGTAGCAATCTGGATAAAAAAGCAAGACCCAATGGTATGCCATCTTCAAGAGACCCACCTCACACACAGTGACACCCATAGGCTGAAAATAAAAGGATGGAGGAAAATCTACCAAACGGAAATGAGAAAAAAGCCAGGGTTGCAATCGAAATGTCAAACAAAACAGACTTTAAACCAACAAAGATCAAAAATGGCAAAGAAGAGCATTAAATAAGGGTAAAGGGTTCAATTCAACAAGAAGACCTAACTATTCTAGATATATATGCACCCAGCAGAGGAGCAACCAGATTCATAAAGCAAGTTCTTAGAGACCTACTAAGATACTTAGACTCCCACACAATAAAAATGGGAGACTTCAGCACTCCCCTGAGGGTATTAGATCATGAAGGGAGAAAATTAACAAGATATTCAGGACCTGAATTCAACATTGGACCCAATGGATCTGATAGACCTCTACGGGACTCTCCATCCCAAAACAGCAGAGTATACTTACTTCTCATCACCACATGGCACATCACATACTCTAAAACTGACTGCACAATTGGACATAAAACAATCCTCAGCAAATGCAGAAGAACCAAAATCATATTAAAAACTCTCAGACCACAGCTCAATAAAAATATAAATTAAAACAAAAAAAATCACTCAAAACTATGCAATTGCATGAAAATTAAACAACGTGCTCTTGAATAGCACGTTGTTTATCTTTTGGATAAATAATGAAATTAAAGCAAAAATCAGCAAGTTCTGTGAAACTAATGAGAACAAAAATACAACATACCAGAATCTCTGGGGCACAACTAAGACAGTGTTAAGAGAGAAATTTGTAGCACTAAATGCCCACATCAAAAGTTAGATCTCAAATTAACAGCCTAACGTCACAAGTAAAAGAACTAGAGAAGCAAGAGCAAACTAACCCCAAAGTTAGCAGAAAACAAGAAATAACCAAAATCTGAGCTTAACTGATGAAGATTGAGACAAGAAAAACCATTCAGAAGATCAACGAATTCAGGAGTTGCTTTTTGAAAAAATTAATAAAATACGTCACTAGCTAGATAATACAGAAGAGAGAAGACCTAAATAAGCACAATTAGAAAAGACAAAGGGGATGTTACTGCTGACTCCATGGAAATACAAATAACCATCAGAGACAACTACAAACATCCCTATTCATACAAACTAGAAAACCTAGAGAAGATGGATAAATTTCTGGCCACATATACCCCCCCATACAACTGAACCAGGAAGAAATTGATTCCGTGAAGAGACCAATAATGAGCTCCTAAATTGAATCAGTAATGAATACCCTACCAACCTAAAAAAGCTCAGGACCAGATAGATTCACAGCCGAATTCTACCAGATACACAAACAAGAGCTGGTACCATTGCTACTGAAACTCTTCCAAAAAATATAGGAAGAGGATCTCCTCCCCAACTCATTGTATGAGGCCAGCATCATCCTGATACCAAAACTTGGCAGAGACACAACAATAAAAGAGAACTCCAGGATAATATCCTTGAAGAACATAGATGCAAAAATCCTCAACAAAATACTGGGAGACTGAATCCAGCAGCACATCAAAAAGCTAATACACCACTATCAGGTAGGCTTTATCCCTGGGATGCAAGATCGGTTCAACATATGCAAGTCAATAAATGTGATTCATCATATAAACAGAACTAAGGACAAAAAACCACATGATTATCTCAGCAGATACAGAAAAGACTTTCAATGTATTCAGTTTCCCTTCATGCTAAAAATTCTCAATAAACTAGGTATTGAAGGAACACACCTCAAAATAATAAGAGCCACATATGACAAACTCACAGCCAACATCATACTGAATGAGCAAAAGCTGGAAGCATTACCCTTGAAAACTGGCACATGACAAGGATATCCTCTCTCACTACTTCTATTCAACATAATATTGGAAATGCTGGCCGGAGTAGTCAGACAAGAGAAAGAAATAAAGCACATCCAAATATGAAAAGAGGAAGTCAAACTATACTTGTCTGATGATATAGACATCATTCTATATCTAGAAAACCCCATAGTCTCAGCCCAAAAGCTCCTTCAGCAGATAAACAACTTCAGCAAAATTTCAGGATACAAAAGCAATGTACAAATATTACCCTCATTCCTATACACCAACAACAGCAAGCCGAGAGCCAAATCAGGAACTCAGTCTCATTCACAGTTGCCACAAAAAGAATAAAATATCCGGGAATACAGCTAAACAGGGAGGTGAAACATCTCTACAATGAGAATTACAAAACACTGCTCAGATAAGTCAGAGATGACAAAAACAAAAGGAAAAACCTTCTTTGCTCATGGATAGGAAGAATCAATATCATTAAAATGACCATTTTCCCCCAAGCAATTTATAGATTCACTGCTATTTCTATCAAACTGTCAATAACATTCTTCACAGAACTAGAAACAACTATTTGTAAATTTGTATTGAACCAAAAAAGAGCCTGAATAGCCAAGGCAATCCTAAGCAAACAGAACAAAGCTAGAGGCATCACATTACCTGACTTCAAACTATACCACAGGACTACAGTAACTAAAACAACATGGTACTGATACAGAACTAGACATATAGACCAATTGGATGGAATAGAGAGCACAGAAATAAGGCCATATACCTACAACTATCTAATCTTCAACAAAGCTAACAAAAACAAGTAATGGGGAAAGGACTTCCTTTTCAATAAATGGTGCTGGGATAACTGGCTAGTCATGTGCAGAAAATTGAAACTAGACCCCTTCCTTATACCTTATACAAAAATTAACTCAAGATGGATTAAAGACTTAAATGTAAAACCCAAAAGTATAAAAACCCTTGAAGACAACCTAGGCAGTACCATTTAGGACATAGGCACGGGCAAAGATTACATGACAAAGATGCCAAAAGTAATTGCAATGAAAACAAAAATTGGCAAATGGGAACTAATTAAAGAGCTTCTGCACAGCAAAAGAAACTGTCAACAGAATAAAGAGACAACCTGCAGAATGGGAGAAAATATTTTCAAACTATGCATCTGACAAAGGTTAATTTCCAGCATCTATAGGGAACTTACTTAAATTTACAAGAAAAAAAATTTCCATTAAAAAGCGGGCAAAGGACATGAACAGACACTTTTCAAAAGAAGGTGTGCATGCAGCCAACAAGTATATGAAAACAAGCTCAGTATCACTGATAATGGAGAAATGCAAATCAAACCACAGTGAGATAACATCTCACACCAGTCAGAATGGCTATTACTAAAAAGTAAATAACATGCTGGCAAGGTTGCAGAGAAAACGGAACACTTACACACTGTTGGTGGGAGGATAAATTAGTTCAACCATTGTGGAAAGCATTGTGGGCAGTTCCTCAAAGAGCTAAAAGCAGAACTACCATTCATACCAGCAATCCCATTACTGGGTGTATACCCAAAAGAATATAAATTGTTGTATTGTATGTAAAGACACATGCACGCATATGTTCATTGTGGCACTATTCACAATAGTAAAGACATGGAATCAACCTAAATGCCCATCATTGATAGATTGGATAAAGAAAATATCTTGTATACACACACACACACACACACACACACACACACACACACACACACACGATGGAATACTATGCAGCCATGAAAAAGAACAAGCTCATGTCCTTTGCAGGGACATAAATGGAGCTGGAGACCATCATCCTTTGCAAACTAACACAGGAATAGAAAATCAAATACCATGTATTCTACCATATAAATGATGAGAACACATGGATTCAAAGAGGGGAGCAACAGACATTGGGACCTGCTTGAGGATGGAGGGTGTAAGGAGCAAGAGGATCAGAAAAAATAACTATTGGGTATTAGGCTTATTACCCAGGTGATGAAATAGTCTACACCAAACCCCTGTGACATCAGTTTGCCTATGTAACAAACCTGCACATGTACCCCTGAACCTAAAATAAAAGTAATAAGAAAAGCCTGGATGACTCTAGCCTGTCATCCAGGCTAGAGTGCAGGAGCGTGATCATGGCTTAGCACACTGCAGCCTCAACCTTCTGGGTTCAGGTGATCCTCGCACTTCAGCCTCCTGAGTAGCTGGGACTACAGGTGCATGCCACCACCCCCAGCTAATTTTTTTTATAGAGAGAGAGATGAGATTTCACCATGTTTCCCAGACTCAAGCAGTCTGCCCACCTCAGCCTCCCAAAGTGCTGGGATTACAGTCGTGAGCCACCGTGTCTGGCTGAAGGAAATCTGAAAGTAGAATATTTAAAATATACTGAAACTCAGTAATAGAGAACTGCAAATTAAAATGATAATTTTGTATTCATGTGTTGGACAAATATGAAGTCTGATGATAACTTTTGGTGACCATTTGGGGACAATAGGAACTCAAACATTGCTGATAAGATTGTTAAGATGATTCAGCCATATGATGCAATATTTATTGTAGTAAAGTTTAAAATATTCATACTCTAGGGTTAAGTAATCCCACTTAAAGATTTCTACTCAGTAGAAACTACCAGTTGGACAGGATAAGCCGTTTATGAAAGGTTCCAGTGCAGCAATGTTTGTAATAACAATAACAACAAAAAAGTTATATAGCTTTCAGTAGGGAAATGGGTAACTATGTACTTATACAAATGAACTCTATAGTGTAATTAGTCTTAAAGAACTATGAATTTTGGTCTTTGGAAGGATTAAGTTATCTAAGTCAGTGGTCCCTAATCTTTTTGGCACCAGGGACCAGTTTTGTGAAAGACAATTTTTCCATGGACAGGGGCATGGTTTTGGGATGAACCTGTTCCCCCTCAGATCGTTAGGCATTAGATTCTCATAAGGAGTATACAACCCAGAATACCTCACAAGTACAGTTGATAATAGGGCTCACGCTCCTGTGAGAATCTGATCTAACAGGAGCCACAGCTCAGGAGGTAATGCTCGCTTGCCCGCTGCTCACCTCCTGCTGTGTGGTCCCTTTCCTAACAGGCCACAGACTGGTACTGGTCCATGGCCCTGGGGATTGGGGACTCCTGCTCTGAATCAACCTTTCTTCTAAAAACAATGAAAAGTGCTGGATTTTTAAAAAGTTAAAAATGGCTAAGAGTTAAAAAGGCAGTTGAGAATACCCAAGCTAATTTTAGAGATAAGTAGAAAATCAGAGGTAAAAAGCTGCTTAAGCTCGAAGTCTTTGTGAGTACCACGTATTTGTGTTTTCATGGCTGTTTAAACAAGAGGATCACAATTCTAGGGCAATAGCCTGTCCAAATAATTCTATGGGAGATTGTCTTTACGTTAAGCTGTGACATCAAAGAGTTATGCTTTAGAATAAAAGCAAGTCAGTCTAAATCATCTTGCCTTTCTCCAGTCCCAGAAGTTTGCTTTGGTGATGATCAGAGCGGGACAAGAAAAGTAAAGGTAGAAGAATATCAAATATTGAATTTGCCACAGACCAGCCCTCTAGTAGATCTGTACCCTGAGTCAATCAAGGAACTTCAAGCCATGAAATTAGTTTGAAGCAGGTATGAGTTTCCTATTAGTGTTGTAACGAATACCACAAGTTTAGTGGCACGTGACAAATTTAGTATCTTATAGTTCTGGAGGTCAGAGATCTGAAATGGGTCTCACTGGGCTAATATCAAACTGTAGGCAGGGCCGTCTTCCTTTATGAAAGCTCTAGGCCAGAATCAAATTTCCTGCATTTCCCAGCTTTTACAGGCTGCTGGCATTCCATGGCATGAGGTCTTCTTTTATTTCCAAAGCCAGCAGTGGTTGGTTGATTCTTTCTCACAATTTCATCTCTCTTTTTCTGACTCCTCTGCCTCCTTCCCAATTTAAGGACCCTTGTGATTATGTAGAATCCACCAGGATAATCTTATTTTAAGGTCAGCTGATAAACAACCTTAATTCCATCTGCAGCCTGTTTCCCCCTTGCCATGTAGCATAGTTTGCTCAAGGGTACTGGGTATTAGAACTCTCTGGAGGAGAGCACTTCCATTCTAGGCCTTAGGGAATTTGATCTTTTGAGGGCAAAAGCCAGTAAGTACTGAATTAATTGCATGAAGAAACAGGGCAAGATGAGCAAGACGCATCAGACTGCAGAAACAGACTTATTCAAGAAAAAGTATTGAAATGATTAGATACCAATTTAATTTTTTAACACTGATTTTAAAATATTTCATATTTAAAGAAATAAATTATAGACCTGAATATCTGTAAGGTATGGAGAGCTATTAAAAAGTTTTTAAGTTTTCAAAAATAACAGAATAAAGCTTGTATAAATTGCTGAGATTAACAAGTCAGAGGATGAACGTCCACCTCTGTGCATGAGGAAGTAATAGAGTTTGGACTTATCTTCTCCTGTAGACAGCTAGGAAACTGGACCATATATGCACAGACAGTGGAAAACAGGGAGCACAAAACTGGTCCCTGAGAAGAAGGAAACTAATGATTTAGGCCATATGATCATGCCAGCTTTTTTGCCTGTAGGTAATTTGCAGATTATAGCACAGGCAGGGTTGGCCTAAAAAGAGCCCAGTGGGCTTGCTGACTTAAGAAGGCAAAAAACCAAACACCGCATGTTCTCACTCATAGGTGGGAATTGAACAATGAGAACACATGGACACAGGAAGGGGAACATAACACACTGGGGCCTGTTGTGGGGTGGGGCAATGGGGGAGGGATAGCATTAGGAGATATACCTAATGCGTGCAGCACGCCAACATGGCACATGTATACATATGTAACAAACCTGCAAGTTGTGCACATGTACCCTAAAACTTAAAGTATAATAATAAAAAATAAAAAATAAAAAAAAGAAGGCAGAGATCTGCCTTTAGTGTATTGTGAGTGGCCGGAATTTATGAGGGCATTGTACCAGAACGGAGAGAGCTGCAGAGAGAAAGAGCTCAAGAAATCAGCATGCAGTGCCCTTGAATCTGGCTGAAAACCAGTTCGTGTGTGTAGGGTGACATCCATAAAACCTGACAAATAACACCTTTGGGAAAGCAGTTTCTGGAACCTATAATGTAAACAATTTTCAGAACTTATATAGGGCTGGCAATCATTATTCAAGTTCCCACCACCCAAAGTGAAAGCAGTCATTGAAGCCAAGAAAGCTAAACTTTTTTTTTTTTTTTTGAGACAAGGTCTTGCTCTATGGTGATGTGATCATAGCTCACTTCAGACTCCAATTTCTGGCTCAAGCATTCCTCCACTTCAGCCACCCAATTAGCTGAGACTACAGGTGTGTGCCACCACTCTGGGCCAGTTGTTTAGATGTTTTTGTAGAGAAGGGGTCTTGCTTTGTTGGCCATGCTAGTCTCAAACTCTTGGTCTCAAGTGATCTTCTTAACCTCACCCTCTCAAGTTCTTGGTATTACAGGCATGAGCCACTGTGCCCAGCCCCTTAACAACCTCAAAATGAACTTTAAGTAACTTACCTTCCTGAATAAACATGGTCTGACTCCCTTTAAAAAATGGGGAACCCAGCACTCACAATGTAAAATTCACAATGTCTGGCATTCAAGCAAAAGTATTAGATATGCAAAAAAGCAGAAAAATACGATTCGTAATTGGGAGAACATCAGTAGAAGTAGAACCAGAAATAATTGATGATCGAAATTGCAAAGAAGTATACTAAAACTGCTATTAAAGTTTGCTAAGTTATGTTCAAGGACTAAAAAGGTAACATGAACATAAGAGGGAAATGGAGGATTTAGGGTAGAAACAAATAGTTTGCTGCATCAAATAGATACCAATACAGAAACAAAAAAAAGATCAGTCATTTCACACCATCCACAAAAAGTGATCAAAATGGGCCACAGACCTAAATGTAAAATTTAAATCTCTATAACTTTTAGGAGAAAGCCTTTGCATCCTTGGGATAAAGAAAATGATTGTTAGAGCAGAAAAACCACTGTAAAGAAAAAACTGGGTAAATTAATCATCAAAATTAACAACTGTTGTTCTTTGGGAAACACCACTAAGAAAACAAAAATGCAAATGATAGACTAGGAGAAATATTCACAACATATATTATTAGACAAAGGAATTGTATCCAGAATATATTTTAAAACAAAATAGGAAAGGCTGTTATAATGCTGTAATAAAATGTCTGACAACCCAGTTAAAAATTTTGCAAATGATTTGAACAGAGGTATCTGAAGTAAGCCTGTGAAAAGATGGTCAATAGGGAAATACAAATTAAAACCACGTGGAGACATGAAGACATTAGAATGTTTTCTACAAATCACTGTTTTTTATTATTATTTTTTTAGAAGAAAGCAAAAGAAAAACACAACTAACCAAGTGGTGATTGGGATGTGAATCAGCCATGGTAACTTTCATACATGGATGGCAGATGGCAGAAATGTAAAATGATAACAATAACTTTGAAAACAGTTTGGTTTCTTAAACAACTAAATGTAACCCTACTTTGTAACCCTACATTTACACTGTTAATTATTTACACAAGAAAAATGAAAACGTATATCCACCAACTTCTGAATAGATTAAAAATTGTAGTATATCTAATATAATGGAATATACTGAGAAATAAACTGGTGATAACCAGCAACAATACAGAGAAAGCTAAAAATTATTCTATTGAGTGAAAAAGACCAGCCCCCACAAAAGAGAGTCTGTTCTGTAAGATTCGATTCTCATGAAAGTCTAGAAAATAGAAACTAATCTGCCATAGAAATCAAAATAGTTCTGCAGATTTAGTGAGCTCAATAATCAAAATAATTCCGCAGATTTAGTGAGCTCAACAAAGAAAACCATGCCAAGACACATAATCATGAAACTGCTGAAAATCAATGGTAAAAAGAAAATCTTAAAAGCAGTCAGAAAAAGGCACATTACGAAGTACAGAGGAACAGAGGAAAGAAAGATTGTAAACTTGCCAGCAACTATGCAAACCACTAGACGGTGAAAGCACATCTTCAGTGTACCAAAACTGTCAACCTACAACTTTATACTCAAAACAACATTTTTTAAAAAATTGAGACAAATGATTTTGTCTTTTAGGAAAAATGGTAGCTAGTAGATCTTTAAGCATAGGTCTACAAACACAAAAAAGTGACATTGTGAGTAAATTTAAAAGACTTTCTAATGTTTTAATATATTTAAAATGTTTTTAAGTAAGTTATATATAATGAGATTTGATCCTTATATTACATTCTATGTATTGATTCTTACATTACATACTAAGTGGTACTATAATGTTTTAAAGTAGATGGTGAAAAGCTAAAATGAATATTGTAAACCTTAGGACAAGCCCTAAAAAAACTAGAAGAGGTATGGCTATTAAGTTTATGGTGGCAACAAAATGGAATACTACAAACTTCTCATTTAACTTAAAATAATGTTGTGGAGTGGAGAATGGGGAGGAATGTATAACAGAGGAAATAAATAGCAAATTAGATGGTAGATATAAATCCAACTATTTTAATAAATACATTCAATTTTAATGGTCTAAAACACTGTCCTCAAAAAACAGATATTTTCAGACTGAATAAAAATGCAAGATTCAACTCTATTGTCCACAAGAAACTCAATTTGAATATAAAGACAGGTTAAAAGTTAAACAATTGGAAAAAAATACATAATGAAAATGCTGCTTATCATAAGAAAGTTGGTGTAGCTGATATAACAGTAGACACAATAGAACAAGGACAAGGAGGAGCATTTTATAATGATGATATCAATTCACAAAGGGGACATAAAAATATGCAATATAAATGTACCCAATAACAGAGCATCAAAATTGGCAGAAAAGGAGAAAAGACAGAAAATCATGAGAGATAAAAGACCCAAAGAACATTATCAATCAGCTAAATCTTAATTAACATTTATAGTACATTCCTCCCAGTAACTACAGACACATATTCTTTTCCGTGTTACATGGAATATTCACCAGTGTATATCATATGCTATCCATAAATTCAGTGTCAGGAAATTTACAATGACTGTAATCTTACATGTTTTACAACCACAAAGAATCTTGTACATTTCAATAACAGGCTGGGCCCAGTGGCTCACGTCTGTAATCCCAGCACTTTGGGAGGCTGAGATGGATGGATCACCTGAGGTCAGGAGTTTGAGACCAGCCTGGCCAACATGGTGAAACCTCATCTCTACTAAAAATACAAAAATAGCCGGGCGTGATGGCATGTGCCTTTAGTCCTAGCTCCTCAGGAGGCTGAGGCAGGAGAATTCGCATGTACCCAGGAGGTGGAGGTTGCAATGAGCCGAGATCACGCCACTGCACTCCAGCCTGAGTGACAGAGCAAGACTCTGTCTCAAAAAAAAAAACAAAAGAATTCAGCAAAGAGAAAGATTTCTGAATAATACCTAAATATTTGAAATTAAGCAACACATTTATATCCTATGTGTAAAATAAGACATCATAAGGGAAATTATAAACAATTTGAACTAAATGAAAATAAAGAATATATCACAGTTTATGGGATAGAGCTATTGTAGTGAATAGAGGGGAATTTATAGCTTTAAATGCTTTTATTGGAAAAGAACAAAGGTCTCAAATAAGTGATCTAGGCTTCCACCTTAAAAACTTAGAAAAATAAGTTTCAGTGAAAATAAAAAATAATTAGAAGGATATAAAGAGGAAAGGGCAGAAATGAAAAACATAGAAAATGAGTGATCAAGAAAGAAAATAATTAAAACCAAAAATTGATCTTTTGTAAAAAGATCAATAAAATTACTCAATTTTTAGTCAAGTAATCAGTGAAAAAGGAGAGACGATACCTAAACTGATACCAGGAATGAAAGAGGGACACAACTACAGATTCTTCAGATGGTGAAAGGTATTAAAAGAATCTTTTGAGCAACTTTTTTGCCAATAAGTGCTGTAATTTATACAAATTACCAAAACTGAATTAATAAGAAATCGATAGCCTAAATAGTTTTTTACTGATTTTTAAAAACTGGGCTTATGATTAAAATTTTACCACAAAGAGAGCTCCAAGTCTGACTAATAATTAATAAATATTATAATACACAAACTCAAAAAATGGTGAAGTTTGGATCATTTCCCAGTTTGCTTTATGAGGCCAGCATTACTCTGTTACCAAAACCAAATAAAACCATTACAGGAGAAAAGATGCTTTGGAATGGGCTTTGGAATGTTCCAGGTGATTACTCAGAAGGGCACAAGGGTACCATTTGAGTTGATGGAAATAGTTTCTGTCTTGGTTGTGTTCTTGGCAAAATGAAAGTATGGATTTTCAGAAGTTACTGAACTTTATTTTTAAAATGGATACCTTGTATGAAAATTATACCTCAATAAAGTTGACTTTTTTTAAACAAAAAGATGTATTTGTCAGCAGATTGAACCATAAGAATTTCATGAAGTGGAATAGATAGTAGAAGAAGTTAACTAAAATGCAGTAAAGAAAGCTAAAGAGACATAAAATGCGGAAGAGAGATAGTAGCATGAAGACTATAATGAGACCAACTAATACACTTTTGATCAGTCTTAGGAACTATGTTATCAGCAACAGATGCTCACAAGTGCAGTAATATTTCTGAAGCACGTTGATGACAGAAAAATAGAGTATCTTCTACTCTAAAATAGAATAACCCTTCTATAGAAGGATTTGGGCTTAATCTGTCTGAGTCTCTACCCAGTATGATAGCTTGCTCGAGTAGTAGGTAGTTCATTCACTTTTTTACCAGGAAATTTCTACTCATGGGAACTAGTACTGTCATTTCACAGAAGATTTTATTTCATTACATATTTACCAAGTATCATGATAGCTACCTTACTTTGTGAAATCTAAGACATTATTAGTTGTAGGATGCATCAGTAGTTCATGTTTTATTAAATGAAAAACTGTGGCTAGTTTTTTACTATGACAGTAGATTCTAAGATGAGTCTTGATTTTGGAGATGTTAATGTTTTTCAAAAGCATCTTATAACTTATGAAATATTTCTATAGAAGTATTAATAATGTTTTACATTTTAGGAATACCACTGAGAAAATCTACTTTTTCTTTGATTTATAGGGTCTGTCATGCCATGTTTAGTTTTTTCCTCCCAAATCCACACACGGCTTACATTATTTCCTTTTCTTAGCTTCTCAATTATTTTGCCATCAGGATCATATTTTTTTTTGGATGTCTGTAGTTGATTGTTGCTTAAAATTAAATATGTTACAGACTTCAAAGTTGAAAATTGTAAAATCTTAAAACTAGTATATCCAGAAAGTGGAATACTTGGGAAATGCATAAACTAGGGTTTTGTTAACTTGGTAAGATTTTCAGTAATTTTTTTTACCTAAAATTTAGGGCAGTCTATAGCAATGACCAAATTGTTGTGTTTTGATTTTTACAAGTAGGTTTAAATTTTATACATCATATGTTTAACAGAAAGATTTCTCCCTATTGACCCTCATTTACTCATTCTTGTAATTGATGTTAAAGATGCTATTTTTCATGTTTACTTTTTTAAAACAAACATAAACAATTATGTGTCTTCTAATTATTCTTCCCCTCTCTGCAAGATTATTACATACAAAATCTGCCCATAATATTTTACCCAGGAATACTTATAAATGATAAAGTTGTTTAGTTGTTTTAGTAGTGAATATTTCCATTTTGATATTTTAATTTCTTTACAGTCATGTAATTTCTGGTAGTCATTGTGTGACTGTTATGTTGTATATTGCCTACTTCAGTTTAATGCAGCTAGAGGAAAAATATTTATGGTATGTTAAATTAATTTGCTGATTGATACAGAGTTTATGACTTTAAATTGTAAAATGTAACTTTTCTAGTAGTTAATATACTTTTCTCTCTCTAAAAACACAGGTTTTGAGAGTATTTTAGAAGGGCTTTATGGACCACGGCTACGAAGAGACCTCAGTTTATTTGAAGGTAATTTTTAAAATTTTATTTAAAAGTTGTCATTTCCCATCCTATTTAACAAATGAAAAATTGTTGTTCTATACTAACTTTATATTAAACATGAATTTATGATCCAATTTAATTAGAAAATATTTTAAAATTAATAAAGTAATCCAGATATTTTTATTACATACCATATTTTTAAAAAATTTTATATACTAAATCAAAATAGAAAATAAAGCTTGTTTGGAGGTCAATGGTGTAATTTAATTTTTGTTGTTTTATTGATTCTACGCCCTAACTTACTCTTAAATAAGATTTAAATAAATAAATGTTAATTAAATTGAGTTAGGTAATTGCTTAATCAAATTATTAAACTTTAATTGAATTATTTAATTGATTCAATTTAAATGTTCAATTGAATAATTGCCTTCTAAAAAGCTATCACCCATTTTTACTTTTGTTTGTTCTTTTAATATTTGTCTTAGTGAAACACGTGAATATTGGGAAGGAAGAAACAATGGCTAAGTGAACTAATATATTGACTCCTTTTATTTGTTTTTGTTAGGACATGTCTTTCTAATATCTGAAGAGCTAGAGTTGTAAAACATTTTTTAAATGAGGAATTTATAGAAAATATTGAGTAGAAGTCAGGAGATTAATTTTTTCTAGTTTTACTGAGTTTGGCAGTCACTTTAGTCACCTAAACCTGTAAGGTCAACATATTTCTAACCTATAAACTTGTCTCTTCACTGGCATAGTTTTCAAAATTAAATAGAGCCTTTTTTGCTATTGTTCAAAGGAGAAGTGTCCTTGGTAGTGGTATTGTAGCAATGATGCTAATATTTGATCAATTAAAAAAATTTTTTTAACTTAACATGAATACATTTCTTATTAGGCGTGACCTGCTTTGATTTTTTTTCAACTATCATATCCAAGGGATATTACTAAGTAGTAACTTAAAAGATTTTCTTAATTTCTTAATATAAATTTTAAATATTGAGTACAATTTATTATTTTAGGATGTTCCCAAAGTGTTACATACTGCTTATAAATTTTTTAATTATCATTATATTTTATACAGTTTAGGCCAAAGAACAAGTTTACTATCAGATTGAAAGTATTTTTAATGATAAAATCTAATGCTTTTAAAGTATGGTTGGGAAAAGGATTTTTTGTGTATTAATGCAATTTTGAGCTCCTAAGTATTACTAGTACAGCCATTCTAAAAGAAGCAGTTTTATCAATAAATATTCAAAGCCAAAAAAAAACACATAACTACACTGTATTTTTAGGTATCACAAGAAAATAATCAAATAAGTATGCAAAAGATGTATTCTGTATAAGGCTGCTCATTATAGGTCATTCAAAGCTGTTTCTAGTGTTTTTTTTTTGCTATTATGTATTTAAAAAGGGGCTATTTAATATTTTATATTTATAATTCGGATATATGCAGATATTAACAGTTATGTTGTTGAGTTTATTAATGATGTGGAAGAATTGTTAGACTGAAGAAAAGCAAGTGCAGTGTATATATACTGTATATTGACTCATTCTATTTTTGTAAACAAAACAAAAACGAGAAAAGTGTGTATATTTTAGACTAGAAAGAAAAGACACCAAAATGTTTGTCGTGGTTATATTTGAAATATGGATTATGGATAGTTATGGTTTCCTTTTATATATGTGGCTTTTTCCAAAATCAAACATGTGTTATATAATTTTTAAAATATGAAAATTATGAAACTTTTAAATAGCACACTTCGTATTTTTCTTACTGAAACTCTTACCAGTATTGGAAAGGGAGGTCTATGGCTGAGACCTCCCTTAGAGCGTTATCTATTTTTACCAACAATTAGTTTTTCCAGTCATTTTGATCATATTATATGTGTAATGCTAGTGTGGAATATCAGATGAACTTTATCCAATATTATAAATTACAGAACCATAAAGGAAATAGAATTTTATTTGGGTTCTCATATGTATAAACACTTTCTTTGACATATAACCTGTGTTTTCTTAAACTGTCCTTGGGAAGGGAATGGGATCTTGCAAGAATATAGGAACATAGCATGTTTTCAGTCTTTCCCATGAGGTTTTCAGAGAACTTGTGGATTATCTTAAATGTATTGCAACAGCTTTAAGGCCTTTGAGGTTCTCAAACCTTGAAGACAAGGATATGGCATTAAACCTTGTATTCGTAGCAACTGGTCAGTGCTCAAAAGTGCCTTTATTGCCCATTGAAGCCCTTGGGCTCCTGGCTGCTGTCTGGCAATGTAGGTTACAGGTTTGCAGCTGTTATGTTCTATTTCTCATGATACAGGCAGCGTGGAACTTGGATTGCCACTCCAAGAAATACTACCTTGTGTATTCAGAGTTTTATATTTTACATTAGATTGTTTGTTATTTATTATAGCCTTCTCTTCCAAAGGCTCTAGCTCAGATACTCTTGGAAGCTTTTGATCTGTGATGTAATTGCAATACCACATAAACAGGTTAGCTGTTTTATAGCTTGCTTGGAAATGTAGAGCACAAGGAGAGAACATTTTTGTAGATATATCTGAAATGTTATAGTACAATTCATTTACAAAATGAGTAGTGTTGGTTTAGATTTTCTGCTTTGGTTTTTGATTGAGCTATTTCTGGATCTTCTATCTGGTCAGTTTTATGTGCTGTTGCTACTTTCCACCGTACTATGGTACTTTCCATTCTATTGAGACACAAAGTATCTCTAAGGATCCTTCTCTCTTTTGTATAAATACATGTTTTAAGTTAAGGAAGTGATAGTGGTGATAGAAGTTTTCTGCTTGTCTTTGTTAATGTTGAGCAGGGTAATTCAGTTTTGAATCACAAAGCTGAAAGTACATACGAAAGATATCCCAGCAATATATTACCAGTCAGATGGAATGATAGCCATACACAACACGACTTTAAGGGTGGAGACTCCAAAATGTACCCATTCCAGTGTTTTATTATTCTTATGGCTTAAGAGAGCTTTTTTTCTGAAATCTCTTAATTTTAATCATTTCTTATTTTAACATAGTTTTGCACTGAATTAAGTATTTTTATCTGAAATATTTAAGCAATGCTAATTTTAGTTTAACCAGTTTTTCTGCTGAGTTTACGAATGAACAAAGGAAAAATCTAAAGAATCAAGAATTTAACCCATGCTTGATGTTTCTTCAGCCATCCTTCAGGATAATATAATTCTTGTATATTCTTGTATATTATCCTGAATTCTTTTTAGTTATGAAATTAAATGCGTATTATATACATTTAAGTTAATTATACTTTTAGTTTGCAAACCTACTGTTTTCTCTTGAAAAATATATTCTAAAGTTCATCCTACTACCTTAAAAATCAACGTTGGCACAGCATTTTAAAGGTAAAGACTTTTTATCTTACACGCTAGTGTTTTGAGAGGTTTACATTTTAATTTTTGAATTTAATTCGCAACCACCTCCAGATTGAGTGGTTTTGAAAGAAACTTTTGAGTGCTGCTTATTTTTAATTTGTTAGAAACAAAATCTTCTTTAGTCTGTCTTATGACTGTCCTTATGAAGAAAGCA
Source organism: Homo sapiens (assembly GCF_000001405.40). Taxonomy (NCBI): domain Eukaryota; kingdom Metazoa; phylum Chordata; class Mammalia; order Primates; family Hominidae; genus Homo; species Homo sapiens. The sequence continues at coordinate 17,969,280 of NC_000004.12, read as the reverse complement.
TAACTATTCTCTCTTTTTGGAGTGAGGTCTCCAAGAAGTCACAAACTTCACACATTGGTGTACTTTTAGAAGAGTTCCCAGTACTCTATGCCTGTCTTGCTCCTCCATCTACCCTAACTGCACTTCTGGTGTCATAGGACTTTTTAATCAAAAACTACTCATTTCCTACCTTAGTTAATCTTTTATGTCTTATTGGTAGGCCAGTTTCTTTCATCTGGTTGGGGCCATCTGATTTTATATACCTGACTGTGTATATTTACAAAAATATGAATAGATTGTATGTGGCATGAACCTCAATGCATTAGGCCTGTAGAAACTGATAAATGCTTACTGTTTTTTCTCTAGGTGTGGCAACATATCAAAGGCATTATTTGTATCAGAGATTTGCAAGTTACAGCATGTGGGCTAAATCCAGCTTGTTGACTGTTTTTGAATGGCTTATGAACTAAAAATGGTTCTTACATTTTTTAATGGTTAAAAAAGTTAACATTTCATGAAAATTATATGAAATTCAAATTTAATTTTTCAGTTAATAAAGTTTTATTGGACATAGTCTCACTCATTCCTTGACTATGGCTGCTTTTATACTATAATGATGGAATTAAGTAGTTGTGAAGAGACTGTATGGCTTGCAAAACCTGAAATATTTACTATTTGGCTGTTTATGGAAAAGGTTTGCTGACCCCTGACTTATAATACTGACTGAAATTTAATATACTTGGCTTAATATCATGTTTTCTACCTGTTAACACTATGATGGAGACAACAAAACTACTTTTTAATAACATTTGTTTAATGAAATATTTTGAATGCTTATTTTGTCTTAGATGCTGTGATTAGCAATAAGGAATAAAAGGTGCATAAGTAAGTTCTCTTCTTATTAGGAACTCATGGCCTAGTATTTACTCAGAAGTTGGTAGTTTTCTAATATGAATTGATGATTATTTATATTATACAATTAAAGCCAGAGAATCTAATGTTATTTTTAGTTACAAATTATATTAGCTCTTATCACATATGTATGTTTAAGTTGGTGCAAATGTAATTGTGATTTTTGCCATTACTTTTAATGTTAAAAAGTAATGTCGTTAAAAAGTAATGTCAATAAAAAGTAATGGCAAATGGCCGGGTGCAGTGCCTCACACCTATAATCTCAGCATTTTGGGAGGCCGAGGCAGGCAGATCACTTGAGGTCAGGAGCTTGAAACCGGCCTGGCCAACATGGTGAAACCCCATCTCTACTAAAAATACAAAAATTAGCCAGGTGTAATGGCGGGCATCTGTAATCCCAGCTGCTCAGGAGGCTGAGGCAGGAGAATCGCTTGAACCTGGGAGGCAGAGGTTGCAGTGAGCCGAGATTGTGTCACTGCACTCCAGCCTGGGCAACAGAGTGGAACTCCATCTCAAAAAAAAAGAAAAGAAAAGAAAAAAAAAGTAATGGCAAATGGCAATTAAAACTAAAGGCAGAAACTGCGATTACCTTTGCACCAACCTGATATTTGATACATACTTATCTGAAGTAAAGACTTACCTGAGTATATTCATCATAATGCTTGTAATACAAAGACTGGAGAAACAGGCTAAATATTCAGTAATAGAATTTGGCTAAATAAATTGTAGTGCATCTTTTTGATGGACTATACTTAACCAAAAATTACTTTGAGTATGGGAAATATTTGTGGTAAATAAGTATAAAGGTATAATATGATTTTAATTTTTTTAACTAAAATATTTTAGAGCAATTTTAAATTTACAGAAAAAATTGAGTAGAAAGTACAGAGAGTTTCCATGTACTCTCTTTCCTCTGCCTTCAGGTCCCTGTATATTAGCATATTTTATTGAACCCAATTGATAAATTATTATTAACAAAATTCCACAGTTTACATTAGGGTCACTCTATGTGTTGTGCAGTTTTTTGGGTTTTGCCAAATGCATGGTGTCATTGATCCATCATTATAGTATCAGACACAGTGCATATCACTGCCAAAAACCGTCTTCTAAACTCTACCTAGTCATACCTTCCACTTCCCCAAACCTGTGGCAAACACTAATTTTTTTATGGTCTCTAAAGTTTTGTTTTTTTTAGAATGTCATATAGTTGGAATCATACAGTATGTAGCTTCTAAAGATTTGCTTCTTTCACTTAGAAATGTGCATTTAAGGGTCCTCTATTACTTTTCATGTCTGTTTCTTGATGAATAATATTGCGTTGTATAGATGTACCCACAGTTTGCTTATTCATTCACCTATTGAAACACATCTTGCTCACTTTCAAAATGTGGCTATTTAGAATAAGACTGCTATAAACACAGGCAAATTTTTTTGTGGACAAATTTTTTCAACTCATTTGGGTAAATATTTAGGAGCATCATTGATAGACTATGTTTAGTTTTGTAAGAAACTGTAAGGGTATCTTCAATGGTAGCTGTACCATTTCGCATTCCCACCAGCAATGGATGAAAGTTCCTGTTGCTGCACATCCTCACCAATATTTGATGTCAGTGTTTTGGATTTTAACCATTCTAACAGGTATATAGTGGTATTTCATTGCCTTAATTTGTAGTTCCCTAATGACATGACATTCAGCATCTTTTCATATGCTTGGTTGCCACTATGTATCTTCTTGGGTGATGTATCTATTCAGACAGAGTTTGATATTTGGACAATGATGGATTCGTAGAGTAAGTGAAGACATATTTCCCCTGCTGCTGTTTTTAGAGACAGATTGTATGGAAATCATCTGGGTTGGTGCTTTCTGTTTCAGAAGGTTTTTAATTATTAATTTCTTTAATAGATACAGGGCTGTTGAGGTTATCTATCTTACCTTGTGTGAGATTTGGTAGTTTGTGTCTTCTGAGGAATTGGTCCATTTTATTTAAAGTTATCAAATTTGTGAGCATGATGTTCATAATATTCCTTTATTATCCTTATAATGCCCATAGGATCAGTAGTGATGGCCAGTCTTTCATTTCTAGTATTAAAAATTTGTGCTTTCTCTTTTTTTCTTCATTGGCTAGCCAGATTTGTCTGGAGGTTTATTTTACTGATTTTTTTCCCCAATGAACCAGCTGATCCTAGTTTTTTAAGCGGCATAAAATATAAACTAGAAGAATCTATAACAAAATGTTAATCATTGTCTACGGATGATGGGATTATGAATTTTTCTTTTCTCCTTTGTACTTTTCAATATAGTTAATATGTAATTCCATAATGAAAAATCAGTTTTTAGTTGTATTGCCTAAGGATTAGTATCTTTCCCTCAGACCAATACAGTTATAACCAGTGTTTCATGATCTTCATGAAAAATCTAGCTCAATATTCTTCTTTTTCATTTTTCACTGAACTTTGTCTTTGGAAACGCTAAATTTACAGCCTATGGATTAAAGGGACCAAAAAGCATTAAAACACTCAAAAATTATTTATTAATAATGAGGTTATTTAGAAGAAAATAAAAATTACATCTGTTGAGGTGTTTCACACATGCTTTAATTTTTACTACAGCTTTAACATGTAATTATTATTCTCTTTTTCAAACAAAGAATCTGAAACTCAAGTTAACTTGCCTGACTGAGGCCACATGAGTATGTGGAAAAGCCACAAAAAGTTCAGTACTAGGGTTCTCCTATTTCAAAATCTGGATTAGATAAAATGATTCAAGCCAGATTTTAACTATAAGAGTATATATCCATGGTGGAAAGGTTGATGTTTGTCATTCATTGACTATTAGTTTTAATTATGACGTTACCTTTTACTAATGAAGCTATTTCTATAAGATATATAATTTAACCTCTTTTGAGTTTATGCATTACAGTTTCAAAAAGAGAGATAACATCTTTTAGAGATGAGTATCTTATTCGTTGTTTGAGAGATTAAAATGAATGTTTTATTTCAGCATTTATTTAGTTTTTAATGACATGAAAGATAACCTGGGGAGAGTGAAAATCTGGCCTAGAGTTGATTTTTCAAAAGCTATTTTTCCATGTAGAAAAATGTATCCCACCAAACATCATTTGTTTGGTTTAAAATAAAAAGTTAATATAGAAAGAGTGATTAAATATTTGTAAGTAAAGCTATAAAGCTATACATTTTGAATTCAGAAAAATTTAATGGTCTTTATATTCAATTGATTATTCATTGCCATTTATTTGACTGTGTAAACATTTGTTGTAATTAACATTTTCTTGAAGAACTCCTAAAATATCTAAAATAAGTGACAATCTCAGGATGCCTTGATATTATCTTACAACTGGCAATTGTCTTAATCTAAAATTGTTGGCCCTTGATTGAGGATATTTATCACTGAAACTTTATGAAACCGTACAGCTATTTTTTAAAAATACCCCTTCCCGAAGCCTACAAGCTATTTTCCAAAAATTCTTTAATGAGACACTGATTTAAAGAAAAAAAAAAAAAAGGGCAGTAAGATTTCCTTGACCTATCAGAATTATGTTACGCTTGGCATAGGAATCATGTTTTTGGCACAACAGTTCCAAAACAACTCCAAAATCTTTTGCACGCTTATGGGTGATCTGGTTCAGCTGGACTTCAGGCTGTGAGTGGGGAATAACATCTTCACATGAGCGTGAGGTCCCAAGTTCTTCTTACGTTGTATGGTGATTCTGTCCTAGTGAGGGGGTGAAAGTTTGAAACCTACGTAAGCCTACATAGCTACAGTTCTATAGGAGCTGGGTTTTTAATTATATAGAATGTTGAAACTTTTTGATTTGTCAGGTTTTACAGAAGGTGACCAGTTTTCTTAATTAAAATTTAATTAAAATCTTTCTGCAAACTGACCTTATTAAATCACATACAATCATATAGGATTAAAAAATAACGACTGGTAATTCTGTCTTGTTTATAACTGGCTTTTGTATGGTGCTTCATAGTTTATAAAGTATTTTTACATTTTTTCATTTAATCCATAAATAAGTTAGATGATGTGATCCTTATTCACATACAAGGTAATTAAAACAACTTTGTGGCTTGAAAAGCTTAAACTAGTAATTGAGATTCCACCCCACATTTTCAGAAACTTCAAATCTAGTTATCTTTCCATTACCCTACACCGCATCTTAATTTCCATTCCCTGCTCTGTCCAAGTTTATGTAGATATTAGTAATAAGTTTGTGTACTACTGCAGAAATTAAAGGGAGTTGTTATTATGTTCTTTATATTCCAACATATTATCTTCTTTTCTGATCAGTGTTTCTGAGTTGATTTAGGGGAGTCCTAGCTACTGATCCTAACTAGTATTTATTCATTAGCATTTCAAAAAAAGAAAAACTTTATTATCTGTGCATTTTAGCAGAGATGTGTATTCAACTTCATCATGTATTTCAAAAGTATGAAAATTGCAGTGATAGACCAGTGTTTTTCAAATCAGTCACAGTATAGCTGCCTTAGATGATAATGGTTTTTATGTTTGAGGTTCTGCATATGAATTTATTTGGGAATAGAAATTGGGGAGAGTTTCTGCTGCAAGGGTTAAGTTTTAAAATCATGTCTATGCCAGATATATTTAGGATGACAATATTATTATGCCTTCATAAAATTCAGTAGGAACTATTTTAGTTTTCCAGAAATTCTCTAATATATTACGACAGTTGGATTATAAGGAATATTCTTCTGGAAAAAAAAAATCTATGTTTTATATTAAATAATATACCTTATTTGTTTACCTGATTTTTACTCTTAATTCTTGCAACAAAGCCTTTAAACAATTTAATAAAAATCTGTTCTGACTTTTGAGCTATAGACTTTTACTTGTTTTCTTGGGCATCATTCCATTTTCTGAAATCTGTGGGCTTTTCTAGTGCTTTCTTCTATTTCTCTATTTTATGTTGTCTTTCATGGTGTGCAAAGTTTATTTCCTCCAGATATCTCCCCCTTTGTTCTGATTCCTTTCATAGCAAAAATAAAATTAAAGCACAATGATAAGTTGAATCTTTCAGAAAGTTAGATGATATTTAAAACCCTATTGTTGGAAAATTGTTAATTTATAACCAGCTCATTGTTCTTGCTATTTTGTCCCATAATAGTGCAGATTACTCTCCTTACAGCCTTCTCTGTTTATTTCTAGATGTTGTGAGTTTAATTTTAAAGTTAGTTCTTCTCCCATTACTGTTAGTTTTTTAAAAATTATTATTATGTGAGCCATTGCTGTGGAGAGTGGTAATTTTATTTGTTTTAATAAAGTTAGTATATTTAATGAATTTTTTCCCTCTTTTAAAGACTGTGAACCAGAAGAGCTGACTGACTGGTCTATGGATGAAAAATGTTCATTTTGTAACCTACAGAGAGAAGCAGTCAGTGTAAGTTTTAGTGCTATGAAATTATCTTTAAACTAATGCACAATTGTAACACAGTTTTTTTTTTATCTTAATTTGTTTTGAAAATTTGTGACTCACAGTGGAAGTTTAAGTATTTGATTTTGGTAAACGAAAATAATATTTTAAAGTCATATTAGAAATCTAACATTTAGCTTAACTTGCAGGTGAAAATCCTAGAAAACTCATCTTTTTTTTTACTTATTTATTTCACATTTCTTTCTTACTCTTACTTACCCTGACTCATTAAGTTTAGTTCAGGTCTATTTTGTATTTAGGTATAGAGGGATGAGCTTGAAGGCCTACTTTGGTCTGAGACCACCCTACAATCTGATTTCTTAGAAATTAATAGTAGGGGAATAATGTGCTGTTTTAGCCTTTCACTTACTCTTGAAGTCTTTTGGATATCATAATTATCTCCTGTGTAAATGATGAAATATGTAAGTGTCTACTGTATACGGGGCATAAACTATGCAACCAGCATCTTCTTGTGTGGTGGGAAATTCTGATTTCTTTTCTACTGTTGTGAGAAGGGCTGAGAAGAATTGAAAACTTGAGAACCTGTACCAATTTTGGTCAGATTAGTGGGTAAACACATCTGCTTTGTTGTTAAAACTCTCCGATAGGATTGCATTACTGGCATGCCAATATAGTGAATTTATTCACCAGTATGTTTCATATGCTCTTTTTTTTTTTTTTGACTGTAGTTTTGCTAAGGAATAAGGTTATTTTGACTCTCTATCAGAGCTATTTCTTTTTTCCTGACTCATTCTGAATTTTATGTTCCCTCTATCTAATTTGATACAATTTAAAGAGCAGAACAAATGGGCATTTAGAGCATTAATTTTTTGTCATTTTTAATGGAATTCCATGTTTGAATTAAAAAATAATTCTGTATGTTGTTGTTTTCTTATACTTTTAGGATTGTATACCATCTCTTGATTCTTCACAGTCAACACCAACAGAGGAGCTATCATCTCAGGGCCAGTCCAACACTGATAAGATTGAATGCCAAGCAGAAAATTACCTAAATGCACTCTTTCGAAAGAAAGGTAATATTGGTATGCTTTGTCATTTAAAATTTGCAATAGAGATGTAAAATGTTGGAATTTTTTTACACAAAAGTTTTTTATATGTCAGTCTCTCTACTTCACTCTTTATTGTTTCTTTATTCTTAATTTTTCTTTATATTTTTAGGGACAGTAGGAGTCTCAATCATTCTAGTACTAGTCTTGTATTAGGCATTCCTGTTCAGCATTCTATTTTCAAGTATCTCTCTGACTTTATCACACATTTTCCTCATCTATTATAGGAACCTTTAAAAATTTTTCTTATGCTTCTGGTCTTCCTTATTGTATTGCTGTCTTGAACACTTCAAAATTTGTTTGATGTTCAATAAGTTACAGATATATAATATTATATTGCAAAGCTATGCCTGATAATGTAATAGTGAAATCACTTATCAGCTTGGTTGGAGTATATTTGCTGACTTGCTATTTCAATATTTATTTGGTAACTTTAATTTGCTTAGTAGACATTAAAAAAATCAATGTTCTTTTTTATTTCTTGTCTCTCCAAACTACTCAAACCAAATAGCTTTTGTTTTACTTGTTCCCTTACTTTACACTCATGTATCAAGCAGTAGTAGTTTTTATATTTTAGTTACTTGGGAGAATTAGAGAAATGTAGGACCTTTCATGTTTTGTTCTTGGCTGTTCCCACAGTAATAGAGTGTCTTATTTTTACCACCTGGACCTTTGGATTAAGTTATGGTGCATGTTTAGGTTGGGGGATTATTCTCTCTCTCAACTTTGAGATTAAGAAAACATTACCATATTGTCATCATCTACTTGTTGACCCTATTTTACTCCTCTTTGGAATGAGATATCACTAGATATTTTTCTACTAAATTGATAACTTTCATGTTTAAATCAATAATGTTTAAAATAGTACTTGACTGTGATACAAGAGTCTTTTGTTTAGTCTTAAGTGTTCTAAGTTCTTTTATATGTTGGAATATGGAAATCCTCTTATTAGAAGAGTCTTAATATAATTTAAAGGCCTAAAATTAAGAACTATAATTTTTAAGAGCAAGAGACTGAAAATCTTTTCCTTTGTGTTACTGTTGAGAAATCTGCATTATCTTTAAAAATCAAATCTTTTTTCAAAATTTTTAGTACAGTGTTAAAAATGTTTTATGGCCAGGTACAGTGGCACGTACCTATAGTCCCAGCTAACAGGTGGGCTGAGGTGGGAGAATTGCTTCAGCCCATTTGTTCAAGGCCAGACTGGGCAACAAGACCCCATCTCTTTAAAACAATAATTTTACATACTTTCTTTAAGGATTTTGTAACATTAATGTAGAAAATTTTATTCTGTTAGTATTCACTTACAGGAAAAATTATGTTATCAGACTTGTATCACTAAGAGAACTGGAAGAAATATACACATTTACACACATGCACACAGTAAGTTTCATTTACCTTGGAAGTCATTACTCAGTCTCTTTTTCCTTTGAGTCATTTGTAATGGTAATAACTAGAATTATCAATAATAATAGCCTTTAATTTTTGATATTATGGAGTTAGCCTATGCTCCATTGCCCTATTAAGAGTAATCAGTAAAAACTTGGTACTATTTCAGCTGATTCAAGCATCTGGGTCTCCAAGAGGTCTCCTACCAATGGTTGGGTGAGTGTTCTTGGATATTTAGTGACCTCTCCATTTCTGGATTTCTTCAACATCTTTTGAAAGATTGCAGAGTTTTTAAATTAAAGATTCTTCTTAGTGTTTTTGCTTTATTTTAGGCCTTTGTTAATTTCTTTATTTGTAGTTCATCACTTTCCAGATTTAATTAAACATAAAAGTTTTTCTGCTTGTTTACTTGGGCTTTTTAAATTTGCTTTCAATAAAATCATTTTAGAGATTTCCAAATGGTCTGACCAAGATGGGGCTAGAAGATAGTAACAATATCTTTTAAATGGTCTTAACTCCTTTGTTAGTTTGCCATTTGAGTTCTACTATTAACTCTACTTTGAAGTAAAAGGCAAGAAATATTATTTTAAAGACAGGAAATACTTCTGAGTCTTTGGAGTAGTATTATGACGTGTTGTTAAAACATCTTTTTAGTGCAGATTTTTTTTCCCTGAAAATATCCCAAATGCAATCATTTTTAGGGATCCTGGATATGGATGGCATTAGTATTCCTGGTACTTTAAATCTTTTGCTTAGTTTGAGGAACATGTGCATGTTGATCATCTTGCTAAAACACAAAGAAATCTTCTAATATCCTTATGGTAACTAATTTATTGTCTTTCCCAACTTATGCTTTTTGAGATGGTGCTAATGATAAATATAAGCTATTACTATTGAGAATATCACTACCTGGGATAATGATGATGATTGATATCATCAGTTGTGATTGAGCACTAAACCTTTTTTATGCTCTATCTCATTTAATGCCAAAACAATATTAAGAGGGTAAGTACTGTTTAACAGGTAGGAACTGTGAAGCTCAGAAAAGTTAAATACCATGATTTTTAGCTCTGTGTGCTGAACATTTGAGCCGTCCAGAAGAAGTTCAAAAAATGAACAGTGTTCTGTGTGAGGAGCACCTAGACTCTTTTAAGTACTAAGTAGAAAACACTTCCCATTCTCCACTAGTTAGCAGACTAGGATTAGAATTATTTTATTTGAATTAAGCAGACTAGAGAGGAACTATGGGGAATACTCTATATTTCTTATAGGTTTCTATTTTTTCTTCATGTGGCCTCTGAACAATTTCAGTGATTAATTCCCTTATAGTGCTTAATAATAAATAGGTTGTAGGAATGCCACTGGCATTAAACCGTCTCAAGACTGGAAGAAGCGTATTACTTAAATACAGCTCAAGCAATTCATTGTATTTAGAAGCTAGTCAAAAATACTCTTTCAGGGTTGAATAAGTCAAATGCAGAGGAGGATGTTCTAGGACAAAGGTGAACTTTAACTAATTTTGTATATTCTTTACTTTAGAAATGTTTAAAAACTGAATTCCTTCTAGAGGTTAACACTAAAATTAACTAGAGTGCTAGAGTAGAATGAAAATCTCCATAATAACAGGGACTTTGTTTTGTTTATTGCAGAATCTCGGCAACTAGGACTGTACCTGCATGTTAGGTCCTGAGTTAGTATTTCTTGGGTGAATAAATGAATACTAAGATAAACTCTACCTAGATAGATATCTTTCAGTTTCTCAGAATATTCGGTAGTATTAGTACTTCCTTTGTTCGTTTTGAAGAAGTAAATTATTTTGTACGTACATATAGTTAACCTTTCTCTGCTTTGTACTTAAAGTATTACTGTGTATAGTTTGAATATCAGCCAGTTTGTTTGGAATGTTGATAAACATAGGCATATAGATATAAAATGCCTTGTTTACAGATATCCTTATGAAATGTAAACTAAGTTATTTTGGCCTTTAGCTGCAGATTCTCTAATCACCTGAAATGTTTAAGTCACTGGCTTATGATTCAGGAAGATGTCTCATCTTTTATTTTTAAATTGAAGGCTGCTGGACTGGACTAAATTGAACAGATAATATGTACATAGTAGCTGAACGAATCATACTGCTATCTATATAACAAAGTCATCCTTCATCAAAATGTAATATGTTTTTCCTGCTTTTTTTTTTAATACCCACACATGCTTAGCATTCACGTACCCACAATTCTGTTTTTTTCCTGAAGGACCTTCTTGATGGATTTGATGCCGTTAGTTGAAAGCTCCTATTAACAAACTCTTTTCCCTTAAGTTAATTGATAGCCAGGTTTTATATTAAAAACCTTTTTATTTTCCCGTGCCTTTTGGGAACACTGACCCTTTTCCTTTTAAACTGTTAATGTTTTGTTTTGTACTCTAGCATGATATAAATACTAGTATGGTTCATTAACCAGTTGGGTTATGACTGATGATAAAGTAATTGATTTCTTAAAAACAGGTAGTGTTAATCTTTTAGAGTGCTTTTCTCTAAATGCAGACATCCTTGATTGACTATGTAAATTTAACATGATTCATTCAGGCCTTAAGTGTTTCTTAGTAAGTGTTCCTTTGTGATGTCATCGTGGTCATACTTTGAATTTCTCTTATATAGGTTGCCCTTTTGGAACTCTCAGGGAATTGTAATTGCCATAAAATAACTGATATACCATTATGAGCTGCATTTAGAGGTGTTCATGAAAAGATTTTTCTTCTTTTCTTACCAGGTACCTGTAAGATAGTAAACAAATTCTAAGAACACACTTAAAATTAGAACTGGATTGAAGACTTTTTACATTTCTGATAAAAATCTCCCTTTTATTTGCAAGTCCATCCATAGAAGGAATTAAAGGAAATCTACCAGTTCATCCCATCATCACCCAGATTCTCCTCTTCCTTTGGCTTTTTAATTCCCTAATTTGACCCAGTCTCCTACCCCTTTACAATCACCCAAATTCTTTCTACTTTGTCTTCTGGAGCTTCTGGTCTTCCATCAACAGAATCCCTCAGTCTCTTCTCTGAGTGTTCCTCTTTCTTTATTGCTCTAATTGAAACTTATGTGTTCATAAAGGATGCTTTTGTAGACTTCTCACTTGCTATTGTTTTTAATTCCTTACTTTATGTAACATAAGGAGGCAACTGGCAGGCAACTTTCAAGATCTTTATATCTGCCCTGCTTGATCAAAACCGTAACCTTCTTTGAAGCCATGGCATTAAAGTATTCCATCTACATTTTTGTCTCTACCAGGCTTTTTGCTTTCTTCCTCCCAAATACTATTCCCATCATAGCTCATGTTGACTTCAAATTCTATGTAGCTGATACATCCAACACCCTGGCCTCTCCATTACTTGATTTCTTCATTTCCAACGCTGTTTTCCTTTATTCTACTCTAGCCACCTTTTCCCACATTCCTATACCTTTATCACCTCCCAAATCTAATTTTACCTATCCCTTTTTCTGACTACCATCTTATCCCAATACTCTCATTCCAATATTTATTTTTTATTTATTGTACTGATACATAATATTTATACATATTTACAGGATACATGTGATATTTTGATACATGTATACAATGTGTAATAACAAATTGGGGTATTTAGAATATCCATCACCTCAAATAGTTATTTTTGTGTTGAGAACATTTCACATCTTTGCTTCTATTTTGAAAAATACAATATATTGTTATTAACTGTAGTCACCCTACTGTACCATCAAACACTAAAACTTATTCCTTCTAGCTAACTGTGTAGGTTTGTACCCAACCTTTTCATCCCCTCCCACCCTTCCCAGCCTGTGATAAATATCATTTTACTCTCTACCTCTATGAGGTCAGCGTTTTCTTAAGCTCCCACATATGAATGAGAACATGTGATATATGTCTTTTTGTGCCTGGCTTTTTTCATTTAACATAATGGCTGTCCAGTTCCATCCATTTTGCTGCAAACGGCAGGATTTTATTCTTTTTATGGCTGAATAGTATTCCATTATGTAGATATACCACATTTTCTTTATCCATTCATAGACATTTAAGTTGAATTCATAACTTGGCTATTGTGAATAGTACTGCAGTAAACATGGGGATGCAGGTATCTCTTTGATATACTGATTTCTTTTCCTTTGGGTAGATACCCAGTAGTGGGGTTGCTAGATTGTATGGTAGTTCTATTTTTAGTTTCTTGCGAAACCTCCGCACTATTTTCTATAGTGGCTGTACAATGTACACTCCCAGAAACTGTAAAAGAGTTGCCTTTCCTCTTCACACAAGCCAGCATTTGTTATTATTTGTCTTTTTTATAATACCCAGTCTAACTGGGGTAAAATGATGTCTCACTGTGGTTTTGAATTGCATTTATTTCCCTGGTGATTAGTGATGTTGAACATTTTTTTCATATGCCTGTTGTCCATTGGTGTGCTTTCTTTTGCGAAATGTCTATTCAGGTCATTTGCCCACTTTTTAATGGGATTATTTATGCAGGTATCCAGTCTTTTTTCACCTCATTGCAGCCTTCAATGTATAGACCACACCACTTTCACTGTTGACTATCTCCTCATGATTTCACTTCTCTCTGTACTCAGTTCAGATACTGTGCTTGATAACCATGATCATTTTTCATGTAAGATCTTAACTCCCTTTCCTCTCTTTGCCTTTGTCATATTTAACACTCAGAATCTTATCTGTGTTTTAATTCAGTTCTCTTTTACTACACACTTACTCTAGAATAGCTGAACTTGATGAGGAAAACATCCAATCATGCTGTTTTTCTAAGTCTCCTTTATTTAGTCGATTTCCTCTCTTATAGGAAGTTATTTTCTCTCTCTCCTCAAACCTCCACCGACTAAAAATTCTCCTTCCTTTTTATAGAACAATCACCTTCTATTATACTATATACTCTACTTATTCTGTTTATTGTTATCTGTTGCCTTCTGCTAGAATATAAGCACCATGAGGAACTGAATTTTTGTTAACTAATATATTTCAAGAACTAGCACACAGTAGGTGTTTAGTAACAATATTTGTTATTGTCCATACTTTTGCCATCTCCACTTTCCACCTTCCCTTCTCTTTTCAATCCATCCTAGTTAGACTTTCTTTCCTACCACTCCACTGAAATTGTTTTATCAATTTCACTGGTAATTCCATCTTGTCCTATTCAAAGGAATGCCAGTCATTTCTCATCTTAGCCTTTCAGCATCGTTTGATAGAGCTGATCACTTTCTTGGTTTCTGGAAAATTATACCCTTTGGATTTTTTTTGCCTTTCTCACAGATTGCTTCTTTCACATGATCCTTGCTGGTTTTCTTCTTCTTGACCTTTAAATGTTGAAGAGCCGTAAGAGTTAGTCCTCAGCTGTCTTCTCTTCTTGATATACATTCACTCACTTGATAACCTCACTCAGTCCTATGGGTTTAATTATCATGTGTGTGCTGATAATAACTACATATTCAATCTAATCCTGACCTTTCCTCCTGCTTTACCAACTCATATATTTAACTGCCTAGTTGATAATTCTTCACTACAGTGGCTAATAGGCATCCCACAATGACCTGTCTAAAACAGAACACTTGATTTTATCCTATTTCCCTTCCCCAGCTTTTTCCATCTTTGTGAAAGGTATCACTCGTGACTCAGTTGGTCAAGCTGAAAGGCCAGGAGCCTTCTTTGGTTTCTCAGTATCTTTTACAGCCCACATGCAACCTATTATCAAGTCTGTACCTTCAAATCTACTCTAAATCTCACCATGTCTCATCATTTCCATTGCTACCACCTTAATCTGAGGCCCATCTGGTCTGGTTATACTACTAAGGAGCCTTCTAACTAGTCCTTTTGTTTCTACTTCTCCCCCCATCTTACCAATTCAGCTTTCTATGCAAAAAGAAAAATGATGTTTCTAAAGCCTCAACCAGATCATTATTCCTCTGTCCAAAAACATTTAGTGGCTTTACATGTTATTTAGAATAAAATCTCTCAAGGACTCTATGTGGTCTGGTTCTGTCTCCTCCTTGACCACATCTTATTATTCGTTCTTTTGAATACTTACTGACTTTTTGCTTTTCCTCAAATGAGCTAACCTTATTTTCTTCTCAGGATCTTTAGACTTGCTGTTACTTCTGTCTAGAATCCTGTTTCTACCAGTGCACATTGCTAACTTCTTCATATCATCAAATATTGCCTCTCTCCTGACGATGCACTGCCCTCACCACCCTATTGATAATTCATCTCAGTCACTCTTTCACGTTTTTGTTTATTTGTTTGTTTTTGTTTGTTTGTTTTTGAGATGGAGTCTCGTTCTGTTGCCCAGGCTGGAGTGCAGTAGCGCAATCTCGGCTCACTGCAAGCTCCACCTCCCAGGTTCATGCCATTCTCCTGCCTCAGCCTCCCCTGTAGCTGGGATTACAGGCGCCCGCCACCACACCTGGCTAATTTTTTGTATTTTTAGTAGAGACGGGGTTTCACCGTGTTATGCAGGATGGTCTCGATCTCCTGACCTCGTGATCTGCCCGCTTCGGCCTCCCAAAGTGCTGGGATTACAGGCGTGAGCCACCGCGCCTGGCCCTCACATTATTTTTATAAACTCTCCCTTACTCCTCTTAAAATCTGTTTATCTGCCACTTCTGGAATATAAGAACAAATTAGGCAGGGATTTTGTGTTTTGTTATATCCCTAGCACCTAGAATAGTACCTGGCACCATTAACACTCAATCAGTTAATTGAGTGCATTTAAATCTTTTAGAAAAGAAATGTTTTCAGAATCAAAAGCAATGCTTTAAAATCATGATGGCCTTTCAACGGTTTTTTAAAAACGTAACTCACAGCTGCAGTATGCTAGACCTTTAGATAAACATCATGAGGGAGTCCTTGCAGATGACAAGTAAGTGCTAATATTCTAAGGTGTTCTAGGGATCAGCCAAAAATACTGAAAATATAAGTGATTCTAAATTCCTTTCAGAAATGTTTAGTCATTATTCTTTCAGTGATTTTGTACATCCCTAATATCCTTTGGGGTAAATGTTTAAATTTGAGGGGAACAGATGCAGGCGAAGTTGTGGAGAAAAGGGAACACTTACACACTGCTGGTGGGAGTGTAAGTTAGCTCAGGCATTGTGGGAAGCAGTGTGGCAATTCCTCAAAGAGCTAAAAACAGAACTACCATTCAACCAAGCAATCCCATTACTGGGTGTATGCCCAAAGAAATATAAACTGTTCTGCCATAAAGGCCCATGCATACATATGTTCATTGCAGGACTATTCACAATAGCAAAGGCATGGAATCAACCTAAATGCCCATCAGTGGTAGACTGGATAAAGAAAATGTGGTGCATATATACCATAGGATACTATGCAGCCATGAAAAAGAATGAGATCATGTCCTTTGCAGCAACATGGATGGAACCAGAGGCCATTATCTTTAGTAAACTAACGCAGGAACAGGAAAAAAAAAAAGTATCACATGTTCTCACTTATAAGTGGGAATCTAAAGTAATGAGAACTAATGGGCACAAAGAGGAGAACCATAGACACTGGGGCCTACTTGAGGGAGGAGGATGGGAGGCAGGTGATAGGAGGGAGAGGATCAGGAAAAATAACTATCGGGTATTATGCTTAGTACATGAGTGTTGAAATGGTCTGTGCACCAAACCCCCATGACATGAGTTTGCTTGTAATAACAGACATGCACAGGTACCCCTGAACGTAAAATAAAAGTTTTAAAAAATTGTTTTTGGCCGGGGGCGGTGGCTCACGCCTGTAATCCCAGCACTCTGGGAGGCCGAGGCGGGCGGATCACGAGGTCAGGAGATCGAGACCATCCTGGATAACACGGTGAAACCCCGTCTCTACTAA
Organism: Homo sapiens; assembly: GCF_000001405.40. Lineage (NCBI taxonomy): Eukaryota > Metazoa > Chordata > Mammalia > Primates > Hominidae > Homo > Homo sapiens. The sequence goes on along the minus strand of NC_000004.12, from coordinate 17,952,594 downwards.
AAATACAAAAAATTAGCCGGGCGTGGTGGCGGCTGCCTGTAATCCCAGCTACAGGGGAGGCTGAGGCAGGAGAATGGCGTGAACCTGGGAGGCAGAGCTTGCAGTGAGCCGAGATCGCGCCACTGCACTCCAGCCTGGGCGACAGAACAAGTCCCCATCTCAAAAAAAAAAAAAAAAAAATTGTTTTTGAGGGGAAAGAAAATGGGTTTTTTATTTATCTTTATATAATTTGTTAGGAGTTTTTCTAAATAATTTCTTTCTGTATTCTAATGTGTATTCTAATTCATTTGAGAAAGTATAGTAGGTGAGAATGCAGACCTGATCATCAAAAGAGATGTAATTCTATTTGGGGCCCTGTTTTTTGAATTACCGTCTGTGTTTAGGTAATGCTTCTTCCCTGTGCTGTCTCTAATATGGCAGTCAGTAAAATTAGCCTATATTTAATATATAGCAATCTGTATGTGCTGTTCAAAATACTTTATATTTAAGTACTTTATGGGAAGAAGCACTTTTATGTGGAAGTAACAGAAGAACTAATATGTGCTATATGACTGGTTAGTATTATAGTGTCTTAAATAAGGCTTTTTAATGATATTTTTCCCAGTTTTCTTGAGTAACTCATGAATTTACCAACTGTATCATCACCTGTGTGTTCTTGTATAGAATGCTACTAATTTAGTTTTTTCTTTTCCCCAATTGTGACTTTTCTCCCAAGCACAACTAGCGTGTTGGTCTTTATAAAACATATTTCTGGTCCATGACTAGTTCATTAATTTAAGAAAGATTTACTAAGCTCCTACTACATGCCAGGCACTGCTCTAGTGAACAAAAGAAAAAATATCCCTGTCTTCGTGGACCTTTATGTTCTAGTGAAGGGAGGCAGATAATAAACAAGTAAATTATACCTGTGGTTGAATGTGTATATACACACATCCAAACCTCTCACAGGCTGGTTGTATATGAATATAGATAAATGCCATGGAGACAAAATGGAGAGGGACATAAAGCATGGAGATGGTGATTACATTTTTATAAGTGGTAATCAGATGACATTTGAGCAGAGATGTAAAAAAAAGTTGAGGTAGCAAACCATAGAGATCTTAGGAGAAATATATTTCAGGAATTAAAATAATAACAATTTTGAGAAATTATGGATTTGGCATGTGGTAGGTGATTGCCATTCCCATTCTTTAGTTTTATAGAATGTTTGTTTTTCTCTAAAGAACAATCTAAAATTGTAGCATTTTAAAGCAGGAAGAGGAGTTAGAGATTGTCTGTGTTTCTTTACATACAAAGAAATAGTTAACTTCACCAATGAACATGTACTATAGTGTAAACAAATAACGAAATAATGTTAGATAATTAATGATCGTCAATAGCACTTTGCAAAATAAATAAGGCAATTTTTAAAATGTCTGATTAATTGATTATAGAGTTGGTTGAGTGAAATATAGTGGTTAAAAAAAGAAATAGGAGCTTTAGCGCCCATTGCTGTTTGGTAGTGAGTTAAGCCAGAGTGAACTGGTGTAGTGAAATAGATGCCTGAGGTTCATCCATGTCTGAATCCATGGAAGTAGCTCTGAACCATCAACTGAAGCCATAGACAAACCAACTGGATGAAAAAACTCAGAATGAATAAACTGTTTAAAGTTACTTTACTTGCACTTTTTCAGCTCCTGGTCGCCCAATACTCTATTTGTAGTTTAATTTTTTAATGTGGTGAGTCTTCTCCTGTCATGATCAAACTCACTTGTAACAACAAACATTTTATTTGTGTGGTCTAAATTTTTTTTTTTTTAAGATTCGGTGTCAAGTATTTGTGACTCCTTTTTCTTTGCTTGACTAATGATGAACATCAAGTGGAAAGATTTTTTCACTTATAAACATCAACATTTCTACTGTCCATTTCATTAAATTCAGCCTCCTTTAGCAAGATGTAAGACTTTTGCTTTATGGTCAACATTTCCATTAACTCCTGGAAGTTAGCAAAATATGTACTGGATTCTTCCGTACTCCATTCATTGTTTGCAGTGATATTTTCCTCCAAGCCTGATTGGCTAATAGTATCATCTTATGAAAACTCTTTTATAAATCCTACATTAAAGAAGTATTAAATGTATTAGCACCCCACATCAGATATTCATCATCAATATGCTTGAAGCGTGATATGTCCTTTGTCTATAGGCTGCGTTAATGACATTCAATTGGAAGGCAAAAGAGTCCATTTAAATATTGTCTTCAGAAATAATGTTAACCAGAAAGAGATATACATAAGCATGTTCTATTATCAGAAGTGCCTTGTTTAAGATTTTCTTTCTCCATATGTTCCTTGATGAATAATAAAGAATGGTTCTGTACAACATCATGAATACCTTCATATGCAAGTTTTATGATTTGAACACCATAAAATAAGCATTGCTTCCTTTAACATTACTTTAAGGGCTCTTGAGTTTTTCAAGTGGTATACTAAAAAAGGTTTTAGCTTAATATCATCTTTACACTTTCCACTTAAAAAGTAATGTTGAGTTATCTTTGACCTCTTGATGTTCTAATGCTGTTCTTGTCTAAAAAAAAATTGAGGTGGCATTTTTCCCCCATAAAAGCTCTAGTTCATCAGGATTGAAAATGTGCATAGTGGTTTAAACACATTTGTCAATACTGTAGTTTTTCACATTCAGTGAGGAGTGCTGCTACAGCCTCACTGACAGCAGAAACTACTCACTGAACTGTGATCCTCAAATTATGTAGTTTGTACAGTTCTTAAGTTTCTCAAACCCCTCTGTACATCCTTTAAAACTCAACTCTTTTACTGAATCATTGCCTTCTTCAGCTGAGGTACACTATAAATACAGTGTGATTGTTTGTTATAACAGAATTTAAGAAATAGATTTTATGGAATTACAAGAAGTATAAATTCTACTTGAAGTAAGAGCTAGGAGAAGAAAGTGTATTGTTTCCAATACAGGCTTTACAATAGTGATAACAGTTGAGCAGAATTCCCTCAGTAAAAGAAAGCAAAGGAAAATGGATAGCTCCCGTATCAGGGTTCTTGATTTAAAGTTACTAACTTTGGCCATGTTAAGGAAGAGGGGGTTATTGGGAGACTATTCAGGGCTCTCACAATTATCTAGAGGCTAGAGGGCCAAGGTTGGCAAATAAAAAATCCAAGAATACAGAGGAACTACAGTCAAGGACGCATTATAATAAACAAGTCTGCATGACCTGAGGTTTATGCTTCCATAATGTGTTCGTTTTTCCAAGTCCTGAGAGGATTCATTTAATTGGCCCATTCTAAAACATCTGTCTGCCCACCCTTAGCATCACTATGGCTGAGAAGGAGAGGAGGGATCTGGCCTCTTCCACATCAATTGTACACGTAGTCAAAAGATGAGAGTAGCACTCTGGAAAATGAATATGCCCAAAGAGACCAAGTGTATAAAAAGCATAAGATTCTAGAGTTGTCAGGTGAAGTGTGTATGCTTTTTATGATGGTACTCTCTACCTGCTAGCTAAATCCTGGAAAAGGGGGAATTAGGGTACTAAAAATAGGAGACTTTGTTGCTGGACAGTACACACACAAAGCCAGATATCTGTTAAACCCCTTAATTTGCCAAAAACAAGGACATATTCTCAGCCCTTACGCTGCTTAGACCCTACAGTATTTGACTTCATTCATCACTCCTCTCTTTCTTGGAAACTCTCTTTCCTTTGGCTTTCACTGTACCGTTTTCTCCTCTGAAGATTGTCTCTTTACTCCTCTGAAAATTGTCTCTTTACTCCTCTGAAAATTGTTTCCCATTTTCTCCCTTTTTTTTTCCCTGATATGAGGAGGAAGGTATAATAAGTCAGGTAAGGTAGATTTTCTTATTCTTTGTTTCATCCCTTAAATGTTATTCTCTTAAGGCTCAATTCTCAGCCTCCTTTTAATTTTATGCATTCTCCCTGAACAACCTTAAGCTTCAGGCTCTCACATCATAGTGATAGAAAATCTGCATTGCTAGTCCTGATTTTTCAAGTTCATATTCCTGGCTGCTTCTAGGTTATCAACTTCCAGATACAACCCACAAGAATTTCAAAGGAGGTAATATGTATAACACTGGAAAATTTTAGTTATTCCTTTTGACTTCTACTCCTGTCTCCTCCGTTAAAATATGAAATCTTTGAGGATAGACACTGTCTTTTATTTCATCATTTTTTTCTAGTACTTAGCACGTGTATTTATGCTCAATACATGTGTAATGAATGTTTCCTATTCTGCTCTCCAGAAAATGAGAAGTTTAAAACCCTACTCTGTGGCCCAGATTCCTTACATAAATAACCCATACCTCCAGTTACCTTGATTAGAAACTTCACACTAAATACTTGTTGAGTAACTGAATCTACCAGGTCCCCTCAATCCTATTGATTCTACTTAAAATACTATTTTTTTATCGACCATGCAGGTGTTCATATTTTCTTGGCTTCACTATAACCCTCCACATATTTATCACTTTCTTTTAAAACAAAGCCATTATTCCCTTATCTGCTGCTGCTTAGTATCAACACTAAAATCCAATTATATTTATGTGTACTTCAGTGTTTTTGCTGCTTCTCATTTCCTGTTTGCTTGATAAACTCTAAATCATCTTTCAAGGAAGAAATGTTTCATATTCCCTGATTCCTTTCCTGTTTTTCTTTTCATTACCTCCAGGCAAAAATAAAAGTTTCCCTCTTAGATTTCCTGTAACACATTGTATATGCAAAATGGAACATAAATTAGATGTGCTTTGCCAAAAAGAGAGGATAATAAGAAACTAAAACCTATATCACGTGGGTATCTGTTCTGATTGGTGAGAATACACTCTATACAGATGGTGATACTGGAGTTAATGGATTTACTGGTCTTTTTAAAAAATGTTCTTATTGTAAATTGACAATTTATAATTGCATAAATTTATGGGGTACAAAGTGATCTATGGACACAACTTGGAATAATTAAATAAAGCTAGTTCATACATCCATCACTTCAAATACCTAACATTTTTTGTGGTGACAGCATTTGAAATTTACTCTCTTAGTGATTTTGAAAGGTATAGTACTCTATTTTTAACTCTATTCATCACATTGTGCAATAAATCTAAAAAAAAACCAACAAATCCATATTCCTTTTGAGATTGTGTACCCTTTGACTCTGTTTCCCCATTTCCCATACCCCCAGCCTTTGTATTCTACTCTGTACTTCTTGTATTCTACTATTCTGCTCTCTGCTTCTTGAATTTGATTCTCCTGGATTTCACATATAAGTGAAGACATGCAATATTTATCTTTCTGTGCCTGGCTTACTGTACTTTATATAATGTTCTCCAATTCCATCCATGTTGTTGCAAATGACAGAATTTCCTTCTTTAAGGCTGAATAGTATCCCATTGTATGTGTGTGTGTACGCATACACATATGTACACACACCACATTTTCTTTTTTCAGATTCATCTGCGGCTGGACACTTAGCTTGATTCCATGATTCAGCTGTTGTGAATAATGCTACAATGAACATGGGAGTGTAGACATTTTATCAACAAACTGATTTCAAATCTTTTGGGTGAATACCCGGAAGTGGGATTGTTGGATCATACAGTAATTCAATTTTCAGTTTTTCTGAGGAACTTCCATCCAGTTTTCCATAATGGCTGTACTAATTCACATTTCCACCAACAGTGCACATGGGTTCCCTTTTCTCTGCAATTTTTTCTTCTTTTAATAGCTCTTAGTTTCTATATGCCTCACATACTCTAAGTATCTCTGCAAATAGAGTGTAATTCCCATGCTTAAAAGATGTTATGTTTCCTAATACACAATGATGTATGAGATTGTAGGCCTTAAAAGATGCAGACTGCACTTATGGGCTATTTAAGGGATTTTTAAGGATAATTTTGACTCTACCATGAGTTTTACCTTTCTTTGTCAATTTTAGATACTATTTTGTCATTATCTTCTTAAGAGTACTGATCTTAGTAAATTTTAAACTCCTTAAAGGCAAGGAATACCTAAATAAGATTTATATTTTCAGTTCCTTGTATAATACATTTATGTTTTAAATGAATTTAAGTCTGTGACATAAAACAAAAACATAACATACTCTTCAACATGGGATACATACTTGCTTCTCAATTTACTAAATTATATATTTTAGGTATAAGTGGTGGGAAAATGAAATCTTTTTTAAAAAACTGCATGTTTATACACATTACATGCATGTGTGTGGTTTTTAAAATAGCATGGCTAAAGCAGTCTAACAAATTTTAGGATACCATATACAGTAATACAGTTCAGAAAAATTGCTAAAAGGCCAAGGAAATAAAGGAGGAACCTACTCAAAAGATGGTGTGAAAGCAGTTTACTGGTCAGCATTCACCTTCTTAGTTGCCATATGTTTAGATATCTTAACGTTTTGCTCTATAAAATAATAGTTTCTAAGGTGGGTTTTCATGGTTTTGTTTTGTTATGAGAACTGATGTTTACATATGCAGTTTTCCTGCCACAAATTTTGTGTTAGAGGATGCCGTGGAAACAAGAGTTTGGTTTTTTTAAACTCCTCAGAAAAATCTATATGTCTTAGATGTCTGCTTTTCTCTGATTTTTCTATTTCTTATTTCTTTTTAAATTTTGTCTCATTAAGTTTCTAAGTTCTTCATGGTATTTAAATGTGTTTAAAACAGTGGTTATGTCTGTCATAAAAACAGCAGGCTGTTAGGTAACTTTAGAGTGAAACTACTGTGACAATTATTTTGCCTAGTTTTTTTTTTTAACATATACGTTGTCAAAGCATAAATACAGAAAATTTTCATAGCCACTATATATAATGCATCTAAAACTCTAATCCAGAATTCTTAAAACTTTATTTCCTCTTGATATCTTAACCATAAGACTAATTTGATTGTAGTCTGCCTACAAACTTAAGATAGCCCAACATACTAAATTAGGTGGTATTAGAATCTTAAGTTCAGGGCCTTTTAAGGAAAAAGTAAAATTTGTAATGCTTGTAGAAATTAACCAAGGACTGAAATATTGTAAGTCTCCTTTACTTGGAAAGGGAGAAAAGGAGGGGTATATTGCTGGGTCAGCTATTTTTTTGCCAGATAATTTTCTCTGTATACTCCATATATTCTAGTTGTATTGACGATAAATTCTAGTGTAAAAAAAAAAACCCCAATTTATAAGCCAGTCAGTGTCTGAATCAATCCAACATCTCAACTATTTTATAAAATGTTGAAGTTCTGTCGTGTCATGAGTGATTCTGATATTTTTTGTTTGTATTCTCACATAATTTAAAAGATTATCATCTTTTAAATGTAATTTTTATAATAATAGTACTCTGTAAAACATGCTCTAATAATACATGAGTTTTCCCATGTACCTCATTTAATAATGTGATGTAGTTAACTGCTGTCAAGAATTACCCTTATCTCTAAAGTACTTTGGAACCTCAGCGTCTTATTCTTTCTCTGTGTTTCTTAATTTGCTAAGATATAAGGAATCTATAATTCTTGCAGAGGGTGTGATTAAATACTGTACCTGGGAAGTGTGATAAATTAGTTTTGTATATTATTTCACCATTTTTATTTTACATATAATTATGAACTGTCTGCTGCAGTTTACTGTCTGCTATTGGCTAGTTGTATATTATATCCACAGCCTGCTCATACTGTTTTTGTAAAGTTTATCTGTAGACTTTCCAGCCTGTAGAACTGTGAGAAACAAATTTCTGTTGTTTATAAACTATCCAGTCTAAAGTATTTTATTATTGCAACCCAAATAGACTAAGACAAGTGCTCTGTAAAATAGTATGTGCGTATAGGTAGGGGTTATTATCTAAGATGTCCGCTGAAGTGCAGGACTTCTATTTATATATATCCTTCATAAAATAAGAATTCTCCAATAAAAGGAACCAAAGCCCCTTGGAGAAGTGGTTGTTTGCATGGCTGGGGCTAGGAAAATAAAGATGAGCTTGGAGCATTTTGTGTTGCCAGAAAGTAAGGAAGTGCTCAAAAAAAAGTATGGGAACACAGGAGCCATCCTGAAAGAGCTCCTGATGGCCAGAGTTGCAACAATTTGAGCAACAAAGTAAACAACAATAGTTATAACAATAATTTGGATTATTACCTGTAGAATAAAATTAATATCCATGTTTTAATACTGATATAAGTGAATAAATAAATGAGAAGGAAGGGGCAGTTCTTTCTTACAGAAATAAATATTCCAGTTAAAAAATGTGGAATGGGATAGTGAATAGGTACAAAGAAAAGGTAGAAGATTGAATGAGTAAGACCTAGTATTTGATAGCACAACAGGGGTCTATAGTCAATAATAATTTAATTGTACATTTTAAAGTAACTAAAATCAATGAGCCTACTTAAAAAGACTATGTATCTGCTAAAGAATGTAATAGGGAAAACTGTAGTCACAAGGGAATCAGACTTCTGCTTTAACAAGTCTAGGACATTCACAAATACAGTGGTCAGGTCCTGGCTTTAATTAGGCAAAAAACTATGGACAGTGGCATGAATAAGTATGGGTAAACTAGATTTAAGACTAAAAGAAGATACCATGCCCATATCCTCTTTTGAGGAAAACCACCTAGGGTGGGTAGCTTCATTAAGCTATGGTAGGACATGGCTTTCACTAAAACCTTAAGTAAAGTGTGAGTAACAAATGAAATTTGGAAGTATATAATGGGTCTGGCAAGTTTTCTTTTGTGATAATGGTATGGATTCTTATGATAATGTGTCTGTACCCCTTAACCTACCCCCGCCAAAAACTCCTAAAATGTTTTAAAAACCAAAGGTCCTATGATTCTGTATTCTTTATATTCCTGTGACCTGGCATATTCCTCATTCTACATGGGCTATTGAGACCATCAAATCTGTAGAATAAAAAGAAATTTCAGGAAGCCCATGTCCACTTACTTTATCCTTGATTTTGTATTTATTCTTTGCAGCGCATATCAGTGGTGAAATAGTAAGCCAAAGTGAAAGCAACATAAGCAATGTGTTAAGTCTTCATTCTTGCCAGCCTTTGAACCAGCTAACTCATAAGCCTTCCAGAAGAAAAATCATTTTTCTCTAGTAATTCCTTTCAGCGAGTGTTAGTAACTTTTGGTATAAGGTGTGAGAGAATAAAGGAATGTTTTCTCATTTTTGTTTTTCTGTGAACTACCAATTTTAAAAGATTAGTTTATTGCTCAATTATTAATGCAGTCCTTATTCCCTTTGAAGAGTGAAGAGTCATTTCATTTATGAGATACTCACTGAGTTACCTTACTGAGTTGTGGTTACCATGGTTGATCACCAAATAGTTGAGTAAGGTTTAGTGTTTAGTCTCAAGGAGGACATTGCTTGTTACAGTAGGATACGGTGGAGATACAATAGGGAGAATAATATATGAGCTCTTGATTCTCTTGTCATCTCAGGGGTGTTGAAACTGAAGACAAAATGAGCCGCCGGATCAGCAGTCCCCAACGTTTTTGGCACCAGGGACAGGTTTCGTAGAAGACAATTTTTCTCAGGCAAGGTGTTGCAGGGAGATGGTTTCGGGATAAAACTGTTACACCTCAGATCATCAGGCATTGGTTAGATTCTCATAAGGAGTATGCAACCTAGATTCCTCTCATGCACAGTTCACAATAGGGTTGGTTCTCCTATGAGTATCTAATGCTACTGCTGAACTGACAGGAGGCAAACTCAGGCGGTAATGCTCACTTGCTGGCTGCTCACCTCCTGCTATGCAGCCCAGTTCCTTACAGGCCATGGACTGGTACCAGTCTGTGGCCTAGGGGTCGGGGACGTCTCCAAGAAATATATAATCTTTATATTGTATTCTTCCATACTAGGTTGTTAACTCCTAGAGAGCAGAAAATACATAGATTTTCTCAGTATCTTTTATTACCCTGAGCAAGTATCATAGTTATATTAGAGTTTTGATAATTGATTTTTAGTAACTTATAAAAATGAAAGATGATCTCTAGTTGAAACCCAGCTCTGTGCCTCTGTAATTATCCTATTACAGTATTTTCTAGGTAAATGCTTTTCTTAATACTAATAGTAATTTGTTTGCATTTTGCTTACAGTCTTATGCTATTTGAAAATTAAAGATGATTAAAAAGCAACATTTGGGAGGGTCTTTTATGGCTCATTCAGTAGATAAAATAGAGCAATAGTATGAGTCTTGGTAGTTGATTATTAAGCCTAATTCCTCAGTTTACCTTTCTGCTTGCTTTGTAGCATTTAGATATTTTGCATGGTCTTGTCATGACCAGAGAATAATGCATTTAAATCCTATAGTAGTCCATAGTGGTCCTTACAAAACTTAACTGACTTAGAATTGACTTTTTACCCTTATTTGGGTTTCACTCTATTGTCAAAATATTTGCTTTTCTTTGGAAACAAATCTGCTTTTTAACACTTTTACTTTGTTTTACATTTGTTCATAAGAATGCCCCAGCTATAGTAGATCTAAAAGCTTATATAAAGGTTTTGACATTTCTTGAGTACCATACTGGTTAGACTGGTTATGTTCTAACAAGTCAGATATTTGTGGCACCCCTAACTATAATTCTCCACAATAGCCTCTAGACAATAACTTTAAAGCTGTGTTGAAAGTGGCTGTGATAGGAATAAGGCATTATCTAAATGACTCTGATGGTTCAGAGATTTATGATACTTAATAGCAAGTGTCATCACTGCTGAGGAGGCAAAAAAAAAAAAAAATTCTATCATGGGAAATGATTCAGCATTCCAAATAATCTCTGGTCAAATTTCCACTACAACTCAGACTATTGTGCAGAGAAATATGAACATTGGGGTAATGTATCTAGAGTAAATTGCTTGACTGCTTTCCTATAAGAAGAAAATGGTTTACCCTTCCTTTTCAATTACAATACTTAAGTGTTTTGTATATCAAGGGTAAGAGGCTAGCTGGAAGACTTGTGCCATTATTATTCATCTCTTCTGAACTTGTCTTGCATGGTGGAATATATCGTTAGCTTATATAAGAAGTGGAAGCTAGATGAAGCAGGATGGGAGTGGAATGTCTGAGAACATTGATACAGAATAATTATGGCAGTCTATGGTTATGGTGGTTATCAATGATTTTTTTTTTTTTGAGACAGAGTCTCACTCTGTTGCCCAGACTGAAATGCAATGGTGCAATCTCGGCTCACCGTAAGCTTCGCCTTCCGAGTTCACACCATTCTCCTGCCTCAGCCTCCTGAGTAGCATATAAAAATGTATAAGTGCATATATAGTATATATGCATATAGTGTATATGTGCATATATAGTGCCTCAGCCTCCCGAGTAGGTGGGACTATAGGTGCCCACCACCATGCCCAGCTCATTTTTTGTATTTTTAGTAGAAATGGGGTTTCACCGTGTTAGCCGGGATAGTCTTGATCTCCTGACCTCGTGATCTGCCCGTCTCGGCCTCCCAAAGTGCTGGCATTACAGGCGTGAGCCACAGCGCCCGGCCCTGATGGGGATGCATTTTTAAACATTTGTTTTCTTTTTCTGATAATATTCAGAAACCTCTGAATCTTTTCTACTTTATTTTGCTTGGCAGGTTGTTCTCTGACCTCTCTTTTTCTACCTCACAGTTACAAGAAGTGAAACAGTGGATATAACATTTCGTAATTGCAACTTAAAATCAGCATATACTACTTTGCTGCTGTAATTTTCATGATACTATTTATCAGATTTTTATATATCTTTAATTTTACTTTCTAGCTCAGAGATTCTTAACCTGGGATCCACATAGTTTGCCCAAAAGTTCATAGATAGGATTTCATGGGTCCATGAACTTGAATGGTTGAAAAAATTACATTTTTATTTTCATTGACCCTTGGTTGAAATGTAACATTTACTTCAACTGTAAGCATAGACAACAAACAACAGTGGTATTAGTAGTACCTGTTCCGATAATAGAAATCATAAATATTTTTATATCATATCTTTAATTATTTTTTACATTCTCAACTACTTTGAAATTATGGTAGACATTGGACTTACTACTAGATTTTATATTTTAATGCATTAAAAGAGGCATATATATTACATCTGTATTACATATATTACATAATACATATATATTACATATATTACATAATATATATTACATATATATTACTATATTATAGTAATATAAAACTATTTTAATATAGTTTGTTTCCTATATATTCATGCATTTAAAAACATGATTCAGAGAAGGAGCCCGTGGGCTTAACCACACTGACAGAGGAGTCCTTGCACAAAATAGTTAAGAATTCTGTTTACCTCCTTTACTATTTAATCTTTATACTGTCCCTAGAATGTCATACCTTAAGGACAGTGTCCTTAGATTTTATATACATATATATCTACCTGTATATGTGTGTGTGTGTATATATATATATATACATGTATACATATATATACATATATACATATATATACACATATACATATATATATACACACACATATATCTACCTATATATGTATATATAGTATATATGCATATAGTGTATATATGCGTATAGTGTGTATATATATGCATATGGTGTATATATGCATATATACCATATAGTGTATATATGCATATATAGTACATGCATATAGTGTGTATATGCGTATATAGTATATGAATATATAGTACATATACATATGTAGGTACATATATGTATATATACATATATGTGTGTGTGTGTGTACATGTACCTATTCCTTTTCCCCAGGTTTATTTTTTTCCAGATTTCATCCCCTCTCCTGGCTTCAACACTTCACCTCTGTTTAGATGAACCACCGCCTCTTTCATTATTCTTTTCTAGACACCTTCACATATATATTATGGGAAGAATTTTAAGTCACTGGATCTAAAACTAAACTTACTTTGCTTTTAAAACTTGTTCTTTTTTCTGCTGTGTTCTCCTTTAATTAGTGCCATTGACACTTTCCTACTCACCCAGAGTTAAATTGCAAGAATAATTTTTTATTCTTTGTACCTTCTTACTACTTTCTCTGAAAGGAGTTATAATAAATAGCTAGGGATTATTAATGAGGCTGCTATGAACATTCTTGTGTAAGTCTCTTTTTTAGACATCTGTTCCATTTCTCATGGGAAAATACCTATGAGTAGAATTGCTGGGTTATGGGATCAATGTATATTTAAAATATAAAACATAAAACCTATTTATATTATCTAATATGAAAGCTATTTATATCAGAAACTGCCAAACTGTTGTAGAAAATATATTATTTGAGTCTTACTAGCAATATGTAAGAATTACAGTTGCTCCACATGCCTTTGAGCAATTGATGTTATCATTCCGTTACTAGCTGTTCTAGTGGGTGTGAAATGGTATCTCATTTTGCTTTAAATTGCATATCTTTGATGACTAATGATGTTGTGCACATTTTCACGTTCTTACAGACAATTCATGTATCTTCCTTTTTAAAGGATCTGTTCAAGTCATTTGCTCATTTTTAATTGGGTTGTTTGCTTTCTGTTGATTTGTAGGTGTTTGTTATAAATTCTGGATAAAAGTCCTTTGTCAGATAATTACTAATGTTTTATGTTTGTTGAATAATGCTTTAGCCTGGTTGAAGTGCTTTTATAGACTTTGTCCCTAATTAGTTGGGTAGATTAACCTTGTGAGGTTGAAGATGTGTTAGTTCTGATGCCCTCCCTAGGGTAGGTAAAGAAACTAGACATACAGGAGAAACTAAATTAAGACTAAGACAACTAAGAAAATAAGAAAGGGGAACTCTGAAACAGATTGAGAGAGCCTTAGCAACTTTACTTTTTGAGTGGGTTATAAAAATTGTTTTATCTTCTAAGTATTTTGTATAATAAATTAAACTTTAGAAACAGTTACAGGGCCGGGCGCGGTGGCTCACACCTGCAATCCCAGCACTTTGGGAGGCTGAGGCGGGTGGATCACCTGAGGTCAGGAGTTCAAGGCCAGCCTCAACATGGAGAAACCCCATCTCTACTAAAAATACAAAATTAGCCGGGTGTGGTGGTGCATGCCTGTAATCTCAGCTACTCGGGAGGCTGACGCAGGACAATTGCTTGAACCTGGGAGGCAGAGGTTGCAGTGAGCCGAGATCGCACCATTGCACTCCAGCCTGGGCAACAAGAGCGAAACTCCATCTCAAAAAAAAAAAAAAAAGAAAGAAACAGTTACAAAATGAAGTAAAACTACACACCCAAGATCATTAAAGGATCTATTATTAATTTGTAACATCAAGGTAAGTCCAGTAGGATAGAAGTTTAAATTTATGGCTGTGCGTGGTGGCTCATGCCTGTAATCCCAGCACTTTGGGAGGCCCAGGCAGGAGGATCACCTGAGGTTGGGAGTTCGAGACCAGCCTGACCAACATGGAGAAACCCCATCTCTAATAAAAATACAAAAAATTAGCCAGGCGTGGTGGCACATGCCTGTAATCCCAGCTACTCGGGAGGCTGAGGCCGGAGAATTGCTTGAACCCAGGAGGCAGAGGTTGCGGTGAGCTGAGATCGCGCCACTGCACTCCAGCCTGGGCAAACAAGAGCGAAACTCTGTCTCAAAAAAAAAAAAAAAAAAGAAATTGTTTAAATTTATAAGTCTAAAGCTTCCTTTTATTCCTGCCACATGTAAATATGTAACCTAATTTGAAAATTATATTAAAATTCTAAATATGTTATAAATTTATAAAGTGCAGCCCAGGTCAAATGACTCCCCTGGCTGCTTCCATGCTAGATATGAAAGTAGACCAGATTTTGTTCTATTGTATTGCCCTTTAGTTCCTGTTTTTGTTTGAAAAATATACAGCTAGGCTTATCCATAGATAAAGTAATAATATAATGAATTTAAATTTGTCTTTTTATATGGCTTAACTGTACCTCTTAGTTATGGGGGCAAGGGTGCATGCTGCTGTTTCCCTTCTGGTGTTCTAACTAGCATACTTGTTAATATGTTTCTATGGAGAATGATGTGAAAAAGGAGAAGAAATCTAAGTCTGTAAGGTTTTTCATTTATTCCCTTCATCACAGGAGGTTTCGGTAAGGGAAGAATGAAATTATTAGTGAAAAATCAGTTGTTTATTATGACTTTGAGAAGTTCAGATTATTGCTATTCTTATATTCTATTGTGACAAATGCTTTAAAAAGTTAGATTTATTAATATTACTCTTTATATTGAGGGATTACCAGGTTTTGATGATATAATACAATGGTTGTGGAAGATAACACTTTTTATTAATGGACACTGCCTTTTTACTGTTTTTCCCCAGTTGTCTGATATAGTATGGCTGCTAGAGCTTGTTTCGTTGAGTTGTATCTAGCAGTGGAAGCATATTACAATGTGCTAGAAAAACAATTGCAATAGAATGTTGGCAAAATTTTTCAGAAAACTTGGAAATGACTAAAATGTTAACCCAGAGCAGTGTTATTTTGGCATTAAGAAATGGGGACAAGAAACAAAGACCCACCTAAGCTGGGGATGAATACCTGTGAATTGTTCAGAAGGATTATGGGGGTATCTCATATATGTGATTTTATAAATTTTTTAGCCCTATATGTAAATTACATAGATTATAAAATGTATGTAATGCATTATGAAACTATTGCAGGATAATAAAAAATGACCCATGACTATTGAGCATATTGACTTACATATTTGTTCAACTTTATTGTACATGTTACTGCTGGTGGTGATTAGGAACTTCCTGCAATATTCTGTGTGAAGAGACATTTGGAGTTGGGGGAAACTGAAATGATCTTTTCTAATTAAACTAAGTTATTGTGCCACCCCTACTGCAAAAAATAGGAAGGGGAGGGAAGGATAGAATTAGAAACACATACATGAAAAGGAAAGTGATGCATCAAAATATTCTCCGTTAACCTCTCATAAAATATCTAAACTCAGGAATTAAATAAGTTCACATAAATTTTCAAATAAATTCCTTGCTATTGAAAATTCAAGAACCAAACAGATTCAGATTCTGCAATATCCATTGCTATCTGAACTTTTTCTTCAAACTATGTGAACTCAAGAACTAAATAGATTTGAATAAGAAGTGATACACATTTTATTGTTTTTGTTGGTGAGACCACATGATCTGGTGGAAAAAAAATACTGATCTGGAAGATGGGAAAACCAGTGTTCTACGCCCTGCCACTATGCCACTATGCCACTATCACTGATTTGATCTTTCTGGATTTTTGTTTCTTTTTTTTTTTTTTTTTCATTATGAGACTGGATTAGATTTTATCTAAAATCTGGTAGTTCCAAAATTCTAGTGGTCCTGAAAAGTGGATAAAAGTTTAGGAGCTATTTTTAACATTTCAAAAAGCCTTAAGAAGTCATATAATTATCTGCACTAAGACTGTAGGTCAAACAAATTTCTTTTATATTTGGATCAAATTGATATTACTCTTTATAAAAATTGCCACACCAAGCTACTTGTGTCTTATTGAAAATGTCTTTGAATTAAAAGTAGGGAATTACATTATACAAGATTGGAAATCATTAGCTATATGTTTTCTAATGTGTATTTCCAAAGGTATAGGTGAATAGTTTACTCTTGTAAGTTTAGTACTCTTATTTATTTCTGGAGAATTCAGAGTTCTTTAAGTGGTCATGGTTTTTTATTACCCAGTAATGTGTAATATACTTTCAGAGGATTTAATTCCAAAATTGCTTTTCAATTACTGTGTACCTACACTTAATTTCATTCCATATTTTTGTTATTTTTCAACTGTAGTTAAATTATGCTCTAAAAATTTATTGATTGTGTCAGTCTGTTTGCATTGCCATAAAGGAATAACTAAGACTGGGTGATTTATAAAGAGGTTTATTTTGACTCACGGTTCTGCAGGCTTCACAAGAAGTGTGGTGCCAGCATCTGCTTCTGGTGAGGGCCTCCGGGAGCTTATAGTAATGGCAGAAGGTGGAGGAGGAGCCAGTGTATCACATGGTGAGAGAGGAAGAACAAGAGAGAAAGGAAGAGGGAGGGAGGGAAAGGGAAGCTGCAAGGCTGTTTAAAACAACCAAATCTCACATGAACCCAGAGAGTGAGAATTCACTTATTACTGAGGATAGCACCAAGCCATCTTTGAGGGATCTGGCCCCATGACCCAAACATCTCCCACTAGACCCATCTCCAACATTGAAGGTCACATTTCAACATGAGATTTGGAGGGGACAGAACATCTAAACCATGTTACTGATTAATTCATTTGGAACTCATGAGTAGTATTTTTTTTCATGGAAATATATGTTAAGTAGTAGTTATTTTCTAAGCTACAAAAGACTATAATGGCAAGTAATGGTTAATATATTTGATTTGTATTATTTCAGCACTGCTATCATTGATAGTTTTCTGAAAATTGGATTCTAAATCTGGAAGAACAAGAACACATTTTAGTCTTCTCTCCAGATGTTACTTTGATTCCTTCTTTCTTCTTCTGTACCTACCAAAGCGGCCCTATATAATACTGAGACTTCATTAATGGGCAAAGTATGTAATAACCAGGCATCTGTATAATATCACTTTTTTTTAGTCAGAACTGTTTCATTTGTTCTCTATGAAACTACATATTGAGTATGTCAGTTTGAATGCCAGTGAGTGGGCAGTTAGTTACATAGTGGGTAACTGATTGGTTTTCACCCTCCGTTTTTTAGAAAGACTTAATACTTTATTCTGTTCTAGCCTGAGGATAAAATATATTTTAAAATACCTTGATACCATGTTTCGTGAATGCTTTTAGTCTATGAAGAAAAACAGTTTTACTAATGAGATACTTGCTCACTAGTAGTAAAGAAGTGCCAGATGAAGGTGCTCTGTAGTTGTCAAAATGTGAATTGGAATTTAAAAATTTACCCATAATGTAGAATTACTGTTGCTCCATAATTCTGCAGATCTGCATTCCTGCATTTCCATGATTATTTACTTACTGAATGATAAAACTTGCAGCTAAATTTGTCTTCAACACACCTTTCTCAGAGCATCAATTACATTATTCATTAAGGAATAAATAGCATCTCTAAAGCATGTATCAACATCAGAACTAAGCTTTATGAATTATACAGTGCATCTAGTGATTCCTTATTCTAAAAGATCTCTGGTGCCATCTACTGAATGCTTTTTAAAGGAAAAAACATGAAATCAAATAATAGATTTTCACTTAATTCAATTTTTTGTTTTGTTTTAATTTTCAATTACTAGAACAGATCTAGGTTTATAAAAGAACTAAACAGGAAGTACAGAATTCCCATATAATCACTTTTCCCCCATACCCTCAGTTTCACCAAGAACACCTTTCATTGGTGTATTTCATTTGTTACATTTGATGAACAAATGCTGATACATTATTATTAACTGAAGTTCATAGTTTACATCAGAATCAGTTTGTGTATGTTGTACAGTTTTGTGGATTTGCCAAATACACAGTCATGTATCCTTCATTACAGTATCATGCATAATATATCACTTCCCTAAAAATCCCTGTAATCTGTGAAAAATCCCTGAAGTCTGAGTACTTGATACTAGGAAATAAAAAGGAAGAGTCTTAAAATCATAGGACCAGAGGTAGCAGTCTTGGCAAGGTACCATTTCTAATGAAGAGAAGGGTGAGCTAAAAGGACTGTTACTTAGAATCTTGTTAATAAGTAGAAGGAAGAAATTAAGGGTCCTGTAGAAACAAAAGAGAATCACAAAACTGAAAACATATCAACTCTTCATTCCATTCTACCATTCAAATGCACCACTAATTAAATAAACTATACCATACCAGCATAAGGGTTCTTTTCATCCAGATTATCTCTGTATACAACAGTTTTTACATATGACAGTAATTGCTGGTTTGGGAATATAAAGTAATTCAAAATGAATAGAGTATAGGACATATGAAATTCTCTCTAAAAACAAAACAAGCAGAAAAACAGAAGAATAGTACATCATAACACCTCAAAGTGAATTATATATTGTTAAAAGAAGCATTGGCAGATATGATAAAACACCTTACACAAAATCCAGGCATTCAAAAAGAAATAGATAAAAAGGAAAATGGGAATGGAGAATTGACTAAACTTAGGAATACAATTTTAGAAAAAAATCTGCTTAGAAATAAAGACTTAATTTCAAAGGAGAATAGATTTGACTGAAAATATAGAGTCTTTGGAGAAAGCTATGAAAATGGCTAAGAGAATGAAAATGAAATAAAATGGTAAAAAGGTAGAGAAAAAAGTTGTTGCTAGAACAGTGCTTGAACAACAACAAAAAGTCCAACACAGGTGTAATTGGAGACCCAAAGAAGAAAACAAAATAGTGGAACATGTTGAAACTATAATTTGAGAAAACTTTCCAGAAATATATTTGAAACTACATAGCTTTCCAGAAATATATTTGAAACTACATAGCTCACTACATACCTGGGATTATTGACACAGAATAACAAATTTTGAGACATCCTGGTAAAAGTATGATAATTTTAAAAAAGGAAAAACCCAATGGACCTCAAGACAAAAATACTAAGTCACAAAGATAAAAATCAGGTAAATCAAAATTCTCAACAAGAACATTTAAAGAAAGACAGCCCCAGAGCAACATTTTCAAAGAAGTTAAAGAATAAGTGAAACTTTTGTGTTCAGTCAAGTTCTATTTCATGTATGAAGATGGTCAAAACATAATTAAATGTGTAAGAACTCAAGAAATACTGTATTTAAAGCACTGCTAGAATAATCTACTGGAGCTGTAGTCAGCAAACATTTTCTGTGAAGGACCCAGAGAATAAATATTGGAGATTTTGCAGGCAATATGGTCTCTGTTGCAATTCACCATATTTGCCATTATAACAAAAATATCCATAGACAGTACATTAATGAATTAGTATGGGTGTGTTTCAATAAAACTTTATCTACAAAAAGTGATGATGGGCCACGTATGTCCCCCTGCTTGCTCAGCCTCGTACTCTATGGCACATTTCTTGCAATGAATAAATGGCAAAAGGAGTGATTGTGAGCATTGGCCATATTTTATTTAAGGCTAAAGCAGAGTGAAGGTTGGGAAGAGTGGGAAATGAAGTAGGAAAAATTCACTGAGTGTCACTTATGTATTATTTAGGAATCAAAGATATCATTTGAAGCCTGAATACCAAACAGCCTAACTAAGGGAAAGGGGGACTAATGGCATCATAAGAAGTAGTAGGTAAAACTGGTAATTAACAAACAGACAAACTCTCTTAAATACTGAAAAATTTTACAAAGCAAAGAAAATGGACCACAGGAAGAGAGAAAAATAAAACTTAAATCTGTAAGCTGACACTAATATATGAGTCATTGTAGGACATGTGAAAACATTGAACTCCCCTGTTAAACAGATGTCCAGAATGGTTCATGAAGCAAGACTCAGGTTTGAGGTGTATATATTGACAAGACATGCCTAAAATAAAATGATTTTAAAAGACTAAAAGGAGTGAGAAAAAGTATGGACGGCAAATTGAAAACAATAAAGAAAGCCAAGATTAATTCTAATGTTACCCAGGGTAGAAATTAGCGGCGGAAAGGGCTACTTCATAGTGTTAAAGACCGTAATTCATAATGTGTGTGGATGTAACATTTACTAGTATCTGTGTACCAGATAACATTAGCAACCATCCTCCTAAACAGAAACTACAGAGAATTCAGAAGGACAAATACACAGAATTAACCCATCACTTTTAGTCCAAGATATGTGAAGTGAATCTAAAGTAAGTAAGGATATAAAAGACCTAAAAGCACAGCAAGGGATATTTTATGAATATATATTGAACTCAATTCTCAAATAACATAAAATATATTTTCTTCCCAAGTATACATGGAACATTCACAAAAAATTTTTATATATTAAGTCAAAAAGAAATCCTAAGTTCCATAAAGTAGAAACAATACAAAAAGCATTTTTTCATTATAATGCAATAAAGATGGACATCAATAACAAAACATTTTAAAAGTCTTATTTACCTGCAGTATTAATACTATTTTAAACAACTTTAGGTGTATAGTGAAGAAAGCAAAGTTGCAGAATTTCTTCAAAATATTGATAATGACAAAAAAACTACATATAAGAATCTAGGGGATATAATTAAAACAGATTAGAAAAAGATTCAACAGCCTTATGTATTTACAGCCATAAATTAAAGAAAAATAAATTACATTTTCATCAAAAAAAGCTAAGAAAAATCGCAAAGTAAATCCGAATAAAGAACAAGGAAGGAAATAATAAAGATTAAAGCAAAAAATTAATGAGGTTGAAGACAAAAACAATAGGACTAAAAAGTAAATAGAAAAAAATACTGATTCTTTGAAAAAGTCAACAAAATAGACCACTAGTTAACCTAATTGGTGGTGGTAGAGGTGGGAGGAGGAGAGGGGGTAATAGAGAGAAAGTATTAAAATGCAAGACATGACAAGGGGAGAATAACAACTATTGAAACAGAGAATTTTAAAAATGATAAGATTTTATTTTGCACAACTTAAGTGAAATGGATTATTTCTTTGGAAAATCCAGTTTGTTAAAATTGTCCCAGAAGAAATAGAAAAGTTAAACAGATGAAATTTTTCAGAAGAAATAGCAAAAGGTATCAAGAAAGCTCAGTAAAAGCACCAAGCTCAGAAGGTTTCAAAGGAATGTTTTACCAAAACTTCTAAGATCAGATCATCTCAATGCTCTATACATTTTTCCAGAACATAGAAAAAGACAGTTTTCAAATTACTTTTGAGTATGGTATTAATCTAGATAAAAATCATGTGACAGTCACACACTGTGTGTGTATCCGTGAAATAGTATCTCATTGTTTTGATTTTCATTTTCCTAAGGACTAATCATACATACCACTACAGAACAATCTCACGTATGTCAATACAAAAGCGTCAAACGTAATCCTATGCTACATTAAGAAAATGATACATGACAGTCATGACATTTATTCCATTAATGCAAAAGTGGTTCAATTTTAGGAAATCCTTTGATATTATTCACTTGTTAATCTAAAGAGGAACAAAAAATGAATACTCAGTAGAACAGGAATTGATGTATTTTTTAAATGTAGAACACATATATCCTAGGTTTAAATCCAGCATAATACTTAATGTGGAAACACTGGCAGCATTCCAACTAAAATTGGAACAAGACATTATTCTCCTGTGTCTCTTCTACTATTTAACACTGTATTGAAGTTTTGGGCTTGTGCAATTAAACAGTAGAAAACTCTACTTCGTGTTTGTGTGTGGAAACGGAGTCTCACTATGTTGCCCAGGCTGGACTCAAACATCTGGGCTCAAGCAGTCTTCGGTTCTCAGCCTCCTGAGTAGCTGGGGCTACAGGCATTCTACCACTTCCTCTGGCTTATATTTACATTTTTGAGGAAAAGCTAATCTGTTTTCCAAAGTGGCTATAGCATTTTGCATTGCCACCAACATTGTATGAGGGTTCCAGTTTTTCCACATCCTCCACAATACTTGTTATTATCTGTATTTTTTTTATTACAACAGTCTTACTGGGTATGAAATAGTATCTCATTGTTTTGATTTTCATTTTCCTAAGGACTAATCATGCTAAGCATCTTGTCATGTACTTATAAGCCATCAGTAACATCTTCTTTGTAGAAATGTCTGTTCAGATCATTTGCCCATTTTTCAAATTTGGCATGTCTTTATTATTGAATTGTAGGAGTTCTTCATGTATGGTGGATATTGGACCCTTATAAGACATGGTTTAGAAATATTTTTTTCCCATTGTGTGGACTGTCTTTGTTTCTTGGTAGTGTCCTTTGAAGCTTAAAATTTTTAATTTTCATGAAGTTCAGTTTATCCATTCTGTTCTTGTTGTTTGTGCTTTTAGTGTCAGATCTAAGAAATCATAGCCTAATCCAAGGTCATGAAAATTTACACATATGTCTTCTAAGAGTTTTATAATTTGGTCTCCTATATTTGGATCTTTGATCCATTTTGGGTTAATGTTTGTATATAGTGTGGGGTAGAGGCCCAGCTTCATATTTTGCATTGAAATATCCAGTCATCCCAGCATAATTTGTTGAAAAGATTATTCTTTCACCCATTGAATTGTTTTAGTACTCATCAAAAATAAATTAACTGTATATGAGTGCGTTTATGTTTGGACTCGATTCTTTTCCATTGTTCTACATGTCTATCTAGTAACACCTAGTCTTGACTATTGTATTTATAGTAAGCTTTGAAATTAGGAAATGCTAATCCTCCGATTTTGTTCTCTTTCGAGATTATTTTGGCTATTCGGGGTCCCTTGCATTTTCATGTGAATTTTAGGATCAGCTTGCCAGTTTCTATAAAACTACCAACTGGGATTTAGATAGGGATTCTGTTGAACCTGTTGATAAAAATTGGGGAGTATTACCATCTTAAGAATATTAAGTTCTTCAATCTGTGAACAGAGGACATGTTCCTATTATTTTAAGTCTTTATTATGTTTCCAGTTTTCGGTGTACAACTCTTCTGCCTTTTAAAGTTTATTTTTTGTAAGTATTTTATTTGTGATGCTGTAGTAAATGTGATTTTTTAAAAATTACATTTTGGAATTGTTTTGTGCTATTGGTTAGAAATAAAATTCATTTTTGTATATTGATTTGGTATCCTGTAACCTTGTGAACTTGACTATTAGTTCTTAATGTTTGTTTGTATACAGATTCCTTAGAAATTTATGTATATAAGATTATATGCAAATATACAAGATTATACAATGGTAATCTAAATTAAATTTATATATCACAAGATTATATTATTTCTATAAAAAGAGAGTTTTGCTTCTTCCTTGCCAATCCAGATGTCTTATTTATTTTTCTTGCTTTATTGCCTTGGCTGGAACACTCCAGTACAGTGTCGAAGTGATAAGAGCATATATCCTTGTTTTGTTCCTGACAAAGCATTCTGGGGGAAAGCTTTTAGCTTTTCACCATTAAGTACCATGTTTCCAGTGGATTTTTTACAGATACCCTTAATGAGATTAAGGACATTTTCTTCTGTTCCTAGCTTGTTCACTGTTTTTGCCATGGAAGGAAATTATATTTTGTCAAGGACTTTCTCTACATGTATGGAGATTATGTAGCTTTTGTTCTGTATTCTGTTAATATGTTTGTTAACATGCTGAATTATATGAATTGATTGTTTTGTTTTTATTTTGAGACAGGCTCTTGCTTTGTCACCCAGGCTGGGGTGGCAGTGGTGCAGCCATGGTTCATTGCAGCCTTGCCTGCCTGGGCTAAAGTGATCCTCCCACCTCAGTTTCTCAAGTAGCTAGGACCACAGGCACCAGCCATCACTAATGCCTGGCTAAATTTTTGTATTTTTTGTAGAGACGGTGTTTTACCATACTGCCCAGGCTGATCTCAAACTCCTGGGCTCAAGTGATCCACCCACCTTACCATCCCAAAGTGCTGGGATTACAGGCTTGAGCTACTATGCCCAGCCAGGGTGGACTGATTTTTATATGTTAAACCAACCTGGAATTCTTGACATAAATCCTTCTTGTTCGTGGTGTATAATTCTTTTTAATGTGTTACTAGATTCTCTTTGATAGCATTTTATTGAGTACTGAGTCTAGAGGGGCAAACCTTATTTTATTATGCTTTGCTTTATTGTGCTTTGTAGATTTTGCATTTTTTTACAAATTGAAGGTGCGTAGCAGCCGTACATTGAACAAGTCTGTTTGCGCCGTTTTCCTTATAACGTGCTCGCTTCATGTCTCTGTGTCACATTTTAGTAATTCTCACAATATTTCAAACTTTTTTAGTATTACTATTATATCTATTATGGTGATCCTTGATGTTATGATTGTAATTATTTTGGAGCACCACGAACCACTCCCATATGAGAAGATGAAATGTGTGTGTTCTGACAGTTCCACTGACCAGTCATTTTCCCATCTCAGGCTGTCTTCTTCCCTGAGATGCAACAGTATTGAAGTTAGGCCTGTTAATAACCCTACAATGGCCTCTGGGTATTTAAGTGAGAGGAAGAGTCATATGCCTCTTATTTTAAATCAAAAGCTATAAATGACTAAGCTTAGTGAGAAAGACATATCAAAAGTCAGGATAGGCCAAAAGCTACTCCTATTGCATCGAACAGTTTCTGCACAATGCATCACCTTGTGTATGTAAAGGAAAAGTTCTTGAAGAAAATTAAAAGTGCTAATCCGGTGAATACATGAATAATAAAGCAAAACAGGCTTATTGCTGATAGGGAGAAAGTTTGAGTGGTTTGGGTAGAAGACCAAACCGGCCATGACATTCCGTTAAGACAAAACCTAAACTAGAGCAAGGGCCTAAGTCTCTTTAATTCGTTGGAGGCCGAGACAGCTGAGAGGAAGCTTCAGGAGAGAAGTTGGAAGCTAGCAGAGATTGGTTCATGAGATTTAAAGAAAGCTGTCTCCATTACATGAAACTGCAAGGTGAAGCAGCAAGTGCTGATACGGAAGCTGCAGCAGGCTATCCAGAAGGTCTAGCTAAGGTCTTTGATGAAGGTGGCTGTACCAAACAAGAAATTTTCAATGTATTAATACATGAAACAGTCTTCTGTTAAAAGAAGACGCCGTCTAGGGCTTTCATAGCTAGAGCAAAGTCAATGCCTGGCTTCAAAGCTTCAAAGGACAGGCTTACTCTCTGGTTATGGCCTAATGCAACTATGGCTTTAACTTGAAGCCAGTGCTCATTTACCATGCCAAAAATTCTAGGGCCTGTAAGGATTACACTAAATATCCTCTGCCTGTGCTCTATTTGTAGAACAACAAAGCCTGGATGACAACACATCTGTTTACAGAATGGTTTACTGAATATTTTAAGCCCACTGTATTAGCGTTCACTAAAAGGACAGGACTAATATGATAGATGTGTATATGAAAAGGAGTTTATTAAGGAGTATTGACTCACATGATCACAAGGTGAAGTCCCATAATAGGCTGTCTGCAAGCTGAGGAGCAAGGAAGCCAGAATCCCAGAACCTCAAAAGTAGGGAAAAGGAGTCTGAATCTCAGAACCTCAAAAGTTAGGGAAGCCACCAGTGCTGCGTTCAGTCTGTGGCCAGAGGCCTGAGAGCCCCTGTCAAACCATTGGTGTAGGTCCAAGAGTCGAAAAGCTGAAGAACTTGGAGTTTGACATTCGAGGGCAGGAAGCTTCCAGCACAGGAGAAAGAGGAAGGCGAGAAGACTTAGCCAGACTAATTTTTCCACATTCCGCTGCCTGCTTTTATCGTAGCCGAGCTGGCAGCTGATTATATGGTGCCCACCAAGATTGAGGGTGGATCTACCTCTCCTAGTCCACTGACTCAAATGTTAATCCCCTTTGGCAACACCCTCACAGACACACTCAAGAACAATACTTTGCATCCTTCAATCTCATCAAGTTGACACTCAGTATTAACCATCACAAGTCCATCCCTTGTCAACTTGAGCCCATACACATCTGAAATCACACATAATATTCAAATAAAGACAGTAATGTAATAATTATGCCTAACATAATACAGCTATCCTTCATACAGTGCACCAGTCCCCAATCCAAATGCTATTACATAAAGTTAACAGCACTTCAATGCCGATATTAGGTCAGTAAATCTTATGACACACGATAAAGGGAAAAGAAAGGAAATGAAGGTATTTTCTTAGTACAAGTGTATACATGCAGAACATGTTCTTTTTTTTTTTTTTTTTTTTTTTTTTTGAGATGGAATCTCACTCTGTCACTCTGTCACCCAGGCTGGAGTGCAGTGGCGCAATCTCAGCTCACTGCAACCTCCACCTCCCAGGTTCAAACGTTTCTCCTGCCTCAGCCTCCCGAGTATCTGGGATTACAGGTGCGTGCCACCACACCTGGCTAATTTTTTGTATTTTTAGTAGAGACGGGGTTTCACCATGTTAGCCAGGATGGTCTCGATCTTCTGACCTCATGATCTGCCTGCCTCGGCCTCCCAAAGTGCTGGGATTACAAGCATGAGCAACCGCACCCAGCCACAACATGTTCTTAACAAATTGAGGAGGAAATGCTTATGACAAAGTCCTCATTTCTGCAACTGGTCACGTGGTCCTGGCTGGTATTAATTACTACCTTCTACTACCCCTTCTGTATCCCCTTTCCCTTCAGCAGGCACCTCAGTGGGCTGTGGGTTTTTACCCGATGGAGTGACCTAAGGCTTCATTCCCAAAGGGTCTGGGCCATTTGTAATCCTGCCTGGATTGGGCTTCTGTAGTTTCCCATTGACCTTAATCACAGGGCATGGTAATACTAAGAGATGTCTTAAGGGATCCCCTGTATTCCACACATACTCTTCCTTACCTCCACTGTGGAGCAGTAGACTAATTTCATCTTCATAGTTTGTCTGGGTCAGTCACCCCAGCCAACACTGTAACTCCCTTCTTAGCCTGTTGGCTGAGAGGTAGGGGGATCCCAAAGTAGCCAGGTGGCAATCTTAACTTCCAGTTTCATGGAATAATTGTGTCTCCTGGTGGCAGCATTCCTCCCTCTGGAACTAACATCTCTAGGCCAGCAGAACATAATGTTACAGGAACAGGAAGCAAGAATTTTGCTAGTGGATCACTAGGGGTGATGGTGAGTGGTGCCATTTCAACTTCCACCCCTTGACTCCTGGACCCGTGAATCCTGGCTATGGGAGAAACAGTACCATATACTGAATGCTGATTCAGAGCATGCACAGCCTTCTGGAGAACTTCGCCCTAGCCCCGCAAAGTATGGTCATCTAGTTGGAGTTGTAATTGTGACTTCAAAAGGCCATTCTACCATTCTATCAATCCAGCTACTTCATGATGATGGGGAACATGGTAAGACCAGTGAATTCCATGAGCATGAGCCCACTGCTTCACTTCTTTAGCTATAAAGTGAGTGCCTTGGTTAGAGGCAATGCTATGTGGAATACCATGATGGTAAATAAGACGTTCCATGAGTCCATGAATGTAGTCTTGGCAGAAGCATTGCGTGCAGGATAGGCAGACCTGTATCTGGAGTAAGTGTCTATTCCAGTGAGGACAAACTGTTGCCCTTTCCATGATGGAAGAGGTCCAGTATAATCAACCTTCCACCAAGTAGCTGGCTGATCACCCCGAGGAATAGTGCCATATTGAGGGCTCAGTGTTGGTCCCGGCTTCTGGCAAATTGGGCTCTCAGCAGTGGCCGTAGCCAGGTCAGCCTTGGTGATTGGAAGTCCATGTTGCTAAACCCATGTGTAACCTCCATCCCTGCCACCATGGTCACTTTGTTCGTGGGCCCATTGGGCGATGACATGGGTGGCTGAGGAAAGAGGCTGAGTGGTGTCCACAGAAGAAGTCATCCTATCCACTTGATTACTAAAATCCTTCTCTGCTGAGGTCACCCATTGGTGAGCACTCAGATGAGATATAAATATTTTCACAATTTTTGAGCACTCAGAGAGGTCCAGCCACACAACATCTTTCCCAAATTTCTTTGTCACCAATTTCCCAATCATGATTCTTCCAAGTCCATGACCATCTAGCCAAAACATTGGCTACAGCCCGTGAATCGGTATATAATCACACGTCTGGCCATTTCTCCTTCAAAGAAAAGTGCACAACGAGTTGCACTGCTCGAAGTTCTGCCCACTAGGAAGATTTCCCTTCCTAGACTTGGAAGGGAAAGCCCACACTGCATGGACTTGGAAGAATCATGATTGGGAAATTGGTGACAAAGAAATTCGGGAAAGACGCAGTGCTGCCCTTGTAAATCTATTTTGCAAAGTATTGGTCAAGAGTATGTCTTCTGGACCCTCCCAGCTGGGATGAGTGGGTCTCAAGTGACTAATTTACTCTAACATCCCAATGTCCCTAAGCCTTTGGATCCCTTCCTCTACATTAAACCAAGGAAGATCAGGCATTTCCAGCTCGCTCACAGAGGGCCATCTTTTTTTGGGGGAGGGTGGGGCACGGGGATTGAGTCTCACTCTGTCACCGAGGCTGGAGTCCAGTGGCACAATCTCGGCTCACTGCAACCTCCGCCTCCCGGGTTCGAGCGATTCTCCTGTCTCAGCCTCCTAAGTAGCTGGGATTAAAGGCACCCGCCACCACACCCGGCTAATTTTTGTGTTTTTAGTAGAGATGGGATTTCACCATGTTGGCCAGGCTGGTCTCGAACTCCTGACCTCAAATTATCCGCCTGCCTTGGCCTTCCAAAGTGTTGGGATTATAGGCATGAGCCACTGTACCTGGCCTTGAGCCCATATTTAATCCATATTTCAGCTAACCAAGCAAATAAACTATTAGAACCTTTTTTAACTCCCCAAGCTGCAACATTAAATGCAGAATTCCTGCTTAGTGAGCCTAAATCCATAAATTCAGCCTGATCCAACTTTATGTTTCTTCCACCATTATCTCACACCCTTAATATTTTCATTTCCATGCCTGTTCTCCAGATTTCTGCTTATATAAGTTAGAAAACTCAAGCAGTTATTTTGGAGTGTAGCACACCTCATCATGGATCACACTTTGAACTTCACCTCTAGGGGCCTGCCGGGACTTTAGTTATAGGTCTAGAAGCAAACAGGGGTGTTGGGGTTGGGTCCTGAGGAGAATCGTCACTGTCTTTCCTGGAAGCTGCCTTGGGGGGGCCATCACTTTTGCCTCAGGCAGTGCACGATTAATCTCCTCAGACAAAGGTGGAAATGCTGATGGCTGCCCAGGTTGGGGAAGGGATGTGTTGGGGATGTTGACACCACTGGGAGTGGGGAGGCTGTTTCCTCTGACTAAAAGCTCATCAGAATTTAGGAGCTCAGTGTTCCCAGCCTCATCAGGTTTCTCCCACAAGTCCCCATTCCAATTTGCAAGGCCCCATTCTTTTACAGTCACTGCCCTCACTTTAACACTAGATACCTTGCGAGGCTGTGTGTGCACCTTTTGTTGAAGGTCAGCCACTCGCATGATAAGAGCTTGTGTCTGATTTTCCACAATTTCAGCTCTTTCTTGACAGGAGATAAAACTGTCACTCAGGGCAATCTTAGAAGATTGAGACTCAGTATGTTCCTCTTGAGCCGGGAGATAGAATCCCTGAGTTCATAGTTTTCTTTCATCACTTTCTCTAGTGAACTTAGGAGCAACCAACCGACTTCATTATATTCCTTGGTTCTTTACATATGGTCAAATGTATTATGTATAGAGTCACTAAACTTGCCTCTCACAAGCAGTGAATCAGGAGTATCAAATGCATTTATTTTACCTAACTCTTTAAACAGTTCATGCCAAGGACTATCAGTGTTCTCCATACTTTTAGAAGTAGAGTCCTTAACATTTTTGGGTCTAATCATATTAAGCAGCCAATTCCAGAAACCCCAAAACCAACTTAAAAACTCCATCTTTAAAGTTCTATTCCTCTAGAACCACTCCTGGTACCAAAATCTGTATTAGTCAGGACAGGACTAATAGGATAGATGTATATATGAAAGGGAGTTTATTGAAGAGTATTGACTCACACAATCACAAGTTGAAGTCCCACAATAGGCTGTCTGCAAGCTGCAGAGTAAGGAAGCCAGCCTGAGTCCCAAAACCTCAAAAGTAGGGAAGCCGACAGTGCAGCCTTCAGTCTGTGGTCAGAAGCCTGAGAGCCCCTGTCAAACCACTGGTGTAGGTCCAAGAGTCCAAAAGCTGAAGAACTTGGGAGTTTGATGTTCGAGGGCAGGAAGCATCCAGCGCGAGAGAAGGATGGAGGCCAGAAGACTTAGCCAGACTAATTTTTCCACATTCCGCTATCTGCTTTTATCCTAGCCTAACTGGCAGCTGATTATATGGTGCCCACCCAGACTGAGGGTGGGTCTTCCTCTCCTAGTCCACTGACTCAAATGTTAATCTCCTTTGCAACACCCTCCCAGACACAACCAGGAACAATACTTTGCATCCTTCATTCCAGTCAAGTTGAATATTAACCATCACATCCATTGTTGAGACCTACCACTCAGAAGAAAGAATTCCTTTCAAAATATTATAGCTCACTGAAAATGCACTTGATTACCTAAGAGCTCTGATGGAGATATACAAGGATACTAATGTTGTTTTCATGCCCTGAAAACAAGAACATCTATTCTGTAGCCCATGGATCAAGGAGTAATTTCTACTTTCAAGTTTTATTATAAAAGAAATACATTTTTTAAGGCTGTAGCTGCCATGGATAGTGATTCCTCTGATAGATCTGGACAAGGTAAATTGAAAAGCTTCTAGAAAGGATTCACTAAATGCCATTAAGAACATTACTGATTCGGTTGGGTGCGGTGGCTCAACGCCTGTAATCTCAGCACTTTGGGAGGCCAAGGTGGGGGCAGATCACAATGTCAGGAGTTTGAGATCATCCTGGCCAACATGGTGAAACCCTGTCTCTACTAAAATACAAAAAAAAAATCAACCAGGTGTGGTGGTGTGTGCCTGTAGTCCCAGCTACTCGGGAAGCTGAGGCAGGGGAATCGTTTGAACCCAGGAGGTGGAGGTTGCAGTGAGCCGAGATTGCGCCACTGCCCTCCACCCTGGCAACAGAGTGAGACTTTGTCTCAAAAAATAAAAAATAAATTAAAAAAAGAACATTACTGATTCATGGGAGGAAGTCAGAATATCAGAATTAACAGAAGAAGTTGATTTGGAAAAAGTTGATTCCAACCCTCATAGATAACATTGAGGACTTCAAGAGGAAGCAGCTGCAGATGTGGTAGAAACAGCAAGAGAACTAGAAAGAGAAGTAGAGCCTGAAGATGTGACTGAATTGCTGCAATCTCATGTTTAAACTTTAACAGATGAAGAGTTGCTTTTTATGGATGAGCAGAGAAAGTGCTTTCCTGAGAGGGAATTTACTTCTGGCAAAGATGCTGTGAGCATTGTTGAAATGACACCAAAGGATTTAGAATATCGCATAAACTTAGTTGATAAAGGAGTGGCAGGGTTTGAGAGGATTAACTCCAATTTTGAAAGAAGTTCTACTTGGGGTAAAATGCCATCAAATAGCATCACATGCTACAGAGGAATGTTTCCTGAAAGCAGAATCAATCAGTGGGCAAATTTCATTGTTGTCTTAATGTAAGAAATTGCCACAGCCACCCCACCCTTCAGCAGCCATCACCCTGAGCATTCAGCAGGTGTCAACATTGAGGCAAAGCCCTCCACCAGCAAAAAGATTACCACTTGCTGAAGGTTGAGATGATTGTTAGAAATTTTTAACAATAAGGTATTCTTAAATTAAGGTATTTGGTCAGGAAAAACTCTGTCAATGTCTGCGTTTTTTCCTCTATTTCCATACCACCATAATGCAGAAAAAGACTTCTGTGACCAGAGGCCTGGATGGTTTTCCCCACATACCAAGCAGTGCTTACTACCTGGGTGCCCTCTAATTCAATTCTGATACTATCTACCTGGAGATAGTGTTACATCTCACAGGGTGACTGGCTTCAAGTTGGGGTTCCATGACCCCCTCTTTGGGTTCGATTAATTTGCTGGAATGGCTCATAGAACTCAAGCAAACACTTAACTGGCTTATTCTGAAGGATATTACAGAGGATACCGATGAAGAGATGCACAGGGCAAGGCATGGGGAATGGAGTGTGGAGCTTCCATGCCCTCCCTGGGTGTGCCACCCTCCAGGGCACTTCACATGTTCAACTATCTGGAACCTCCCAAACCCAGCCCTCTTGGGTTTTTATGGAAGCTTCATGACATCAGCATTCTGTCTTCCAGAGTATAGGGCAAGACCATCTCTAAGGATGGTCTTAAGACCCACAGTTAGAAAGGCAGGGAATTGGAGTCCTACTTCAGGGCAGGTGAAAGGAGGGCAGGAGAGATTCTATTTCCTGGGGCCTGCTCCTGAGACCTAACACACCCAACACAACACCCTAATAAAAGACTGTAACAAGGGCTGTGGAAGTTATGATCCAAGAAACATGGATGAGAACCAATATGTAGCATTATACCACAGATATGGGTACTTCTTTAGACATAGTGCTATTACACACTTAATAGGCTATAGTGTAAACATAACTTTTATAGGTACTGGGAAAGCAAAAAATTCTTGTGACTGTCTTTATTGCAATACTCACTTTTTTCCAGTCATCTGGAACTGAACCTGCAATATCTAATATGTGTATTACTAATGGATAGGTTTTTTTTATTTGATAGTTTTGCTTTCTCTAGTTTTGATATCAGGATAATATTGACCCTTAAATAGAGTTGAAAGTGTTTCCTCCATTTTATTAAAGAGCTTTTAAGGATTGGGATTAATTTCTCTCTAAATATCTGGTAGAGGTTACCATTGAAGCCATTTGTTCCTGGGCCTCTCTTTGGGGTAAATTTTTGGTTATGAATTCAGTCCCTTTGCTTTTTACAGATTTATTCATATTTTCTGTTACTTCTTGAGTCAATTTGGTAGTTTGTGTCCTCTTAGGAATTTGGCCATTTCATCTAGGTTATCTAATTTATTGGTGTACTGTTTTTTATAGTATTTTCTGATAATCTTTTGTGTTTTTTTAAGATCAGTAGTGATATATCTTCTTTCATTTCTGGTTTTAGAAAATAACTCAGGCCTTCTTTAGTTATTTTCTTGGTCTGTTTAGCTAAAGGTTTGTTTAGTCCCTTACTTGTGATGACTTTATTTTACTTTTTTTTCTTGCTGCTTTCAAAATTTATTCTTTGTCTTTGGTTTGATTAGGATGCATCTAAATGTGATCTCTGAGTTTATTCTGCTTGGCATTTGTTGAGCTTCTTAGATGTGTAAATAAATGTTTTCTTCAAATTGGGGGCATTGCCATTTTTTTCAAATATTTTTTCTACTTTTGTCTCTTCTTTCCTTTTGGGAATACCTTTTGCAAATCTTGATACATTTGATTGGTGTCCCACAGGTCTCTGAGGCTCTGTTCACCTACTTGTTTACCTACCCTCTGCATCTTTGTCCTTAGACTGAATGATCTCAACCTGCCTATGTTCAAGTTGATTGGTTCTTTTTTCTGCCAGGTCAAATCTACCAGTGTATATCTAGTGAATTTTTCATTTTAATTTGTATACTTTTCAACATCACAATTTCTGTCTGGTTCTTTATTATAACTTTATATAATTGCCTATTTAGTAAAATATTCTCCTCATACTTTAGTTGTTTATACATGGTTTCCTTTCATTCTTTGAACCTATTTTAAATGTCTGATTTAAAGTTTTTTTTGTCTAATAAGTTCAATATATGGGCTTTCTCAGAGACATTTTCTGTGGACTTTTTCCCCCATGTGTGGTACGTTTTTATGTCTTTGCATGTCCCATAATGTTTTGTTTAAAAACAAAATATTTAAAATAATACAGCGTGATAACAGGAAATCAGATTATCCTCCACCCCAAGGTTTGTTGTTGCTGTGTCATTGTTGTTATTCTTTGTTTAGCGACTTTTCTAAACTAATTCTGTGAAGATAGTATTCTTTGTATTCTGTGCCCACTGACATCTTCACCTAGTTAGCTTAGTGATCAATCAACTAATGATTGAACAGATGTTTCCTCATACGTCTACAATCGTAAGACTCTCAGTGTTTGCCATGGGGGCTCCATGTGTCTTGAGGAGGAAGGCTGAGAATAGTGCAATTGTTTGTTTCAGTGATGTTTTGTTTTGTTTTGTTTTGTTTTGTTTTGTTTTTGTTAACCTGTAACTTCAGCGCAAAGGAAGGATAGTGCAATTTAAAGTGCCATGATAGCTTGCTGTACTTACTGAGATTCAGTTGATTTTGAGATTCAGCTGATTTTCTTTAATAGACATTCCTTGATGGCTATAAGCTTTTGGTTAATTCCCAGAGTTCTTTTGTTTAATGAAGTTGCATTCCGCCTCCCACCCTGCAAAACAGCAACAACAACCCGCAAGAGACCCACAACATTAAGTGTCAAAACTGGAAGACAACCAGTCACCTTTCTGAAGTATATTTTCCTAGCTGTTTTCCTGATTTAATCTTAGCTCAATAAGCATTTCTTAATGTTGGCATCATTTGCTTTCTGTATAGACTGAGAATTTTCAAAACAATCAAAACCTGCTGTCTCTTTGTTTAACAGTCTGCATTAAGCTGCTCTTGCATTGCTATAAAGAAATATCTCAGCTGGCGCAGTGGCTCATGCCTGTAATCCCAGCACTTTGGGAGGCCAGGGCGGGCAGATCACCTGAGGTCGGGAGTTCAAGGTCAGCCTGGCCAACATGGCAAAACCCCATCTCTACTAAAAATACAAAACTTAGCCGGGCGTGGTGGCAGGCCCCTGTGATCCCAGCTATTGGGGAGGCTGAGGCAGGAGAATCACTTGAACCCAGGAGGCAGAGTGAGCCAAGATCGTGCCATTGCACTCCAGCCTGGGTGACAGAACGAGGCTCCTTCTCAAAAAAAAACAAAACAAAACAAAAAAAACTCAGCCTGGCCAACGTGGTGAAACCCCGTCTACTAAAAATACAAAAGTTAGCTGGGCGCAGTAGCACATGTCTGTAATCCCAGCTACTCAGGAGGCTGAGGCAGGAGAATCGCTGGAACCCAAGAGGCAGAGGTTGCAATGAGCCGAGATTGTCATTGCACCCCAGCCTGGGTGACAGAGTGAGACTGTCTCGAGAAAAGAAAAGAAAAAAAGAAATACCTGAGGTTGAGTAATCTATAAAGAAAAGAGCTTTGGCCAGGCATGGTGGCTCACGCCAGTACTTTGTGAGGCCAAGGCAGGCAGCCCACTTAAGGCCAGGAGTTTCAGACTGGCCTGGCCAACATGGCAAAACCCAGCCGCTACTAAAAATACAAAACTTAGCTGGGCTTGGTGGCACATGCCTGTAATCCCAGCTACTCGGGAGATGGAGACATGAGAATTGCTTGAGCCCGGGAGGTGGAGGTTGCAGTGAGCCAAGATCATGCCTCTGCACTCCAGCCTGGGTGACGGGGACACTATCTAAAAAAAAAAAAAAAAAAAAAAAAGACATTTAATTGGCTCATGCTTTCATGCTTTTGCAGTCTGTAAGTCTGTGCAAGCATGACACCAATATCTGCTCAGCTCTGGTAAGGACCTCAGGAAGCTTACAATCATGGCAGAAAGCAAAGCAGAAGCCAGCACATCACATGGCAAAAGAAAAAGAGAGAGGAGGTCCCAGACTTTTAAACAACCAGATCTCACGTGGACTGAGGGAGAACTCACTTATCAGCAAGGGGATGGGGCTAAGTCATTCATGAGGGATCTGCCCCATTATTACCAAAACACCAGTGGTTTGATGTAGGTCTTGATGCTTGCTTCACAGAAAGCCAATCACTGAAACAACAGTTATTGCCAAGGAAGGCTTTAATCAGTTGCTGCAGCCAAGGAGATGGGCGCTCAGTCTCAAATCCATCTGCCTGACTAAAACTAAGAGTTTGTATAGCAGGGGAGAAACGTAACAGTGTGTAAGAAAACAAAAATTAGGGAAGGGTCAAGGACGCAATCATGGTGAATGAGGGATTCATGATGTGGTGCCATCATCTGGTGAGTTTCAGTTCTTTGATACTTTCTTTGAGAGGCCTGAAGGTTCTTTTCTGAGGAAGGAACTCAGATAAAACAAATACAAGTTTCAAGCTTTTTAAGACCAGAAGGGGCAATTTCTATGTTTATCAAAAAGAACAGTCTGTGGGGGCAGTTGGGTTGGTTTCACCATGATCCGATCACCTCCCATCAGACCCCAACTTCAACATTCAGAATCACATTTTAACATGAGATTTAGAGGGGACAAACATCTAAACCATATCACAGTTCTTCCTTGATTTTATCTCTTTCTTTTTGCACTTTAATTAACTAGAAGAAACCAGGGGCCACCTTTCACACTTTGCTTAGATATTTCCCTAGATAGATCATCCAATTCATTGGACACATTTTCTACTTCCTAAGTTACTGAAGATAATAGTGTTGTGAAACTCTCCCATTACATAATTCCAGTAATATTTACCTCATTTTTCTAGAGGTTCTTACTCTGCAGCCTTCTTAAAGGCTGTGGCTATTAACAGCTTATTGAAGTTACTTCAGACTTTCATTAATACTATTCCCAAAGGCCACTTCCTGGTTTGAAAGTGACACCTACCTTTTCAGTTTTTTATTACAGCAGCATCCCACTAATATGCACCAAAATCTATATTATTTATGACTCTATAACAGATTACTTTCAAAATTGAGTTTCAAACAACAGACATTTATTATTTCATATTTTCTCTGGGGTCAGTAACCTGAGAATTGCTCAGCTAGTTGGTTTTGGCTCACTTGTTCATGAGGCTACAATCAAGGAGTGAGCTGGGTTGTGGTCATAGGAGATTTGATTGCTGTAGAATGTCTTGCAAGTCCACACATTTGGCTGCTTGCAGGAGGCTTCCATCTTTCTTCACATGAGCCACCTCATGGGACTGCTCATAGTTATGGCTTTCTCTGGAGTGATGAGAGAGAGAGAGATGAAGGGATAGACAAATGAAGGGGAGAAGGAGATAGAGGAGGAGGGAAACAGAAGGGGAGAAAGAGAAAATAAAAGGAGGGGAGAAGAGGGGCAAAAGAGAAAACAACCAGGAGCATCAATGTTCATCAGTGTCCAGTATGAAAACTTCATTCATTTATAACATAATCTCCAAAGTGACAAATACTTGGGCAGTACGCTATTGGTTACACAGACCACCCATGATACAACATGGAGGCTAAGAGGGTATTGCACAGCAGTGTTATATCAGGAGGCAGGAATTATTGAGGACCATCTTGAAGCAGCAGCCACACAGGTCTTTTTAAATTAGTTAACTTTGGGAAGTGAAGAAATAAGGCAAAAAATAATTGTTCTTGTCTGATAGGGGGCAGTAAACCCTATTTCCGGGTGGCAACATTCTTCTAGGCAAATGTTTACTACTAGCCTGATCCTTGTAAAAATTTGAGTTTACAATTCCTAACCTACATCTAGATCTTCAGTTATTTGCTTTTTTGTAGTTATGACAACTTGTGCAAGTGATTTAAGAGGCTGACTAACCAGTCAGCAGCTGAGAAGCATTCTCTTTGTCTGTCTGTCTGTTTTGCTCCCTCTCTTTTGCCAGGTCCTTTGGTCTCAAACATGGACTTATTCCACAATATAGTATAAAGGGACAAAAAGTGAGTGGGTGAATAAAACAGAGTAGCACTATGTATTGTGCTTTAAACTTTGCTGTAAATTCAATCCTAAAGTATAGCCCTAGTCACATGATATGGGTCTAATAATGTCTGTCCTTTATGACAGATATAATCATATTGAATTGATAAAGTGATGATGTTAGTAATACAATTCAGGACAGTTAGCTAAAATACCTAAAAGTAAAGCTGGTATCTCCTTTAAATACATAATACAAAGCAAGATTAGATTTGAAAAAAGGTGAAGAAGAATGTTCATAGAAGCCTTCAAAGATTTCTAAAGATAATCATCAAGCAATGGTATATCTTTGAAATCCTTTCTGCAACATGGATATTTCTTGTTTTGATAATGCACTTTAGTTAGGTTACATGTGCTAATATAATCTAGTTTGGACTAAAAAAGTATCACATGGGTTTATAAAGTATGTCTTTTATATTTTTCCAGTTACGAAGTTAACAAATATGAGGGGACTTTAAAAAGTTCGTGGAAAAATGGAATTCAAAGGTAGAAATAAAAAATACAAAGTTTATTTCCCAACATAAGCTCCATCCAATTCAAGACACTTTTGTAAGCAAGGATACCAGCCATTTAGTCCATACTGGAAAGAACTGGGAATTTAACCATGTCAATGCAATTTTTTTTACGTTATTAACTGAAGAAAAATGGGTGACCTTTAAAGTTTTTTTAAGATTAGGAAACAAAAAAATTAGAAGGCATCAAATGAGGACTGTAAGGTGGACGCCTGATGATTTCCCATCATAACTCTTGCCATATTGCCCTTGTTTGATGAAGGGAATGAGCAAGAGCATTGTTGTGGCGGACACCCTGGTGAAGCTTTCCTGGGCATTTTTCTGCTCAAGCTTTGGCTGCCTTTCTCAGAACACTCTTATAATAAACAGACGTTATTTCTTTGGGCCTCCAGAAAGTCAAAAGCAAAATGCCTTGAACATTCCAAAAAACTGTTGCCATAACCTTTGCTCTTAACCGGTCTGCTTTGGCTTTGACTTGACCACTTCCACCTCTTGGTAGCCATTGCTTTAATTGTGTTTTATCTTCAGGATTATATTGGTAAAGCCGTGTTTCATCACCTTTTACAATTCTTTGAAGACATGCTTCTCTTGAACCCACTGGTTTAAATTTTTCATTGAAAGCTCTGCTGTTGTCTGCAACTGATCTGGTCGCAATGGTCTTGGCACCCATTGAGTGGAAATCTCAGCTTTAATTTTTGAGTCAGAATTGTGTAAGCTAACGTCCGTCAAGATGTCTGTGGTGTTGACTGTCATTCCTGTTGTTAATCACCAGTCCTCTTCAGTTGGGATGCAAACAAAATGGATTTTTGTCCTCACAAATTGATGCGGATGTTCCGTCACTGCAGGCTTTATCTTCAACATCATCTCATCCTTTAAAATGAGTTGTCCATTTTTTTTGACCCCTGAACTTTTTATTGGCCTCCTCCTCCCCAGAGCGGACCCTACTTCTGCTGGCTTAATGTTTTAGAACTTTGGTGTCACTGGTCTCGGGCACCACTTTGCCATCCACTATCCGGTGGCTGGTGGTCTTTTGGATGTTTTGCATGGAATTGCTGCTGTCCAGGGCATCACCAAGATTGAAGTCCTCGCCATCTTCCAGCAGGTGTCGATCTTAGCCTCCAGCTTGACCTTGATGTTTGGCAGGACCTCGTACTCCTGGGCCTGGTGCTGCCTCTTTGCCCGGGTCTGTGCCAGCTCCGACTCCAGGTGCAGGAGGAGCCCATTGAGCTACTCCATCTGCAGGGCATAGCAGGCCTCCACCTCCCTCAGGCCATTCTCCAAGCTGGCCTCCAGATTTCTCATCAAGTCCAGGTCCATCTCCAAGGACTGGACTGTAAGTCTCAGCTGCACGAGCACCATCTCAGCAGCTCCAATTCCGGCAGACTGTGTGGTGATGACTGTGGTGCTCTCCTCAATCTGCTGAGACCAGTAACCTGTCTAGTTCCTGTCGGTTCTTCTGAGCCAGCTCATCGTATTGGGCCCAGATGTCTGCCATGATCTTGGCAAGGTCCTGAGATTTAGTGGCATCTACCTCCGCAGTCACCCTAGAGCTGGCAATCTGGGCTTGTAGGCCTTTTACTTCCTCTTCATGGTTCTTCATGAAGAGCAGCTCCTCTTTGAGAGCCTCGATCTGTGTCTCCAGCTGCAGCCAAGTGACATTGGTTTCATCAGTGACCTTGCAGGAGCCCATAATGTTGCTCTCCACAGACTGGCGCACGGCCAGCTTTGTCTCATACTTGACTCTAAAGTCATCAGCAGCAAGACGGGCATTGTCGATCTGCAGAACAATGCGGGCATTGTCCACAGTATTTGCGAAAATTTGAGCCCTCACGTCCTTGGTGGTCTTGAAGTAATGGCTCCAGTCTCTGACCTGGGGTCCCTTCTTCTCCAGGTGCCCCCAGATTTTGGTCTCTAACTTCTAGTTCTTGGTCTCCAGGCTCCTCACTCTGTCCAGGTAGGAGGCCAAGCAGTCATTCAGGCTTTGCATGGTCTGGCCATTCAGACTTTGCATGGTCTCCTCCTCGTTCTGGATGCCTCCCTTTCCTGCCAGACCCCCGGCCATCCCCACGGCCAGGTCCCCGGACCTCAAGCCGCCCTGGAAGCTGGTGGAGCAGGACATGGAGATCAGGGAACCAGAGCTCCCGGCACCTGCATAGACGCCAGCCACGCTGCTGACCAGCCAGGCACCATAGCTGGGCGCTTGGACGGAGTCCAGGAAACAGTAGCTGGTGGAGAAGGTGGAGCAAGTGGTGAAGCTCATGCTGTCCAGGGAGGAGAGTGAGAGGACAGGACTCAGACTTTGCCAACGACCAAGTTATCCATTTTTAAACTGCTGATTTCTTTAGGCCATTATCCTCATAAGCTTTTTCAAAATTACCAGTGATTTTACCATTCTTCCACCCAAGCTTTACCGTGTAGTTAATATTTGTTCTTGCTTCAATTTTAGCAGAACTCATGTTGCACTGATACTGGATGTTTTCAGACTGATGTCTTATCCTTCTTAGTGCCTCAAACTAGATGCCGTTTACACATGTTATAACAAGTTAGTAGTTTATTTTGGTGCAAAACATTTTTGAAACCTATGCATAGGTTTTTTATAATATGCGTTTTCCATGAACTTTGAAGACCCCTCGTACTTTTACTTATTTGCCATTTGGTGATTTAAATAAAATATAAGTGCTCAGCCTGCATCTTTTTTTTTGTCATATTATTTCTACTAACAGCTAACATTTACTGGACTATTAATATGCCAAGTACAGAGTTAAGTATTTTATCTACAATCTCATATAATCCTTACAGCATCCAGTGAGCAAGCCCCATAAATAGTATCCCAGGTTCTATTATTATTTCTGTCTTAATGAATGTAGAAACTGAGGCATGGAGAGAATATGTAACTAGCCTAAGTTCATAAAGATGGCTAAGATCCCAAACTATAGCTAGGTCTTTTACGCCACTGCCCCAAAACGAATAGTGTCCCTCTTTCCTATCAGGTTCTAAACAAACAATGGAAGTGAAGGATAAAATTGTATTTTTCTTATAGGCCCATAGTTCCCTCTTTCAGATGTTTTTCAGAATTCAAAATTATTTGTTTTGAAACAGGTAATACAATGTTTTGTAATATCTCCAACAAGTCTGAGATAGCACCCTGTGATCAAATATATTGACAGTTATGCAGGACCAGCTTATATCAGCTTAAGTCATGTTTTGCTACCAAATGTGACAATAGTTGTGGTGAGAGTGGGTTTGTTGCCTCTCCTCACCTCCAAATAGTGTATTTTGAAACCTTCTTGTATTTTACAGCCATGGACCAACTAATGATAGATGCTGTTTGGAAGACTTCTCTTTAAGTCTTTTAGACAAGTATTTTAACTAATACTGAAACACAAAACTAGGGAGACTTCCACTTCAGTCTCTGACAGCCATGGATCAGAGA
The DNA here is from genome assembly GCF_000001405.40 of Homo sapiens. Taxonomy (NCBI): domain Eukaryota; kingdom Metazoa; phylum Chordata; class Mammalia; order Primates; family Hominidae; genus Homo; species Homo sapiens. The sequence goes on along the minus strand of NC_000004.12, from coordinate 17,910,500 downwards.
AAGCCTATTCATATAACACTGATCTACCTGAGTAAGGGTTTAGACATTTAAGGAGTAGAGAACTAGTATCTCTACAAGTAGGCCCGTTTCTAAGAGGAAAAAGTATATCCCTACTCAAAAAACAAGTTTCTCTAGTCATCTTTCCCAATTTACCAATCACCTTACATCTAAAGGGGCAGAATAAATAAAGGGAATGGAGCCAAACCAGAAATGTGTGTGTAAAAGCCACCACCCCCAATACTAAATCTCTGTATCGCTATTGTGCACTGTGTATATAAGTGATCTGTTCTTATCCCACACTTCTTACTAAAATCATTCAGTTGTTTTACCAATTATATAAGTTTCAGACAGAGTTGTATTATTACTGTTGAACTTTATTATAGTTGTACTTGATCAAAATGTTTTGGTTAAAACTCTCAGTGATATTCTCATTTTACAGAAGTATCTTAGGATATCCGTGCTGAAATATTTAGAAGTAAATTGTAATTATTCTACAGTTTCAGTGGTTCTACAAATAAAAATAAAGTAAAAAGAAAGCTAATTTGGCAGACTAGTGACAGTTCTTGAATATTAGTGGAAGCTATGTCATTGTACTATTCTTTCATTTTTTATTTATAATCAAAATTTTTCTATATAAAAAATCAAAAGAAAATCCTTGATGATGAAATTCAGGTTATATATGAAATGCACATTTTATAGAATTGAATTTAATGGATACAGAATTATAAGAATTTAGACGTTTTCCTAGTTAATGCATGCACATTGTATATTAGGATAAAAATTGGTTACTTATACAATTTATATTCACATACTGAGTGTTTTAATGTCTAGTAAAATATATCTGAATGAATATTAAAACTCTTGAGAATAAGTTGTTCCGCTTCTATGTCTAATTCTTTATTTGTATTTTAGTTTGGGACCAGAGAATGTTTAATTGTAAGAAGTAATTAAATATGCCACATTTTTGGTTGATATATTATTATAAAGCTGATTAAATCTACAAAGCTTTTATTGCTAATTCCCAGAAAACATTGGGAGTTATGGACTGATGCTAAAAGACTTCTGAAGTCATTAATTTGTAATAAAAATAAATTTAAATGTTGGTGATTTGCCTTTCTCTTTTTAAAATGATTATTATATTTATTTCTTCCCTAGATCTTCCTCAGAACTGTGATCCTAACATTCCCCTAGTTGCTCAGGAATTAATGAAAAAGATGATACGTCAATTTGCGATTGAGTACATTTCAAAAAGTGGTAAAACTCAAGAGAATAGAAATGGTTCAATTGGACCAAGTATAGTATGTAAAAGTATCCAAATGAATCAAGCAGAAAACTCCCTTCAGGAAGAGCAGGAAGGCCCCTTAGACCTCACTGTGAATCGAATGCAAGAACAAAATACTCAGCAAGGTAAGATTTTTTGTGTGCATTTAATATATAATTTGATGTTTTATATCGTTAAATGTATATTTATAACTTTTTATATTCATAGGGAAATTTATTTTGGATGTAATATGACTTTTAATTTGCTTATGTAATATGTGCTGGAGAGAAGTACCTATTTACAGCTTTTGTACTTGCATCTTTGTTTATAAAAGAGAAAATCTGAGTTGCTCTCAACTCCTTTTGCAATAAAGTGTATCCTAATAAACAGCTTAAAAATAAAGCATATAAACAAAGGATATAAATAGATTTTTATAAGAAATAATTATTTTTATAGTGGAAAGCTGAAAACAGTAAGCACTTGCTTGTTCGTTTTTTTTGTATTTAAGTGAGAAAAAAATAGATTATTTATCTTCCAGTTGTTTATAATATAACTTGGAACAGAGGAAATGGAATGTCTGTGACAAATATAATGTTATCATGTAACTAACTATATGGAGAAACATTGGTCATAAGGAACCTGAATGATGAAGACCATGTTGGACTTATAGAGTTTAATTAAAAGAGAACCATAACTTCACAGAGGAAAGGCAAGAAGAAGAGCCTTTTAAGTGTGTGCGAAGGACTTAAGTGTTTATCAGAACAAAGGACAATTTAGGTAGCTTTTGTTAATATGGACTAGGAATAGTATTGTCAGTCTTTGAAGCCATAAGAAAAAAGTCATCATTAAATTTGATTCCAGAAGGCAGTGATGTTAGTTTGGGGCTCTTAAGAAGAATATACTAGTTAGGCCAGGCGCGCTGGCTCACGCCTGTAATCCCAGCACTTTGGGAGGCCGAGGCAGGTGGATCACCTGAGGTCAGGAATTCAAGACCAGCCTGACCAACATGGAGAAACCCCATCTCTACTAAAAATACAAAATTAGCCGGGCACTGTGGCACATGCCTGTAATACCAGCTAGTCGAGAGGCTGAGGCGGGAGAGTTGCTTGAATCCAGGAGGCAGAGGTTGCCGTGAGCCGAGATCATACCATTGCACTCCAGCCTGGGCAACAAGAGCGAAACTCTGTCTCTTAAAAAAAAAGAAGAATATACTAGTTAGTGTTTGAAGATACAGTCTTTTCAGTGTGTAAATCAGATTAAAATTTAGAGGGGCTGAAATATGGGAATAATTATTCCTTTTTTGTTCCCTAATACTAGGTTGCAAGTATTTATGTGACAATATCTGACAGATTTTAAGATAATAGCTTATAAGATAGGGAAAGAAATGTCAAAAGATAACTATGATATCGCATGGGTGTCCAACCTTTTGGCTTCCCCGGGCTACAATGGAAGAAGAAGAGTTGTGTTGGGCCACACATAAAATACACTAACACACTGACTATAGCTGATGAGCTTTAAAAAGCCGGTGGGGGGGTTCCCTGTGTTATTTTTATGATATCTGCCACCACAGATGGGTAAAAAAAATCCTCACAATCAAAGGGTTGGACACCTGTGAAGGCTTAAGGAAAAAAATATCAGTACTTAGAATTTTGGAACTCGGAAAATAGAGGATTTTTAGAATTTTTTTTATTTGCTTTTCCATGCCTTATATTCCCTTATATCTCCTCTCCTTTTGGGGATTTCTGAAGAGACTAGAACATAGGCTTTGGTATGTGACAGACTAGTGGTTGAAATCCCAGCTCTGCTACTTACTTAAGTTACTTGAACAAGTAATGTTACCTGTCAGACCTTTAATTTCTTCAATTGTAATTTGGCCATAATAATAATGGACCCATTGGAACAATGTGAGAATTAAATATTTAGTAACAAACTCATGAAAGATTCTCAAATACTACTCTCACCGCACTGTCTACCCCCCGTTCCTCATCACCACAGAAGAAGCCTTAGAAGTAACGTGATAGTGATCTATAAATACTTGTATGGCTGTTACAGTAACGTAGGACTGAGTTTTCTGTGAATGGTCCAGTGAGTTGAGTTAGGATCACTAGCTAGAGGTTAGAGGGAAACAGATTTCAGGTCTAGATAAGAAAGAATATTTCTAAGGAAATTGCTAAGGAAGGAAGGAATGATTCCCTGATTGCCTTGTCATTGGAGGTATTGAAAAGCATCAGATGAGTGGTTAGAATAGTTGGCATTTTGGCCGGGCATGGTGGCTCACACCTGTAATCCCAGCACTTTGGGAGGCTGAGGTGGGTGGATCACGAGGTCAAGAGATCAACATCCTGGCCAACATGGTGAAACCCCGTCTCTACTAAAAATACAAAAATTAGCTGGGCGTGGTGGCACATGCCTGTAGTCCCAGCTATTTGGGAGGCTGAGGCAGGAGAATTGCTTGAACCCGGGAGGCAGAGGTGGCAGTGGGCCAAGATCGCGCCACTGCATTCCAGCCTGGCAACAGAGCAAGACTCTGTCTCAAAAAAAAAAAAAAAAAGGCATTTTAAAAGTAAATTTCCAGTCCTTAGATCTTTGATTCTATGAAGTTAAGTGGCAAGACAGATCCATGTATATGTAGAACACAAGTCATGTAATTATTTAAATTATTGTAATAGTCTAAACAAAGTGCAAATATATGTGAAAATCCTGAGTTTGGAAAGAGTAGTGATAGTGGATATAAATCTATAACTAGTCTTCTTGATAATTTTAAGTTTTTGAATGACTTATTGTCATATGTGATTCTAGTCTTCTTGAGGATAGAAATTATTTAGTTTAATGTGGTTTGAGGTATAGAGGGCACGGGGAAGAGTGATGGTAGATGAAGCTAAAGAAGTAGGTAGGGACCAAATTTTGACTTTTCTTAGGGTCATAGAAAGCTACCAGACTGAAAGTAACAAGATCAGATTTTCTTTTATGAAAGCATTCTGCCATGGTATGGATGGGTAGTTTCTTAAAATTTGTCTACTTGCATACCAAACAAGGAAAAATGAAGCACATACCCTTTGATGCATTTGTGTGTACATATGGATGTGTGTATATGTACCCACTAACACAGTATGTGTACCAGTCTTTCTATAAATATTTTAGGATTTAAACAAAGTTGTTATAAACAATTTTTAAATGTCTTGCTAATCATGATGACTTCACTGCCAGTATCTTATTGAATGATAATATACTTTAGAAGAGTTTCATTAACAATGATAGAAAGTATAAACCCATATTTCACATAGCTTCCTTAAGAATTTAACCTTTTTTTGGCCTGATTTCACTGTTTTTACTTCATAGTATAGTCAATGAAGAGCTCATACTAGTGATAGCAGTGTCAGTTATGCCTTTTTTTATGTTGCTATTTGCTAGTGCTTACATTTTTCATATTATTCTCACTCTGTAATTTTTTAGCAATACTCATTTAAGCCAGTTATTTATTTGGTGAGTTGCTTTATTCAAATTAGATGACAATCCATAAATCCAATAGATAATCTATCCATAAATGATGTAGATACATTTATGGATAGTATAAACCATAAGTTTATGAAATTCTCCATGCCAAATAGTTTTATAGGTAACTTTATATACTCTTAAAGCAACAAATAATTCCTATTTTGTGCTTTCCTTTTTTTCTACTGTTTCAAAGAGTAGAAAAAAAAAGAAATGTTGGTATAATCTTGATACGAAAACCAGACAAAGATAGCAAAAGAAAGAAATATTTCAACTTACAAACCTAGATGCAAAAATCCTTAATAAATATCAGCAAATTGAGTAAAGTGAGGTATAAGAACATAATAAATAATGACTAAGGAGGCATGGATGATTAAGCATTTGAAAACTTTTCTTAATTTTCTAAATTAAAAATTATGTCCTAATAGATACAAAAAAAGTTATTCTACAAAAGCTGATATATTTATGATAAAAATATCAAACAAAGAATAATAGATGGGCACTTCCACTACCAAAGACATTATAACCTAAAGATTTAAAATAAAAGATAACACAAAAAATGCACACTATCATCAGTTTTAAACATTTGATGAGAGGTCCTTACTCAGCCACCCAATCAGAAAATCTAGTTTTAAAAAAGTTACATTTGCAATAGCTGCAACAACAGGAAAAACAGTGAAATGCCTAAGAATGAAATGGATAAACTATGTCAGGTCTTATGGAGAATATTATAAAAATATATTGAAGGAAGTAAAAGAAGACCAGCAAAATGAATGATTATACTTTAAATGAATGTGAGGACTGATGCTTACAGATTCAGTGTCATTCCAGGCAGAATTCTGACAGGATTTGTTGTTAAATGTGGCTTGCTGATCCTAAAATTTGCAAGCAAGACTTAAAGAGCCAAGAGTAACCAAGTCAAGGTGATAAATAAAGTCTTGCTAAACGTAGCAGCATTAATTAAGTGCAGTAATTAAAACAGGGTGCTATTGGCCAGGATAAAAATAAGTAGGACAGATCAGTAAGCCCAGAAGCTCCCAAACATTAGTGGAATCTTAGTGCAAGACAGAAATGTCATTATAAATCACGGGGAAAGATACTGTATTCATAAATAGTTCCAGGGCAATTGATTACCCAAAAGGGGGATAAGGGGCGGATCCCTACCTTACACCACTCATAAAAGTAGTTCTAGTTGGGTTTAAAAGCTAAATGTGAAAAGCAAAACTAAAAGAGAGGAAATTATAGGATAATATCTTAATTCAAAGTAGGGAAGAAGTTCTTAAAATGCAAGAATCACAGTCCATACAACAATTTTGTATATTTGACTATACTCAAATCTAAAACTTAAGTATAAAGTCACTGAAGAAAGTGAAATGTCAAGCCTCATCTGTAACTGATGTATCTAGAAAGCATTCAGCTAACAAAACTACAGCCAGTGAGACAGACAACTGATAAGAAAAATAGGCAAAGACAAGTCTCAGAAGAAGATATTGGAATAGGCAAATAAGCAAAGAAAAAGATACTTATAAGAATATCTTGCCTAGCCTCCTTCCCTATATAGGATTCTTTTATTCTATATTATAAGAGATGGTAATTCAGCCTCTGAGTGAATAAGTATTTACCAAAAATCTTTGACAACTCTAATAGTTAGGCTCATATCTATGAAGAATATACTCATTGTTTTATATTTTTTTTATCTGCAACAGCGTTTTACTTTACTGTAAATACTTGTAAAAATTATTATGTCTCCAAGACTTCCCTTTTCCATGATAACCTTTAGGGTTTTCTTCCATCTTGTTTTGTTTTTCTTTCTGCAACAATATGAGAAACTCTAGTCCTTTGACATAGTAATGCTGTAAATGTTTGTTGAAACTATTAGGTTTCTTCAAATGTCTGTTTACTCTACAAATCTTTTCAACTTCCTTAATTGTTCTTCATAAGTCAGTTTCCATCCTCCTCATTGTCATTGCCTTCTCTTTCACAAACTCTACACTCACTTAAAATATGGTTACCCTGAGGAAAACATGCCTATTTTCCTCTCCATTGTACTTTCTATCCAGGCATTTCAAATATTTGAGGATATTTCTTTGTGCATTTTAAATTATTTAGATTTGTATAAATACTCTGAGCCTCAGAAAGTGGTAGAAGGGTGAGGCATGCATTGCCTATACCCAGGATTCTTTTTTGTCCTAGTACATTGAGTTAAGAAACAGATATAAATAACATTAGTGTGTCAAGTATATATTTTTTAAATATCAGTTTTAATCTAGGGCCAGAGTAAAAACTCCTAAATTCCAATGTACAAGAAGAAATTTGCAACTTAGAGACCTTTATCATTACTGTAACAACTATGAAGCATAGGCAATCCTATACAGAACAAGATCAGATTGGGCAGAGATGGAATACTTCATTAACTTTGTTAATACAGTCTTCTGCCATAAGATCCGATGAATATTCTGGTAGAACTTTCATTATAGTAAACCTCTCAATGCATTGTAATTGTTTGCATGTTTATCTGCCTTTGGGAGCAGGAAACTTGTCTTTTTTCACTTTTGTGTCTCCACTGCTTGGTATGGTACACAGTATATTGGATTTATTTATTAAATTAAAAATCTTCACCATCCTCAGACGCCACAGATAACTAAAATGAGAGTTGAGACTTGACCATTGCATTTAGGGCGTTTCTGCAGTGAAATTTTCCATTTTAAACATTTTGGTTGCAAAATATTCTGAAATATACTTTTTAATACTTTTTAAAATGCCATGTGGAACATTGTGTCATGATAATGGACATTAACTATTGTACCACCATGTAATGATTTGAAAATTTTAGGATTATTTTCTCTTAATTAGCAAGAGATGAGTAAGATTTTTTTTTAATTACTTCAAAATGTTATCAGTAGGGTCAACTTTGGAATCCATAACTTCTAGTTTAAATTTCTTTTTAACAAATTATGTATAGGACTAATACTAAGTAGGCTTCAAGTGACTATTTGAGAGACTATATTGAATAAAATATATGAATTTCAGCCGCATATTTAGTTGTCATTAAGTATCCTTTGTTGCTGCTGCCACCACCACTGTTGTGCTTTCTTGGCTGTGATTAAGGTAGGTGTTACTATGTGTAAGAGAGTCACGTATAGTTTTATGATGTTATGTATGCTTAATTATGTGGTTTATAAATTAAGTTTTGTAATTCTGTTTGGAAATCACTAAACAGTTTTTAAAGTTCAGTTCAAAAAAATTTCTATGTCCGCTAACGAAATTGTCTATCTTGTTTTTCTATGCCGAGCTTTTGTTTTCTGTGGCTAAAAACATGTGGAAGAAAATGTTATATTCCATGCTTGGGAAGATGCCATGTTTTAGTCGACCTGAAAAATAAAACATATGTCTAGATGGTTATGTGTCCCTTCTAATCTAACCTCCTCTGACTGCAGGGATAGAAGAAACAGGTGATACTTTAAAATTCCAGATCTAGGCCTACGCTCTCCTGCTGAAAATCCTTTAATGGCTTCATATTGCCCTTTAGATAACGTCTAAAATCCTAAACTCCAGGAACCAGCCCCTGCCCACCTATCCAGCCACATCTTGTGTCTCTCTTTCTTTAGTCTTCATATTGGCTTTTTCTCATTTTCTTAAATATGTCATACACTCTCAGAACCTCAGAACACTGACAAAAAAGCTACCTTCTACCCCCAACCAGTTTTTTTTTGTAAGTACATATTACTTATTTTTTTTCCAGGTCTCCTTTTAAACATTAGTTTCTTAGGAAAGCCTCCTCCACACCTCCCATATTGGATGTACACAGACACACACATTGATATTCTTATTCTTACTCATATTTAGTTTGGGGTTCTTACAGTATTTTTATATAATATCCTATATTGTTTTGTAGCATTTGTTACCCTTGTAATTATTTGTTTCAACCATCTTATCTGCTGTTTATTTGGTCTTGTTATGCTTTTTTTTCCTCCTTATTTTCTTTTGGATTGGGTTTCCTCACTTTTCTTTCTTTGCTTACTTTGAAGTTATATACTCTACTGCTATTAAGTTTGTAGTTACCTTAGAAGGTTTTAAAGGTATAGTTAATATAAAAAATTTAGAGTCACCTGCCCTGACACTTACAGCTATATTGAGTGCTGTGTTTCCCTTGTGTGCTGTGTTTCCCTTCTTGTGACATCACAACTTAAACACAACCATTTGTTTTATATCATCAATTTTTGTTGAGAATTACATACATGATTATCATCTCTTTTGCTTATCATTTCTTCTTATATTTCACATGTTCTTCTGGGATCAGACATTCCTTAAATAAGGGTTTATTGGTAGTAAACTCTCAGGATTTTGTTGTTTTTTTTTTTATTTCATTTTCTTTTTCACTTTCATTCTTAAAAGACGTTTTCTCTAGGTACATAATTATCTGTTTGGTATGATTGTTGTGACTGCCAACGAATAGTCTTTTCCTTATAGGTAACTTTACACACTCTACTTTTGGGCTCTCTCTCACTCTTTCTCTCCCTGTTTTGTTTATGGTATTCTGCAGGTTGTCTTGGATATGTTTGGAAGCAGATTTCTTTTTTTTTTCTTCATATAAGCCACAGAATATATTTAATTCAGATTAAACATGAAACTAGAATAATGTTCTGTCCTTACCAAGTAGCAATTACATTTTTTTTAAAAAAAAGAACAATACATTTCTGTCTACATTCCGGCAATCCAACAAGGCAGCACGGGTCACAATCCAACCAAGGCAGCATGGGTCACAAGCAGTTTGATGAGGTGACAGGGGAAGCAGATTTCCTTTCTTTATTCTACTTAAGAGTTATATGTTTCCTAAAACTAAGGAGAAATCTCATCAATTGTGGACATTTTTCAGCCATTATCTGTTCAAATATATTTTTACTCTCACTTTTATTTCCTGTCAAAATCCATTTAGACATATTTTGGATCTTCTTATTTTATCCTCCCTACCTCTTCCTTTTCACATTTTCCATCTCTTTGTTTCTGTGTAATATCATGATTAGTTTATTCAGAAATATTTCCCAATTTACTAATTCTCTTTCAAGCTATGTTAATCATGATTTAACCTGTGTCTTGAGTTTCTAATTTGTCATTATACTTTTCATTTCCAGAAGTTAATTGTTACTTTTTCCAAATATGCCTGTCAGCATGCCCATAATTTTACAAAAGAATCACTAAGCAAGATATCAAAAGTGACTGAGAGGTTATTTTAGATAAGATCGTTGAGGAAGACCTCCATAAAGAAGTGAGTTTGAGCTGAGACTTGAATAATGAGAGGAAGTCCTCCATATGAAGATCTAAGGTCAGGGCATTTAAGTCAGAAGAAATATCAAATATAAATACACAATATCAAAACTCAGGGCAGGAATATATCAGATATATTTGAGGAACTGTATGAAAATTGTCTCAGGTGAAAATCAAGAGATTGTTCAAAGCTTTTTTAATAAGGTGAGATTATAGAATGTGAAGAAATAAAATTGTTACAGTATATATAAGCTGGATTTTTCTTTTTTCTGTTTTGTAAAGAATGTCATTTTTTTAAAAAGTGCACTTTTTAAATTCAGAAGTTCCATAAATGCTATCTAAAATGTCACTTGACTAACTTAATTATTAGGTATATAAAGCAAAAAGAAAAAGAAAAAAGAAATTAGTGTCCTCTGTTGCCATTCAGTTTTTTACAAAAATTTGTTATATGGGTTAAGTATTCTTTATCTGAAATGCTTGGGACCAGAAGTGTTTCAGATTTTGGATTTTTATCTTATTTTGGAATATTTGCATGTACATAGTAAGATATCTTGTGGATGGGGCCCAAGGCTAAACAGAAAATTCATTTGTTTCATATACACCTTATACAAGCAGTCTGAAAGTAATTTTATATAATATTTTAAATAATTTTGTGCATGAAGCAGTTCATGTTAAGTACTCATATGATATAAAGTTGATCACCAACCCTGTGGGTTTCCAAGTGTCAATTCTTGTTTTTTTCTTTTCCCTTGTAATTTCTCCAAGTATTCTCTCCCCAAAGAGATAACTTTCGTACCTACTTTATAACCTTGAAGTTATCAATATGCCAAAATTGGGTTCTTATGCCCAGTTGTAATAAAGCTGATAGTTTGTATTTAATCTTCCTCTTGGTTTTCTGTTACATTAAGAACAAAATTTACATTTCTTTTAATGACTTACTAGGTTCTGCCAAGATTTTGTTCCTGCCTACCACTCTGGACTTGTTCCGTTTCCTTCTCTTCTTCGCCTAGGTGTAAGTCACACTGTCTATGTCTGACACTTGCCAAGCCCACTGTACTTCAGGGCTGCTGATCCCTTTGCCTGGGTTACTCTGCCTTCACATATTCTTGTTTTTTTTTGGCTTGCCCCCTGTTCATCATTTCTGTCTTAGCTAGAGTATCCCCTTAACAATAAGAAAATGATAAATTCCAAATTTCAATGTATAAACAAAAGAAACTTCTTCATGACACAGAAGAAAGCAGTATTAGAAAAATCAAAAGACAGTGGCAGTCTGTGAAAAAATGTTTGCACCTTATAAAATAAAAAATGAATGATTCTAATCTATTAAGAGTTTCAAAAAATTGAAATGTAAAATATGAACAGCCTGATAGAAAAATGAGCATAATTATACTGTCAGTTCATAGAAGAAATTTTAAAAGCCCTTAAACATAGGAAAATACTCTAAACCATACTCATGTGATTCACACCTGTCACACTGATAAGAATTCAAGTTTAGCTATATACCCTGTTTGTCAAAGCTGTTAAGCAACAGACATTTTCATGCATTACTGTGGAAATACAAACTGGTGCAGTCCTTATGGAGGCATTGACAGTATCTTACATTTTATAAGCGTTTGTCCTTTGACCTAGCAATCCCATTTCAGGGAATCAAGCCTTTAATTACACCTGCACAAATATGGAATGATATGCATTCAGGGTGATTCACTGGGACATTAATTGTAATAGCAGGACATTGGAAATAATCCAAATATCCATCAGTAGTGCCCTGGTTAGTTAAATTATTTATATCCACACAATGGAAGGCAAACATCAAAAAAAAAAAAAAAAAAACGGTGAGAATGATCTCTTGATAGTGAATTTCCAGGTTTTCTTGTGAGGTAATAAAAAGCAAGTTGCAGAAATACATATATTACATGCTCTCTTTTGTGTAGAAAAGCAGGGAAGATAAGCCAAAAACTAACGACAATGAATGTGGTTACCAAGAAGGGGATGAAGTAAATGAGGCAGATGAGACAGGAATGGAAGTGCTCTCAACAGATCTTGTTATTGAGTTTTATGTAAATATTCTGTATATTCCAAAGGATAAACATTTTTTTAAAGTAGAGCAATCCCAAAAACTTGAAGTAGAATATAACAAATAAACCTGGCTGGGTCAAATTAGTAACATAATGTTAGTAACATAACATTGAGAAAAGAATTATATCAAGTGATTTTACCCAGCATTTTGACTATACATTCTTAGTGAAATACATTCCAAGGGCAATAGAATATATTCCAAGGGCAAAAAAATACTTTAAGGAACCCTTAAACCTTTTTTTTAGTAATACTAGTAATAATGTTGTCATTATTTTTTGAGTCTGTAGAACAAACCAAATATGTAATCATGTTAACATCATTATGAAACCAGTATTTTCAGTGTAAGAGAAAAAACAAGCAACATCAAGTAAAAAACCTTATATTACATGTGGATTGGAAACGCAGTGCAAACCATGAATTATTTTCAAAAATACACATTTCCTCATCTGATCACTGAAATAGCCTATAAGCAACGAAAACTCAGTGGCATTGAACCTAAACCTGGAGTGTGGTCTCTAAACATTATTTCCCTTTGAAAGGAAGCAGGCCTCTTTGGACTTCAGGTTTGGACTAGGAAATGTACAAGATGAGCCTGGAACATCTTGTGCTAGCAGGCAAGGAAGCCCAAAGACGAATTTGTTAAAAGAATACAGGAGTCAATGTTAAAGGTTCCCAGGTGGTCAAGTATGAAAATATTTGATCATCAGTAGAAGAACAATTTCGGTGGAATGAAAAATATTGAATGTTTTAAAATGTACTCATTTATGAGAACCAGAAACTGAAAGTGTCCCCCAGAGTTAGTAGTCTCTATTGGAGGTACACACCACACCAGTTCTTTACTGTGAAAATTAACAATTAAAGGAAAGTGTTAAGTATTTATTTTGCTTTTTCTATACAAATTGTGTTTCAGGACAACCAAATCATTTAAAGAAAATTCTTGAAGAATGTTGGCTAATAAATATGGAAGGCATAATAGACTTAAAATATTACTGTTTTTCCACCCCAATAAGATAATTGAATCAAACAACAGAATCAGAAGATAAAGACTAATGTAAATTAATACAGCCACTGTGGAGAACAGTTTAGAGGTTACTCAAAAAACTAAAAATAGAGCCACTATATGATCCAGCAATCCCATTGCTAGGTATATACCCTAAAAAAAAAAAAAAAAAAAAAAAAAAAAAAAAAAAAAAGAAATCAGTATATCAAAGAGAAGTCTGAACTCCCCTGTTTATTGCAGTTTTATTCACAATAGCCAAGATTTGGAAGAAACCTAAGTGTCCATCAGCAGACAAATGGATAAAGTAAATGTGGTACACATACACAATGGAGTGCTATTCAGCCATAAAAAAGAATGAGATCCTTTCATTTGCAACAAGATGGATGGAACTGGAGGTCATTATGTTAAGCAAAATCAGGCACAGAAGGACAAACTTTTCATGTTCTTACCTACTTGTGGGAGCTAAAAATTAAAGCAATTGAACTCATGGAGATAGTAGAAGGATGGTTACCAGAGGCTGAGAAGGATAGTGGGGGGTGGGGTAAGGAGGAAGTGGGGATAGTTAATGGGTACAAAAAAGTAGAATGAATAAGATCTAGTATTTGAGAGCACAATAGGATGACTGTAGTCAATAACAGTTTAATTGTACATTTTAAAATAACTGAGTATAATTATATTGTTTGCAACACAAAGGATAAATGCTTGAAGTGATGGATGCCCCGTCTACCCTGATGTGATCGTTATACAATTGTATGTCTGTGTCAGAATGTCTCATGTACCCCATACTCAGTAACCACAAAAATTAAAACTTACAAAAGAAACACAGGCCAGGCGTGGTGGCTCACACCTGTAATCCCATCACTTTGGAAGGCCAAGGCGGGTGGATCACCTGAGGTCAGGAGTTCGAGACCAGCCTGGCTAACAGTGAAACCCTGTCTCTACCAAATACAAAAAAATTATCTGGGTGTGGTGGTACATGCCTGTAATCCGAGCTATTTGGGAGGCTGAAACAGGAGAATCGCTTGAACCTGGGAGGCGGAGGTTGCAGTGAGCTGAGATTGTGCCATTGCACTCCAGCCTGGGCAACAAGAGCGAAACTCCCTCTTGAAAGAGAGAGAGAGAGAGGGAAGGAAAGGAGAGGAGAAAAGAAAGAAAGAAAGACATTGTTTCACATCCACTAGGGATGGCTAGAATCTAAAAGATACAAGAAGTGTTGGCAAAGATGCAGAAAATTTGGACCCCTGATACATTGCTGGTAAGAATATAAAATGATGCAACCCCTTTGGAAACAGTCTGAAGTTCCTCAAAAGGTTGCGCATCCAGTTATATAACCCAACAGTTCTACTCTGAGGAACCTACTCAAGAGAATCGAAAACATATGTCCACACAAAAACTTGTTCACAAATGTTTATAACAGCATTATTCATAATAGCCAAGAAGTGCAAACAACCCAAATGTCCATTAACTGAAGAAAGGATAAGTAAAATATTGTACATCCATACAATGGAATAGTATTCAACAATAGAAAGGAGTACTGATGCATGCTACATGAGTGAACCTTAAAAACATTGTGCTAAGTAAAAGCAGCCAGTCAAAAAAGACCAAATATATGATTCTATTTGTATGAAATGTTTAGAATAGGAAAATCCATAGGCATAGAAAGTAGATTACTGGTTGCCAAAGGCCAGGAGTCATAGGACAAGGGAGAGCAGTCGCCCAAGGGTGCAGGATTTCTTTCTAGGGTGGAGAAAATATTCTAAAATTGTGATGGTTGCACAACTCTGAATACAGAGAAAACTGCTGAATTGTAATAGCCAAGATTACGGGATCAACCTAAATGTCCATCGACAGATGAATGGTTTTTTTTAGTGTGGTATATATACAAAGTGGAATACTATTTCAGCCAATAAAAAATGAAATCCTGTCATTTGCAACAACGTGGATGAAACTGGAGGACATTAAGTAAAATGAAATAAGTCCAGCACAGTAGGACAAATACAATATGTGTATTTGTCACTCATGTGGAATCTAAATAAAGTCGATCTCATAGAAGTAGAGAGTAGAATAGTGATTACCAGAGGCTGGAAAAGGGTGTGGGGAGGGGAATGGACAGAGGTTGATCAACAGGTACAAAGTTAGGTAGGAGGAATACTTGTGTTTTGTTGCACAATAGGGTGACTATAGTTAATGGTAACATAGTTCAAAACAGCTAAAAGAATATTTTGAATGTTGTCACCAAAAAGACAAGTGTTTGAGGTGAATATGCTAATTACACTGATTACTGTACAATGTGTACATGTATACATGTATGTACCCCATAAATAGGTTCAATTATGTGTCAATTCAAACCAATAAAACTTTTTTTATATATATTATATATATAAACATATATATATAAAGATAAATATCAGAGGAAAGATTATTTTGAGAACTTTACAACAGAGGGGTCAGACTGTCACCATCAGAACACACTGATCACTTGAGCATCATTGAAAATAGACTTTATGTACCTCGTGATATGTCACTTCACCTGTGAAGTATTCTTACCAAAAATGTTGAACACGGATCTAAACAATTATTAGACCGCTGGTTCTCAAGCATAGTCAGGAAGCCCTGAGAATCCCTGAAACCCTTTCAGGAGATATACCAGGTTAAAATTAGTAATATGTTATTTGTTCTTTTTACTCTCATTCTCTCACAAGTGTGTATAGTAAAGTCGCCCAGAAGCTACATGATGTGTGATATCTCAACACAATCAATGCAGAAGCAGATGTGAGAATTCAGCTGTTTTCTATTAAGCTGGACATTAAAGAGATCTACAAAACTGTTTTTAAAATATAATTCTTTTTACTCATCTTGAAAACGTTTTTCATAAGTGTTTTTATGAACATTAACATTTTTAGCGTTGTTATTGTTATCAATTATAAATACTTTTAAAATCCTTTTATTTAATTTCTGTTATGGTAAATATCAGTAGATACAGCCCACATAAAAGGTCTGCAATAATTTTTAAGAGTAAAAAGGAATTGTGAAATCCAAGTTTGAGTTACTTGCTTTATTGCCAATTCCAAGTTTATCAGAATTATTATACAAGAAATTTTTTGAAGCAAAGTAAATGATACCACAGGAAAATAGTGCAGATGGTCATCAACTTAAGATGGTTCAACTTACAGTTTTTCAACATTACAATGGGTGTATTGGGATATAAATGCATTTTTGACTTACTATATTTTTTTATTTACAGTGGGTTTATCAAGACATAGCCCCATCATAAATTGGGGAAAGTGCTGCCCTAAATTAGAGACCATGGCCAGGCGTGGTGGCTCACGCCTGTAATCCCAGCACTTTGAGATGCTGAGGCAGGTGGATTACTTGAGGTCAGGCGTTCAAGACCAGCCTGGCCAACATGGTGAAACCCCATCTCTACTAAAAATACAAAAATTAGCCAGGCATGGTGGCGCACACCTGTGATCCCAGCTACTCAGGAGGCCAAGGCTGGAGAATCGCTTGAACCCAGGAGGCAGAGGTTGCAGTGAGCCAAGTTCATGCCACTGCACTCCAGCCTGGGCAGCAAAGCAAGACTCCATCTCAAAAATAAATAAATAAATAACCTTAGAATCAAATGTGTCACACTAAGAATCAAATGTAACACAGAGACATTATTTGATTCTAGTTGAAGATACCAGCTGTAAAAACACATTTTGGACTCAAGAAATTTCAATGCAAATTATGCATTAGAAGATAGCTTTACCTACTGTAGCAAAACTAGAAAACAAATAAGAAAATGAAGAAAATAACAATTTTCCTGTATTCTTCCACCCAGAGCTATCTGCAGGTGCTCCTGTGTTCAGTCCTTCCAAACCATTTTCTGAAGAATATCTACCTGTGCACAAAACACACTCGCAGTGCTCAGCCCCACTGACCTACCACATGAGATATATATCCTCTGTAAACTGTTTGCATAATTTATATTTTTGACATCCTTATGTTACTAAGTATTTTTCTGCAGAATCATTTTAATACTTAAATTCATTTACTTAGCTCAATAGTATGGAAGGATCACATATTGTGTGTCTTGTATATATAAATAAACATTCTTGAGCTAAGGTTTTAAACTCAATCTTAATTTTTACTTCAGGACAAATTCCTAGAAGTGAAATTGCTGGATCTAAAAGAATGTATAATGCTGTTGAAAGTTATGGTAGTAGGGGTAGGGGCAAGGTGGTGACCAGAAGAAGATACTGAGGTGGGGGAGCATCAGGGTTGACACTGGTAAGTAGGTGTAGTTTTTATACAGGAAGGTTGAGTTCATGAAAATTCATTAAACTGTATAGTTAGATTGTACTTTTATGTAAAACATTTATAAAAGGTTTTTTAAAAGTAATCATTTTTGGAGGAGCATAACAAGGAGTCTCAAATGCATGGTTAAAAAAATCTAAAGTCTTCCACTATGATGTTGCAATAAGTATACAAACCATGTTTTAAATAATATATTTGGCTAAAACTTTTTACAGAATAAGGTAATGTAATATAGAGGATAAAAGAGAACATGTTCTTTAAAATGTTTTTCATAGGTACTGACTTGAAACCTTTTGAAGCCATGATTTAATTCAGTACTTGCAGGAATAACTGAAGAAAGAAAAAAGAATTACAATAAGTCTAAAGTGGCATTTGGTGGAAATGTTGAAGCCTTATTTTAATTTCACCTATAGCATTTTCCTAAATTTGCTATTATAAATGTTTACATCTTAAATTCACTATAAGCACTTTACTTTGATTTATATCATCTCATCGTGAATAAATAGTAGATTAATGAATTCTGTAGTATTTCAGCTATATATATACAAAACAAAACACATCGGGAAGAAAATAACCTTCCAGTTAAAAAACTATTTGAGCCCGGGCATGGTGGTTCATGCCTGTAATCCCAGCACTTTGGGAGGCCAAGGCGGGCAGATCATTTGGTGCTCAGGAGTTCGAGACCAGCCTGGCCAATATGGTGAAACCCCGTCTCTACTAAAAATACAAAAATTAGCTGGGCTTGGTGGCCAGTGCCTGTAATCCCAGCTACTTGGGAGGCTGAGGCAGGAGAATCACTCGAACCCAGGAGGTGGAGGTTGCAGTGAGCCGAGATTGTGCCACTGCACTCCAGCCTGGGCAACAGAGTGAGATTCCGTCTCAAAAAAAAAAAAAAAAAGAAAAAAAAAAATACTATTTGACTTGCAGAGGTAGGCAAATGAAGGAAAAACCAATCCTAAGGCTGGAATAATGTGCTACTCTTGTGTTATTTCTCCCATGACTGAAACGCCATAGTTAAACAGTAACAATCAAAACAATTTTATTTGCAGTGAGCATAAGACTTCAAATTTTTAAAATCGAAATTTGGATAAACCCAGGGAATGCTTTTACACTTTGTTGATTTTTTTGCTAATTAAGTTTACGGATTTTTTTTATTATGGAAACTTGGGAAAGGCAGAAAAGTATGTGTAAGTGTATATGTAGGCACATACATACCTAGGTATGTGCATGCACACAATCACATATTTTAACTGCTCGACGCTTTATCAACCAAAGATCACCATTGTTCCCATTTTTGTATATTTACTTCCACAGTTTATTCTATATTTCATTTTATTTGGGGGTTCTTGTTTTACATGCAAAACATATTTACATCATCTGTATATCAAATTTTATATCGTACCTTTTAAAAATGTTATAGTAGCATTTGCATTTACATGTTTACATCATCTGTATATCAGATTTTTATATCATACCTTTTAAAAACGTTACAGTAGCATTTGCAGTTTTTTCATGCTTTATTAATGCCTTACTGGCAGTGTTAAATCTAATTCTCAAACAAGTGAAGGGACCATAATTTATGTAACCATTTTTTAAATATTTAGTGTTTTTAAAAAATTGTACAATCTACGGTATATCTTTTTATATAGAACCTTTTTTATGTTAAATATTATTTTCTTAAAATAGATACCTAGAAGAGTGTAAACATTTTTAAGATTTTTGAAGACATATGGCTACATCGTTTTTTGTTTTTGTGTTTTTTAAGAGACAGGAGTCTTACTATGTTGCCCAGTCTGGACTTAAACTCTGGGCTCAGGTAATTCTTCCGTCTCAGCCTCTCAAGTAGTTGATTTCTCTTTCATTTTCAGTTTTATTATCAAAATTTGCACATTAATAAACCTATTTATGCCATCCGGTTGTTGTGAGAACTGGATGAGTTAAGACATGTAATGTTTGTAGCAAATGCTTCGCACACTTTAAGTACACTATAGAAAAATAGAGTTTTAAACACATTAGGTTTAATGTAAGTTACTAATATTTTCTAGCAATCAGTCGAATATAATTAACAAAACCATAAGAATTTCCTAGAGAGGAGAATAGCAAAAGGCCAGATAAGAGATGAAACAGAATGATTTCCTTGGAGGGGTGGAAAACAATTCTATATTATGAAGGTTCCAGTTGTCCTTTTTGAATAGATCCTGTATCAGAAATTTGCATGACAATACAGGAAAGAAAACAGTTTATAAATGAAAAATTGAAATCTGAATTTTAACTAAAAACCCAATAAAGTGTCAGTATTCAAGAAATTGCCCAATGTGGCCATGACTTCAATTTTTGAAACGTCAGTTTATTTTTAAATTGAATTCCGGTAGTGTTATATAGACAATTACCTGACCTTGTTCAAAGATTAGATTGGCTTATCTTTAATTCTGTACATTTTACAATAGCGTTTGGTCAGAAATAATTAAATTATAGTGTTAAATGACCCGTCTCCAACCAGTAAATGAAAACAATTTTGTATTTATTAAATGTTAGTAAAAATTTTGAATATACAGAAAAATACAATGTAATAATCCTGTACTTGTTAACCAGAATTAATAAACGTGTTACTTGTTCATATTTACCTCTGATTTGTCTTCTCTTAAGGAACTAAAGTATTTCTAGAAATACAGTTAAGATCCTTTTAGATCTTTTTGTTTACCCTTGGAAGCAACCAATGATACCACCTATTTATGTATCTGTAAACAAAATAGTTTTGTGTGCTTTAAATATTCACATAAATGGCATAATAAATACACTGTCTTTTTCACTTAATCCTGAAGTTTACTTATTCACCAAAAATTAAAAATCACAGCAACACCAAGTGTTATCAAGGATGTGGGAAATAAATTTGGTAATATCTATTGTTCAGCACTTCTGATAGTTTATCTTAGAGAATTATTGTACATGAACACAAGAAAAATTTAGAAGGATATTCATTTCAGCATTGTAACAGTGAAAAACTAAAACAACCTGAATACCAACAGTAAATAAATGGGGAATAAATTACAGTGTAATAAGATAGACTGCAGAGAATATACTAGTAAAATTGAATTAATTACCTCCCCCTCCACCTTACTTAGTTTGTATTATCTTGTAATAGCATGCTGGGCGCTTAATTTTATCTACATTATTCACTACAAAATGGTGGGAGAGGTTACCAAGAGTTGATTTTAAACAGATTTTTATCATATATTTAGAGTTAATTTTAGTACTTTGGAATGATGTACACACAAAATCTAGTTATATCTCCATTGTGAAAGAGTGATGTAATCACCATTCAGATAAATGTAAATTATGAGGAAAAAGAAAATATCCTTCCCCCACCCCCACCATTCCTGGGCTTTCTCTATCCTTCCCAAGCTGGCTGTCTCATTGTTTTTGTTTTTCTAATTCAGACAATCCTAGGAGTATCTTCTTTTGACTTTTCCAGCCCTTGAACTACAGGCTTTATGAAGAAAAGGGAATCATGCTATCAGCAAAATAGTATAGATGGTTAATACTGCTAACAAAAAGTGAGATTTTCCATAGATAACTAAAATTGATCTAAAATTCTTAATGGTATTGCAACTATTACATATTTATGTATTTTGTGTTTACTATGTAGACATTAATTGATAAAAGAATTTTAATGCAATGTGACAGAAATATGGAGTACATTTTTCATTTTCACTAGATACCATAATATATTACTTTATTTGTCAAATCCTTTTAGAATAAAACTTTTAACATAGCCTAGATGTGGAGAAAGGGCTATGAAGAAGAGATAAAAGCATTTCTCAATAGGGTCATTGTTTAGACTTCCTAAAGAGAAAGAATCAGAAGTATAAGCCTATTTGCATAGGTTTCTGAAAGATGGAGTAGAGCTTATATGTAGCTCATTCAGATTAAAATGCGCTATAGTTGGTGCTTCGTGTGTGAGTAGTCCAAAAAAAGAAAAGAAACCTTTATTGCCCCAAGTAGAGAGCTGCAGCCTAGTTTTTATAGTATCTGTAAAGGAGAGAAAGGGGTTCCTGTACCTCCTTCCATAATTTCTATTTTATGAAATAATTTTAAGTGGAGCATATCAAGTCTAAGAGAGCTTAGAATGGGGGAAATTTCATTACTTCATTCTGAGACTAAGAGTAACAGACTTAGGGGAATGTGTTTTATATGCCATAAACTGTACATAAAATGAGCAAAATCAAAATGAGTGAATAAAGTTATAAACTTGAATATGAGTTTGGCAGTTATCCTTTCTTATAAGTTCTTAAAGTAGTAAAATTTTAATTGCCAAAAAAGAGAAATGAGATGACAGAACAGAGGAAACATTTCTTTCTCCTTTTAGTAGGTTTTAGCACTCTACCAATGTTTAGTAATACAAATGAATAAGTCAAGATCCTGAACCCTGAGGGATTCAGTCTCATGGGAGAAAAAGATTTATAAATCAATAATTGCATGATAGTTTCATAAGTATTATAGGATGCTGTCCACGCAGGAAGACAAAATAAGCATCTTCTGCCTGGGCAGGGGATCTGAGTCTTTAAGGATAAGTAGAAGTTTGATGAGTAGAAGTTTGACAAGTTGAATAAGTAGAGCATTCTAGGCAGAGGGAACAATGTACTGCAGTTTGAGAGGCATAACACTGCATAGCACGTTTGAGGGAATTCAAGTAGTTACATAGATAAATGAGACGTGAGGTTTGAGATGAGTTGGAGACTAAGCTTAAAATTAAGCTGGATGGGTAAACTGGGGCAATAAACTGTATTTAATAATTTTTCGAGATACTCTGTGCCAGGTACTTTGCTTCTTCAGTCTCCCCCTTTTACCCTTCTAATCTGTGGACTCTAACCTCTAGCCACACTGAATTTTTCCAGTTCTTTGAAATTCTATTCAGCAAACATTTATTGAATACTTATTGTATGCCAGGCACTATTCTAAGCAGCAGGAATATATTGATGAATAAAATATGCATGGTCTCTGCCTTCACATAGCTTATAGTCTGTGGCTAGCACTGGTGGGTATATGAACAACTAGCATTACAACCCACTAAATACTGTAAGTAAGTGTTACTGGTATAGTAACCTATTATGATGATCAGCCAACTCTACATTGTGTTCTGAGTGGGGCTGATGAGTTAGATTTGGTGAGAATTAGGAGGGGTTGCCGGGGTGAGGCGGGGGTCAGGAGGAGAAGAGTATGAATCTTCTAGGCAGAGGAAACCAATTCCAAGTGTGAAAGCCCAGAAACGAGAAATAGCATAGCACTTTCCCAGCAGGTTTCCCTGCTCCACCTTTAGCTCCTTGCGGTCCATTCTCCCATAGCAGATTGATCTTTTAAAAACCTAAATTGAAATCATGTCAGTCTTCCACCCAGAATTCTCCAGTGGCTTCCTGTCTCTGTCAGAATGAAATGCGAAGTTCTTGCCATGGCCCAATGGCCCTGTTTAACCTCTTCCTATAACATTTCTGATCTCAGCTCACTCTTGGCCTGGCTTCCTTCATTTCAGATACCCTGGCCTTTGCTATTCCTCTGACATTCCAGACATGGTTCCATATCACAGCCCCTATACAGACTGTTCTTTTGGAAACGTTCTCCCATGTATCTGATTAGTTGGTGATCCTCACCTTATTCAGGGCCCTGTTCAAATCAAAGAAGCCTGCACTGATAACACTGTGTAAAACAGCAGCATTCTCAGCCCCACCCTCATTACTCTATCAGCTTACTCTGTGTTATTTTCCAGGGTGGCACTATCATAATTGCTGGTGGTAGTGGTGCTGGTTGTGGTGTTGTATGAATTATCTCATTAGATCCTAAGCACTATGACTATGACAATAGGTACTTTGTATGACTTTTTTTTTTGATGCTCTTCTAGTGCCTAAAATAGTGCTTTGCATATAGTGAGCGCTCAATAAATTATTGTCGAAGTCTATATAGGAGGCTATAGATAGGATGTTTTGTTTTATTTTTCATCTTTGTATCTGCCCAGGAACATACATATTTCATGGATTGATTATGGTTACAGTAAAACCCAGTTGAATTTTTTAAGCCCAGTTGAATTAGTATATTTTTAAACATGTATTTTTCAATAATAATTTTTCTTAGAGCTAAAACTTTCAGTTTTTTAGCTAACAATAAAAACATTCACGGAATTCTTTGCTGGGTTTTAAATTCATGGTTTATTTTTATCCTTTTTGATCCTGAAGCATGCCAGATTAACAAGTCTGAATCATTGAGTTTTTATTTATGTAAATGTTATAATTACATTTTAATAACATGCGTAGGCAGTTATTTTATAACATTATTTTTCTAAAGTTGCATTATCGTAAATTATGTCTTTAGTCGTAGATATAAGCACAATTTATTATGTAGGCAATGATTTAACTATTGTATAGTTCAATAATTTAAAAGAGTAAAATTTTACACTATGAGTTCTAGAAAATACATGTTTATACGTACAGCCACAGTTTACCTTTTGCTAGTCCTAGTAAATGCTAATTATTCAATTCTCTTACTCATCATCACATTTTCTATTCTCTCCATTTTGTACAATTTACATCACTCCCACCTTCCCAAAGCATTATCTGGGCAGCTTTGAATGGAAAACAGTCATGAATGAGCAATCAATGGCTATTCACTACAAAATGGTGGAGAGGTGACTAAAAGTTTATCTTAGACAAATTTTATATCATATATTTAGTTAGTTTCTTCCTATCACCTGGCAATGCCAGCTCCTCCTCTGTTCTTTTTTTCCTATATAGTGCCTTCCCAGTCATATCCTGTTCCTAAACCCGTTTAAGATGAATAGGTAATGGCCACATATCAAATACTAGTGTTATGAATTAGATCAACAAAATATGAAATATTAAAATGTAAGGATTGCCTATCTGTTGCAAATATAAAGTTTTTTCTCTTGCAAAAATTATAGGGGATGGAGTGTTAGATCTCTCTACAAAGAAAACCAGCATAAAATCTGAAGAGTCATCCATATGTGATCCTTCTTCTGAAAATTCAGTGGCTGGGTAAGCAATATCTAGGAAATATAATTTAATATTAATATAAAATTATCTCTGCAGAGAACTCTTAATACTATTCTGAGTAGTATTGACGTATATAGTTTTCCTCCAGAATTTTTGTCACTCATAAGTGTCTCTCTCTCATACCTTTCATTTGTCCTTTCTCTTTCTTTTTTATTCTTTCTGTTAAAGAAAAGTTATCAGAACAATCACCAAACTTTAGTTCATGTTACTAAAATGAACTACCAACTTATAGAATACAAACTAAGAAGCAGGACGAGTAAGAGAATATTAAATTAAATACTCAGGACGCAATTTTAAGGGAAATATGTAATTTATTAATTTTTTAAAACAATGAACAAATTCCAAAAGCACTGTACTTACTAATTAATGCTAGTTTATAGTGTTTAGATTTTTTTATTGCACTTTAGATGTGGTGGCAAACTACTTAAATATATCTAGTAATCACCACAAAAAGTCCTCTCATGTTTTGAAAAGTGTCATTAATCATTAAATAAATAATTAGTAGTGAAATGCTGTTCTGTTGGATTTTTGGATTTTTTTTTACAACTTTTTTGCATCTTCCCATTAACTAACTGCATAGGAAGCTTTTTTGTCACATTTAAATCTTAGAGGTAGATTGTAATTTGTTTCAACTACGGCTGTAGTAGTATTTGAGTCGTAAGGTATAGTAAGCTTTCTGTTTGAGAAACTTTGAAAATTACAATGATAATTTGAAATAGTGACATTTATAATATCTAAAATTAAATTATTCAAATATAACATCTACTTGTTTCAAGTTTTAAGCTCTTGTCTAGAGAAAAATTAGTCTTGTGGAAATATGGGATGTTTGTGTTTGGAAATATTCCTGCTGCTACAAATTTCCTTTAAAGGGGTTGACTCTTTTATTACTTGTTTAGCGGTAACGTCACGTTTGTACTAACAAAAACTCCTTTAGGATTTGGGTACTTTTTATAATGGAGCTCTAATTGTATAAATAAAATTTATAAGTGTTGCTCTGCAAGCATCTATCAGAGGAATAGCAACATCATGAGAATATTTTTACAAATACTGAGTTAGGATTTTATGTTCTTGGAAGGTCTGCCCGTTGAGGCCACCGTATCATTGTCACATTGTCCTACCAGGACTGTAGCGTTTGCTTTGATAAGGAGTAACTACTACATCTCACAGACTTAAAAGTGTCATAAGCAGTGATGTTACCTAAGCAAGGAGTATAATAAAGGAGTGGACCCTCCCCTTCCATAGCTGTGTGAGAGTCTCTCATGCATCAGTTTACCATCGTTTCATTCCATCCATCCAGGAGACTACACAGAAACAGAGAGGACTATGTGGAAAGAAGTGCTGAGTTTGCAGATGGTTTGCTCTCAAAAGCTTTGAAAGACATTCAGTCTGGAGCACTGGACATAAATAAAGCAGGCATACTTTATGGCATACCTCAAAAAACTTTACTTCTTCACTTAGAAGCCTTACCAGCAGGGAAGCCTGCATCTTTTAAAAACAAAACTCGAGATTTCCATGATAGTTATTCATATAAGGACAGTAAAGAAACTTGTGCAGTGCTGCAAAAAGTAGCCTTGTGGGCAAGAGCTCAAGCAGAGCGCACAGAAAAAAGTAAACTCAATCTACTTGAAACCTCAGAAATAAAATTCCCAACAGCTTCCACTTACCTCCATCAGCTAACTCTACAGAAAATGGTCACTCAGTTTAAAGAAAAAAATGAAAGCCTCCAATATGAAACTTCAAATCCTACTGTACAGTTAAAAATTCCTCAGCTACGAGTAAGTTCTGTCTCAAAATCACAACCTGATGGTTCTGGTCTGTTGGATGTTATGTATCAAGTTTCCAAAACCTCTTCAGTCCTAGAAGGATCAGCTCTCCAAAAACTGAAAAATATACTCCCTAAACAGAACAAAATAGAATGTTCTGGGCCTGTAACTCACTCAAGTGTTGACTCTTACTTTCTACATGGGGACCTCTCTCCTTTGTGTCTTAATTCTAAAAATGGAACAGTTGATGGAACCTCTGAAAATACTGAAGATGGATTAGATCGAAAAGACAGTAAGCAGCCCAGGAAAAAACGTGGCCGCTATCGGCAATATGATCATGAAATAATGGAAGAAGCTATTGCAATGGTAATGAGCGGAAAAATGAGTGTTTCCAAAGCACAAGGAATTTATGGGGTACCTCACAGCACTTTAGAATACAAGGTAAAAGAAAGATCTGGAACACTGAAGACTCCTCCGAAGAAGAAACTACGATTACCAGACACTGGGTTATATAATATGACAGATTCAGGGACTGGCAGCTGCAAAAACAGCAGCAAGCCTGTGTAGATTACTTGTTAGGAAAATGTTTGTGAGTGTGTGTGTGTGTGTGTGTTTGCGTGTGTGTGTATGTGCACAGGTGTGTATTTGTGTGTCTATATACACACGTGGGAATTACAAATGCTCACTCTGACAGGAGACATGAAATTTTACAGTTCAAAAACCACTTACATGCCTTTTGAAAAAAAGTTTTATTCAGGGTTTTCACTGTGGACAGAATTATATAGTTGCTTACTTAATTCTGATAGTTTGTATTTAATCCTTGTATAAATAGGTGAAAAAGATTCAGGTTTTCTTTAGTAGTCAATAGCATAAAGCGTTGTGGGAAAACGAGTAATTGTCAAGTGAAACATTTTTATTGGTGAAAGACCATTCCAGCCATTCAGTTGAACCATCTTATAATGGAAATATGATATTCATAGTTTATAAACATTCTATACAACAGACTTAACACTTGTTGTATGTATGTCAAGCAACCAATCAAAGTTTAAATAGCTATCTCCATACTAAGAAAAATTAATATATACAGTATTAGTACACGACAGTGCATTCTATGAAATACAAAATGCACTCAAGTGCATCCACCAGGAATAGAAAAGAAAACCTTAAAGGATATGTATAATGAAATTTAATATTTATCATTTAATAGTTGATTTAGCAAGAAGTTGGGGTTTATAAGGTATATACTTTAAAAAAACTGACACATAGTTAACCCCAGCAGCTATAGAACCCTTTAATATAATAAGATGGAGTACTAAGAACAAAAAATAATTTAAATTTAATTATTAAAATAATTTAGTTTTGTTTTTCATTTGAAAAATAAGCTAATGTGTAAGGTTAGAAAAGAAAGTTGGAATGCAACTTAGAGCATGTTTATAATGTGCACAGAAAAAGCTTGAGAATGATAATTTTGGTTTAAATGTGCTGGTTAGTTGATGTTATGACTACTTTAAATTTTAAGGATTGTGACACACTCCTACTATTGAAAAACCTCAGTGTAACTTTAATATATTTGCTGCTGTGACATTTCAAAACATTTTCAGTTTATCAAAATGAATTGCAGATTTCATTTTGGTGGGCGATACATTATCATTTTGCTAATAACCAAATTTGCAGTTTGTTCAGGGTCTTGAATAGATTTACAAATATTTAACACTGAAGCTGTTTTGAACTTTCAGTAATGTAAACTCTCTACTAATTGGGTAGTTAGAAGCTGGGCAGTGCATTTTAACTTTTACTAGACTCATAAGAGAGACTGGTCATTTTTACCTAGCAGTTTTAAAATATGGGTCAAAGTATCCTTGTTGGATTTATGGAGTATGCAACTGTAGTGGTAAAATGTTATAAAGCATATGCCTTCATATAAAGAATAGGGATTTGCTTTATGTATTCAAAATTCTCTGAGTGCCCCCTTTCTCTGTTAAAATTCAGGTTCTGATCATTTTTCTAAGCCAGTTTTCCTAAGTCCAAAAGGAATACTTTTAGCTGAATTTAAAAAATAAGTGCACCTTGTCAAATGCTTGTGTTTTTACACTTGTGTTTGTGTGTATTTAATAATCATATATACGTGTAATACTAAAGAGATTTTCAGCTATTAAATTTTAAAACTGCTTACATGTTTAAAGAAACTGAAGAGTGAGAAACTACACAACCAAGCAGTTATTTGGTCTCTGAGATCTATACTTAACCCTCTTCAGCTATTAATGTTACCTGCACACTAGGGTATGAATCCTCTTTTTTTTTTTTTTCACCCCAAGAAAATATACATAATAGATTACAGAACAGCAGATGTCAGGGTCATCTTTCTTTTTAAAGAATTAAGCCATATTTTGTGAGGGCCAGAACTTGCATTATTTAGTATATTTCCCCCTTCCCCCAATGGAAAGCAAAGTTAAAGGTAAAGTACATATTTCAAAACAATTTTATTGACCTCTTTATACAGAATTTTACTTGGAAAACTTTGGGGGCTTTGAATGCATTACATAATATTTATATTGTATTGAGCTTTTTTATTCCTCACACTATATTTACATTAATAAATTGATTGAGAAGTTTATAGTAAAGGGAAACTTACAGAACACTTTTGTATCATTTAAAAGATGACCTGACCAAAAACTTTACAGGATTCATAAATCAGGGATCATTTTGCTATTGACTTCACAGTAATCAGTAGTTTTATAGGTAATATTATAGTTAATTTGCAGCATTTTAGTACTTGTATTATTTATTTTTGGTCAGAAATAGTAAATTAAAATATTTTTTGATAGTTTATAGGTAATAATCAACCCATAACTTTTAAAAGAAACAAAACATTTCTATTATTGAGTTAACATTTGATTATACAAACTAGGAAAGGCAGGGAAATTCCCCTTCTCCCCAGTGATTCTATTAAGATGACCTTTATGTTAAACTTTCAAAGTACTTTATGAATTTAGTTACCAGTTACTATTTATTAATTGACAATTTTCTGAAAAATCCCGTTTCAGCAGACTTAATGAAGGTGAAAGCAACCCTTATGTGCTTTCTACTTATTTGAATGTTCCTCAAGTATTTTATATTAAAAAAAAAAAGAAGGAAAAGAGAAAACAGTGCCTCTGTTTTTAGAAAACTACTGCTCAGTAAAGTTGTTTAAACCATTTCTGGTAGCTAATGACAATTTTATATTAAATTGTATACTAACTTTAGTGAGACTGATTTTTTTAGTTGTTTACAGTACAAATACTTGTATTTGTTTTTTAATTGCAGTATTTCCAATGTCGCAGTAATTTAGTAAAACTCTGTGGCTGCCTTGATTTTGACAGATTTTGTTAATATAAACTGATTGTTAGGCAATTAGTTATATTTATGCATAAATCAATTGCACTATAATTCATGAATTATTTATTACAATATTTTCTAATGAATTCATGTATCTGTCTTGTGTTGTAAATGTACTGTAATTCTGTTCCTACTTTGTGTTGTTATATATCTAAATCTGATTGTATGAATTTTAATTGTTCAGTTAACGTGTTTCTAGGTTGTAATTTGTAGTAAAGCACTTCAATGCTTTTGCACTTAAATTTACAACACTGTTGGTGTGTGATTGATTTACTCATTCAGTAAAAGAAAAAAAGAAAAGAAAAGAAAAAAACTGACTACACTGACTTGTTTGATTTACTTTAGGAAGCAGTTTTATTAAATATAGTATTCTAATTTACTTTTTCTGAAGAAATATTCCAACAAGTTTCTAGTGGGCAAAATGGATAGTAACATACTAAAAATAGGCAGTATGTTTGGTTTATAAATCAAACAGGAAAAGGTTAGAAAACTTTAAAAGCAAAGGATCTACAAAAAAAATACAATTTTAGAACCTTATATAATCACCTGAGAATAAATTCTAGACTGGATATTTATATGTGTGTTCAACTATTATTTACTCATTACTAGGTTTTTCTTTAAGATCCTAACATGCAAGAAATATGGGGGAGAATGTTTGAAGCCAAATAAGCATATTGTGAAGTTCTGTAATTTGAGATCTTAGTTTCTGATATCTGATACATAAGATAGAATCTAATATCTGAATATCTAATTTATACCTTTTTTAAGCTGTTCTTATAGCATTAGATGGGAATTACTGGCTACCATAGTATTTTTGAAATTCCATTATTAATAAATTGAATAAGAAAACTCTAAAAGCTTTGCTTAGAATGTCAGAAAAGGGATATAAAAAGCAGTGGTTTTTGTAATTTTGTGAGCTTAATCAAGTTGGTATTATAACATTGTTTCAGAATACTTAACACTAGTCATTAGTTTTGATTACTTGTACCACATACCTGGCTTTATTAACAGAAAAAAGCCTTTGAGCATTTCAGGAAGAGTTATAAACAATTATTAATCGTTAAAATACAACATATTTTTCCAAGAAACATGTAAATTCTCTCTTTATTATGCCATAACATCACTTTAGAAACTACTGAAGTGCATCTCTCACAACATTCTGGGTTTTCTTTTGCTTGTGTGAAAATTAGTCATTTTTAATTTGCTGGAAAAAAATATATTGTAATCTTTGGTAGTTAACCATTTCTTCCTGCCCTTGCTCTCTACATATATTTTTTAAAACTATGTAATTGAATCCTGGGAGTCAGTTGCATCATTTTACACTCCCAACCATGACAAAGTTTATAAAAAATTATTTTCAAAAAGGAAAGGATACTGGGGTCATGTCCTATCTTCATCTGTCTAGAGGCGGCAGTGACTTTAAAAGTTTTATTTTAATTTCACATCTCTTCTCACTTTGTTTGATAGCTTCTTTATGTCAGATCACTAGTTTTAGTGGAACATTGGATGAATCTAGTAAAGTTATCTTTTTTTCCAGAAAAGTTTTGATCACATGTTTAAAATTTGCTTCCTTATTTTTGCTACTCAAATAACATAATTTTTATAAAATATAAGTGAAATATTACCTCTGAAACAGGCTATGTCAGTTTTAGGCAGCAAAATAAAAATATTCCACTTCCTGTTTTAAAGTAAAAATCTTATAATTTTTAATATAGATGAGCATAATTCTGCATTTAAACAAATACATTCTTCAATAGTAGTTCATAATCAGCATTATTCCAACCTTAAAATTTCTAGAAATCAGGAACTATTAAAAACAACAAATGTAATAAACTGTAAGTGAAAGGCAATTTTCATGTACAGAGTTTGGTGATATGTTTAATTAAAATACTTTTCTGAAACAGAACTCTTTAAATATATTTTATTCTTCCTGCTGCTGGTATTGGATTAAAAAAAAATGTGTAGACTTCTATATTGGTCGATAAGCAAGCCCGGTTCTTAGTTAAAGTTAGATGTATATTAGTTTCTGTAGTGGGCCATTTTCCAGCATTTGAAACTTAATAATTAGGTAAGTAATGCCTTTAGCTTTTATGAAATTACTTTAGTATTTAACATCAATTAAAAATAGATTTTATTTTTAAATAGCTAACGCCTGCAGCTTAATCTTAGGAAAGACATTCTCTTATTTACATAAAATCTAAATCCCTTAATTTTCCTTGTGATTATGGAAAGCTTTTATTATTTTCACTGCCTTGGAAAAAATATCTATTTTAAATAAAGATTGTACTCCTACATTTTATTTTCCTTATTTGCACTAATGTAGACTGATAATTATGTATCAGAATAATTTATAAAATGGCTACTTCATAAAAATTTAACTCCTTCTGAAGCACTTTCCATTAAATATTCTTAATACATTAAAAACAGACAATATATAAATGTAATCATATGTATAATCATCAGCTTTTATATTGCAAAAATAGGGCTTTGCTTTGACTTATACTTTGTCATAGGAAATTAATTATCAGTGCTTCATTATATTTTTGCTAAACAATAATCAAAATGCCATTATTGCAGCTCTCTAGGAGTCAGGAGTCCAGCAATACCAAAATATCTTTTTTCAAACACTGTTAAAATTATAACTCCTTATAGTGGTATTTTTGCTGCAATTCATTTTTTGTTTGATTTTTATTTTTAGTTCAACTGTTGATGCAAAATCAGAGGAAGCTACTAAAATGGAAAAAAGAAAATCAGCATTAAACAAAGTTTTGGAATCTTTGTGCATACATCACCAGCAACAAGTTTTGGCTATGTTGAAATTTCTAGTCCAAGAGCAGAATGCTGCTTCTCTTTGCTGTTGTAATACATCATGTGTTGTGTCTTCAGAATCTCAAAAGCCCTTAATCGAAGATGATTTATGTGGTCTGTTCTGTAGTTGTGAATATAGGCTGGCAGAAAGAGGTTGTTTACAAAACGAAAAACAAAGCCCTGGTTTAGAACCTCTGCCAGTCTGTATTAAAGATTTACATTGTTTATCTTGCCAAACTGTAACTGTTGAACACGTTAAGCCAGTAGTGAATAGAGGAATTGCAGACAGTTATAATTCTCACAGGTGCTGTTCTGGACTGTTACCAAACATTCACTCTACAAAATCAGCCTTTCGTAGTCCTCTTTTGTCAAAGGAAGTATGTGATCTTTCAGTCACTCTTAAAGATGCCTGTAGATCTCGAAGTCCCTCACC
Organism: Homo sapiens; assembly: GCF_000001405.40. NCBI lineage: Eukaryota > Metazoa > Chordata > Mammalia > Primates > Hominidae > Homo > Homo sapiens. The sequence goes on along the minus strand of NC_000004.12, from coordinate 17,877,670 downwards.
CCCACCATTATCACCTATAGAAACTGAAGGATTTGAAAAATTGAAAGACGTCATCTCAGAGATTTCAGCCTTAGAAAATAACAAACTTGAAGCAAACATTAACCAGCCTCCATCTCTCACACCAGCAGAAATCAGCAGCAATAAGAGTGATCATCAAGATAAAATACTTAAAACTAAAAAATCCAGTAACTCTTATTCTTTACTCTCAAATGACAGCAATAATTCTACTACAAATCATGAAAAAGGTGAAACTGCTGTAATTTTTCAAGATTTAATGGATCGCATTAATGAAAAACTAAAATCAATAGAAACCACGGATATGACAAGCCTTGTAAAATTATCTAGCAGTGATTATAATACATATAATGATTTAAAATTGGGAGATTTCATAACATCTCTCTTGCATAATGCAAAAGCCAGTGATTATAGTTTTATGGAATTATTGAGTCAACATGATAAAAAGGTAGAAAATAAAATTATTCAGACAAGATTTCGAAAGCGTCAAGAAACTTTATTTGCAATGCGCAACTCCTCTGATTCACCCATGTTTAGAAGGCAGTCTTTACAGATAAAAAGAGAACTTGCTAGTCTTGATGAAAATTTTACAAGAAAAAAATACACCGAAAAAAGTTCAAGGAAATTGACACAAAACAATGAGATATCTTCATCAGACAAAGGAGAATTCTATCATGACCAAGGGCCTTCTTTACAAAATTCTAAAAGACTTCAAGGTAAAAATCATGCTGAAACATCATTTTCACCAAATTATGCATTACAGTCACTGCAACTACCTCTTCATAGTTCAGAAACTAACTTGTCTTTTAATGAATTTTCAGAAAGCTTTAAAACAACTTCCCCTGAGAAAATGAGCATAAGAAAGCCACAGGAGAAATCTGCAGATGGAAAACAATTTTTGCAAAATGATAGGAAAAATCCAAAGTTAGGTAATACTCAAACTCTTTTGAGAAATGATGTTTCTGGACTTTTGAGCAGAACTAAACGAAATATTGTGCCTCCAGGGTGGTATTCTGTATATGTAACAAATAATTATGTTTTTAAAAAATCCCCTAAAGCCAAAAAAGTATCCGAATCCACAACAAAAAACGATCCAGTGAAAAATATTCACATTGAAAGCTCACACAATATAGACCTAAACAAAATTGCAATGAATTCTAATTTACAAGTGGTTGTGAAGCGTTTGGAAGATACAATAAGTATAGCCAAAAAATCCTGGAATAATCAGCCATTATCAGAAGGATATAAAGCATCCAAGAAATTGATAGAAATTGATGGTAAAGACCAACATGCTGACAGAAATATGACTCTTACTCTAAATAGAATGACATGCAAAGAACAGAGCTTATCAAAATCTGTGGTAGCATCCGGCAATATTATCAATAGTCACTGCATGCCTACAGTGGATTTGAATAACAAAAGACTTGAAAATCTGAAAAAGTCATCTATTTTAGATATGGGTCGCTTGATTTCCAGTGTTGAAAATGTACCAGCAAAATATGAAGGTACTGAAAGTTCATCTGTTTCCAACTATTCTAGTCCTATCAAACTCATGTTTTTATCTGAGGTTAAAAGTAGTGAAGGGGTCAAATATACTTTAACTTCAGTTGGCACTTCCCATTCAAATGTTGTTCTCCCTTCTGAAAAACCTACAACCCATCACGTAACTGAAGAAAAAACAGAAACAAATGAGGATATCTCAAATGCGAACTCTGAAAATTATCACTCCAGTCATTATGATACTGATACTTTTCAAAGAGAACTAAACAAATTCAGTCATGCAAAAGAAACTGCAGGATCCTCTACAATGTTTATAGGTGATATAAATAGTGATAAGCCACAAGAAGAACCTAAGGACAATTCAAGCAGTGCTACTGATCCATCTTTTAAAAGAAAACCAGGTAGACCAAAAAAAATAGGTCCCCAAGTTGTGAAACAGATTAAGCGACCAATTGGAAGACCACCAAAGCCTAAAATTGATCAAACAAACATCACTGTTTGCCAGAATGAGCCCTTTAGTGCTGGAAGGAAAAGCCCAGAATGTCTCATATCAGAAGTAAAAGAAGGTATTTATAAAAAGAGTATTACAGTAACTGTTATTTACGGAAGGTCAAGAAGAACTAAAAGGCATGTTTCTGAAGGAAGGGTAAACATAAGCAACCTTATGTCTTTAAACAATAATGCTGGTGATTTTCCAACTGAATATAATAGTCCCAGAAATATTAGTGAAGACAAAATTGACTTGGGTGAAAGAATAAGTGCTGTAGCAAGCTTGACTACTGAAAGTGAGATCTTGGGGTCTGGCTTTGAATATGTGAGACCCATCAAGAACAAATCTGTGATACCTCAGCCTTCCAAGAACATTATTCGACCAAATCAGAAGCCTTTGGCAATAAGTAGGAAGCCTGGTAGACCGGCAAAAGTGAAAATCTCTGGCATATCTGTGACTATTAATAGAACTTCACCTCAGGAAAGAGAAGTAAGTATTAGCAGCTGCTTGCCTCCTTTAGAACAGGATAATACGTCAGGAAAAAATCTGCCTGAAGAAAAGTATGACCAACAGTGCACTCAAATGGATAAAATAAGGCACACTGAAGCTGATATATTTAAAAATGGATCAAAACGTATGATTGCTACTGTACCTTTGAGACATTCTATTAGGGATAGAAAACCATCTCTGCATTTCTTACATTCATTAGCATCTTCTAGCTCACTTATTTATAGAAACGCTCTGCTCCATAAATCATATAAACTGCATTTGCAGAAAAATAAAAGTCAGAAGGAAAAACATAGGCACTCAAAGATGAAAATAGCTTACAAAGATACCCCAAGAAACAGACTTTCGCGGAATGCAAAAAAGTGTTTGGAAGATAATAAATTAGTACCTATTTCTGAAGTATCCTTGGATCCTATAATTTCATCAAACCCTTTGCTCAGGTGGTGGGCTACTTCTGCTTCAAATGATTCCTTATTAGAGGAATTAAACAATAGATTTGAGCAAATAACAAATGCTTGGGTGCAAGTAAGTGGAGATGAAGCTGAAAATTGTATTCATAAAAAAAGAGAACACATTGAAAATGATCATTTCAAAGTAGCAAGCCCTTTGGAAACTTGTCTTTTAGAACTTGAAGTTTCACCTGTAAAAATGCTTTTTCAGAAAAAGTATGATTTGAATGAACTCTGTACTTGGTTTATGCAAACAACAGAAACACAGTCTCTTTCACTAGTTAGAAAAGCAAATGCCCGAAACCCTTTGGAAGTAATAAATACCAGGGGAATCAAATTAGGGACCAAATATTCTGACTTTAATGCCAGCCCCTTCAGAAAGCACTTTAAAAAATTTGCACTCTCTTCTCCTTCAAAATCAGCAGAGAAATTGCATATACTGCATAAAGTGGCTAACTCTCCACTCTTAAATGTGAAAAGTAATTTAGCAATAGCTAGATTAAAAAGGACTGAGTTTAAGAGGTTGCATCATGAAAGGTGGAAAAGAGAGGGAAAGCTGCACAACCATGGAACAGTTGACTGGAACTCTAAAAGGAGAAACTTAAGATTTTTCTGCCAGAACCAATTTTTAAATAAGACTGAGGGAGAAACAAATGCTGACATCCCACTCCAAGGAAAAAGCATAGTAGATAATCAGTGTGTTTTGCCACCTGAGATCAGGGGTGACTTGCAGCAGAGGGTAGTAATGCCTGACTTCAAAATACATGCTAGTTTTGAGAATAAATTTAAGTCAGAAGCAAAAGAGAATGGAACAAATTGCAGCCAAAAAGACTTTCAAAAGGGACCAAGACTAGAAAATGTATGTCCTAATAGTTGGAGGTCAAAAACCTTAAAAGACTGTAGAATATTTTTGAGGAAGCTCAACTGTCTTGAACACAGAAATACTTTTAAGCTAAATACAATCATTTACTCTCCTGAATCTACTGACAGTGGAAATACTCATCAGACTCATATGGAAGAATCAAAGCGCTTTACTTTAAGATCTCATTCTGCTAGGCAAAATTCTTTTAAAAAGCAATCTAAAGAAATAGAAAATGCTAACACAAATAATCCTTCAGCTGATGAATTTGCTGACCATCTTGGCAATAGTAAATTAAGCAAATGTGTTAACTTTGACAAGAATCCTGATAGTTTTGAAGTTCTTAGCAATTTGAACAAAAGAAAAAGACCACCATGGAAGATCACAGAAATGTCAACAAAAAGACATAAACGACAGTCTTGCAACAGTGGACAAATGGCAAACTATTTTTCCAAATCCCTAGGTAAGTTCTTCTCTACTTAATTTTAAAGTTTCATTGTAGGTGCCTTGAGTAAAGTATAACAGGTAGAAAAGGAACAGCTGATGCAGTTTTAATTAGTTTCCAAAATATTTGGACAACCTAATTTCTTGGCACCTAGTATGAAACTCGTGAAATTAGGTGCTGCTAAATGTACCAGTGCGCTTCCCCACCTCTTAATATGTCCAGGATTTCACACAAATAAAAATATATATAGTAGAGACATAGAAATCATCTTTAAAATATATTATTTTAATAATGTAGATGTTATCTCCTTTTGCATTTGGTAGATCTAATAAAAGCAGTAAGCAGTTTGACAGATAAATATAACCAAGTAACTAACTAAAAATTAAGTACCACACTATAAACTAGTAAATATTTACTCAATTGAGAAATCAACCACAACTATGAGACCATGTTTTTAAAAAAGTAAAGACTATCTGTTAAATTGATAGATTGTAACATATCCTAGGATAATCCTAATCTCACATCACCCACCAAGTTGTTATGTCATTTGGAGCTCACTTTAAGACTGATGATTTGAAGAGTGGTAGAGCAACAATATTTTTTAAAATAAATCAGCAAACTTGTTGAGTAGTTTTTTGATATCAGACATTGAGCTCATTTCCACAGATATAAAGATGAGGATTCTTTTTCACAGGTAATCCATAACTAGCAAAAGAGAATCATATACAAGTTATTGTTAAGGTAATGCCAAATTCAAAATGCAAACCAGAATTACCTTAGCAAACAATTACATCCTTTACTCAGTTATACTGACCAGATGTTGGTGCCTCAGGGAGACTCAGGGACCCTACAAGCTTGTCCAACCCACAGCCCGTGGACCACATGCAGCCCAGGACTGCTTTGAGTGTGACCCAACACAAATTTGTAAACTTTCTTAAAGCGCTATGAGATTTGTTTGTGTTTTTTTGTTGTTGTTTTTGTTTTTGTCTCTGTAGCTCACCAGCTATTGTTAGTGTTAGTGTATTTTATGTGTGGCCCAAGACAATTCTTCCAGTGTGGCCGAGGGAAGCCAAAATATTAGACACCCCTGCTAAAACCTAGTAAAAATAATATAGGAACACTATAGTTGCCAGTGTAGCCATTTCCAGCTCTTCTTATTGATAAGTACTGGACAATGAGGGATATTGAGGAGTATGGAAGTACTTATTGATTACTTGCTTAACATGAAAGAAATTTTACATTTGGAAATTTAAAGATATTATATAGTTGCATCATTATATATTTTAGGGGTGTTTTTGGGGGGGTTGGGGAAGTATTGGCTTTATTTTTACTACTCTTTTTAAAACTTGTTTAAAAGCTAAAATAGGTAGTATCAGGTCTTATATTAAAATAGTAAAAGCAGTAAATTCTTGATTTTTAATAAGTTAATGATTTTATGACCCCCAAGATTCAGTTATTCAACTATATAACTTTAAAACCTATTTCAGAAAGTAGTGATTAAAATTTCAAATATCTAACATGCAATGATTAAAATTTTAAAGGTTGGCCAAAGTAGATTCTCCATTATAAACGATGAATCAAAACTTTAAAAAGTGCCCTGTTTCTTGTTCTTAGGATAACTAAAAATATCAAATGCCATGTCAGGAAAAAGAGAGGCAAAAAAACCTGATAGTGGTTTTTTTTTTATTATAATTCATCTGAAAATATACACACATAATTCTTAAAGACTGTCATGAATGGAGAATAAAATGTAAAGCTTCATTTTTAATTCTTTATATCATCCTCATATCATGCTGTTACAGTTAACCAGAAGTAAATGCATTAATTCATTTTACAACAGAACCGTATTTTGTCCTTTTAGCTTCTTAATCATTGTATCTTCCTAAGAAATAAATATCAAGCTTATTTTAATGTGATTATTTACCCCCACTAAATATGAAATCATCCTAGAAAAAATAAGATGGAAGATGCCTAGTGACTACTTTTTCAAATTAATTTCAAAATCCTTTTGGGCAGTTTTAAAATTTTTAGTATCATTTGAAGAGCTGTTTTTGATCTTTCTCATTTTTAAAATTACTAATACTATTTCCTGTTCTGCTTAAAGTTTTATCTATCTTTCACTGATAACTTTCCTTCTTTATTTTTTAACATTCTTTTTTTTTAGTCAATCAACAAGGACATTATTTTTATAAAGTTGTATTTATAGAAATATTTGTTAATATTTATCTGATTTTTAAAGTATTATTTTTTTCTCATTCTTGGTATCTCATACTTCTTTTTGCCTTTTTGGAAATGATGCTAAAACTCATTATTAGTTTTATATGTGTTTTTCTTCTTTGTAGAATAAATTACTGACTGGAGACTTAAGAGACTTAACAACCAGACTTTTCTAGAAAAATTTCTAAGGCAGTGTATATGAGATTTTGAAATATTACTGTTGATGAAAAGTTTTGCTTCTATCACAAATATCTTGTTTGGTACATTTTGAGATGAACTGTCCAGATATAATTTATGAGTTTTTAAATTTATACTTCACCACATTTGTACTGCTGTATATATCAAGTGTGCACATGGAAAGGAGGCAGAAAAATGCAATCCCATTCTATTCTTACTTCAACAAGTATTTAATGAATGTCTACAATATGCTCTTAAGCACTGTGGAAGGTTCAAATAGTTCCTTTCCATCTAAGGGAGAAAACAAGAGCTACATCATTTATTCAGTAAATAGAATGTATTTCATTTTTTAAGTGGGATATTATATGCCTTAAGGGGATAGAATGGTTAAAGTCATGGTTGTTGCTCTTATGGTTGTTGCTCTTATATGTTCCTCCATGTCATGAAGGATAGAAAAATGGATAGCCAATTCCAGTAGAAGGATGATGACTGCTATGATCAGAGAGAGAGCGATGGATTGTAAGAGCACATTAAAGAGGAATTGAACTCAGATTTAGGGAATTAGGCAAGGTTTCCTACATTGTTGCATCTAAGCTGAGGCTTGAAGGAGGCTGATGTAGTAGAAGTTGGAAGAGGAGTGTTTTCAGGCAGTTGCAAACGATGTGGAAAATTTGGATGACAAAAGAGAGCAAGCAGCCTGGGCAACATAGCGGGACCCCATCTCTGCAAAACAAACAAACAAAATTAGCCAAGTGTGGTAGCCCACACCTTGCTTGAACCTGGGAGGTCGAGGCTTCAGTGAGCCATGATTGTGCCACTGTGCTCCAACCTAGGTATCTCAAAAATTTTTTTTAAAAAAGAGCAAGCATATGTGGAATATTGAGTAATTTATCAGAACTGAGGCATAAAATAGGAATCATGGATCAGGAGGGAGTGGGAAAATGGTAAAACAATGAAGCTACTGAGGGAAGCATAGCCCATATTGTGAGGTCAGCATCAAATAATGAAACAAAAAATGTTTTAAGCCCTAATAGTAGCAGTAATTGAAAAGAATAGATTTGAGATCTATAAAGTAAAATCAATGTCTTAAAGATTAGAAGAAAAAAGGGAGAACATCCAGGTTTTTGCCTTGAACATCTGGGTAGAGGATAGTAAGATCTACTAAGATAGAATGCTCTTTAGATGTGAGAAATTTGAGGTGTTCAGTGGGATATCCAAGAAAGGATGTTAGGAAGCAGTTATGGATATGCTTCCTAAACATACGGATCTGTTTCCCAAGAAAAAGGCCTGAGCTGAAATAAGGATTTGTGAATCAACAAATAACTGAAACCATGAGAGTGGAAGAGATTACAATGAGATTACTCATTGTAAGATTGAAAGAGCCTAGGGAGTCGGAGCCTCAAAGATTTAGGAAAAAGGAAGGATGTATACAAAAGGAGACAGATGACAGTAGTTGAGAGGTAAGAGGAAAGCCTGGAGAATGTGGTGAATGGAAATGTGTTGTAAGAAGGGAGAAGGCAATGTAAACTGTTGATAAGAAGTCAACTAAGATGAGCCCTGAAACGGTTCCATTGAATATAGCAACAAGAGTTTATCTTAGTTGTTGGGAAAGAGTAGCTTTGGTGGACTAACAGAGCCACAAGTCATATTCAAGGCTAGATGAGTTAAATGAAGGAAGAGAAAGAAAATTAGCACAGAAAACTATAATTGACCATGAATGGAGAGAATATACAAAGGTTAGCTAGATTAAGCTGGGGTTGAAGACAGGTTTAAAAGATATATATTTACATGCTAATGGAAAAAAGCCAATAGGGAATAAACAATTGAAGATAAAGAAATGAGATGGCAACCAATGGAAATGGAGTGAAGCCCCTGTGTAGATTATTGGGTATAGGATCTAGGACATGGTTAGAGAGATTGGTCTTAGCCAAAAGGGTCACTTTTCTCTAAAAAAAAAAAAAAAAAAAGGTAGTGGGAACAATATGTGGGAAGGCAAATCGGTAATTTGTGGGCAGAATCCTGAGATATTAGAGTCCATTTTCTGTGAATCAAGAGGTAATCAAGAGTAGTATGTGGGATTGGGTAATTGGGGAATATGGACAAGGTTTGAAATAGCTGTCTCAAGAAATATAGGATAGAACAACTGGTTTTATCTCAGCTGCCAGAATGTAAGCCTGGAGAAAGGTGGGCCCTTAGATTTAGTAATAGTCAAGTTCACCACGTGGGGATGACAGGACAAAGAGATCGAGCCAAGAATATATCTGTTCTGTGAATAGTGAGAAGCTATATGATCAAAGCAGAGTTCTAGAGAATCTTTTCTAATAGTAGCACAAATATAGATCCAGGGGGTGGAGGATGGGAAATGTGATGTGTGAAAGGTCAGTTGCAGGAGATGATTTTTGAGATGGTAATGGCCTAAAAATGGAGTGCGACTGTTGGAAATAATATAGACCTTTTTAATGTCAGTATCTTTTGAGTTCCCAAAGCAGGTGTATATCTTTTCCTAATTGATAAACATCTCGATATAAATAAGCTGACTCTGGACACCTCTGAGTAAACTTTTAAGAATCAAATAACCTAATGTGGTCTTGAAGCTCCTGTAATAATAGTAGCCATCCTAAAACATTAAATTTTCCCATAAAAATTTTGAATTCAGTTGACACTTTGAATCGAATTCTGAGATGACTGAAAAAAAAAAGTTTGTCAGCTTCTTCTATTTTGCCATCTGTCGTCAAAAATAACTGAATTTACATTTTTCCCATTCAGAATTCTGGTTTTCACACAGGTTTGTAACTGATGGCTGATTTTTAACTAAGTAATATACTCCTTCAACTACCAGAAACCAAGACTAACCATACATACTCCTCTGATCTTGCTTATGAGCATTTTAACACATATTTTGAACACTGAACACAAGATAAAAGGAAATGATTACTTTAAGTACAACTGTTAAGATTTGATTCTGTTAAAGTATTCTAATGAAATTAGGAATTTTTTTACACCCAACCCCCCTGAGGAATTTTTAATAAAGATACATTCTGTTTATATTTGAGTTTTTCCCCTGTAATTTTCTTAGGAATTAAGAGAAGAGTTTAGGTTTTAAAGAGTCTCTAACTTTTGCCATAATATTTTGTGAAAATGTAAAACAGGTAAACAATCTTTGTCTTGATGTTTTTTCTTAGAATTTTTCTTGAATATTTTATATTCCATTGCTTTCTCAACTATTACTGAGTTTTCAGGATATTCTGTTTTACTAATTGCCCCATATCTTTCTCAGAAAATCATTCAGTTTATTTAACAAACATTGGATACTTTTTCTTTTGATGTATCAGGTGTTGTGTTAGATGTTCAAGTCACAAAGGAACTCAAGGAATTTATCTAGAAGATATTTCAAGTTTTTACTTTGGCAACATAATTAGTAAAAGAAACATAATTTGGCTGATTCCACATACTGGTGGTTGTAGAGAACAGAACTATTTTCAGACATAGATTTAATTCTCTAAATTGGGAAGTCTGGCCCATGGCCTATTTTGTAAATAAAGTTTTATTGGAACACTGCCATGTTCATTCACTCGTATATTGCCTATTGCTATTTTTGTGCTGCAGAAGCTGAATAGTTGCAACAAGACACCATAAAGCCTACAGAGTCTAAAATATTTACTACCTGGCACTTTGCAGAAAAGTTTGCCGACTCTGTTCGTATCACTACAATTTTGATATGGTGTGGCTTGAAAAAAATAAAAAATAAGTTGTTGGCTTTTAAAAAATATATTAAGGTCATCCTATCTTGTTCGTCCCCAACACCCCATCCACTTCTTCCTCAACACTCGCTCCCTCAACACAATACAATGTATTTGACATGTTAGCTGTTCTGTTTTGTTTGATCTTTACGGGTCAATATCTGTCTTTATCCAGCAGAGTGGTGCTGGGGGAGCCATGAACACCAGTTGTATTCTGTTTTGTAAATCTTTATTCTCTCCCTGCAGCCTCCAGACCTGCTTTCTCTATCTGAGGTAAGTTCAAGGGTCACCCTTTTCTTCTTTAACCAGCTGCTACCACCTGCTAGAAGGAGATTGGTTTCAATGCCTCACACCATGATAAATTCCTGCCTCAAGGTCTAAATGTTCTCTTTCTCCTTTTTTCTTCCTTCTTTATTTCTTAAGAATTCAAAATTCTTAGTTCAGCTCTCCTAACTACCATTTTTTCTTCTCGTTTTTCCTGGGCAGTAACAGTTTTCTTGTCATGGAGCTGAGCATTCTGTGATTATCGTAACGTTAAGCCTAGTGAATTCACCTATAGTTTAATTACAAACAAAAAAGGCAAGGGTAGGTGTCTGAATGATTTCATCTTGCCACTTTTTTTTTTCTTGTTTGTGTTTGTTTTATTTAAACCAGACCTTGGCTTCTTTTTCCTTCTCCCAGTTCCAGGCAACCTGGAAAATGCATTTATTTGCTACTTTTTTTCTGTGTTATGCAAACATAGAAAGCTAGATTTTAAAAGCCTGTACCTATAAACTCTTTTTATTTATTCAAAAGTGTTTGTCTTCTGCGTGCTAGGCAGTATGTTAGACACATGCAAAATAGTGGGGGCAAAACCAGATATGGTTCCTACCCTCACGGTTCAAGTTTATTTGGAGAGGCAGACATTGAGTAAATACACAAATCTGTTACATTCTCAGTATGTGGTGCTATAGGAATTTAATTTTGGGAGGTTTTACCAAGTGAAGGAAGAGTTCCCTGAGCAAATGGCCATTAAGCTAAGCTGTGAAGGGTGAGGAGGAATTAACTAGGCCAAGTGGTGGAGAACCAGTAGGGTAGGAAGAAGGATTTGGATGTGGAAAAAATGCTGAGGTGTGGGATTCTTGGCAGGTTAGAGGTGTAAGTCATGGCCAGTGTGTCTAGTCAAGAAAGAAGGAGATGATGTCAGATGTAGGGAGGATTGAGAAGGAAGCAAAGGAACAGACTATACAAGTTCTTATGAGCCATGCCAAGAAGTTTGTCTACTTTCAGTGGCTCCCCATTGCACTTAGGGCGGAGATTTAAATTGGAAGTGGACAGGGAAGATATGACATAATCAGATTTTGCTTTCTAGAAGATCTCCCTGGTTGCATTGTGAAGAAGGAAGGGTGTAGGGCAAGACACCTAACCACACTTAGACCATTGTGATTCACAAACTTTAGTGTGCATCAGAATCACCAGCAAGTCTTGTTAAAATGATTGTGCGGATCCACCTACAGAGTTTGATTGAGTATGGGGTGGGGCCCAAGTGATACTTATGCTTATGCTTCTGGACCTGGAAGTACACTTTGAGAACCACTGGTAATAGAGTGTAAGTGTTATAGTGGTAGAAGGAAGATTATTTACTAATATGAACATAATGTTATAAGTTTCCCTTTAAACACTTCTTCAGCTATATCACAAATTTTGCTCTGCTGTGTTTTCATTTTAATTAAATTCAAAATATTTTCTAATTTCTCTTGTGATTTTTTCTTTAGCCCATGGATTATTTAGAGACATGTTGGCTGGGCGCAGTACTCACGCCTGTAATTCCAACACTTTGGGAGGCTGAGGCAGGAAGATTACTTGAGCCCAGGAATTCAAGACCAGCCTGGGCAACATGGCAAGACCCTGCCTAGAGATGTGTTGTTTAGTTTCCAAATATTTAGGGATTTTTCAGATATATTTCTGGTACTGATTTCTAATTTAATTCTAATATACTGTTTGTGATTTCAGTCTTTTTGAATTTTTTGTGATGTTTTATATGGCCGAGAATCTATGCAAATCTAAGTAAATGTTCTGTGTGTTCTTGAAAATAATGTATATTCTACTGCCGTTGAGTGAAGTGTTCTATAAATGTCAGTTAAGCAAGATGGTTGCTAGTGCTGTTCAAGATTTTTCCATCTTGGTGAATTTCAGTCTACTTGTTCTATTTTTGAAAGGGGGATATCAAAATCCGTGACTATGATTGTGTATTTTCCTTTTTATCCTTTCAGATCTGTTAGGTTTTGCTTCACGTATTTTGAAGCTTTGTAAATAGTTGCATATGCATTTAGAATTGTTAGGTACTTTTTATTAATTGGCTTTTTTATCGTTATGAAATTAACCTCCTCTTTAATCCTGGAAATGTTCCTTACTCTGAAATCTAATTTATCTGATAACTACTAGAGTTGTTCCAGCTTGCTTTTCACTACTGTTATCATAGTGTATCTTTTCACAATACTTTTATTTTTAACCTATTTATGTCTTCATGTTTAAAGATGATCTCTTTTATTAAACAACACAGAATTGAGGCTTGCCTTTGTATCCAGTGCGACAATCTCTGCCTTTTCAGTAGACCACTTACATTTAATGTCACCATTAACATGGTTGGGTTTAAATCAGCCATCTTTCTATTTGTCCCACCTACTATTTGTTCCACCCTTTTTTCTCTTTTCCAGCCTTCTTTTGGATCAATACAGTGTGTTTTATTATTTTTTTAATCTCCTGATTTGCTTTTTAAAAAGTGGTTGCTGGCCAGGTGAGGCGGCTCATGCCTGTAATCCCACCACTGTGGAAGGTCACTTGAGCCCTGGAGTTCAAGACCAGCCTGGGCAACATGGTGAAACTCTGTCTCTACAAAAATCAGCCAGATGTAGTGGCACGTGCCTGTGGCCCCAGCTACTGGGGAGGCTGGGGCAGGAGGATCACTTGAGTCTGGGAGGTGGAGGTTGCAGTGAGCCAAGATCATTCCATGGTACTCCAGGCTGGGCAACAGAATGAGACACTGTTTTAAAAAAAAAGTGGCTTCTATAGGGTTTATAGTATACATCATTAACTTATCAGGGTTCTACCTTCAAATAATAATATAGTACTTCATGGGTAGCCAAAAATTTTTTTTTGTCTTTATTTTTGGTTCAGGGGTACATATGCAGCATGGCACGGGGATTTGTTGTATAGATTATTTCATCACCCAGGTAATAAGCATACTACCCAATAGGTAGTTTTTCAGTCCTCTCCCTCCTCCCACCCTCTGCCCTCAAGTAGGCCCTGCTTTCTGTTGTTCTCTTCTTTGGTCGATGTGTACTCAGTATTTAACTTCCACTTACAAGTGAGAATGCTTATAAATGTTTTGTTTTCCATTCCTGCATTAGTTTGCTTAGGATTATGGGCTCCAGCTCCATCCATGTTGCTGCAGAGGACATGATCGCATTGCTTTTTATGGCTGCATAGTATTCCGTTGTCTATATGTACCATATTTTCTTTACCTATTCTACCATTGATGGGATTTAGGTTGAGTCCATGTCTTTGCTATTATGAATAATGCTGTGATAAATGTACATGTGCATGTGTCTTTTCTGGTAGAATCATTTATATTTCTTTGAGTATATACCCAGTAATGGGATTGCTGGATCAAATGGTAGTTCTATTTTTAGCTCTTTGATAAATCACCACATTGCTTTCCAAAATGGCTGAACTAATTTACATTCCCACCAGCAGTGTATAAGCATTCCCTTTTCTCCACAACCTTGCCAGCATCTGTTATTTTTTTGGCTTTTTAATAATAGCCATTCTGACTAATAAGAAATGGTATCTCATTGTGGTTCTGATTTGCATTTCTCTAATGATTAGTGATATTGAGCATTTTTTCATATGCTGTGTGAATGTCTTCTTTTGAAAAGTGTCTGTTCATGTCCTTTGCTCACATATTTTGTTTTTTTGAGACAGAGTCTCACTCTGTTGCCCAGGCCGGAGTGCAGTGGCACAATCTCAGCTCACTGCCACCTCCACCTCCCATGTTCAAGTGATTCTCCTGCCTCAGTCTCCCAAGTAGCTGGGATTACAGGCACCCACAACCATGCTTGGCTAATTATTGTATCTTTAGTAGAGATGGGTTTTCACCATGTTGACCGGGCTGGTCTCGAACTCCTGACCTCAGGTGATCCACCCACCTCAGCCTCCCAAAGTGCTGGGATTACAGGTGTGAGCCACCATGCCCGACCCCTTTGCCCACTTTTTAATGTGGTTGGTTTTTGCTTATTAATTAAGTTCATCTTATAAACTCTGGATATTAGACCTTTGCCAGATGCATGGTTGGCAAATATTCTCCCATTCTGTCAGTTGTCTGTTTACTCTATTGATAATTTAGTTTAATTAGGTCCTATGTGTCAATTTTTGGTTTTGTTGCAATTGCTTTTGGCATCTTCATCATGACATCTTTGCCAGGGCCTGTGTCTAGAATGGTATTTCATTGGTTATCCTCCAGGGTTTTTATACTTTGAGGTTTTACATTGAAGTCCTTAATCCATCTTGAGTTGATTTTTGTATATGGTGTAAGGAAGGAGCGCAGTTTCAATCTTCTGTATATGGCTAGCCAGTTATCCCAGCACCATATACTGAATAGGGACTTCTTTTTCTATTGCTTGTTTTTGTCAGCTTTGTCAAGGATCAGATGGTTGTAGATGTGCAGCTTTATTTCTCAGCCTTCTTTTCTGTTCCATTGGTCTATGTGTCTGCTTTTGTACTAGTACCATGCTGTTTTGGTTACTGTAGCTGATATGGTTTGGCTTTGTCCCCACTCAAATTTCATCTTGAATTCCCACGTGTTGTGGGAGGGACCTGGTGGGAGGTAACTGAATCATGGGAGCAGGTCTTTCACATGCTCTTCTTGTGATAGTGAGTAAGTCTTACAAAATCTGATGGTTATTATAAGGGGAAGTTTTCCTGCACAAGCTCTCTTCTCTTGTCTGCCAATATGTGAGATGTGCCTTTCACCTTTTGCCATGATTGTGAGGCTTCCCCAGCAATGTGAAACTGTGGGTTCTCCATTAAGCTTCTTTCCTTTGTAAATTGCCCAGTCTCAGGTATGTCTTTACCAGCAGCATGAAAATGGAATAATACAGTAAATTGGTACCAAGAGTGGGGTGCTGCTGAAAAGATACCTGAAAATCTGGAAGCAACCTTGGAACTGGGTAACAGGCAGAGGTTGGAACAGTTTGGAGCACTCAGAAGAAGACAGAAAAATGTGGGAAAGTCTGGAACTTCCTAGAGACTTGTTGAATGGCTTTGACCAAAAGCCTGATAGCAATAGGGACAATAAGGTCAAGGCTGAGGTGGTCTCAGATGGAGATGAGGAACTTGTTGGAAACTGGAGCAAAGGTGACTCTTGTTATGTTTAGCAAAGAGACTGGCAACATTTTGCCCCTGCCCTAGAGATTTATGG
Organism: Homo sapiens; assembly: GCF_000001405.40. Classification (NCBI taxonomy): domain Eukaryota; kingdom Metazoa; phylum Chordata; class Mammalia; order Primates; family Hominidae; genus Homo; species Homo sapiens. The sequence goes on along the minus strand of NC_000004.12, from coordinate 17,861,813 downwards.
AACTTTGAACTTGAGAAAGATGATTTAGGGTATATGGCGGAAGAAATTTCTAAGCAGCAAAGCATTCAAGAGGAAACTTGGGTGCTGTTAAAGGCATTTAGTTTTATAAAGGAAGCAGAGCATAAAAGTTCGGAAAATTTGCAGCCTGACAATTTGATAGAAAAGAAAGACCCATTTTCTGAGGAGAAATTCAAGCTGGCTACAGAAATTTGCATAACTAATGAGGAGCCACACGTTAATCTCCAAGCCAACAGGGAAAATGTCTCAAAGGCATGGTAGAGGTCTTCACAGCAGCCCCTCCCATCACAGGCCCAGAGGCCTAGGAGAAAGTGATTTCATGAGCCAGGCCCAGGGTCCCCGTGCTGTGTGCAGTCTAGGGACCTGGTGCCCTGTGTCCCAGCCACTCCAGCTGTGACTAAAAGGGGCCGAGGTACGGCTCACTCAGGCTGTTGATTCAGAGGGTGGAAGCCCCAGTGCCTTGGCGGCTTCCACATGCTGTTGAGCCTGTGGGTGCACAGAAGTCAAGAATTGAGGATTGGGAACCTCTGCCTAGATTTCAGAAGATGTGTGGAAACGCCTGGATGCCCAGGCAAAAGATTGCTGCAGGGGCAGGGCCCTCATGGAGAACCTCTGCTAGGGCAGTGCAGAAGGGAAATGTGGAGTCACAGCCCCCACACAGAGTCCCTACTGGGGCACTGCCTAGCGGAACTGTGAGAAGAGGGCCATCGTCCTCCAGACCCCAGAATGGTAGATCCACCAAAAGCTTGCACCATACACCTGGAAAAGCCTCAGACACTCAAAGCCATCCCATGAAAGCAGCCAGGGTAGGGGGGCTATACCCTGCAAAGCTACAGGGGTGGAGCTGCCCAAGACCATGATAACCCACCTATTATATCAACGTGACCTGGATGTGAGACATGGAGTCAAAGGAGATCATCTTAGAGCTTTATTTGACTGCCCTGCTGGATTTTGGAATTGCATGGGGCCTTTAGCCCCTGTGTTTTGGCCAATGTCTCCAATTTGGAATGGCTGTATTTACTCAATGCCTCTACCCTCATTGTATCTAGGAAGTAACTAACTTGCTTTTGATTTTACAGGCTCATAGGCAGAAGTGACTTGCCTTGTCTCAGATGAGACTTTGGACTGTGGACTTTTGAATTAATGCTGAAATAAGACTGTGGGGGACTGTTGGGAAGGCATGATTGGTTTTGAAATGTGAGGATATGAGATTTGGGAGGGACCAGGAGCAAAATGATATGGTTTAGCTGTGTCCCCATTCAAATCTTATCTTGAATTCCCATGTGTTGTGGGAGGGACCTGGTGGGAGGTAATTGAATCATGGGGGCAGGTCTTTCACATGCTCTTCTTGTGATAGTAAGTCTCACAAAATCTGATGGTTATTATAAGGGGAAGTTTTCCAGCACAAGCTCTCTTGTCTGCCACCATGTGAGACATGCCTTTCACCTTTCACCATGATTGTGAGGCTTCCCCAGCCATGTGAAACTGTAGGTTCTCCATTAAGCCTCTTTCCTTTGTAAATTGCCCAGTCTCGGGTATGTCTCTATCAACAGTGTGAAAATGGACTAATACAGTAGCCTCGTAGTATAGTTCGAAGTCAGGTAATGTGATGCCTCCAGCTTTGTTCTTTTTATTTAGGATTGCCTTGGCTATTCACGTTCTTTGTTGGTTCCATATGAATGTCATTGGCAGTCTGATAGGAATAGCATTGAATCTCTAAAATTCTTTTGGCAATATGGCCCAATATTGATTTTTCCTATCCCAATATTGATTTTTCTTACCCATAATCATGGAATGTTTTCCCATTTGTTTGTGTCATCTCTGATGTCTTTGAACAGTGTTTTGTAATTCTCCTTGTAGAGAACTTTCACCTCTCCGGTTAGCCATACCTAAGAATGAAGAATAAATTCCTACAAATTTTATTCTTTTGTGGCTATTGTGAATGGGATTGCTTTCTTGATTTGGTTCTCAGCTTGGACTGTTGTTGGTGTATAGAAATGCTACAGATTTTTGTACATTGATTTTGTATCCTGAAACTTTACTGAAGTTGTTACAACCATACATTTGCATTTCTTCTCCAAGTCTTTGTGCTTTTACTTCTGTAAATGTTATAAACCTCATAGTACATTGTTCCTATTTTTTCTTTACACAGTTATCATTCAGAGATTTTTAAAATAGGAAAATAAGTATTTTCCCCATGAATTTATCATTTCTAGTGCTCCTCATTCTTGTGGACAGATCCAGATTTCTATCCCATATCTTTCCTTCTACCTGAATGAACTCCTTTAGCATTTCTTGTAGTGCACGTCTGCTGTTGATTAATTCACTCTGCCTTTGTATGTCTATAAAAGTCTGTATATCACATTTTTAAAAATATATTTTTCCTGAATATGGATATCAGATTTGACCATATTTTTCTCTTAGTACTGATGCTCCTCAACTTATGATGGGGCTGCTTCCCAATAAACCCTTGTAAGTTGAAAATACTGTAAGTCAAAAGTTCATTTAATACACTTAACCTATCTAACATCGTAGCCTAGCCTCACCTACCCTAAATATTCTCAGAACATTTACATTACCCTACAGCTAGGCAAAACCGTTAAACACAAAGCCTATTTTACAATAAAATGTTGACTATCTCATGTAACTTACGGAATACTGACATTGAAAAACAAAATGGTTGTATGGGTACTCAAAGCATGGTTTCTGCTAAATGCCTATCACTTTCACACCACTGTAAAGTTGAAAAACTCTAAGTTAAATCATCCTAAGCCAGAGACTGTACTTTACAGATATTGTTCTACTTGCTTCTTGCTTGTATTGTTTCAGAAGATGGGTATGGCATTCTTATATTTGCTCCTCTGTATGTTCTTTTTTCCACCAGATGCTTTTAAGATTTTCTCTTTATCACTGGTTATCAACAGTTTGATTATGAAAGGGCTTGGCATGGTTGCCTTTATGTTTTCTCTGCTTGGAGTTTGTTGAACTCTTTGAATATGTCAGTTTATATTTTTAATCACATTTAGACATTTTTTAGCTATTATTATTATTATTATTATTATTATTTGAGATGGAGTTTCACTCTTGTTGCCTAGGCTGGAGGGCAATGGCGCGATCTTGGCTCACCGCAACCTCCACCTCCCTGGTTCAAGCAATTCTCCTGCCTCAGCCTCCCAAGTAGCTGGGATTACAGGCATGCCCCACCATGCCTGGCTAATTTTGTATTTTTTTTTTTTTAGTAAAGACAGGGTTTCTCCACGTTAGGCTGGTCTCGAACTCCTGACCTCAGGTGATCCACCTGCCTCGGCCTCTCAAAGAGCTGGGATTACAGGCATAAGCCACTGCACCTGGCCAATTTCTTTAAATGTATTTCTGTCCCTCTCCTCTCTCCTCTCCTTCTGGAATATAAATCACATGTATTTATCCCACAGGTCACTGATACGCGATTCACTTTTGTTTAGTTTTTTTTTTTCCTCTCCTTATTTTAATTCTGCATATTACTATTTCTGTGTTTTTAAGTTCACTAATCATTTCTTTGGCATTGTTTAATCTGCTATTAATACCATCTAGGATATTTTTTATTTCGTAAGTGGTATGTCAACTCTGGAAGTTCAAATTCAGTATTCTTTATATCTACCATATTTGTCCACGTCGTGCTCATGCTTTCTTCAACTTCTTGAACTTATGAAGTGTATTTAAAATATCTCCATTAACATCCTCATGTACCAATTTCACAATCTGTGTTATTTATTTATCTATTTCTTTAATGACTTTTCCCCTTATTATGGATCATATATGTTTTTTGCATGCATGCATGCATGGTAATTTTCAGTGGGATGCCAGACATTGTGAATTTTATATTATTGTGAGCTGGGATTTTTGCAATGTTAAATGTTCTTGGGCTCTGTTCTGGGACACTGTTAACTTATTGAGAAATATCTTGATTCTTTCATGTCTTAAGCATTGTTGGCCAGAGCCAGAACACCCTTTAATCTCAGACAGTAGTTTACAACCAGGGATGATTTTGTCTCAGAGGATATTTGGGCATATACAGAGACATTTTGTGCTCTTACATTTAGAAGGTGCTATTGGCATCTAGTGGATAAAGTCTAGGGATTCTACTAAAAATTCTACAATGTCTAGCACAGCCCCCCAAAACAAAGAATTATCTGGTCCCAAATGTAGGGATGCTACTAAAAATTCTACAGTGTCTAGCACAGCCCCCCAAAACAATTATCTGGTCCCAAATGTTAGTGAAGCTGATGTTAAGAAGCCCTGTGGTAGGGCTAAGTTGACCTCACTATAGAGGCAATCCAGTACCCACCTGCGGACTTTACCAAATGCTCCATGTGTCAGAAGGTCAATTATATCCAGCTATATATAGCCTCCAGAAAATTATTACCTGGTTCTTTTCATTGATTCTTTTCACAGACTTGGGAAATACTTATCCACTGATCAGTATTTATCTTTAACCCAAGGAAAATCCTCTGCAGATCTGTCTGTCTCCTTCTCTCTCCTTTCTCCCCCCACCCCCATGTCTCTCCTATACTCTAACCCACAGATTCTAGTCACCTGGGACTTCGTGAACTCCAGTCACTGTCTCCCCAACTCAGGAATATTTCCAAGCTCTGTTGGGGTTCTCTCCGTATCATGCAGCCTGAAAACTCTCCAGGCAGTAAGCCACGTATCTGGTCCCTGCTACCCTGTTACTTCATCATGGCCAGAAGCAGAAATCATATTTTTTCTTTCAGCAAATATTTGTCCAGTTTCTATGTGCCGAGTACTGCAGATAAAATGCTGAACAAGAACAACGAGGATCTCTATTCTCACCAGTCTGTATTTTAGTAAGAGAGAAAAACAAACATAGAAAACAAAGCAGTGATAAATTGTGTTAATGAAATTGGATGATAGAAAGGAGTTTCTAGGGGGAGCTACTTTAGGTTGAGTTGTCTGGGAAATCCTTTCTGAATAAGTAATGCATAACCTATGAATGGAGTTGAGACATCTAGGCTATCATTGATGACTGAAACTGTGAGTAGGGATGAGGACCCCCAAAGAGACTGTGTAGAATAAAGGAGAAAAGAAAGACTAGGACTCATCCTTGAGAAATTCGAACTTTTATTATCCAAGTAAAGTAGGATGACTTGGGATGGAAGAGGCAAAAGGAAAGTGTGTTTTGTCTCAAAAGCCAAAAGAAATTAGTTTCATGAAAGAGGGTGCTTTAGTCTCCTTGGGCTACCACAACAAAATAACATAGATGGCATGGCTTAAACCACAGAAAATTATTTTCTCAAAGTTTTGGAGGCTGGAAGGTCCAAGATCAAGGTCCAGCAGGTTTGGTTTGCAAGCTGATAGATAGCTTGCAGATAGCCACCTTCTTGCTGTGTCCTCACATGGCAGAGAGGACCCTCTGGTACCCCTTCCTCCTCTTACAGGAACACCAGCGTCATCAGATTAGAGCTTCACTCTTACGACCTTAATTACCTCCTAAAGGTCCTATCCCCAAATACAGTCACCTTCAGGGTTAGAGCTTCGACATATGAATTTAGGAGAAACTCAAGTCCATAGCAGAAGAAATGGTCAGCAATATTGAATGCTGCCAAGGGGGCAAAAACTAAAATTCATTGGAATTATCAATGTGTCATTCATGGCTTTACTAAGTGCTATTTTAATGGAGTAAAAGCACTAGAAGCCATACTGGAATCGTTTAAGGAATGAGGAGCTAAGGAAATCGTGATAGCAAGTATAAGATAACTGCTTAAAGTAATCTAGTTATAAAACTGTTATCTTGAGGAAAACGAAAGATTGAGTAAAGTCTTATTTTTTAAAGAATGAGAGACCTTGTACTTTTTTAAGCATCATGGTGAGGATCCAATTGAGAAGAGGTGGTTTATTTATTGCCACAATAATGCTATATTACAAACTACCCCAACATTTATTAGCTTAAATAAATGAGCAGTTTTTATTTCATTCATGAGTCTGTGGTTGGCAGATAGGCTAGGATGTTCTTCTGATCTTGGCTGGGCTCCCTCATATGTCCTGGTGTTAGCTGACTGACAGGTGGGACATTTATCTCTGCTCCATGTGTCCCTCACACTAACTCAGCAGGTTTGCCCAAGCAATTTTTCTCAAGCTTCAGCTTCCATCATATTTGCTAAGATCCTGTTGGCCAGAGCAAATCACGTGGGTAAGGCAGAATGGGAAGACACTGCAAAATTATAGGGCAAAGAAAGTAAATTTAAGGATGAGTAAAGAGTTGGGACTATTAATGCAATCAATTTGATATTGATAGTATATCAAAAAAAGGATTATGATCATTGATAAGTTCTTGAGAAGGCAGATAGATGCAAACAGGGTTTCGGAACGTTATAAACCATGTCAGTTTTTGCAGTCTTTTACAGTTGGTTGGCAGTGTTTTAGATCAACAACTTGTTAATTGTTTTTAATTTCACATTACTAAAATTTCCTATTTTTATTCTTTTTATAAATGTAGCTGAATCATATTTATATATTTCTTGGGTATTTGAATACCTTATTATAGAAATTCAGGGAGTCTTTTTTTGTTCTTACATGGCCAAGGGTCATTTCTAAGTTGCATAACAGTGCAGTGTTCATTAGTTTCTGAAGATTGTTGGTTCTCTGCCCTTAATCCGACTATAATTTCCTTCATTTCCATTCTATTAAAAATTCAGGTGGCTCTCCCATTTCTAAGGAGAAAACTGTTTTTTTTATTCTAAATGTTTTCTTGTGAATTCTTGACTGCCATAGTTTGCTCTAATGGTCATAATACTTACTAGTTATTAAGCACACACTATGCACCAGAGTGCCAATCTTTGTGTCACCTTTATATTCAAAACAAAGTTAATATAAATAATTTTCCTAAAATTGGCTGTATCAAATTGCAAATCTAAGATTATAACCCAAGACTGTTGGTCTTCAGAGTCTGGTTCTTAACCATCATGTTCTTCTACTCCAAATACAGTAATCACAAGCAAGTAGAGAAAAAGTCTATAAAATCTTCTACTTAATCTACCAAAGCCTTTAAATTCATCAGTATCCTACCAAAGGAAAATTTTGAGAAAAACTAAGTTTTTTGTTTTTGTTTTTTTTTAAAAAAGCAATTGCAGTCTAAACTTACCTGTTTACCAACCAAAAGAAAGGATTTATTCAAATTTTAGACCTCATGGTCACCCTTAGAAACTGTGTTTACCTGGCTAGATATTTTGATCTCCCTTAAGCCCAGGGACTCAAAATTAAACGATTGTATTATCTGTCTACACAAATTTAATCTTTATATCTGATTATGAGAATTACAGGAATAACCTAATATGGTTCAATGCAGAAACAAATCATACACATATTTGCCATATTTTATCCCCAGTGAAAACACGGATATCTTTGATTGTCTTATGTTTTGCTAATAGTACTAACATTAACTCACATTTATTGTGTCCTTATTATGTGTCCAGTCAAAATGCCAGGCATTTTATGTGCATTCTATTCTCTGTGCCAAGTGCTTTACATAAATTCTTTTAACAATCCCATTACCCATAAAAGGTAGTGACTTTCATTATCTTCACTGAAGCTTAGAAAGATTAAGAAATGTGCATTTAGCTGGCCAGTGATTGGACTCAGGATCAGAACTCGAGCTCTACAAATCTTCCTTCTGCCCCAGCTTACCAACATCCTTATCCCTAAAGACCGTTATCAAATATTTCTTCCCCTTGTCTCCCTGCTCTGCTGGGATTAATCTTTCCCTTCTCTGTAATCCCTTAGTCCTTAGTTACTCCTTTATATTTATTGCATGCTGCTGTTTTATTCTGGTAATTTATGAATACTTTCTCACTCTGCCTCCTTACCAAGCCGCAAACCCCTGAAAGATAGATACCATCACTTTTTTTAAATACTCCTAATATGTTAAGTAAGTACTGCTTGAGGGTTAGAAGAAAGGATAAGTGACCTTCATGAAGGTTCTCTCATCTAGGTTCGTGCACTTAACAAACCTATCGTGATATTTGGATAGATTTGTGGAGACATCAATTTGCAGGACAGAGCTGAGCTGTAATAGCTAGTCAGTAAATTTTTACTCTAGTAATATTTAGAAGACACCATTCCAGAAGAAAGTAAGCTGTCATCCAGAATTTGGAGTTAAATAGATGAGTTCAGATTTGACAGTGTCAAGTACATTAACTATTCCAAGTCCAAATCCTGTACCAGAGCCCAGTTTATCTGTGATACAGCTGACTTCTCCCTTTGAAAAGATGAACTTGGTGTTCCCTGAAACTCTTGACCTAAAGAATACTCTGTTAGCTCTCAAAAACATGTCAGTCTATGCCCGAACATTATTCTCCTCTTTCAGGAATTGAAGGATATGAGTAGCTGCTACTTATTTAGTTAATGCCATGAGGAAACTTCATGCATTAAATATTTAACTCTCCTGGATGGGGTTACAACTATAGCCTTAGGCATATCTTTCTGTTTGAAACCTATAAACCATACACTTGTCCACTAATCTCACATGTTAAGCCTTCTGAAGAATAGAAAAATGGGTATTAACATGGAGAATCATGACAGAATTAGAACAATCCAAGAGTTAGTATGCAGTACAAGGTGATAGATCATAGGCCCTGGAGACTTCCATTTACTAGTTATGTGGCTTGGGTAAGTCATTTTACTTCTGTGAGCTTCAGTGAATAGTTGTTAGGACTGAATGTTGTATTGTTAAAAAAAAAAAAAAAAAAAAAAATCAAGCTTTTAGCACACTGCCTGGTACGTAGCTACTGTTCTGTAAGTGATATTTTCAGACCTGTCTTGGTTGCACCAAAATTTGATTCCTGTAAGAGTCGGCTAGGTAACATTCAAGTTTATTGTCCCTATGACAGAAATGAACATTGCATATCTCCAGTAATGCAAGTTTAAATTATTAGAGCTAGATACAATTTTACTTTTGTGAAGATTAGACTTATCAATAATCATTAATTTAAATCACAAATAATTATTTGGATTTCTATGACTCCCAAAAGATTTCCATCTTTCACACTTTGCAAATGCACATACTCTGTAAACTTCCATTCAGATGGTGGAGATGGACTCTATCTTGGGGTCCATGGGATTACCAAAGTATTGAAAATAGGCTTAGATGCCTACGTAACCATTTCAGATTCCTCTTGCCCTTGTTCAACCCTCACCTGCATTAGTTTCCTAGTTTGATAGAGAAGAGGCCTTACTTATGATAAGCACTTCTCCTCCCACTTCTTTCTCTTTTCACCAAAACATGCGGCAAAACTAAGGCTTTGTATTTGTATAGAGCTCCATATGGTTTTTAAAGCATGCTAATTGGCTCTCATTAAATTGTCACAACAAATCTGTAAGATAAGCAGCGAAAGTACCTTTTTTTTTTCTTATGAAGAAAATGAGGCAAGAGGTTAAGGTTACTTGTCCAGGGTCATTATTATTGTGATTATTGTCAGAAATTGAGCCCAGGTCTTTACATTTTTCCCCCCAACTCTACTCTCAAGAGTACCACTGTATACATACTATTGCTGAGCTTTCATTAGAATCCAGGATATAGATATATAAAGTCACTTTCTCAGATGACTTAACTGCTGCTGCTTTCAGCTTTCTAATCATTTTATGAAACAGAGAAGCCATGACATAAGAGTGATAAATCTGATGACATAGCATTTAGAATGTATTCCTGAGAAAACCACCATAAGAGATATAAACTAATAAACTGGATAGGGTGGGAGGAGAGTGGGATCACAAATCACTATAGAACAAAGGATTTTCATAACACAAGAAAAACATTATACTAATTGGCAAAGAACACATAAAAAGGGAACACAAATGGCTTCTAAAACATTAAAATATGCTTAACCTTATTCATAAGAGAAATGCAAATTAAAACAATGGTATGCCACTTTTTAACATCAGATTTTCAAAGATCTGTAAGTTTTATTATACATTATTGGTTAGAGTAAGAGGAATGAAAGACCTCTTCACACATTGTTGGTTAGACTGTAAAATGGTACAGTCTCCGAAGGGCACTTTGATAATATCAAAAATGTAAAAGCACCCTTTGACCCAGCTATTCTACTCCTCGTCAGCTCTATAGATATACTTGAACACATGCAAGAATATTCAATGCATCATTGCTATTTTATGCAATAGATTAAAACAGCCAAAAATTCTGTCAATTGAGGACTGATAAAATCAATTAAGATTTATCCATAAAGTAGAATTCTATTTAGCTGTTAAAAGAATTGAGTATTCATTGTACAAATATGAAACAGTATCCAAAATACATATTTTAAAGCAAGATACAGAACAGTATATAGAATGGTAGAATTGTGTACAAGGAGAGAGTTGAAACACAGATACCTACATATTTCAATGTGAGGGGACTATCTGAAGAATAGACAATAAAATGGTAACAATAGTTGCCCCAGAAGAGGGGCTTGGAGCACCGATAGACTTCTTTCCATTATATGACATTTTTCACTGATTTTTTTTTTATTATTATACTTTAAGTTTTAGGGTACATGTGCACAACATGCAGGTTTCTTACATATGTATACATGTGCCATGCTGGTGTGCTGCACCCATTAACTCGTCATTTAGCATTAGGTATATCTCCTAAAGCTATCCCTCCCCCCTCCCCCCACCCCACAACAGTCCCCAGAGTGTGATGTTCCCCTTCCTGTGTCCATGTGTTCTCACTGTTCAATTCCCACCTATGAGTGAGAATATGCGGTGTTTGGTTTTTTGTTCTTGCGATAGTTTACTGAGAATGATGATTTCCAATTTCATCCATGTCCCTACAAAGGACATGAACTCATCATTTTTTATGGCTGCATAGTATTCCATGGTGTATATGTGCCACATTTTCTTAATCCAGTCTATCATTGCTGGACATTTGGGTTGGTTCCAAGTCTTTGCTATTGTGAATAGTGCCGCAATAAACATACGTGTGCATGTGTCTTTATAGCAGCATGATTTATAATCCTTTGGGTATATATCCAGTAATGGGATGGCTGGGTCAAATGGTATTTCTAGTTCTAGATCCCTGAGGAATCGCCACACTGACTTCCACAATGGTTGAACTAGTTTACAGTCCCACCAACAGTGTCAAAGTGTTCCTATTTCTCCACATCCTCTCCAGCACCTGTTGTTTCCTGACTTTTTAATGATCGCCATTCTAACTGGTGTGAGATGGTATCTTATTCTGGTTTTGATTTGCATTTCTCTGATGGCCAGTGATGGTGAGCATTTTTTGATGTGTCTGTTGGCTGCATAAATCTCTTCTTTTGAGAAGTGTCTGTTCATGTCCTTTGCCCACTTTTTGATGGGGTTGTTTTTTTCTTGTAAATTTGTTTGAGTTCATTGTAGATTCTGGATATTAGCCCTTTGTCAGATGAGTAGGTTGTGAAAATTTTCTCCCATTCTGTAGGTTGCCTGTTCACTCTGATGGTAGTTTCTTTTGCTGTGCAGAAGCTCTTTAGTTTAATTAGATCCCATTTGTCAATTTTGGCTTTTGTTGCCATTGCTTTTGGTGTTTTAGACATGAAGTCCTTGCCCATGCCTATGTCCTGAATGGTAATGCCTAGGTTTTCTTCTAGGGTTTTTATGGTTTTAGGTCTAACGTTTAAGTCTTTAATCCATCTTGAATTGATTTTTGTATAAGGTGTAAGGAAGGGATCCAGTTTCAGCTTTCTACATATGGCTAGCCAGTTTTCCCAGCACCATTTATTAAATAGGGAATCCCTTCCCCATTGCTTGTTTTTCTCAGGTTTGTCAAAGATCAGATAGTTGTAGATATGTGGCATTATTTCTGAGGGCTCTGTTCTGTTCCATTGATCTATATCTCTGTTTTGGTACCAGTACCATGCTGTTTTGGTTACTGTAGCCTTGCAGTATAATTTGAAGTCAGGTAGCGTGATGCCTCCAGCTTTGTTCTTTTGGCTTAGGATTGACTTGGCGATGTGGGCTCTTTTTTGGTTCCATATGAACTTTAAAGTAGTTTTTTCCAATTCTGTGAAGAAAGTCATTGGTAGCTTGATGGGGATGGCATTAAATCTATAAATTACCTTGGGCAGTATGGCCATTTTCATGATATTGATTCTTCCGTCCAGCTTTGTTCCATTGCTGGTGAGGAGCTGCGTTCCTTTGGAGGAGGAGAGGCGCTCTGCTTTTTAGAGTTTCCAGTTTTTCTGCTGTTTTTTCCCCATCTTTGTGGTTTTATCTACTTTTGGTCTTTGATGATGGTGATTTACAGATGGGTTTTTGGTGTGGATGTCCTTTCTGTTTGTTAGTTTTCCTTCTAACAGACAGGACCCTCAGCTGCAGGTCTGTTGGAGTTTGCTAGAGGTCCACTCCAGACCCTGTTTGCCTGGGTAACAGCAGCGGTGGCTGCAGAACAGCAGATTTTCGTGAACCGCGAATGCTGCTGTCTGATTGTTCCTCTGGAAGTTTTGTCTCAGAGGAGTACCCGGCCGTGTGAGGTGTCAGTCTGCCCCAACTGGGGGGTGCCTCCCAGTTAGGCTGCTCGGGGGTCAGGGACCCACCTGAGGAGGCAGTCTGCCCGTTCTCAGATCTCCAGCTGCATGCTGGGAGAACCACTGCTCTCTTCAAAGCTGTCAGACAGGGACATTTAAGTCTGCAGAGGTTTCTGCTGTCTTTTTGTTTGTCTGTGCCCTGCCCCCAGAGGTGGAGCCTGCAGAGGCAGGCAGGCCTCCTTGAGCTGTGGTGGGCTCCACCCAGTTCGAGCTTCCCAGCTGCTTTGTTTACCTAAGCAAGCCTGGGCAATGGTGGGCGCCCCTCCCCCAGCCTCGCTGCTGCCTTGCAGTTTGATCTCAGACTGCTGTGCTAGCAATCAGCGAGACTCTGTGGGCGTAGGACCCTCCGAGCCAGGTGTGGGATATAATCTCCTGGTGTGCCGTTTTTTAAGCCCGTCGGAAAAGCACAGTATTGGGGTGGGAGTGACCTGATTTTCCAGGTGCCGTCTGTCACCCCTTTCTTTGACTAGGAAAGGGAACTCCCTGACCCCTTGCGCTTCCCGAGTGAGGCAATGCCTCGCCCTGCTTCGGCTCGCACACGGTGCACTGCACCCGCTGTCCTGCGCCCACTGTCTGGCACTCCCTAGTGAGATGAACCTGGTACCTCAGATGGAAATGCAGAAATCACTCGTCTTCTGCGTCGCTCACGCTGGGAGCTGTAGACCTGAGCTGTTCCTATTTGGCCATCTTGGCTCCAGCCCTGTCTCTTCAAAAAAATTTAAAAATTATTTGGGTGTGGTGGCACACACTTGTAGTCTCAGCTACTCAGAAGGCTGAGGCAGAAGGATTGCTTGAGCACAGGAGTTGGAGGCTGCAGTGAGCCATGATGGTGCCACTGCACTCCAACCTGGGCCACAGAGCAAGACGCTGTCTCAAAAAGCAAACATCTAGAAAGATACTTTCTAGCTGTAATGTTCTAATGCCCCTGGTTCCAGCACTTCCTAAGATAGCTGTATTCTAAGAATTCTGTAGAGCAGTACTGCCCAAACTTTGCATATCCACTGTTTTTTAAGTATATATGAATTAAATGTCAAGCTGTATATTAGTAAATTTAGGTTTTTTTCAAAACTGACATTTTCTTCCCATACATAAGTATAGTTTTGTGCACCTGTGGGATCTGTGTACCCAAATTTATACTATACCATTCTAGAAAAGTTACTTAAGAAAACCGCCGTATGTTTTTGAAAAGGAAAATCATGTAGTTTATTAAAGTATTCTTCTCTGGTGAAAACACCTTAGTCAAATAGCAAACAAAACAAAATTTGTTTTTATTTGTGACCATGATTATTTGTTCTATGCCTTCATTTTATTTTTTGGAGTTTAATACTTACTATACTTGCCTACCAAGCTATCTTGATTAATATAATTGTGTTTTTATAGCTTGCCTTAGAGTTTCTCAAAAAGGTGTACATCAAACTTTTGCTTTGAAAATACAAGCAATACAAATATGAAGACTAGCAGTCCTTGGAGGAAGGAAATGGCTTTATCTGAGTTTTGCTAACTTGAAAAACAAAAATGAGGTCCCTGAGGACATTTTAATAATAATGTAAATTTTTTCTAAATTCAGTTATCATTTCTAATATGTATGAAAATACTGTACTTTGGATCTCTTTGTCACATATACTTTAATTATATTATTTTTTAATCACATCCGTTTTAGCTTTTCAAAAAAGTGGTTTACTACTATTGATGCATACTAAGCTACCTGGTAGTTTGTCATTTTGTCTAGTATCTATTTATACAAATTGAAACTGTATTCTGTGGGACTGGGACTGTTTGGGGAGAATGCAGTTAGATATGTTAGTGGTGGTAAAACAGGATATAACGGATTTAGCTTATTGAATGGCATATGAGTTGGTTGGTTGAGGTTGCAAGGACAGATCTACTGGAGTCTGGACGCTCCCATTTCCCAACTCTACCAAGTCACTTAAATATGAGACCCTGAACCTCATTGCTAATAGGAAGACTTGTAGAGCTACAGTTGGAGGAAGTTTAGGAATGATGTAGTTCAAATGAACTAACCATAGTTAAATGTCAAGTGAATTAGAGAGCTGTTGAATAGTTTATAAACATAAGGATTCACATCTGAATATGTGGACTATAAGTAATATTTAAAACTAGGGATGGCGTATTCATTACACAGAGTGGACTAGCTCCCCTTTTGACTGTCACGTGTCTGTGATTCTGAAGAGTAGCACTCTGCTCCAGATGTTTCACAACAGGCTTTTTATAAATGTTTATTGAATTTTTGAGTAATTACTGTGTATTTAGCACTGTGCTTATCTTCACAGAGAAAAGAATGTTACCATCCTTTCCTTCTGATCTAGAGGGGGTTATCAGACTATTAGACATGAAACAATAGTGGAGAACCCCAAATAGTTCACAATCCAATGCAATGTTTTACTGAGAGCAAGTTCAGAGATGTGAGATTGGATTAGGCATGGGTAAAGGTTTGGTTAAGCAGAGTGGTGAGCAAGGTTCCCTATGTGGGAACATTTAGGAACAGACAGGACTGTGCTCATGAACTTGTGGAATAAGACACCAGTCCAGAACAGAGGGTGTATATTAAAGAATAATGTTGAAGAGATCTGACCAACCTAATGTAAAGCCAAATAAGCCAACTTTCCCATCAATGTAAAAAATTCTTGGAAATTTTTTTCAACAGAAAAAACAACCAGAGTATCCTGTGGATGCCGCATGCTCCTCTGATGAGCTGGCCATAAGTTTAATTCCTGATGTTTTTCCAGCCTCATCAGAGAGCTTAGTAGACAAGCATAAGGAAAAGAGAAAGGGCTGTATTCCAGTTCCAGGCAGGTGACTGTATGACCTCAGGCATATTTGTACTTAACTCTCAGAGTCTTGATTTTATTGTTTACTATGAGGATAAGCATACCAACCTTACTTGGCTTTTGCAAAATTCAGATGAGACAATACATGTGAAGGTGGCTAGAACGTAATAGGCATTCAACAAATGTTGATCCCTTTTTTTTCTCAAAGTGGCTCTCATTCTGATCCACAAAAGGGCAAGTTAAAAGGGTTGAATCCTACCAGGCTCACAAGGTTAAATAATTTCTGATGTATACTGATGTAATCCATATATGCAATGTTACTTTTTCAGTCATATGTAACTTCTCAAGTTACACAGGTTACATGGCATTATTCATTGTATTTAGTTCAGTAAGTAGGCGGGAGAGAAAACTGTTGTATTTTCAGGATAAATGCTTTATGTATGCTAAAATTTAGAGGTCCAAACACTACTACAACTAAATGTTCTTTTACAAGGTTGATAATTACTTTGAAATTAAAGTAAAACTAAAATGCCTTACACTTTTTCTTCCAGCATGCTACAAGTGAAAACTGATGAGAAACTGAATGTGTCTGATGAGAATACAGCAAGTTGCCCTTTGAGCCCCATTAAGATGTGCCTTAATCGTCCCATTGAATGGAATCTGAATTTGACAACAGCATCTCTAACGAGCTGTACAGTTCATAACCAAAATCTCAAAAGCGAAGAGAAATAGATTGCAGTTCTTCTTGCACTATCTTTATTTTGTATGTCAGTATTCCTTCTGAACAATAAGCATTTATCAATTGATCTTGAAGTATTTCTAGTCCTGTGATTTGTCTTTATATTAAATCATTAGCATTAATCATTTTGATTATATTCTTTATATGTTTTTTTTACATGTTTTACATCAGATCATTGTGGAATTTTGTAAACGGATTTTGATGTTTCTCTTTTAGTGGTATTATGTGAATTTTTTATGCCCTAAGTTTAAATACGTAATTGTCCCTAGTTTTATTTCTGTGCACAAAGTTTTAATATATAACACATTGTGATTTATAAAGCTAGTATTGTAAAGATTTGTGATGATAACCTGACCCATGAGCAGTTGTAAAACAGGTGGATACCAACTACCTCGAAGCAAATTGGTGAAAGAAAAGGCAAAGGTATCTCTTAGAAGTAAATCTCCTTCAACGTTATATATGTACAGAAGAAAAAAAGTTGATCATAGCTTTTTGTCAAGTAGCATGTTTCCCATTCACAGGAAAATGTGAGCTTATCAGTTCTTTCTCTGTATTTTAAATCTAAGTCTGTGGGCTTTAAGAGCAATGGCACAATTGCATGTTTACTGTTCAGCAAATCTGTGCCTCTTGATAGAGAAAAATACTATGTGGTTTCTGTAAGTTACCAGTTTTGAATGAAAAATGGTAAATGGATTTACATCTGTTTTATTGTACCTTAGCCTTTTATTTTAAAGTTAAAGGGATGACTTTTAAAAGCAGGACATTCCCTACCTTTAATAGTGCAAAGCACAGTTTCAGCAATGGCTACATGACTATGTCTAAAAACTGAATACTCAGAATACTAAAGGTTTGGTGCTTAAATTTATTTTTCCCATGCCAGAGAAAGCAAGCTTTGGTATGGTAAACCACATGAGAACATGGCTCCTTTCTTTTTGGATAGCCTGGCCATGTGTGAATGGGATTTTAGCTTATTATGTTTCTAAGACTTTTCCTTACAGCACACTTAATGTACCTTTTCAGTCCTTCTCCCAACCCCCTGCAAATTGTCTTTAAAACAACAACACATAAGGAATCTGAAGCACAGGAGAACACAGAGCCAACAAACAGAATGAAGAACAATCATCTATTTTTAACTGACTTTCTATCATTACCATTTTTCCTTTTGCTTAATAACTATCTTGCTTTGAAACTTTGACTCCTTTTATAAGTTCTATGAGGCACATATGTATAGCAATTTGGTTCTAAAAACCAGTGATCTTACTTTAGCTCCATCTTAAAATTTCACCTTAAGTAAATGGCCTCTAGTAGATGATAAGCCTAAAAAAAGCACAATTATTAAAACAAACAGATCCATGTTAGGACATTTCTGAATAATAAAGAGAAAAGGTGTTTCGTTGGGTATTGCAGAAAAGAGGACCAATTTCATATAGTACAAGTTTCGTAAGTCAGGCCAAGTGTCAATTTCAAAAGACAAGAAATGAAATTGACAGTGAATAGTGCTCATAAATTGGTAGCGTATATAAAGAGAAGTTCCTGTCACATTATATTCCCACTAGAATTATTATCCACAGTAAATAAATATTATTTTGTTATGCCAAAAATATAGCGAGCAGCTTCATGGTTAATAATACATTTATGTTGACACCTCCCTAATCCAGGAAACATTCACAAACAAGGACTCCCATATACAAATACTTTAGGAAGAGAGATTTCCCAGGCAGATATCACCAAAAATGTTTTCACTGTAGGAATCACAAAATAAGTTTTTGTCAAAATAACTGTTGTTGAACGTTATACTGGTCTTCCTCACTGGTGATTGATAAGCTCCTTTCTAGCCAGTTTGTGGTACTTCCTTCATTTTCCCTAGAAATGTTACTTGTTAAATGTGTCCTCAGGCGGTTTCATCTTTGTTGATTCTGCCCATCTAAGTCATAAGCTTCTCAAATGCAAGCTACTAGCTAGTTACACTTGTAAGTTTTCCATAATGACATGATTTTAAACATAAAGAGTTCATAAGAATCACTTGGAGAGACTATTTAAAAATGAGATTCCTAGGCCCACCTCAGATTGTGATAAATCTGTGTGACTGACTGATGCACACTTTTTCTGGACTATAATAACTGATGCTGCTCTACTGCTTTAATACAGGCCAAAGTAACGTGGAAGCGCACAGCAGAAAATCTTCAGAAAGACATCAGGTTTGTTCTGATTTTGACAAGGGTAACTTCTTCTTTATTAAAGCAAATAACTGGACATAATCTTAAAGGATTCCACCTCCATCGTCTTTCCTAACTTAGATCTTCATTGAGAAATTGGGCAAGGTTAAGTTTACTTTTTTCTAGTGCTGCGGTTTTGGCTCGTCTTGGTAGTCTCATCTTCATTTCTGATTCTGGTTCTGGAACTTCATGATCACTAAATAGATGTTGAAAATACACGAATTTAGATACAAGCTTTAAAACCAGTTTATTTATAAATAAAACTTTTTTGTTTCTGACTCACATTCTATCAGTGTTTAATTGATAGCCTGATTCCATTGACTTAGCTTAAAACTAAAATCTCAATGTCAAAAAAACACTGACTTGGCTATCTAGCAAAGTGAATCAGGGAAAATCTAGCTAATGATTTTATATACTATAACAGAACCTGGTGTTATACAGGAAAAAAAGCCACAAACTTGTAATGAAGCTTGTAATTAAACGAGGACCATAACTGTCCAAAAGAGATTTCTTTGAAACTCAAGAAGTGACAAAAAAATTAAGTTCTCTCTCTTGATTTAAGCAATAAATTCCAAAAACATAGTAAAAAACAAGTTTCCCCCCAAAAAAGACAAATTTAATCAACAGTGTAAAACTATGTACTGAAAATACACACAATACAATTTTGCAAATGAATACAAGACAGCTACCAACTTTCAGCTCTAACAGTGGCTTGACTGACAGAAGCCAAAAATAAAACACTCTACCACACAATATACCCAAATTATAGACAGAATTATTCTATCAGTATGTAAGTGTAGAGAACCCAAATATTATCAAAATCAAGAGTTTGCTAACTGAAGATCAAAGAGGAGTCACATCATGTAATTAAAAATTGAAACAACATATTAAAGATAGTACTAAAGACCATGCCAGCTAATAGGCAAAAGCAAACACGCCGTAAGAAGTCAAATGCTCTTGATGATGGAATTTTAGACTATATACCTAAGACAGCTATTTATAGTTTTCACTATCTTGTTATATATTCTCTCTCATTCGCAAGAAAATTAGTTTTTTTCTACTTGTAGAAATAAAAAGTGAAGATAGGCCTCCATATATTCTAGACATGCATGACATACCTTTCAGAGTCGGCTTCAGCAGTCTGACACCTCCTGTTCGTCCTAGCTGAAACTGTCACTTTTCTCTGTCCTTGAAGATAGTATAATTCATTATCAGGATTTATTATCAGTTGCTTTTTGTTTTTAATCTAGTTTCTAGGCTAACTAAATCCTTTGTCTTCAACACAACAATCCTTTCAACACATGTATCTCCTACTTGTTCTAGCCATCTTGGTACCAGTTATCACTGCCACAGAAAAAGGAACCCAAGCAAGATTAAAACTTAATTTATTTTGTAAGCACTAATAATGAGTAAGGGAAAATAAGGAAATTTCAAGCAAGTTAAAAGAAGGCAAATTTTAGTTCAATGTATTTGAGGACAGTATATGAAAAATGTGTTATAATGAAGTACCTCTATTATTGCTATAGCACAAAGTCTGTGGAGACTCATGAAAATTAAGGGTTAGAAAGGTAGGTTAGGTGCATAAACAGGTGCTAAAGAAACAACTTTTTTTTTTCTTGGAAGGTGATAAAACATAGTAAGGTAATAATGGCTTCTTGTAAAATAACATACATGACCAATTCAAATGTGTTCTAAAATATATTTCAATGTAAAAACTAGAACCTTTATATACTGGGGATTATAAGATTCTACTTACTAGAAATTTACAAGGTTAAGGAGTAAGACAAAGTTTGGCTTGTGATGTTTCTCATTTATAAGGAATAAAACAATATGAATATATGAAGTTTGGTCTATTAAAAAGGATGGTGTTCTCATGGTGTGATATACCACAAAAAAAATCTGATCAAAACCAAACTGTTCAATGTGACAGTCTGAAAATTATATACTCTACTTCATTCATGTTACACTTTTTTCTACTCCTTACCTGCTTTTACTAATGCATTTATCCCCAAGAAAACATCCAACAATATGGGACTAATTTGGAACAATATCCAGCAATTGGTATTTAAATAATTTACTGGTTACAAAACAATATTATGACCAGACTCCATTTTAGAAAAAATTAAATCTGCATCGAAAAGGGCCTTAAAAAATAGATTTCTAAAATCAAAATCATGGTTGGCTCATGGGTGGGATTATTAGTGTTCCTTATAGTAGTTTGTCTGGATGTACTTTCTGATTCTTCTGTAATAAGCATGCATTGCTTTTGTAATGAGGAAATAATAAAACAATAAAAAGATCTTGAATTTCAGATTTTTTTCCAAGTGACCCCCTAATAGTCAGCATTTACTTTGCCAACAGATCCCCTATTGTTGGATAGCCCTTGGGAAATAAGTTGGGAAAATATGAAATAAGATGGGAATAGAAGGAAAACAAAGCCCAGAAAAATACTACAGGGATTTTTTAAAAATGCTTAGTTACAGGAAGGATAGAACACAAATAACTAATATAAAACCATCATTTAACCAAATCTTAATTTAACCCAAATTGTCTTTTGTAATATCTTTTGCATCATACTTCTTTCAATCTAAAGCACCAAGAGCAACACTGATTTTATAATCTTTAGACACAAGGCAAAAACTGACATCCACAGAAAGAATTAAAAAGAAAGGATACCAAAGACATTTTAAAAAAAATCTTTATCCCTAAGGAAACAAAGATAAGAAAACTTGCAAAACAAGTATTTTTCATTGGAAGATAAAATTTAAAACTTTTATCATAAAGATGGTCAATCCACACACTACCTCTGTTAGTCTTTAGCTGAGTAGACTTTGATGCTTGGGTTGCTTTTACACCCCTGAGT
This sequence comes from Homo sapiens, assembly GCF_000001405.40. Lineage (NCBI taxonomy): Eukaryota > Metazoa > Chordata > Mammalia > Primates > Hominidae > Homo > Homo sapiens. The sequence goes on along the minus strand of NC_000004.12, from coordinate 17,840,634 downwards.
GGAGTCATATATACTTCTTTATTCTTTTCTATTAAAGGGAATAATACAACAATATAAATAAGATAACCTCATGAAATATTTTAAATTGTCTTTTTAAGACCAGTTTTTATAAAACTGAAATGACAAAGTCCTTCTAGCAGCTAGTGAAAAGTTATAAATCACCCTTTCGAAAATTTGAATATTGGAAAAAGAAGCAAAACTCTTAAAAAGATGGTCATATGTTGAGAAATGCATGCCAAAAAACACTTGAAAAGCAGAATAAACATTTATCAGTAATGCTCTTTCCCAAGAGGATTAATTAGAAAAAAAATTTCATTCATTTCTGATGTCCAACCAAACATGTTAGAGTAGAAAAAAATATGTCTCAGTAAAGATGGAAAAAAAAAAACAGAACCTTATAAATATTCTGTTCAGTATGTGATTACCATCTTCATTTTGGAAAGTAGTTGTAGTCAAGGTGGCATCCTGTGCTGCTTCAGCTTGGTCACCAAATTCTTTATTTCCTTTTTCTAACTGAATCTTGATTTTCTCCAAAGCTCTCAGACATGTCCTATCTTTTACTTGCTATAAAAGAAAACATTATTAACATTTTGTAAACACCGCATTCCCTAATCTTTGAAAATAGTACCAATACATATCAAGTTGTTTAAAAACACTAAATTATATGAAATTTATGAAGAAAATACTTCAAATAAGTCACAATATGCTAACATATGTATAATCTAATACAACCATGTAAATTCTACATGTATAAATATAAACACAAACTAATTTAGAGTAATGAGAAACTACTTTACCTCCAGAATCTCATTCAATAGAACCAGAAGATCTTTTGCAAGATGGCTACTGAGTTCTAAAGAACTCAAGGCTTTTGTATAGACTCGAATTTCTGGCGAGCACGGACTTGTTAAGATCTCATTGCAAATTTTCATAGCCAAATTGTCATGTACTGTTAAGGCCTAAAAAATTAAGAGAAAATTCTCTGTAAATTGAAGATGATTATGATTATTATATAGTCTTACACATCTAACAAATATTTCCAACTAATTTTCTTGCCATAATCCCAAATATAAAATGTCTAAAACCAAATTTAACATCCTCCCTACCCCCAAAATAAGCTCCCCTTCTTGACTTCTTGTTGTGGATGTTGTGATATAGGGCCCAGTTCCACTCCCTTTAGGAAAGATGCACTCATCCCCCAGTTGCTGCATGTTTTGGAGGGTAAAAGTTCCCAGCTGCAGTACTGATCCAGGCTGACAATGGTGGACTTTGGTGGACCTTGTCCAAGATCATACCTCTTCTCCCAAAGATTTGTCCAAATCCAATGACTGGCCCGTGCACAAGTACAGTGTTTCAGCTTGTCTCCATTCTGGACAACTCAAAGGAACATCCCAGTTCCGGAACTCCCTATGGGATTGGCTGGGGCCTTTGTTTGCATAGCAGTAGTTGAACTTAGGGCTATGCCCCAATCTACTTTTCCCTTACTCTTCCAAGACACTGATCATGAGAGTACTCCCCAATTAAACTATGTCAACAGCTCCTTTGAAGTCTGCTGTTACACATACTTAGAGTTTTCCTGGACTCCTCCATCTCCCTTGCCTCTCAAGCTCTTTCTTTTAGATTCTTGTACCCATAATTCTTTATTAGGTCAATTTCTATTCTTTCTACTATTACTTTCTAGTACTTTTTCTACAAGCGAATTATACAGATTTTCAGCTGCTTTCTTTATTAATATTCTTTTCTTTCTGCTCACCAATTCATCTCATATAACCACCACTGACCACCAAATTAATCTTTCCAATAAGTGGTTTTCATGACATTAACCCTTTCATCATAAGCCCTGCATAATTATCCATTGCACATAAGGCCAACTCCAAATTCCCTACATTGGCCTTTAAAGCAATCTATAATCTACCCCCAGTGTTGTGCCCTAACAGTCCTATTCAGGATCCTTAGCCAAAGTCATCTTTCTACAGTTCCCCAATATTTGCATAACCATCTACATATATCACCTTTACTAAAACATCCTTCCTCTACCCAAACCACTCCCCAAATACCAACAAGGCCTAACTGAATTTTGGTCAATGAGTTTTAAAACTAATGCTGTACTCATCATTCCTACCACATGACTCTTGCCCTTGTCTCAAGTCATGAAGTGCTTAATAGCTCTATTACTGACCCTTACCTAATTTTGCCTAATATCCTTTGTAATCTTATCTTTCCAATAATATACAACATATGAATTGAACAGAGTAGCTTATCACTAAATATCAAATAAAATAGAGTAATACTTTCAACTTAATCTGTTAGCATCTGAAATCACTAATACATTAAATTTCAAAAATGGTAACAAGTTTGACCAAATGCCATTAAAGGATTAAAACAACCCAGCTTAAGTTCAGTCTGTGAGTCAGTGTGCAATTGATTTATCTTCTTTGAATTAAAAGCCAAAAAAGCTTGAGGTGAGTTCTAGTCTTTGAATTCTCCTTTCTTGTGCCAGAAGCATAGCAGGTAAGCCAACATTTGAAGACTCTGTGAGTCCTAGATAACATAGGTTATTACTTCAGATTAACAGTCAGTACTAGGTGGGCATGGTGTGGGTGGTGGATTTTTAGTAATTTCTTTTCAGTAGCAAAAATGTTAGCATTGATTACTTCTGTTTTCATATGATTTCTCCACATTTCCCAAGGTCATGTTTCTTTCGTGCTTTGTGGTATATGCTTGAGACAGAAGTCTAAAGACCAAAATGCAGTTCCTCAGTATTTCAAGGGATCTTTGAGAGAGATTATTTTACCAAAACAGTGATCTGCATGCAGTTACCACAGTCACTCACCTGATAATCTTGGGAAGTCTTGGCCTGAGGATTTAATCCACTTGGTCTTGTCAAATCTACAAGTAACTCAGCAACATTTGTGATATCAATTTCAGCTAAAGGAGAAGATGCAGGGGCATTGGCCAGTGTTTGCAGGGTTGGAAGAAAAGCTTCTTCAAAGCATTCCTGATTAGTCCTATTGAGAAACAAATTCAAAGTATGTTGGCAGAACATTATTTGATGAGAGAAAAAGTATGAAATTCAAAACTACTATGTAGGAAATTCACTCATTAAGTGCATTTTCATCTAGGAAAGAGCCAAAAATTCAGATAGATAAAATCTGTATCGTTCTTGTCATTTCATCATTTATCTACTAAAGACAGAAAAAGTATCAACAACAAAATATCATTATAGATATAATTCATGGGGGACTTGAATTTGATGTCAAGTCAGATTTTTGATTTATCAGTATGACTCAATACCTGCTTGCATAAGCAAACACGGGGAAGAACACGCCTAGGCAATGTCGAAGTTGAACATCCTCTTCAGTCACAGGATTGTACCATAACAAAATAAGACGAGAAAGAATCCTGCTGCTGACCAAAAGCCCAGAGAACATCAGCTTGGCTAGTCCTTCTGCAGCTCCAGTCCTAAGTTCAGATACCTAACAAAGATGACATTCATTAGAAGAAATTTATTTGTATCTCCTTTTTAAGCCTCTCAATGTAGCCTGTCCTACAGTATTTTTACACGAACCATCCAAAAACCATTCGAGTTATTACAAATTCTTTAAAGGCAAATAAAAAGACTGTTTCTTCAAAGCTAGAATAACAATTTTAGACAAATCTAAAAGACTAGGAGACTAGACAAATGCTTAGTCTAGCCATGAAAAATTCAATTATCTTAAAACTTTTTAGAAGAACCAAAAGGCCTTTTATAACTGTTGGAAAAAAAGAGCAAAACATATATTTAAATGCTTAGGGTTTCTAAGACATAGAAAACCCTGGCCCCTGGTATTAGAGGAAGGTGCCTATCTATAAGCAAAAGCTCCATATGTAGGAGTGCAATTTGTCTGAATAATGGATAGAATGTGAACAGAAGGTGTTGAAGCAGAAGGCATTCCTAGAAAAAGTAAACAAAAGTCTAGAGAAGACAAAGGAAAAGACAACTGGATGTACACAGGCAAAACAATGAAGCTGGACCTTAGACCATATACAAATATTAACTGAAAATGCATCAACAGCCTAAATATAAAAGCTAAAGCCAGAAAACTCTCAGAAGAAAACAGGGATAAATCTTCATGACTTAGACTTAGCACTGGATTCTTAGATAGGACACCAAAAGCAGAAGCAACAAAAGAAAAAAATGAGTGTATCTCCAAAATTAAAAATGTTTAATACATCTAAGTATATTAACAAGAAAGTAAAAAGACAACCTGTAAAATAAAAGTTACAAATTATACCTGATAAGGATCTACTACCCAAACTATATAAAGAACTCTATAAAGACAACCAACCCAACTTAAAAATGGGCAAAGGACTTGAACAGACATTTATCCAAACAAAATATACAAATGGCCAAGAAGCAGATGAAAAGATACTCAACATCACTAGTCATTAAGGAAATGCAAATCAAAACCACAATGAAGTAGCACTTCATATATACTAGGATAGCTATAATGTTTTAAAAAATGGAACCTAAGTGTCAATAAGGATGTGGAGAAATGGAAAACCTTCTACACTGAAGATGGAAATTTAAAATGGTTCAATCACTGTGGAAAACAGTTTGTCAAGTTCCCAAAAAGTTAAATGACTGAGCAACACAATTCCTAGGTATACAGATACCCAAAAGAATTGAAACAGCTACTCAAACAAATACATATACATGCCATGTTCATAGTAAGCAGCACTATTCACAATAGCCAAAAGGTAGAAACAGCCCAACTGTCCTTCAATGGATGAATGCATAAACAAATCACCATATATACATAAAATGGAGTATTCGGCTACAAAAAGGAACGGAGTACTGATACAAGATACCATGTGGATGAATCTCGAAAATGTTATGCTAAATTTAAAAAGCTAAACAGAGGTCACATACTGTATGATTCCACTTACACAAAATATCCAGAACAGTTAAATCCATAGAAACAGACTGCGGATTGGTTGCTGTCAGGGCTGGCAGAAGGGGGAATGAGGAGCAACTGCTTAATGAGTAGTTTCCTTTTGGGATGATGACAATGTTTTAAATTAGATGATAAAGGTGGTAGTTGCCTTTCATTTTGAATGTACTAAATGCCAATGAATTGTTCACATTAACAGTATTAGTTTGGGCCAGGCACGAGGGCTCACACTTGTAATCCCAGCACTCTGGGAGGCTGAGGCAGGAGGATCACTTGAGGCCAGGAGTTCAAGACCAGCCTGGGCAACAGAGCGAGACCCTGTCTCTACAAAAAATTTAAAAATCAGCGGGCATGGTGGCACATGCCTGTCATTCCAGCTATTCAGGAGGATTGCTTGAACCCAGCAGGTGAGGGGTCAGTGGACTATGATCACGCCACTGCACTCCAGCCTGATGACAGAGCAAGACCCTATCTCAAAAAAATAAAATTAAGTTTTGTTATATCACTTCTAACTCAATGAAAAACTACAATCAGTATAAAAAATTTTTAATCAGTTGGTTTACATGTGTGCTACAAAAATAGTAGTTCAAGAGTACTTAAAAGAGATCCAATCCCATACCCTATCTTACATCTTCTACCCACCCAATATAAAATTATTCTAAACTATTTCTTAAAAGTCTTGGGGATAAATCTTAGAGTCTCTATATCACAAATACAACATAAAGAAATAAAAAATAACAACCCACTTTAATCACTTCATTTTTGTTTATACTTCATTTCTTTGCATATACAATTTGATAGTGAGAAATTAGGTATGATAGTGAAAGTTAGGATTTAATTAAGATATTTAAAAAGTAAAATAAAAAATGTCTATCCAAATTTAAAATCCAGTAGGAAAAATAAGATATAAAGAGCATAGGGGAGAGGAACATCACACACTGGGACCTATCAGGGGATAGGGGGGTAGGGGAGGGATAGCGTTAGGAGAAATACCTAATGTAGATGGGTTGATGGGTGCAGCAAACCACCATGGCACATGTATACCTATGTAACAAACCTGTATGTTCTGCACATGTATCACAGGACTTAAACTATAATAAATTTAAAAAATAATAATAATAAACAAATACATGCTGAAAATGACATTTCATAATCACAGGACTGGATTATTTCTTACCTCACTATCTAAGAAATCAGAAAGGAGTTTCAGAACATTCTTAGCTGTAGCAGTCTCTTCAACTTCTTTTGATTCTTGCTCATCATCACTGTTTATTTCTGTACCTTCACAATGAAGTGTTTTGATTTTTTTAGTTTTAAATGGTTCAATCCCGAACGTCATCAGTTGGTCAAAGATTGCCTTTAAAGCACTTATTTTTATTGTGACATCATCAATTTGCAAAACCTAAATCAAGATATTCCCCACCAAAAAAAGTAAATTCAGTAAACTGTTTTGTTTCTGTTTACATAAAATTAATATGTATCTTGTTTTTTTCTTAGTCAAATTTTAATGACAGTGTCTAGTCTAAAGAAAACATCACTTTTCAAAAATACAGTTAAAATTTCAATTTAAAAAAATGTTATTTTTATTTATTTGAACCATAACATATAATAGAGCTATATACTTTAAGACAAAGTTAATCTTCACAGTCAATAAAAATTTCTGGAGTTGGAGTCAGGCTGAATTATATTATTTGTTCCTTTTATTTAAAAAAGAATCAACAATGCCTTCAACTATGATTTTATTTTTTTAAGATCCAGAAAAACTGTTCAATTATGTTGAAAGTGTTCTAGCCCATCTGTCAAGAGAAAAACATTACATTCTAAGCAATGAAAGGCATTCATTAGAACAGTATTCTTCTAGGTTATCAAGTTTCATTTTTCTCTCATTAGCTCAATGAATTTAGAATTCCTTAACAGTAAACTCAGTTTTCAACTAGACTCCTTTATGAAAAGACGTAAATCACGAAACACAGCACTTTGTATGAGTCTATCTTAAGTTTAAAAATGCCCACCAAATTTCAAAGCCATGAAAAAAATACAGAGCTCAGTATTTATATTACAAAAAATATATATATATAGTGAGAAATTAAGTATGATAGTGAAAGTTAGGATTTAATTAAGATATTAAAAAAGTAAAATAAAAATGTCTATCCAAATTTAAAATCCAGTAGGAAAAATAAGATATATATAACAACAACAACAACAACAACAACAAAAATATATATATATATTTTTTTTTTTTGAGATGGAGTGTCACTCTGTTGCCCAGCCTGGAGCATAATAGCGCAATCTCAGCTCACTGCAACCTCCACCTCCCGGGTTCAAGCGATTCTCCTGCCTCAGCCTCCTGAGCAGCTGGGATTACAGGCACATACCACCACGCCTGGTTAATTTTTGTATTTTTAGTAGATGGGGGTTTCTCCTGCCTCAGCCTCCTGAGTAGCTGGGATTACAGGCACATACCACCATGCCTGGCTAATTTTTGTATTTTTAGTAGAGATGGGGGTTTCACCACATTGGTCAACCTGGTCTCAAACTCCTGATCTCATGATCAACCTGCCTCAGCCTCCCAAAGTGCTGGGATTACGGGTGTGTGCCAATTTACTATATTCTTTAATGTAATTAAATTTAGGTAATTGGTAAAATAACTTGGCTCTATAACTTGGCTTTTAGAACAAATAAATATCACCTGTAAATAATGAATTGAGAAAAATGGCTCAATTTTTCAAAACTTTTAAAGAAATTTCAAGAGCAGTTCCTGATTGCCAGAAATGGTCCATTATAAATCCAGAATGGTCCATTATGAAGCAACACGGGACAGCTGGGTCATTCTATCATCTTTAAAATATTATCTTCACTTGCTTTCCAGGAAATCACACCATTCCTCTTTTACTGTCCAATTCACCTTAGCCCCTACTGGTTCCTCTTCATCTCCCCTACCTTTATCTGAGGCTTAGGGTCCTATAAAGTTGACCCTACACTCATTCAGTCTATACTCATTCCTCAGGCAACATCCTATCTCTAAGCGTTGCATACTATCAGATACTACCAAAAGAATAAAGACTTCCATCTCACCATCTTGGACCTCTCCCCTATACTCCAAACTCATATATAAATGCCTATTCAATATATCCACTTGTACCTTAAACTGTAAACTTATCATGCCCAATATTGAACTCCTTATTTCATCCTATCTGCTACAAAACCTGCTCCTCTGCTTTCCCCATCATAGGAAAACGCAAATTCATCCATCCAGTTATTCTGGCGCAAATCTTTAAATTATCCTCCACCTTTCTCTCACATACCATGTCAGATTCATTAGCAAATCTTAGACTTTATTTTCAAACTTAGATTACCATCCTGCTCACAACCTCAGTAACCACAACCCTCGTCCAAACCATCGCCATCGCTTTCCTAGATTATCAAATACCCTCCTTATTAGTATCCCTGCTTCCATACTTGTACCCCTACTTAATACTAGGGATCTGCAAACAGCTCAAATCCATTCAACCACCTGTTTTTGCATAGCCTGCAAGTTAGGAAGTTTTGCATTTTCAAATGGTTTAAAAAAATGTATTACATGTGAAAATTACATGAAATTCAAATTTCAGTGTCCATAAAGTTTTACTGGACTACAGCCATACTAATTCATTTATGTATTATCTACAGCTGTCTTCACACTACAAAAGCAAAGCTGAGGAGTTCAGACAGATCATATGGCCCACAAAAATCTAAAAATATTTACTCTCTGGCCCTGTACACAAAAGGTTTGCCAAACCCTCCCTGGTCTACACCACTTTATGCCCAGTCAGATCATAACAATCTTCTACTCAAAGCCCTCGAATTCCTTTCCATCTCATTTATAGTGAAAACTGACATCTTTACAGTCTATAAGGTCCTAGAAGACATGGACATCCTGCTGCCAGCAAACCCTTTTTCCTATTATTCTTCCCTTTGCTCAATCTTTCCTAGCCATGTGTTCTCTTATTCCTTGAACACACCCAAAGTCCTACACCCCAGTGCCTATTCCCTTATTCTTGCCTCTCCTTGGAAACCCAAATAACCACGTGGTTCGCTCTTGTACTTCCTTCTGGTATTTGCTCAAATGTCAACTTATTAGTGAGGTCTTTCTCAACCAAACAGTTCCCTCTCCTCCTTCCCACTGCTTAATCCCCTTCTCTGCTTTATTTTTCTCTATCTGATACATTGTATACTTATTTTTCACTGTGTGTTTCCCCTTCTAGAATGTAAGCTCCATTAAGACAACACATTTTATCTTGTTTTATTCACTACCTACCTACTTTATTTCTTCTAAGTCTAGAACAGTTGCTGGCACATAATACGCACTCAATAAGTATTTGCTATGTGAATAATTAAAAGAATATCTTACATAATTGGCGTTTCATCTTTTTCTACAAAGACATTTTAATAAGAAATCAAAAGATAAAAGTATTGTGTCTCCAAAGATTATCCATAATAATCATCATCAATAAGAATCAGAATAGATAAATTCAGAGTATTAGCATTATCGCCACAGAGTATTTCAGGAAATACAGTTGAGATTTATCACAAGATAAATCCTACCTGCAATAGTAATACGAAGTGTTTCCTTGCAAAATCCTGATTCTGTAGTCCACAGCATCCCAAGCATAAAACAGCCAGGTTTCTTACAACAGGATGAATACTTATTATTCCAGGAAGAATCTAAAATGAATCAGAAATTTTCCATATGATTTCATAGATCTACTTCATTTCCCTATTGTCTATTACCTCAAAGGTGTCATTTTTCACTTTTAAAGAAAAGGTAAGTATTAAATTGCTAAAACAGAACAATATAGCCAGAGTGACCTTCCTGAAATAGGGTCTGACCATGATACCTCCCCTCCACCTGCTAAAAGGGACTCAATGGTTTCCCAATGCTCACAGAACAAGATAAAACTCCTTAACATGATATATACTATTCCCTATTGTGTAGTTTCTTTCCCAATCTTCTTATACCATGCTACCTCTTGCTCAGTTTGTTCAACTAGTCTGGCTTGGATTCAATGCTATCCAACAGAAATATAATAGAAGTCACAAATGGGTACCACATATGTCATGTTAAATTTTCTAGTAGCCACCACATTGAAGTAAAAAAAAAAAAAAAAGTGAAACTAGTCTTAATATATTTAACTCAATATAACCAAAACATCGTATCTGTAGTATTTAATCAATATAAATACTATTAACAAGATAAGTTACCTTCTGTTCTTTGTACTAGTCTTTGAAACCCAACATGGTTTTTTCTTTTTTCTTTTCTTTTTTTTTTGAGACAGAGTCTCACGCTGTCACCCAGGCTGGAGTGCAGTGGCGCAATCTCGGCTCACTGCAACCTCAGCCTCCTAAGCTTAAGTGATCCTCCTACCTCAGCCTCCCAAGTAGCTGACAGCACAGGCCCGAGTCACCACCCTTGGCTAATTTTTCTATTTTTTTGCAGAGATGGGGTTTCACCATGTTGCCCAGGCTGGTCTCAAACTCCTGAGCTCAAGCCATCCCGCCTTGGCCTCCCAATGTACTAGGATTACAGGTGTGAGCCACCACGCCCAACCCCCAACATGTTTTTAATCCTTACAGCATATCTCATTTTGGTCTAGTTTTTAAAAGCCATGTGTGGCTGACAGCTACCATATTAAACAATCTTCTCTCACTTTTTCATACATGTAATGTCTACTCAAATATCAGACCAGGGTCACCTTCCATGAATAGTTCAAATCCTGCTATTATAAGTTCACATACGGCCATATAGCTCTTCTTCATAGCAAGCACTAATAGCACAAAGTTTCACTTATTTCTTTACTTAATCGATGCTCCTCTCACTTGACCAGATCAACGTGGGCAATCTATATCTATTTTGTATACCATGTACCATCCCAGCACTTAGTATGTAATAGATGTTCAGTAAATATTTGCTCAATGAATAATTTGTATTTTCCCAATGAATAATTAAATCTTTTATTTAAAACACAGTAACTTCATAAAAATATAACTTTTATCCAAACATCTTTTATATTCCTCTACTAATCTCTTTCAATCTTTAACCAGATTTTTATACATTTAAAATCATTATGATCATTCAATTTTGTGTTTATTCTTCACATAACACTGTATATCCTTTCCCACATATATACAGTCTTCGTATTTACTACTTCAATTTTGTAGGACCAGACATAAAATGCCCAAGCACAAATTAAGCATCACTTTTCACTAAAGATAACTGCTTTTCCAAAAATAAAGCTAAATTCTAATGGTTGAGTACAAAACAGTATTTCTCCAGAAGCTCTAAACTATTAAAATTGGTTTTCTTTACTACATTCAGGAACTCATGACAACCCAAGGAATTAGACTTCAGATTACATTCATTGGCTATTTCTCACTAATACCAAGTAAATACAGTTTTGAGAGACTTCTGTAAGAACCTGGCTACATACAGAATTTGCTTTGAATGAGTAGTACTATCAAAAACAACAACAACAACAAAACAGCGCACTAATACTGTAGCCATTAGCCTCATGTGGCTACTGAACACCTGAAATGTGACTAGTCCAGTTTAAGATGCGCTATAAGACTTAGTATGCAAAACAGAATGTAAAACATTGCAACAGTTTTAATAGTGAGTAAATAATGAAATGATTAATATTTTGGATATATTGGACATATCCAAATAATACAGTTGGATATATTCAATATACTAAAATTATCCTCTTTTTTTTTTTTAAAACAGTGGCTTTAAAAAAAAGCCACTTTTTTTAATGTGGCTACTAAAAAATGTAAAGTTACATATGGTTTGCACTATATTCCTTATCAGAAAGTAATGTTCTAGAGTCTTACAGTACTTGTGTCCCTATGGGAATTACCTACAAAGGGTTATTTTAAAAGCCCTTTAAATATAATAAATAAATTCCTTTCCCAGGGCATAAAATGTGATTGTCTCAGTCTCATTACGTAGCACAATTCCAGTACTTAAATATTCTTGGTATGTTTCAGTATCTCCTCTCTTACTATTCAAAAAATGAAGATATTCTGTATCTCTTTCCAGTATAAAATCATTTTTTAAAATATGTAAAAGACTGTAATTTACATATCAGGTCCTTTACAGACATCTTATTTAATCCTCACAATATGAAGTAGCTGCTATATATATATATTTTATCATTTATACTTATCAGATATTTAAGACAGTAATCTTTTCATTATTTTGATTTCTAAAGAACATATCACTTACAAAATAAGAAAGGAGTGGACTAAAATAAAGCCCAAGAGGCCATCAACATACCAAAGATTCGATGATTCCATTCATGGTTGCACTTAAGCCTGTTGAAATGGACATCTGCTTCAACAGTTCATAGCATAAAATAAGACATTTCTGCAATGTTTCAGCATCATTCTAAAATGAAGACAAAATATTCAGCATTAGTAATATCTTCTCCCCATCCTTTAAATGTTTGCTTTCTCAGGGCTTTGTGTAGGGCATACTGTCACTCTATATAGACTCTGTAGGTGATCTTACAGCTATCACACAGATAGTAAATGGTAGAGGCAGGATTTTAAAATTGGCAACTTCAGCCAGGCGCAACGACTCACGCCTGTAATCCTAGCACTTTGGGGGGCCAAGGCAGGTAAATCACTTAAGGTCAGGAATTTAGGACCAGCCTGGTCAACATGGCAAAACTTCATCTCTACTAAAAACACAAAAATTAGTGTGGTGGTGCACACCTGTGGTCCCAGCTACTTGGGAGGCCGAGGCACGAGAATGGCTTGAACACGGGAGGTGGAGGTTGCAGTGAGCTGAGATCATGCCACTGCACTCCAGCCTGGGCAACAGAGGGAGACGTTGTCTCAAAAAAAAAAAAAAAAAAGTCTAATCTTCATCTTGCCTAATTATCACCTCAAAAAAAAAAAAACCTGACAACCTCGTTTATCATCTATGAGCTAGCCCAGCTATTTTCTAAGTTTCAGATTCATATATATAACTGCTAAAAGACATTTCCTCTTGATGTTCCACAGTTTCCTCAAACTCAACATGTCCAAAAGGGAACTCATCATTACACAAATCTCTCCTCTTCCTTGTTCTCTATCTTCATACTGTCATCACCATCTACCCAGTTGTCTAAACCAAAAGACTTAAGATACATTCCTGACTCCCTTTTCTCCGTTACTAATTTCTAAATACCTCTCAAGTTCATCACTACTTTCCAAATCCACTGTCATTATCTTGTTCAGACTACCATCATCTGTAAGTCTCCCAACCCTACTGTAAGTCTCCCAACTATTATGCCTGTCTAAGCTTTTACTACTCTCCAATCCATTTCCTAAACAACAGTGATCTGAGACATAAGACTTACCTAACCACTTAAAATACTAGTGGTTCACCACAATCCTTAGAATACAAAATTTTTAATATTGCTTACGCAAAGCCTTACATGACCTAGCCCTTAATTTTTCCCCAGATTTTTCTCCTGCTTCTCCCCATCAATTCTCTAGTCACATGGACCTGAAGTTTTAAAACATAATAGGCATTCTTTAACTTCTGGACCATCACAGATGTTGCTCCATCTGTCTACAACATTCCTTCCATAATTCATTGAGGAGAGACAGCACAGAGTGAGTTAAAAGCACAAGTCTAGAGCCACTTCTTGGGTTTAAATCCTGCCTCCACCATTTACTATCTGTGTGATTTTGGGCAAGTTACTTGCCCTTTGTAAAATGAAGATAATAATAGTACCAACCTCATAGGCCTATAGGAAGAAAAGAATGAATTCACATTTGTGAAGTAATTAATGCTGTGACTACCACAGAAAAAGTATCCTCTGACTGTTAGATTATATTGTTATTTTTATTCTAATCTCAGGATAAAACATGTCTTCCTCTGGGGAAGCCAACAATACTCTACCAGCACTAGAAACCTCTCCATAAAACCTCTATACTTCCCTGACCATAGCATTTATTATGCTCTGTTGTAGTTGCATTTTAACAGATTTGTAGCCCTCGAACAGGACAAATAGACACATAAATGGTCAAAGCAAGTCAAGTTAAACAGACGATATTAACCATGATAGACTACTTTTGCTAATTTTATAATTTTGACCTAAAGTTTGTCATTTTTCAGATGATATTTTCAGTTTTTGCTTTAAATTTGCTTTCCAAATTTAATAGCCTATAATGGCCCACAGACTTCGTCAAATAAAAGAAGCCACCAGCTATCAAAATAAAATTCAGGCATACACTCTGGGAAGGTGGGTGTTGGAGTTGGGATGTCTATGGCTAAAGAGATCAGAAACATAACTCATGAAACTCTCCTATATAAAAGAGTCTCCTATTTAGCATTCTTTTTATGAGAATAATCAGCACATCCCAAAAGTACAACAATAAATGATGTTCATTACAAAAGGCAAGATCCCAAAAGAAATTAAAGTTAATATCAAATATTAATTGATACCTATCTTATGTTTACATATTTATCATTTGTTGTAAGACAGAATGGTATCGATACCATTAACAAAAAATTTCTTTCAGAAGGAAAGACATACTCCATTTAAGAGAGTACTTTAACAAACTAATTTTTTAAAAAACGAACTACTGAAAAGCAAGCTTTAAATGTTACTAGACATATTTCAGTATTTCATTAAAAATAACAAAGCTGCGTAGCTTTTTCTAAAAACACAAAAGTAATTTAGCTTTAAAAAAATGCACGTTACCATAGAAATTATTTTGCTAGCAATAAAAAAGAAAGGTCATTGATCCTCCACAAATAAGAGGAAAATGGATGTATTTTCCTTTTTTAAACCATTCAAGACAAAAAACAGAAAACTCAGATGTGAACCACTGGAAAGCTAGCTTCCCTGGTAAGAAAGACTTCGGATTCTAGAGATTAGCATGACAAGGAAGCAAATAAAGTCCTACCTCCAATAATTAAAGTTAATTAAGGCCTTTCAAAGTCCAAAAATAGAAACAGGGAAAAACTTTTTTCATTTTAATTCATGTCACTATTACAAAGTGCTCAAAGTAAATATATTTTGGCAATTCTAGAAGTTAGAGAAAATAAGATTTAGTTGAGATGATTAATAACACCTGAGATTTAGTATGAAAAAAGTTACCTGTACCTTCTCTATGTGGACTTCTTTAATTTCAAGTTGCTCTGTCTCTTTCAAAAGGTTTATTCTGGCATCTTCTAATGCTTTTATTTCTTCTTTTAATTCTGATGCCCGATTAAAATCCTGTAAGGTAATGCAATTTTCCAAAGCTTCTTTGGCTTCGATAAGCTTAACTTTTATTTCAGCCATCTAAGGGAAGATATAAATTGTTTCAACACTGAACAAAAACTGTTAATATGAATATCTGTAGCAACTCAGGAGTATTATTTAATATCTCAACTGCCCAGAATTTAATGAGTCAGGCATATGCAAACTTGTAGTTTTCCTGACACAGAGATCTGCATATCTCTGAGACTGACATATGTGGTAACATTTTAAATATTCTTATAGTTTAACAATTAAACAATAATTTGATTATGTGAGAAACATTTCAGAACTGCACAGCAAGAGGAAAGAATAGACTTGCCCAGCTACATTACACTCAAGCACTTCTTTCATTTAAAAGAGACTTACCTTGAGTTCTTTCTTTCTTACATCAGCTGGATCGTTATTAACACCAACAGTAACAATGGGCGCCCGAATCTCTGAGATAATTTCTGTAACCTGTAAGTTCAGAGTACATGCTTTAATATATGTTTGATATATCAGCAAATAGTATCAAAATTCTATATAAAACTCCAAGTAGTATCCACCATATATTGAATAATGGAGCAAAAACATACTGGTAGAAATAGCACACATTCTGTTTGCTAGACAATTTTAGAAAAAAACAAAACAAAACAATATATCTGACTACAAAATGAAATTATTTGAATGGAAGGGAAATAGGCACACAGACAGTGAAAGTAAATTATCCCTCATATAATGTTTGAAAAACAGAAATATGAATTATGGTGCTTAAGATGAGACACTTAAATTCTCTGCCTAAAATCCTCAACCCTTCTCTTGTTCAGCTCTGTAGGAGTTAAACACAGAAAAATGGAATATCCTTTTATTCTTCCTTTGGGTAGACAATGCATAAATAATAATAGCATAAGGAAGGACTTTCCTTTCAGAACCACTTGTATATTGGAATTGGCTGATCAGGAAAAGGCTGCCTCCCAAATGAAAGTATTTAAGCAGATGCTGAATAACAACTAAGCATGTTGTAGAAGGGGTGTATATATAAGGAGAGGATGGAAGAGATGATCTGTGAATTAACCTGCAACTGAAATTATGTGATTTTTATGAAATAAATGATACAGATCTGTCTTTTTTGGCTATGCCAGAAAAAAATAACACTGAAATAGTATTATAGTAAACAATTATTTCTGTATTTATCAAGCAATACAGAACAATACCTTTATGAACAATACCTCATTGAAAAATGAAAGGTAGATTTCATTGCTATTCTTATTTGCAGACAAGTAAAACAGCAGAATAACTTGTCCAAAGCCACAAAGCCAGAAAGTGTCAGATGAGATTCTAAACCCTAGTATGTACAATTTGAGTAAGCTCTCAAAAACACTAGCACCCAGTGCCTCATGGACAAAACCATATCCCCACTTGTAACTTCCTACCAAACCTGCTCCATTTCAAACTGATTCAACAATAACAGGTACACTAAGAGGAAGAAGGTGACATTTTTCAAATATTCTGTGTATGTAAGAGATAGATAATGGTTTTAAGAAATTTTAAAACTCATTAAAGAGACGAACCTAAAACAAAACAGACAAAACAAAAAGTTCTAAACAGAAAATAAGACAGTATTCAATGTCATTGACCAAAACCTCTTTATCAACAATGAGGAAAATTACTTACAATTTGTGTTCTCTTATTATCATCTATAATGATGTGGAGTAGTCTTTCAACAAGAAAAGAAACCAGGGATATTGGGATTGTGGGTAAAATAAGAATCTCCTGTAAAACAGCCAGCAGTTTTTTTCTGCAGTCAAAAAGAACTAATTTAAATATTATTATGACAAAACATGTTTTATCTCTAACATTCACCTACTCTGCAAACTTAATTACATTTGCCTCAGTTCTTTCACTTAGGTTTATCACTATAATAGGTACAAAAATCTGTATGTACAGACTTTAGGTCAAATATTCTTATTCCACACAAAAAAAAATTTTTATAAAACACCCTATGATTTTTAATAAATCAACATGATAAAATGACAAAATACCAGAAATGATTAAACCTTTTAGAAAATGCTACTAGCCTTAATAAATCTAAACAGAAACTTTTAACCAAAAACTGCAATTTCATTGATTTATTCTGAGGAAATTGAACTAGAAATATAAATGTATGTGTATATATGGAAATATGTAGAAGGGAAAAGAAAACTTTTTATACCACTTTAGAGAGCTAGGGTAAATATGTTTAGTTATATTGTAAAAGGACTATATTTCAATATAAGAAATTAGAAGGGCAAATTAGAATGAGTGTTAACATTTAGACATACCTTCCTCCTTCTTCACTGGTATCCAAAGACTTAATAATTAGAATCAATTGTTGACCTATGAATTCTTTTGTCATCAAATTTCCAATATAGGAAAAATCACCTCTGTGTTCTTCATTAACAACTGGAATGCTCTGGATGTAACTAAAACAAGCAGAATTAATAAAGTAGAATCTTTTAAGAAACATCAAACAAGAGTTGATTCCCACCATTAGGTCAGAAAAGGGCCATTTTCAGGTCATATTCGTCTAAATACATATCTATGCCATGTAATTTGGTCTACAAACTCAATTCTATGCCACTGTCATTAACTTTTGCAAACAAACTTATTGATGAATCAAAAGAATTTGAAAATGTATTTTCAATAATGACTCAAATTTTCTATGGGAAATTTTCAAAAGGTACATATTTATGTCTAACTGATAACTAATTATTTCAATGTCACTAGCATTCTCCCAATTACAGATGGTCCCCAATTACAGGTGGCCCAACTTACAATTTTTCAACTTTAGGATGAGTTTATCTGAGAATTAAACTCATTTGACTTATGACATAGCCCCACTTTAAGTCAAGAAGCATCTATCAAGTTCTGAATCCCTTACCCAAAAATCCAATTAGTCATAAAGATCTAATCTTCAGCCGGGCACAGTGGCTCACACCTGTAATCCCAACACTTTGGGAGGCCGAGGCAGGTGCACCACAAGGTCAGGAGTTCGAGACCAGCCTGGCCAAGATGGTGAAAACCTGTCTCTACTAAAAGTACAAAAAAATTAGCCAGGCATGGTGGCTACTGTAATCCCAGCTACTCAGGAGGCTGAGGCAGAAGAATTGCTTGAATCCAGGAGGCAGGGGTTGCAGTGAGCCGAGATCGCACCACTGCACTCTAGCCTGGGTGACAGAGAAAAACTCCATCTCAAAAAAAAAAAAAAAAAAAAAGATTTAATCTTCATCATGCCTAATTATCATTCTTTTATTTTTAAAAATTGTAACAATAGTTACACAAGTAATCCATGAATACAATTATCTTTTTTGAAAAAAATCAGAAAAATAGAAACAATTTCACAAATTTTTATTATTCTTTCTTAGAAACCCTACTAATCTCTGTATACACCACCACCATCAGCTACCTTTTATTTTAACTTTTTATTCTTACTACAGACATCACCACCCAAACTAAAGCCCTTTATAATCCTCACCAAGAAGGCTGTATATTCAGTAGCCTCTGCTTTTTGTGTGGAATAAAAAAAGCTACTTAAAAGCAGAACTAAGAATTGAAGCTTAGACAGCGAAGTGCCTTTAAGATGGAAGTAACATGAAAAACAATCCTGATCAAAAATGTCATTTAAAAAATGTCAAAAATGTCGCCGGGCACAGTGGCTCACACCTGTAATCCCAACCACTTCGGGGGGTTGAGGCGGGAGGATCACTTGACATCAGGAGTTCAAGAAGAGCCTAACCAACATGGTAAAACCCCATCTCTACTAAAAATATAAAAACCAGCCAAATGTGGTGGCAGGCACCTATAATCCCAGCTACTCAGGAGGCTGAGGCAGGAGAATTGCTTGAACCTGGGAGGCAGAGGCTGCAGTAAGCCAAGATCACGCTACTGCACTCCAGCCTGGGCAACAAAGCAAGACTACGTCTCTTAAAAAAAAAAAAAAAAAAAAAAGGCGGGGGTGACAAAAACCAAGTTACAGAAATTGTGGTATAATGTATAATGAGTATACTCTCATGTATTACAAAGTGATGACCAAGAGTAAATAAAAGCTCATAAATTTCTGGCCACAAGATTAGGACTTTTAAGACATCAGCCACCCTTTGGGTTCTAGTAGGAAACTAAGGAAAACTACACTACCGATAACTATCAAAATCAACCAATCAGTAGAGTTACTCTTTTCTGACAGGCTAAAAGAAAACCTTCATTTATACTCATCTTTGTATCTCTCCCCACTTCTCCAGCCCAGCTTTAGCAAAATGCACAGCATCTTGACTGAGTTTTTTTTTTTAAGTAAATTCAAACAGTTGTTTAATTAATAGATTAAAAATCCTCAACTGCATAAATACAACTTAAAACTGACCCACCAATTTTAGTTACCATGAAATCCTAACCATTTATAAAGACATTTATTATAATGAAGAGACCACTCAAGAAAGTATTTTAAAGTCTAAGAATTTATATTTAAGATGGCTTTCAACAAATTTTATTGTTGTCCCTTTTACTTACTCTAATTTGATAATCCTCATTTCCTCGTTTGCTCTTTAAGTGAGCACCTTGGTTAACCAAAATTGTTTCACATCAGAGTTCTTAGTCATTGAATCTACTGCCTAAAATATACAGTATGCCTGAAAACATATTCCTGAGATTATCAGGAAACAATTTTTCAATTTAATTTTGTTTCTGTACTCAAGTATACTAATCCCATCTAGTCATGTTCCTCCAAAAAGACACTCATTCTATTTTTTAGGTATTCTTTCAACAATCACTAAAATAAATTTCTGAAAGTTTTCTTTTTTTTGTTTTTTTTGAGACGGAGTCTTGCTCTGTTGCCCAGGCTGGAGTGCAGTGGCGCGATCTCGGCTCATTGCAAGCTCCACCTCCCAGGTTCACGCTATTCTCCTACCTCAGCCTCCCGAGTAGCTAGGACTACAGGCGCCTGCCACCACGCCCAGCTAATTTTTTTGTATTTTTAGTAGAGACGGGGTTTCACTATGTTGGCTAGGATGGTCTCGATCTCCTGACCTCGTGATCCACCGGCCTCAGCCTCCTAAAGTGCTGGGATTACAGGCATGAGCCACCGCACCCAGCCGAAAATTTTCCTCTTTAAAGGTGAAGAAAATAAGTCGAAGAGGTTAAAGTTACTTATTTCAAAACTAAGAGAGTGACAAAGGAAATGTTAATCCCTGACCTTTCAGAAGGGAGGAATCAAGCTTTTTACAAGTCACCTTCTGATGCTGTCCTTGAGGAAAACTCCTCCCCCTTTATGCCATTTAAATATTTAACATTTCCTCATATTTTCTTATATTTTCACTACCTTCTATAAACATCTTTTATATTTATATATATTATTAAACTTTGCCACAAACTCATTCCTTTTGGAAACATTTCAACATGGCCCAAACAGCATTATAATGAATTCCCTACTTAAATGTCAAAGTCTGAAATAATTAACATTAAAATGCTCATTAGATTCACACAGGTTCTTCATGATGTTAACATGGGCTTGAGCTATAGTTTCCCTACTGGCTCACATTTGAGATACTTATCCTAGATTTAGGATTTTTGAGGGGAAATTTAGAGGCATGCACAGCTTTGCTGCCTAACTTTTATGTGAGATCATTTTAAACAAAAGCAGAGAACTGTACTTCATACAGATAATTCAGGTCCATAATTCATATTATATGGAAGCTTTTTTAAAAAAATACATCAGGCTGGGCGCTGTGGCTCACGCCTGTAATCCCAGCACTTTGGGAGGCCAAGGCAGGCAGATCACGAGGTCAAGAGATTGAGACCATCCTGGCCAACATGGTGAAACCCCATCTCTACTAAAAATACAAAAATTAGCTGGGCATGGAGGCGCGTGCCTGTAGTCCCAGCTACTCAGGAGGCTGAGGCAAGAGAATCGCTTGAACCCGGGAGGCGGAGGATGCAGTGAGCCGAGATTGCACTATTGCACTCCAGCCTGGCGACAGAGCAAGACTCCGTCTCAAAAAAAAAAAAATAAACCATAAAGTTGAAGTTAAAAACCTACATACCAATATCTATCAAAATATACATATATTATCCTTTGGTGTAGCAACTTATTTCTTGGAATTAACCCCCAAAAATCCCAAAGGTACCCAAAAATGTAAAGGAAATTTAACATACTTTTGCTTTTATCAGTGAAAAATGGAAACATCCTAAATGTCCATCAACAGAGGAATAAATTAAATGTTACCACCATACTACGGAATGATATGCTGTTAAGACTGTAACAGTATCTATTACATTATATATGCACCAATATATAATGATCTCAGTTATCAGTTGAAAAAAAAAGTATATACACAGTGTTATATTTTTAAAGAAACCTGTACTCAAAAAATGTATATAAATGCAGAGAAAGAGGTTTGAATATACACCCTATATTGTTTAGTTGCTAATTCTAAGGGTTGCTAGAATATACACTTAGTTGCTAATCAATGGGATTGAGGAAGTAGGAAATAAAAGAGGGAATTCCACATTTTTATTCCTTATACCTCTGTATTTGAATTTTGACAAGAATGCATTCATGTTTTTCTTGTATAATTTTAAAGTGAAATAAAGTAATCCAAATAATTTCTTAAGAGGTATAATTATGGTAATCCAAATTGTTTTTTAAAAAGGCATATTTTGAAAAAACTTTAAAACATGAAGCTAGATAGTAAGTTTTTAATAAATAAAACTGGCCACAAAGATCCACGCTGTGAATTGGAAAACAATGTTCCGTGCATCAAATCCAGCCTATTACCTGTTATATAGCTTGCAAGCTAAGACTATTTTAAATTTTTAACTGATCATTTTTTAAAATTTCTTATTTTGTTAACACATGAATATTAAAGTTCAACTATTTAGTGGCCATAAAAGTCAATAAAAGTTTTATTGAAAAACAGTTACTTACATTGTCTTTGGCTGCTTTTACAATACCATGGCAGAGTTGAGTCATTGTGACAGACGGTATGGCCCACAGGACCCTAAGATATTTATTATCTGACACTTAACAGAAAATGTGCCAACCAATTTCAGAAATAATATATCATCATCATCAACTTTATGCAGAAATGGTCATAATCATATCTTAACAGTTTTGAAGAAATGATCCTAAACATAGTGACTTGCTCTTTCAGTATACAGACCAGCACAAGATATTCAAAAAGACTCGATGTATATAACTATCCCTACATGTACAAAAAAAGGATTTTTAACATATTCACAATCAAACATGACTTTGAGGAAGGGGACTGGGAGATTGACACATGCAGCAACACAATCACTCTCCAAACTAAAAGAAAAAAAATTTACCTCAATAAATAGTCTGCATATACTACAGGCTCTGGCAAAATCTGCTCTAAAAATTCTTCACCTTCATCTCCTTTTGATTTCAAATATTCACAAAGGGCACACCAATACAAAGCAATTTCAGGAGTTAATGTTTCCACTGGAATCAATTTCCTTCATTTAAAAGAAAGAGTGTGAGAGAAAGCATGATCTTTTTATCATTAAGAATTGAAGAGTACAAAAATGAGAATAATAAGATTTGCTTTAAAACCACTACACTATCCTTTTAATTAGAGTCATTAATGTATCCACACAAAAAGGAATGAAGAAACTTAGAACAAAAAAGAACCAAATAAGCAAACATATACTAGGGGTGCATGTTGCTGGATTTTCTCATGGTAGGCTAATTCAAAAATCAAAGTAAGAAACTGAAGGGGGGAAAAGCATAGCTAAAGTAGATAGTCTATGATAAAGTTATGAGTTCTTACACCAGGAGGGGAAAAAGGAAGGATAAAAGGATATTCATCAGACTAAAAGAAAACAAAAGAGAGTTAAGATTAAAGGTATTAATATAATCTTAAGCTATGGGGAGGAAAAAAAACAAATTAATTGCACAAGTTAATCAGTACTACATTTCAAAGAATGAATCCTTTATGTACCTGCCATCATTGTTTTTACAGAGTCCCACCAGTTCACTGAGAGGAGTTATTGAAAACAAGGCATTGAGAACAGAGACTGCCACTTCAGAAGAATTTTCTACATCCAACCGATGGAGCAACTCTAAGATATTTCCTTCAGAGAACCGTAACCAGCCTTGAAGAAGATGCTTCTGCATAGCTTGTTTCACAGCATCTATTGAGTCATTTGAAACATAGGTGAACAAAGGCTCCCTCTAGCTTCCATCTCTTGTATTTTGTCTGTTTTAATTAACAAAGTCAGTATTTACAATAGAAATAGTAGAGGTTAAGAGGCACAACTAAGCATGTATATATATATTTTTTGAGACAGAGTCTCGCTCTGTCACCAGGCTGGAGTGCAGTGGCACGATCTTGGTTCACTGCAACCTCCACCTACCAGATTCAAGCGATTCTCCTGCCTCAGCCTCCCGAGTAGCTGGGACTACAGGCATGCGCCACCACGCCCAGCTAATTTTTGTTTCACCATGTTGGCCAGGATGGTCTCAATCTCTTGACCTCGTGATCCGCCTGCCTCGGCCTCCAAAAGTGCTGAGATTACAGGTGTGAGCCATAGCGCCCAGCCAACTAAGCATATTAAAGGTAAAAAAAAAGAAGTACCATGATACTGCAAAAGTCACTGTAATGGTCACTTACAAATAAAAATGGAAAAGGTTCAGCACCAAATACCACAGCCTACAAAAATATCTTTACATTCCTTCTCCCCTGGGTTCAATGGGCTTCAGGTGTTAGCCCAGAATATGTAATAGCTATTATCTCACTTGTTATCTGATTTTATCTATTACACGATTGCTATTTGCAGTAGTGAACTATACAAGCACACGTCACTGAACAAACCTTAGTCTTAGCTTTTAAGGTCATCCTACTAATTAGTCCTCTGACAATGTTTTCAAACGCAAGTCGGTTTTCTCACTACAGCGCAATAGAGCCATCTTGGCCTTCTCATGAGAGTTAAAAACTTCAAAAAATATCATTCCTATAAGCAGATTCTCTCAGGCTCCCCAACCCCTGGGCCACGGACTAGTACCAGTCTGTGGCCTGTTAGGAACCGGGCCGCACAGGAGGAGGTAAGCCGTGGTCTAACGAGCATTACCACCTGAGCTCTTCCTACTGTCAGATCAGCAGATGCATTAGATTCTCTCAGGCGCAGGAACTCTATTGTGAACTGCGCACATGAGGTATCCAGGTTGCACGCTCCTTATGAGAATCTAAGTAATGCCTGATGATCTGAGGTGGAACAGTTTCATCTGGAAACCATCCAGCCCGCCCTCTGTGGAAAAACTGTCTTCCATGAAATCGATCCTTGGTGTCAAAAATGTTGGGGAACTCTACTCTAACAGAAAAAAAAAAAAATAAGAAAATTATACTGGTCTGACCATTCCTATTTGTTGTTTCTGATACACAGAACACATTCATACCAAAGTATACACATAAGGAACAGCATTTTTTTTTTAAGTCAGAGAGAGAGGGCAAATAGATCTTTTCCTACTTCTGACATGAATTAGCTCTACAGACTTAAGTATTGTTTCTCCATCTGTAAAATACAGAAAGGGTGAAAGAAATAAGCTCTGCTCCTTCAAAATACCAAGATCTTGGCCAGACGCGGTGGCTCACACCTGTAATCCCAACACTTTGGGAGGCTGAAGTAGGTGCATCACTTGAGGTCAGGAGTTCGAGACCAGTCTGGCCAACATGGTGAAACCCCGTCTCTATAAAAATATAAAAATTAACCAGACATGGTGATGTTCACCTGTAATCCCAGCTGCTCAGGAGGCTGAGGCAGGAGAATCGCTTGAAACTAGAAGGCAGAGGTTGCAGTGAGCCAAGATTGCACCACAGCACTCCAGTCTGGGTGATAGAGTGAGACTCTGTCTCAAAAATATATATATATCAAAATCTTTAGCCCTGTGTTTTCTATATAATACATCAAGATAAATTTCACCAGGTTCATGGGACTGGCAGGCTTACTTGACCTGATTTGACACTCGTTTCTTAAACCTTGTTAAGTCTGACCTCAAAATCTACTAAAGTTTTGTATATATAAAGTTGTTTATCTTACCTGATCTGTCATTAAGACCTTGTTGAAGGAGCATTACTCTCTGAGCAATGGACATAGCTCTCATATGAACCTTTTCAGCTAAAACCTTAAAAATAATTTATAAAGATGGTCATTAACCTCAACACAATTTATAGATTTCATAAGAATATCACCATCTTAGAAAATTACCCAGAATCTCCAAAAGAAATTAATACCTGGTAACATACTTAATACAGTAAGATTCTACCTAAATTACCTGTGTTCTCCATAAAACCTCAACTGAAGAAATTATTACATGCCAAGTATTTTTCAAAGGCACTTTAAGAAAATGGCTCCTTGTCCTTTAAGAATATGCCAACACAAGACATTGAACTTATTTACCTGATAAGCCAGCTTTCTGACAGCCTCTTTCACATCCTTGGTGCGCCCTACAATTTTTGGCAAAGTCTTTGCTGATGGTGCAATACATGATAACACTGCCCGTCTAACTTCTGGATTTGAATCATTTTCAATCAAAGTAGCATATGCTAAAAATAAAGCAATACATTTTAGTACTGATGAAATTATTTATTTAACTACAGTCATAAAATAACACACATTTTGATATTTTAAAATGCCTTTAATGTGATAAAGATAGGCTGGGCATGATGGCTACTGCCTATAACCAGCACTTTGGGAGGCCAAGGTAGGTGGAGAGCTTGAAGCCAAGAGTTCAAGACCAGCCTGAGCAATATAGAAAGACCCCTGTCTCTACAAAATAATTTTAAAATAAAAAATTAGCTAGGCATGGTAGTGGCGCTTCCAGTTACTTAGGAGGCTGAGGTGGAAGGATCACTTAAGCCCAGGAGTTTGAGGCCACACCTCTGCAATCCAGCCCGAGTGAGAACCCATCTGTAATAGAAAGTAATGTCATTTTTTTAGTCTCACATATTTTAGTTGAAGTTTTTTTCCCACCAACTTCCTTCTTTTTCTTTTTTTTGGAGACAAGGTCTCACTATGTTGCCCAGGTTGGAGCCAAAGTGCTGAGATTACAGGCCTGAGTCACTGCTGCGCAGGCCACCAACTTCCCTTCTAAAGACACAAGGGGGAATTAGTCAACGGACTGGCTCTTAGGCCAAAAGTGAAAACAAATAGCCCTAAAAGTCACAGAAAATTCATCATTAAGATTATGTCTGTGCTACTCCTCAATATTTAAGAGAAAGCTTACTATAGCAGACAGTTTATTTTAAACTGATATGGCTTTATAAGGGCCCATTATTTTGGTTTTTAATGAGACCTAAAAGGAAATATTTTTTGGTTTTATTCATTGAAACAAACCCATTTCTTATATTTAAATATATTTATCTGTACTTCTCACATCTTTCCTACCTCAATTATTAAGTACAGGTTGACTATCAAATACCTATGTTTTACACAATATTATTATGGGTATCTTTTAACACCAAAAAAAATACCAACTACTATAGTGATAAATATACCAGTGATTATAAAACTGGTAATAGGGACAAAAAGGACAGAAGAGTGCCTAAAACATACCTAGGCATATATGGAAAAATGAAATACAACTACCTTTATGACCCCATAGGTAAGAAAAAGTTCCTTAAAAAAGAGATTAAAAAATACGAATCATAATGGCAGAGATTTATATTTTTGACATAAGAATTTCTGTTCAAAAAAAAGATACCCCAAAGGGAGTGAAACAATGATACCCCAATGAGCCACCTAAAACAGGAAGAGATCTACAATTCATATAACCCAAGGATTTCTTTTCAAAATATATAAAGAATGCAAATGAATTTTTTAAAATAGTATTTTAAATTAAAAACCCAATGAAAAAATGGGCAAAACACAGTAACAGGTATTATATAGAAATATAATTGGCTGCTAAATATATACATACAGCATGATTTACACAAAATGACAGGAAAACATTAAGATAGACATATGTGATTTATGCAAAAAAATTTTTTTTAATTTAAGCAAGAGACTAATTAACCCCAAACTGAGGATTTAATAGTTACTTCTGAGGGACAGGGATGCAACTGGGATAGGATGCAAGTACTGACTTTTTTTTTTAAGCTGGGTGGTTGCTACTTAGGTTTTTTTTGTTTAATCGGAATCATATATTAATTACCTATACTCTTCAAATGTATAGACCATAATAAAAAATTTCAAATACTGAGAATTTAACAAAATCAACAAATCTGAAAAAAGATTTAGGAAACTACACACACCATTAACCACTGGGCATTCATCATCCTTGGGATCCTGAAGTCGTGAAAGCGCCAGAACTGCCTGTATTCTCACATTTGGAATCTTATCTTTCAATCTAATAAGCATGGCTTTATTAATTTTATCAAACACATCATCATCAATCTGAGCATTTTCTGGCATACTTCCCAAAAGCTTGTTTATGAGCAGGCACACTCTAAATCTCACTGCATTGCTGTTTGCTTCATGAGACTAAAACAGAAACAAATCAAAATTTATTCATAGTCACATACCACTCCCAAATAATCAATATTATCTGAACTCTATACATTCGGAATGCAAGAAGTTACAACAACAATTCATTTCCTGAAGAGAACCTATAATGCTACCTTGGTCCATATGTATAGCAAATATATATATTTTATACAGTCTCAAAATGAACAGTCTGAAAGAAGTCTTTGCTAAGTTACATAGTCCTCTTTGTAGAGGCTTCTAAAATACAGAACTCATTTAAAATAAACAAAGGAGAACTGGTTTAAAGAGGTCATTAAAAATTTAATGCTGGAGTTAAAGTCCACTTTTTAATCATAATGATAATTCTAATATTTCCTATGAAAGGTAGACTCATTCAGGTTTTTTCAATCACTAGATATTTCATTGTCAAAAACATACAAACTCCCACGACTCTTTTAAAGTGGCAAAATTTTCTAAAATCCCTCCCCAAAGCTATCATTTTCATAGTACCTTTAAGAGAAAAGTAAACAAATAATTTAAAAGGCCACCATCTTCCTCTTCCTCATCATCTTCCATATCTGATTGGTGAAATGAGGTAACAAACTTTGCTGCAAATTCTATTACCCTCTCCACAGCTGGTTCACGTTTATAGACCACCATAACATATTTAAGGTAATGAATGAACTCCTCATGAAAAACTGTCTTATCATCCATCTGAAAGACAAAAGAAACCCTTCATAAACTGCACCGATAAAAATCCTTTATTCCCAACATCACCCTAAGACTGATGAAAGCACTAGCCATAATAATGCAGACAAATTAAAATATTTATTTAGTAAACTCTTAATTATCCAAACCAGCCAAAGGGCAATCAATTTGCATGAATTTCTCTCCAGGCTATAATGGGAGTACACAAGCTTGACTTTTGACAGTGAAAAGATTCCTTTGATATATTTTTTTCAATATCTTTGATTCTCAATAAGCCTTTAGTACCAGTACGTTACAAATACGCTTCTTCAACAACCCAAAATCAATACTGGCTTTTATATTTCTCATATTCAGGCCTTCCTATCACCAGCAGTTTCTTTATGAGATAACTTGCACATCCTATCTCATATCCTCAAAGCCCTGTGATGTTTACTCACAATTTTTCTTGGACCTCAAGATAATTCATCTTCCCCAAATTAATTGTTCTATTCTTCTCAAGGTTCCACTCAAAACAAACAAATAGTATGTACATAAATAAGAATGGCCAGGCCCTAAAAATAATTTGGTATTTGGTGATTGGATTCAACGTAACCGTAGGACAAGGGTAGAATCATTTGATGTTCGGCGGGGAGCGATGACCCCAGGGGCAACGACCACTGAACCCCCGCATTCAGGATCCACTCTGCGGTTCAATATTTGATGTCTGATCGCCTCGGTGGTCGTAAATGTTTCTCTCCACGTTCACGATCGGACTAAGGAATAACGGTCCACGCCGCCCAGAAGCTGGGGGTGTCGGCTCAGAAAAGCCAAGGCGGGGCCCGTGTGAACGACGCCCAGGCTTCGGAGGCTTTCTGGCCTGGGCCCAGGCGACCTCGGGTAAGTCCCTGACTTCTCCGAACCTCAGATCCCTATGAAGTGAGTCGCGAAGGTGAACAAGGCTGGAGTCACGGTGCGCCGAGCCCGAGGGCCACGGAGGGCCCCTGAGGGAGGGTGGGCCGGGGCGGGCGAGAGGCGGCGGCCGGGGCCGGGAGCGCTTACCGTGCGGTAGGTGCGGCTCAGCGCCACCACCAGCTTCGCCTGGTTCTGGTGCGGCTGCTGCGCCAGCCGAAAGGCCTCCTTAATCGACAGCAGCCTCCTTTCCGCTCCCATGGCTCTGGAACCCTGCCGGGACGAGTCCTGCCCGCGCTCGGCTACAGCCTGCCAGCCCGCCAACCCAGAGGCAGCGCTCTCCGAGTAGTCTTCTATGACAGCCCCAGGGAGTATTTACCGCTCGAACGTTCAAATAATTCCCGCGAGAGGGGGAAATCCCGCGAGACTGCCGTAAGCGCTTTGGGAGAAGAGAGCGGGAAGCGATGGGTCCACCCACCTCGCACCCCGCGCTTTGGGCGCATGCGTCTAGGTTCAACCTTGTCCAGCCGTTTTCACGGAGGGAAGTGGCGTTTCTAAGGGGGAGGGGCCTTGACTCGGCCGGAAGTAGCGTCGGCGCGGGAGCTGAGCGGAGTGGCCTTGCCACCGGAGGGGAAGGGCTGCTGGCGTTAGGCCTGGCTGGGTCGTGCGGCTGAGCGTGAGGCTAGAAAGAAAAAGCGATCCTCCAAGAGTGAGAACGGGAGATCTGCCGAGGATAACAACCTCCCTTGTGGCCGAAGGGCGGGGGATCCCCACACGAGGGCTCCGCTTCGAGAGACGGCGACAAAGGAAAGTTCGTAGCGCGTTCCGGAGGCCCGGCCACCTCTGAGAAGGGAGACGACGCTGCTGGGTCCGCTGAGCGGGGCGACCCGAGGTTAGTGGAGACGGATGCTGTCTTTTGAAGGCCTTAGTCCCTGCCCTGGTGAAGCCGACTGCGAGGTTCCACAGGGCGTGCAGGCAGTCCGGGGATCGTTGCGAAGGGGGGTGCGGGCTAACTTAGCTGCTGCCGTTTCTAGATGTGCAGCTGTGTAGGCCCTGTTTACAAGTGTGCATAAGGACAGTGTATTAAGGGAGAACTCAAGAGAATGGAAAGGTCTTTCGGGTAGTGGTTAAAATAAAGAAGAGTAGGAACTAGGTTTTTAAATTTTAAATGAAATTATATCAGACAGAACTTCTGTTGGATCTCAGGATGCACCATCCAAAAATAGGACTGTAGGAGACCAAAATATGCCACCCTACAATATACTTCTAGAGTATATTTTGAGCTGGTATTCTGATAAAATGCAGACACAGGAGTCGCTCTGAAAATCTGTCCTGTTGTAAAAGAAATTGACATCTACAGAGGAAATATACATCAGTAAAGGATCTGTATCAGAAAGAGGGCAGCTCTGCGATAATTTTTGTTACCTGGGAGATCTTATCTGCATACCAAGACAACTTTTATTCACCGTATATTTCCTCCCCTCACCTTTCCACAACTTTGTGGCCACCATCCCCCAGAAAGCCGCAAGCCCCCATTTCTTGAGTAGCGTAGGATGCTGTATAATATTCAATCATCTGACCATGGTGGGACTCCTCTGCGTATGTAATTAAGTACGGGTTTTTTTTCTTGTTAATGTCTATGTCAGGTTAATTTGTAACCCAGCCAAAGAACCTAGGAGGATGGAGGGAAGCCGTTTTTCCCTCTCCTACACCTCAGTAACCTACTGCCAGCTGAAGAAATAGAACATTACTAAAGCCACCTGTACATCTTTCTCCTTTTGAATTACCTGCCCTCCGAAGAAGTAATGGATTTTCTGAATTTACTGTTAACTTTTACCATGCAGCTTTCTATATCTTAATGACATATTTTAATATATTAATGACATGAATAAATCCCTGAATGAGGATATTGTACTATTTTGCATGTTTTAACCGTTAAATGAATAATTATATGTGCATCTGGCTTTTTTCAATCAATATTGCTGTGGTTCATATTGATATGTTCATAATAGTAACTTGCACTTAATTAACCTTTATTATGTGCCAGACACCATGCTAAGCACTTTACTTCGTTTACTGCTCACAAACCCTGTAGGATAACTTTGATCTTCTTTTAAGATGAGGAAACTACGGCACAGACAGGTTGCTATAGTACTCCATTGTATTAATATGCCATACCTTATCCATTCTCCTGCTTAATTCCTCAAACTTTGTAGATATTCAGCTGCTAGTTAAGAATGTGGTAACATTTGTGTTGCCCATAATTTTGCTTTGTGACGTTTCTAATATATATTTTTTTATTTTTATTTTGAGACAGAGTCTTGCTCTGTCGCCCAGGCTGGAGTGCAATGGCGCGATCTCGGCTCACTGCAACCTCTGCCTCCCGGGTTGAAGCGATTCTCCCGCCTCAGTCTCCCAAGTAGCTGGGTTACAGGCATGCACCACCACACCTGGCTAATCTTTTGTATTCTTAATAGAGACGGGGTTTCGCCATGTTGGCCAGGCTGGTCTCGAACTCCTGACCTCAGGTGATCCACCCGCCTTTGCCTCCCAAACTGTTGGGATTACAGGCGTGAGCCACCGCGCCCGGCTAGTATTTCTTTACTATATTCTATTTGGCTGTCTCACCAACAGAGACATCACACCATTTTGTCAGTTACAGAAGAATGAGACATCTGGCCGCCAGAGGTCAGCCTAACTATATTTCGGTTAGTTTTTTTTTTTGTTTTGTTTTGTTTTAATGGTTAAAGCCATGGGGGTATTGGTTCAGTATTTTTTGATATTATAATCTGAAAATATTTTTTCAAAGGTGCTAGATTAAATTTAAACAACATAGTATACTGCCTTAAAGCTTACATTTTTCCTGACTTTTGTACTGTGAAACAGAACAAAAACAATTATGGGAAAGTAAGAGCCTTTTTAAAAATTTTCTGAGTAACATAATAACTGAAGTATAGCCAATTAGTAATCTCACAGGTGCAATCTGGTTGAAGTGAAAATAGTAAAAATATTAGAGGACAGCACAATTAAAAGCCAACAGCTTCTCCTGTCTCAGTTAATAAAGACTTACGGTCCACGACAAAGAATGAATACTCTTTTTCAGATTGAACAAGGTAATAGTACTATAATCTAAACTTAGAAGTATTACATTGTTTCTTCTTAAAGTTATAAGCAGTTTCCTTTATATTGCTGTAGTAGCATCATATATGTTGATCCTGCCTTAAAAAAATTATCTCATTTGTCTTTGTCTAACATTACCAAATCACCAAGATATAACTTGGAACTGTTCTCTCCCTGGAGTAAAATAGAACATGCTTGTGGTAGTTACTTACTGCAGGCCTTTGCCATTCTCTGACTCTTTTATTTACTGAGCCACTCATATATGCCAGACACTGTGCTAGGAGTGTGTGAAAGCCAGAGAAATACTCATTAGAGGAAAATTGCTGACCTGAAGCCATACCATATGACCTTATTAGCACAACTCAGTGTATTCGATAATGAAAATGTTCACTGACTTTGATTTTGGAAATCCCCCCTACAGAGTAGCATAAACGAGACATTGATATTGTCTCTTTTCTCATTTAAAGCTATGCCTTTAAAGGCCACCCATGTTGCTGTATATACTTGGAATGTGTTTCCACATTTTACCAGTCCGCTTCTCCAGCGATAGGAACCTAGAATGCTTCTAATTCCTGTCATCACAGATGTAGCTTCAGGGTATATCTTCATACATGTTGTTCATACGGGAATTTCTTTGCTATCTATGCCCAAAAGTAGGATTGCTAGATCATGAGATGTGCAAATAGTTTGCCTAAGTAGTGCTGCCGGACTGTTCTTCCGAACAGTTACTCCACTCTGCAATCCCACCAGCAGTGCCAGTTCCAAAAAAGAACTCACTGACACTTGGTGTTATCCAGCTTTCTTATTCTACCAAACTGATAGCATAATGTGATCATATTGTTCATGCCTTGGGATTTTCTCTTCTATAATTTGGATATCTTTGTCCATTGCTCATTTCTTTATTGAAGTTGCTTTCTTAAAAATTGATTTAACTTTGTCCTTGGTATCTTTAGTTCAGTCCAGAAATGATTAATTGTGATGTGATTAAATTCATTTTTTGGTCTGGTGCTTTATGCTTTTTTGTTTAAGAAGTCTTTCCCTGGCCTCATTTCACAAAGATATTCTGTATTATATTTAACTAACTATATAGTTTTACCATCCCCATTTAGGTCTTTAATCCATCATGAATCCTCCCTTATACATGTCATTATATGTATATGTATTAAATGGTTTTACTTTTCATTTTTTTCTTAACCTTGTTCTTAATTTTTTCTTAATTCTTATTCCAATACAGTTTTACTTTTTTTCATATAATGAGCCAGTTGTACCAATAATATGTACTAAACATATCCATTCACCCTTAGTTTATGTGCCAACCTTATTTTATATTACATTCCCAAATTATATATAGCTCTGTTTCTAAGCTCTATTCTGCTCTATTGGACTATTGTCTGTTCTTATGCTAATCCTACCTTATTTTAATGTCTGTGACTTTAGTCATAGGACATACCTTGAAGAATAGGAACTCCCTTACTGTTTAAACAGTTCATTTGGCTATATGTGGAATTTTATTCTTTCTATATAAACTTTAAGGTTTGTTTATAGAGTTCCTTAAAAATTTGATTGGAATTGTATAAATTAATAGGGAGAAAGTTGATATCTTTATGATATTTGTTCCATCCAAGAGCATGGAATGTCTGTATTTTAAATTATCATCTATATTGTTTATTAGGTCTTACATATTCATGATTAGTTCCTAGGTTCTTTATAGGATTAGGTTTTTGTTGTTTGTTTTTCCTTCTGTGAAATGTCTTTATATATGGTCTAGTTAGTATTGCTGGTATAAAAGTTAGTATTGCTGGTATAAAAGTTAACAGTGCCTGAGTTGAAACACTGGCCCCGTGACTTACTAGATGAATGGCTTTGATCACGTAACTTAATCCACAGGTAAGATGGGGACAATAAAAGTACCAACTTTTAGGGTTGTTAGAAGAATTTTAAAATAGTTAACATTTGTGCAGTTACTAGAGTAGTACATGGCAAATAGTGTTATATGAGTAATTAAATTAATGAATATTCATAGGTTAATTTCAGATCAGGAACATTGTTGAACTCTAATAGTTTGTATGGTTTTTTAAATTGGATGATATCATCTGTAAGCTAATAGTTTTATCTCTTCCAATTCTTAACGTATCTTTTTCCAAAAAGAGAAAAATGTTGATTAGAACTTTCAGTACTGTGTCAGACAGTATCAGTCTCAGTCAACATGGTTATCTTTAGCTAATTTCACTTTTTGCTGTTGTTGTTGTTGTAGAGAAGAGTCTCATTCTGTCACCCAGACTGGAGTACAGTGGTGTGATCATAGCTCACCACACAGCCTCCAACTCCTGGGCTCAAGCAGTCCGCCTGCCTCAGCCTCCCAAGTAGCTAGAACTAAAGGCACACACCACCACGCCTGGCTAAATTTTTAAAATTTTTTTGTAGAGACAGGGTCTTGCCATATTGCCCAGGCTGGTCTTGAACTCCTGATCTCAAGTGATCCTCCACCCTTGGCCTCCCAAAATGCTAGGATTACAAGCATGAGCCACTGTGTCCTGCCCCTGACTTCACTTTTAAAGGAAATGTATCTCATCTTATTCAGGATAATGTTTGCTTAAAGATTTTGGTAGATAACCTTTACCAAGTTGAGAAAGTTACATTCTCTTTCTAGTTTGGTAAAAATGTTTTGTCTTTTAAATAATAAATACATGGTGGTCAGGAACTAACAAAAGTTATCCACATTCAATAAAATTCTCTCTTTTTTTCCTTTAGTTCTGGTAATTTATACTTTTTTTTAATTTGAGCTATTCTTACTTTCCTGGGATAGGCCATATTTGATAATAACATTCTTTTTAATGTACTGTTGGATTCTGTTAAGTGATATTTAGGATTTTGCAAGTGAAGTGAGCCTATACTTTTCTTGTTTGGTTCATCTCTAAGTTTGGGATTTATTTTTATTATCTTTATAAAAGTAGCTGGTCAGTTTTCATGCTTTTTTCTTTTTTGTGGAACAGCTTATATAGAATTGGTGATAGGATCACAACTTCTGAGGTCCCAGCAAGAGTCCTAACATCTAGCAGCTCTACCACCAGGACAGGCCCCCTAAAACTAATTCCAACAAGCACCTCTGAAGGTAAAAAAAAAAAAAAAAAAAACTTTTATAGCTCTCTATTTGGAGTTTGGGGCATAAGGGATCAGCTTTTGCAAAAGTAATTTTCTAGGCTAAAACTGCATACAAACTGGCCCAGTTATGTACCAACAAAGAATTAAAATGGCCCCAGACTTTGCTCCCCAATATTGTGATTGTAAGAGCTATTACCAACAGGTAAATTGGCCTAAGTCTGTGAGATAGAGAGGGAAGAGTCTGTAAGACTTCTTGCTCAGCATTTGTTCTGATTTTAGATATCTTGAAGTTAGGTAGGCAATAATGTTATCCAGTGCTTTCAGGCTTTAATATCATGTCTCTAGTCTTCTCATTCACAGGTTAAGGCTACCTTTCCAGATAATCCAACAGCTAAATCACCAGTTTCCAAGGGCATTTGCATCACCTATGGAAAGCATCGGATCCTTATACACCAGATGTTCTTGACAGCTCATCCCGTCATTCCCCCCTGCACAAAAGTTGCTATACCAGCGGACAAGCAAGACAACTACTGAGCTTCTTTTGATTGTCAAGTAGATATAATATCACTGCCAGCAAAACAGCACAAAAAGTGTCTCTTCACAGTATCACTACCAGTTGGGACTATGCTAAGTAAATCAGCTTGCCTAGATGAGGACCCCTTCTATTCTTGGGTAGCCAGGATTTGAAGGAGATACTCTGACCTGTGCCAGTGGTAAGTGACTAATACTTTTACACACTGAACTGGTCCTGGAAACTGAGATGTCTTCTTTGTAAGTGAAGAATATACAACATAATCTTGAAGAACGGCACAGTGGTATGGGCCACAAGCATACTTTATGTGTGTAACGGACTGAAAGACAAATTAATCTTGGTGAAAGGATTTTTCATCTCTTATTTCTATTTGCCAGTGTTAGTCAGTGTTCTGCTGGCTTAGATTATTACCTTTTTCTGGTTCCTTACTGTGTTTTATTCTGATGGGTCCTAGAAATCCCTCTCCTGACCACTTGTCAGAATCAGAAAGTGAGGAAGAAGAAAATATTAGTTACCTAAATGAGAGTTCTGGGGAAGAGTGGGATTCCTCTGAAGAAGAGGACTCTATGGTGCCCAACTTATCGCCTCTTGAGAGTCTTGCCTGGCAGGTTAAGTGCCTTTTAAAATATTCCACAACTTGGAAACCTTTAAATCCTAATTCCTGGTTGTATCATGCTAAACTGTTGGATCCAAGCACACCAGTCCATATACTTCGAGAGATAGGTCTAAGACTCTCCCATTGTTCCCATTGTGTCCCCAAACTGGA
Organism: Homo sapiens; assembly: GCF_000001405.40. Classification (NCBI taxonomy): domain Eukaryota; kingdom Metazoa; phylum Chordata; class Mammalia; order Primates; family Hominidae; genus Homo; species Homo sapiens. The sequence goes on along the minus strand of NC_000004.12, from coordinate 17,803,818 downwards.
ACCAATTCCTGAATGGCCCCCTCTGGCCTCTTGTGGAGTCCCACCTTTTCAAAAGCCTCTTACAAGTCCCAGCCGGCTCTCTAGAGATCATGCCACTCTAAATGGAGCACTGCAATTTGCCACCAAACAGCTAAGCCGAACATTGAGTAGAGCCACTCCCATACCTGAATACCTAAAACAGATCCCTAATTCATGTGTTTCTGGGTGTTGCTGTGGCTGGCTGACTAAAACAGTTAAGGAAACAACTCGTACTGAACCCATCAACACTACTTATTCTTACACTGACTTCCAAAAGGCAGTTAACAAACTCCTAACTGCATCACTGTAAAGATCTACCATTTGCTCTGATATCTCTGATGTTGCTAATTGAGAAAGTGGTACAAAGTTAGTCATTACACAGCCCACTAATGCCTTCTCAGTCAAACTCTCTTATGCCCTGGCAAGCCAATGAGGATACCCTTTGACAAACCCTGTGGATAAAATGATAATATCAAGGTCAGGCATGGTGGCTCACACCTGTAATCCCAGCACTTTGGGAGGCTGAGGCGGGTGGATCTGCTGAAGTCAGAAGTTTGAGACCAGCCTTGCCAACACAGTGAAACCCTGTCTCTACTAAAAATAAAAAAATTAGCCGGGCGCAGCAGTGCACGCCTGTAATCCCTGCTACTCGGGAGGCTGAAACAGGAGAATCACTTGAACCCAGGAGACGGAGGTTGCGGTGAGTTGAGATTATGCCACTGTACTCCAGCCTGGGTGACAGAGCGAGACTCAGTCTCAAAAAAAAAAAAGGAGAATTAGTTAAGGGGACCATATTACAAAAGATAGTTGAATATTCTTCACACTCACTTCTCACCCTCCCCACCCCAATTTACTCTGCCTTTCTGAATGGCTTTAATGAGATACCTGATTATTAATGAAGAAAAGTAGACCACCACCCCTTTTGTTATCCAGACTTTAGAACAGCCATTGTTGAAAGCAAGAAGTTAGCTACCCACAATAATACCTTTCTGAGCATACTCTTCTCTAACATACATTTCTGTGGAAGTAGTTGAATTAAATTGAGTAACTACACAAAGGAAAATGGCAGGGCTATGAATTTCTTTCCCAGCTTTTATATAGATGTGCCTACATATGACACTCTTTAGGGTTCCTTTTATTTTTTCTTTTTTTTTTTTTTTGAGGTAGTTGAATTAAACTGGGTAACTACACAAAGGAAAATGGCAGGGATATGAATTTCTTTCCCAGCTTTTATATAGATGTGCCTGCATATGACACTCTTTAGAGTTCCTTTCACTTTTTCTTTTTTTTGGAAGGGGGCGGGGAGGCAGGAGGAGTGCAGTTTTAAGCCTAGCCTATACTACTACAAACTTATTATGGTACTTAAAATTACAGCATGAACGTTCTATATCGGAGTCTCCCACCAGGCTGTCTCTGACTAAATCAGCCTATAAGATCATCCCTTGGGATTAAACAAACACCTGTTCTGTAGGGAATGTGTTTCCTGAATCTTGGTACTCAGACTTTTGTCAAGAGTAAATAACATTTCAAAAGATGAATGGAAAAATGATTAAGAGAGCATTTCTGCTTTCAGCATTAACTGCTAATGGATTAAAATTTTAATCTGTATAGCATTTCCTGGAGTAAAAGCTCAAGTACTTTCCACATCCATTGCAAACTTTTCAGGAACCCTTCTAATTTTTTTTTTTTTTTTTTTTTTGAGACGGAGTCTTGCTCTGTCGCCCAGGCTGGAGTGTAGTGGCATGATCTCAGCTCACTGCAAGCTCTGCCTCCCGGGTTCGTGCCATTCTCCTGCCCTGCCTCCCGAATAGCTGGGACTACAGGCGTCCACCACCACTCCTGGCTATTTTTTTGTATTTTTAGTAGAGACAGGGTTTCACCGTGTTAGCCAGGATGGTCTTGATCTCCTGACCTCGTGATCCACCTGCCTCGGCCTCCCAAAGTGCTGGGATTGAACCCTTCTAATTTTAAAGAACCTTGTTATTAGAAAATCTCAGCCTAATACAATCTGAAGTTAAGAGTTTTAGCAGCATTGTTTTTCTAAGTAGATTTAGCTATAGATTTTCTTCTGGCCAAACAAGGAAGAGTATATGCCCTTGTAAATGAGTCTTGTTTTGTTTATTTAAATAGTCAGTCAAAACGTAGAAATCAGTATACGTAAAATAAAATGCATGAGACTATTAAATCTTTTCATATACTCTACAAATAAAATGAAATCTGTGTGTGGTCCTGGTTGACTGGGCATCTAAAGGGAATCAGAAAAGAGATTGTGAAAAGTTATATATATATCCTCTTCCTTATTTTAGTTTTGCTTTTTCCTATTTTCCATAATTAAGTGCCGTTTACAAAGTGGCATCAAAAAATTGAAGCAGGCCAGGCATGGTGGCTCATGCCTGTAATCCCAACAGTTTGGGAGGCTGAGGGCAGGTGGATCACTTGAGATCAGGAGTTCGTGACCAGCCTGGCCAACATGGTGAAAGCCCATCTCTACTAAAAATATAAAAATTAGCCGGGCGTGGTGGCATGTGCCTGTAATCGCAGCTACTTGGGAGGCTAAGACAGGAGAATTGCTTGAACCTGGGAGGTGGAGGTTGCAATGAGCTGAGATCGCGCCACTGCACTCCAGCCTGGGCAACAGTGAGACACCGTCTCAAAAAAAAAAAAGGTTAGGAATCACAAATTGTGTAAATATATAGCAACTTTAAGAAGAGAGAAGAATGCTTATAACCTAGTGAATATTTCTGCTGAGCCTTAGTTGTCTTGTCTAAAGGAAAAAAGAGGGAATTGTAGAATAAAAGTATTTGTTAGTGGAAATTATTGACCTGAAACCATATCATATTGTTAGTGTAACTGAATGTATCAGAAATTGTTCCTATGTAGGTATTCTGTGAAACTGGTTTCTAAAATGTTACAGGAAACTGTTTCCTTTTTTTTTGTTTGTTTGTTTAAGTGGAGGTGGGAGGAGGTAGGGAAGAGGTCTGAATATTAAAATATGTTTATGTTCATGTGTTCATAATACGTTCCTTTTTCTCTCTGTGTGTGTATAAAAGTGCCTTGCTCATGAATGCATTTTTGCTATTCACTTCGAAAGGAAGCCTTTCCCCAGCTTGGCAGCTGAATAAACCAATAGCTTTGTACATGCTGAACAGAGTATGGTCATTTGTCCTCAACAAATGAAATAGATCCTACTTTGCTTAAGGCATATTCTACATTCACTAAGTACTGAATAGAGTTAATAGATACAGTACCTGAATCTATATAGTATGTCTGACAGGAGATGACTTGGCGTCTCTAGAGAAGAAACACACTTGAAGAAGAAAATGTCTGATATTCAGTCAAGATTCAAAGTGAGCTTATTTGTTTATGTATTTTAAGTAATTCCAGGTTGCACAAAATAACAGGTACCTAAATAAGCCTTAAGTTAACTTTTTGTGTGGCATAAACACTGGGTTTGGGAATGAATTTACTACCTTTGCACTCCCTATGTTGGCTTCTGTTAAATGCAGTCACCATAATTAAGATAAAAAGATTATTTTATCCTCTATTTATAGAAATATTTATCAAAGGAGTAAGGAAACTATTTCTAAACCAGTGGACATTAACTGTCTTTTACTTTCTCAGTGCAGATAGGCAACTTTTTTTTTTTTTTTTTTTTTGAGATGGAGTTTCGCTCTTGTTGCCCAGGCTGGAGTGCAATGGCGCAATCTCGGCTCACTGCAACCTCCACCTCCCGGGTTCAAGCAATTCTGCCTCAGCCTCCCGAGTAGCTGGAATTACAGGCATGTGCCACCACGCCCAGCTAATTTTGTATTTTTAGTAGAGATGGGGTTTCTCAATTGGTCAGGCTGGTCTCTAACTCCTGACTTCAGGTGATCCACCCACCTCAGCCTCCCAAAGTGCTGGGATTACAGGCATGAGCCACCGTGCCCAGCCATAGGCAACATTTTTATTAAAACAGTCCAGATACCTTGAGCCTCAAAGACCATAATCACGTCTTTTAATCCCATCTGCTTCCTAAGAAAAGAAAAAAATCCATACATGCATGGCAGGAGGGCATATGATAGGTCCCCTCTAGGGGATAGAAGCCCTTCCTGCTGGGTCTTCTATCACACCTGTCCATATTTTAAAAAAAAAGTCTCTGATGAAAATGTTTTGATAGTGTAAATAGCTAAAGCATTTAAAGACTTTAGAAGTCACTTGGGTTATTTTCTGATGCGTAAGTTGGCTTGCATCTGGCTTTCTACTTTTGGCTCCAGTGTTAGAGAATATGTCTTTTGGAGCAGCCTGTTAGTTTTAAATATCTCTTGTTAGAAATTTAGCCATTCATCCAATATTGCTATGGAGAAGTGCCTACTCTAGTGCAGACACTGGGAATGCAAAACTAAATAAGATTACTACACATAGGAAATTAGTTTTAAAATATATGAACCTATATGTTACCCCAAGCCATTTCTGCTGTCTAGGGTCATATTAAATAAACCTAAACCCTAATCCATATGTTGGCCCTTCACATATTGAAAATAGCTTATAGTGGAGAATCATATAAAAGAATTGAATGGAGCAGCCATCCAAGTATAATGAAGATTCATCTGGAGGGCAGACTTCAATTAAACCCCCACAACGGATACTCAGCCAAGGAAATGGAGAAAATATATAGATATTTTGTATCCAGATTTAAATTATATCTGCTAATCACAAGGTAGTGGCACAAAGATCAGGGCCAAAAGTGTTTTGCTCAGGTAGCTAGGACATATAGAACAGCCTGAGAAGTATGGATAACTTCTCAGACTTCATGAGTTAACTGTGCAAGCTGGTAACGTATCTGTCCGCCAGTGATACCCATTGGACTGAGGGAGTTACATTAGCTGGACCAACCACCAGTACTTCTATGTCAACTTGCTGTTGCTAAAAGAAAAATGTCTATGATGTGTCTCAAATAATTTTAAATACAGTTGAGTTAATGACTACATATTTGAGTCTGCTAATTCCATGCAGTTTGCCAAGCTCTTCCTTTCAATTAGCAGCCGCAGTGAGACTTAAGTTTGCAACTGAGACCAAGAAATGGAAAGGATGAGGATATACCACAGTGACCTGACACTTGCTGGCTTCCCATCTTCTGTGAGAGCTATGACCAGCTATTCTCAATGAGCTCTGGAAAATGAATGCCTGGTTTTCTTTTATTATTATTATTATTTTTTTATTTTTTTGACACAGGGTTTCGCTCTTGCCTAGGCTGGAGTGCAGGGGCATAATCTTGGCTCACCGCAGCCTCGACCTCCTGGGCTCAAGCCATCCTCCCACCTCAGCCTCATCAGTAGCTGTGGACTACAGGTGCACACCACCACACAGGCCAATTTTTGTATTTCTTTGTAGAGGCAGTTTCACTCAGGCTGGTCAGGAACTCCTGAGCTCAAGTGATCCTCCCACATCAGCCTCCCAAAGTGCTGGTGTTACACTGGTACCTGGTATAAAAAAAAAAAAAAAAAAAAAGGAAAATAACAGTGTAACAGGAAGACAGCGATAGGGTTATTTCTTCTAAACTGTGGAGTCAGTTAAAAACGTTAGCAACAGTTTCAAGTTGAATCATAAAACGAAGTTGACTGGAATTTGGGCAGTTTATTTAGGAAGATTCTGACACGTGATATGAAAATTCCTGGGATCATTAGGGGAGTTAGGCTCTATATAACAACAATCATTCAGGAGGGACTCAGGATACTGGTTAGCTTAACAAGATTAAAACTGACTTCCTAGTATACACATAAACCAAGCTAGTTTCTCAAATTAGCAACAGAAACCAGATGAAACTCCTCAAATGAGTGTTGCAAAATAAGGAGCTGGTACTATAGTTTTATTTGGGGAGAAATTGTTAAGTTTGGGTTAACTGCTCAGCCTATGCCTGATACTACCCTTCCATCTATGGTATCAGCTGTGGCACCTGACACTCCAATGTATCAGCTGATGGTTTTGGTTTACAATAAATTAATTAAGCAATGGACCAGTAGGGGCAACTTCTTTGAGAGGTACCCAAACAAGTGGAACAGCCCAAGGGCATGGCCATCTTCCATCAAAAAAGACCCTAGGTGGGCTTTCTGGTTGCACCCTGAGTAACCAGAATGGCCTGATAGACTGGCAGAGCTCTGGTGAAAGAAGGGTGCAGCCACTACCTGAAGAACTCTAATTTCTGAATCAATTGAAAGCTGGCATTAATGTTGGCCACAGACAATGCATTCCATGTAGACTTACTGCAAAGTGTGTTATATGATATTGATCCCTGTCTACCTACTTGGTACTTAAGTAGACTCCCATGGCTTGAAAGCTTTGGACCAGACCCCAGTTTCCTTCTTTGAATGCAGTTTTTCTGTGTTGTCACATCCTACTTGGGACACGTTTCTTTAAATGGGTTGGGTTGCCTGATGTAGCAAAAAGAAATACAGGACACCCGAATACATTTGAATTTCAGAAAAATAATGAAATATGGCACATATACCAGAAAAAAAGTTATGTTATTTATCTGAAATTCAAATTTAGTTTCCTGCATTTTATCTGCAACCCTATAAATATGTTAGTGGCATGGATTAAGCTTGGGTTTTAGTCTATGTAGTTGTTCCCAGGAACTGTCTTGACTCTTTCCAGTATGTGTTGTTTTCTTATGTCTAAGTAATTGACTAGTAGCCAGGAGCAGTGCTGGTGCACACCCGTAGTCCTAGCTACTCAGGAGGCTAAATTGGGAGGATTGCTTGAGCTGAGGAGTTTGAGGTTGCAGTGGGTTATGGTCATGCCACTGCACTCCAACATGGGCACCAGAGCAACCGCCCATCTCTAAAATAATAATATTTAATAATAAGAGACTGGGGGCAAGGAAGGCTCACACATAGTTGACCCAAGTTGTATTTCTTATATATTTATTTATTTATTTCTTAGAACTGTTGTTGAGTGTCAGAAGAGGAGGCCCAATTGCAGATATGAGAGTTTTTATAGGAGACACGTGGTATTTAGCTAAAATAACCACATAACCATTACAATATTTGCAAACACAAATTTTTTAAATGCTGTCTCAACAGCAGGTAGTTTGGGTTTGTGGTTTGTTGTCGTTGTGAGATGGAGACTCACCCTGTCGCCAGGCTGGAACGCAGTGGTGCGATCTCGGCTCACTGCAATCTCCACCTCCTGTGTTCAAGCAATTTCCCTGCCTTGGCCTCCTGAGTAGCTGGGACTACAGGTGCGCACCACCATGCCCAGCTAATTTTTTGTATTTTAGTAGAGATGGTTTCACCATGTTGGCCAGGATGGTCTCAATCTCCTGACCTCATGATCCACCCACCTGAGCCTCCCAAAGTGCTGGAATTACAGGCGTGAGCCACCGCACCTGGCCATCTGTGTGTGTTTTAAGCAGTTACTTTCTCACTCTTCTTTACCATGAAGGGAAAGTATATCACTCTTTAAAAACAAAAAATACTCGATAGGTAGCACAGTTATGATACCCATTCTTCATCACAGAAAAGGTTCACAAATTTGGAACACCTATCTTTGCCTTCCAGAACCCCCAAAAGACTTGAGGATTTAAAGGCACAAGGTACCCTGGAAGGTGGGAGTAATAAAGAAAGTTGAAACAAGGGGATTATTTGAACATTTATTTTTGCTCTTCTTTTGTAGGCAGGCAGCTATCTCTCTAGCAGATGACTGAAGCCTTATTGTCTGGAGAAATTAAACCAAACAGACTTAGAACTGAGGACAGGGGGAGGATGGTAATGGTAGTGATGTGCTATATGGAAGACAAAATGATTAACAGAATGTGAGTATTCTGAACATTATGAGCCTCCAGTCCACTTTTCTCCACCTGGCTACAGAATCTGGCAATGGGGCTTATACCCAGCCCTGCTCACCTGACCGAAAAAGACAAGCAGTAAAAAAACAGCTTGACCCTCGATTATTTGTTACAGTGAAACTGAGAGTCCACAAGGCCTGCTCCTTCATATACAGCTTTCAGTCACTTGGAATCACTGTACACAGATAGCCAAGGATCACTAGATATTTGAGGAAACCTTCAACATGAAAGATGAACATAAAGAAGCTGTGATATTCTCAGAAAGGAATATACTGCTTCCATCAAATAGGATCAGGATGCTATTTTAAAAAATGACCAATCCAAAAACAAAAGCTATTGGAAAAACAGGAAACCAAAAGTAAACATTCAGTAGATGTATTAGAAAATAACTTGAAGAAATTTTAAAAAGTAGAACAAAGAGATGAAAAGCAGGCAAGAACAAAAAAGAAACTTAAACCTGAATAAGATGCAACATCTAATAAATGAGTTCCAAAATGAGAGAACAGAGAAAGAAGGTGAAGAGAGAAAAAAATTAAAATAACATTTCCCGGAAATAATAAGACTTTAGTCTTCTAAATTAAAAGGGTCCACTAAGTGCCCTGTGAAATGAATTAAAAAATACCAAAGCACATTGTTAGGATATTTCAGAATGCTAGAGTTATGGAAGGACCTAAAAGCTTCCCAATAAATGTAGCGGAGAAAGTTACATAAAAAGGATACGTTTTCAAAATGGCATTTAGATTTCTTGGTAGCAACACTGGATGCGGAAAGACTATGAAAGCAAGGTCTTTAAATTTAAAAAGAAATGATTTCCAACGCAGAATTTTGTACTCAAATAATCCAATCAAGAGTGGGGCTAAAATAAAGATACCTTAAGACTTGCATGGTCTCAGAATTTTATCTCACCATCTACCTTTTCTTAGGAAGCCACTTGGAGGATGTGCTTTACCAAAATGAGGGAGTAATCTGAGAAGGCATGGGATCCTGAAACTAAAAGATGTCACAAAGGAAAACGAGGAAAGTCCCAGGATGACTACTGTGTCAAGTAAGTAGGACAGAGGTTCCAGGAAGTAGGTATCTAGGAAAACTGGGAACAAAGTATTTGAGTACAATGGAAAGTGTATAAATAAGCAGGAAATTTGAAATTTTATTTCTTAGAAAGTATGTTATTTAGTAATCAGTTTTTTAAAAATTTGACATTAAAAGTATAGGCAAATTGGAGTCTTGTCAGCTATAATTAGATTGGTCCTTACGGCATAATACTCCACAATTGCAGTAGATGCTGACTTCAATAAGATGTGCGCCACAGAAGATATTTTTAGAAAATAAAAAGTTTTTCAATTTGTTTTCGTATTTGATTTGCTTAGGGAAATCTCAATTTTGTATTTATTTACAGAAATAATGCATAGTCTATAGCAGTAATTTCAGCAAGCTTTTTGTTTAAATTTTAGCCTCTGTAGAATCAAAAGCATAAAGAATTACAGGTTGAGCATTCCTAATCCAAAAATTTGAAATCTGAAATGCTCCAAAATCCAAAACTTTTTGAGTGCCAACATGACAGCACAAATGGAGAATTTCACACCTGACCTCATGTGACAGGTCAGTCAAAACAAAGGCACACAACAGTTTATTAAAACTACTGTATAAAATTACCTTCAAGCTATGTATATATGAAACATGAATGAATTTCATGTTTAGACTTCCCATCCCAAAGATATCTCATTATGTATATGTAAATATTCCAAAATCTGAAAAAGTTAAATCTGAAGCACTTCTGTTCCCACACATTTCAGATAAGGGATACTCAACCTGTATCTACTTTTTAAAAATAATATTCTGAAATTCGATACTGTTTTTCATCTTCCATGCTATTTTTGCTATCAAGATATGGTTACATACAGTGGCTGGTCCATAATATATTCCTATATAATATTTTAGATGTTTCCTTATGAGTCATGATTCAGGGTTTTTTTCTTTGCTTTGTTTATGTTAATATTACATAGTCTGAGAGTGAATTTTTATTTACTTGCAAGTGATATGTATGCTGATAGGTTTTTCTCTCTGTCATCAAATCTATTGAGTAAACCATGCCAGGCCAATTTGTCCATCTCCTTTTTTCTAAGTAAGAAATCACAAATATACAGTAAATAGAGTGCACTAATCATAAGTGTACTTGATTTTTTTACATGTGTATACATTCGTATCAAGATCATATAAAAATGTATACACTCAGATCAAAGTATTAAAAATTTCAAATTCTCTTATGCCCTTTCCTAGTCTATACATCTCGCAGAAATAACTCTTCTTTTCTAAAGATCTGTTAGTTTTGGTTGTTCTCAGATTTCATGTGAATGGAATCATACAGTATATATTGTTTTATGCCTGGCTTCTTTCAGCAATGTACTTCTTCTTTTTTTTATTGTTATAGACTATTTGATTATATGAATATATCATAATTCATTTATCCTTTTACCTGTTGACATTTATTTCCAATTTTTTGTTATTATGAATAAAGCTATAATAAACATTCTGTGTGTATTGTTTTGGTTTGGTTTTTTGTGGATATGTGTATTCATTCCTTTGGGTATATACCTAGGCACCAAATTGCTATATCAGAGTAGTTGTGTATTTATTTTTAATAAAACTGCCAAACACTTTTTTTTTATGTAAGTTTTAGGGTACATGTGCACAATGTGCACGTTTGTTACATATGTATACATGTGCCATGTTGGTGTGCTGCACCCATTAACTCGTCATTTAACATTAGGTATATCTCCTAATGCTGTCCCTCCTGCCTCCCCCCACCCCACAACAGGCCCCGGTGTGTGATGTTCCCCTTCCTGTGTCCATGTGTTCTCATTGTTCAATTCCCACCTATAAGTGAGAATATGCAGTGTTTGGTTTTTTGTCCTTGCGATAGTTTGCTGAGAATGATGGTTTCTAGCTTCATTTATGTCCCTACAAAGGACACGAACTCATCATTTTTTATGGCTGCATAGTATTCCATGGTGTATATGTGCCACATTTTCTTAATCCAGTCTATCATTGTTGGACACTTGGGTTGGTTCCAAGTCTTTGCTATTGTGAATAGTGCCTCAATAAACATACATGTGCATGTGTCTTTATAGCAGCATGATTTATAATCCTTTGGGTATATACCCAGTAATGGGATGGCTGGGTCAAATGATATTTCTAGTTCTAGATCCCTGAGGAATCGCCACACTGACTTCCACAATGGTTGAACTAGTTTACAGTCCCACCAACAGTGTAAAAGTGTTCCTATTTCTCCACATCCTCTCCAGCACCTGTTGTTTCCTGACTTTTTAATGATCGCCATTGTAACTGGTGTGAGATGGTATCTCATTGTGGTTTTGATTTGCATTTCTCTGATGGCCAGTGATGATGAGCATTTTTTTCATGTGTCTTTTGGCTGCATAAATGTCTTCTTTTGAGAAGTGTCTGTTCATATCCTTCACCCACTTGTTGATGGGGTTGTTTATTTTTTTCTTGTAAATTCGTTTGAGTTCTTTGTAGATTCTGGATATTAGGCCTTTGTCAGATGGGTAGATTGCAAAATTTTTCTCCCATTCTGTAGGTTGCCTGTTCACTCTGATGGTAGTTTCTTTTGCTGTGCAGAAGCTCTTTAGTTTAATTAGATCCCATTTGTCAATGCCAAACACTTTTTAATGTGACTGTATCATTTTACACTCTCACCAACAATGTATGGAAGTTCCAGTTGCTCCATATCTTTACAAACACTTGTGATTGTCAGTCCTTTTAATTTTACTCATTCTGGTGGTTGTTTAATGGTATCCCAGTGTGACTTTAATTTACTTTGATTTAATTTAATTTTGATTTAATTTAATTTAATTTTCTTTGATCAGTGTTGTTAAACACCTTTTTATATGCTTATGAGACATTCAGATACCTCTTTGCAAGTACTTGTCTAGGGTTTTGGCCACTTGTAAAATAGATTATCTTGTTCTTATTAATTTGTAGTTCTGTTTTTTTTATTTTTTAGAAATGGGCTCACACTGTTGCCCAGGCTTGTCTCGAAATCCTGACCTCAGACAATCTTACCCTCTCAACCTCCCAAAATCCCCCAGCTGAAATTACAGGCATGAGCCACCATGCCCAGCCTATAGGAGTTTTTATATACACTGTATACAAGTTGTTTATTTATATAATGAATTTCTTATGTCATTCTATGCCTTGCCTATTTTCTTTTTTTTAAGACAGAGTCTTACTCTGATGCCCAAGCAGGAGTGCAGTGGCGGGATCTCAGCTCACTGCAACCTCTGCCTTCCAGGCTCAAGCAATTCTTGTGCCTCAGCCTCCCAAGTAACTGGGATTACAGGTGTGTGCCACCACACCCAGCTAATTTTTGTAGGTTTTTGTTGTTGTTGTTGTTAGTAGAGACAGAGTTTCTCCATGTTGGCCAGGCTGGTCTCGAACTCTGACCTCAAGTGATCTGCCCGCCTTGGCCTCCCAAAGTGCTGGAATTACAGGTGTGAGCCACCACACCCAGCCATTGTTTGTTTTCTTAATGGTATATTTTGATGAGTAGAAGTTTTCAAGTTTGATGAAATCTAATTTATCAGATTTCTTTTTGTATTATGGTTAGTGCTTTAACAAATCTTTGTTAACTTGAATATTATGAAAATAGTCTTCTATTTTTTTAGAAGATTTATAGTTTTAGCTTTCACATTTAAGATACAATTTCAAATTTTATTACTGAGAAGAGAATATTTGTGGGTATCTCATTTTTCTCTAATACTTTCTCCTTTTCTTCACATTCTTTATCCAAATTCAAGGGGATTTATCATATATGATATTTATGTCTTTGGAGTTTTTTTTGTTTTTTTTGTTTTCATGAAATTTGGGTAGGAAAGTTGACATACTGTTTTTAAGTTATCCCCAAAAGACTGAAGAATTCCCAAATTGTACTTCTTCCTAAAAACTAATTATCTAAGTGGCATAAATTAACTAAAAATCAAACAGTTCTTAACACTTATTTTGTTTAAAATTTTGAATTTTAGCACACCAATTCTGCATTAGAATGAATGAAAAATAACCAGATCTGTATTATTCTACCATATATTATTATTTAAATTTTTTTTACATTTTTGAGTTATTCTTTTAGACATTATCTAGTCTTACTATTTTAAATATTATCCTTCTACTTCCCTGTTATTCAACTACCAGAAAGTTCTCAGTATCAGTTTCTGTACAAAACATTGACACTTTCTACAATTATTATTTGTAGCAGTTTACTTTTGTAGTACATACACATTAATGTTTTTGCTTATTAATAGAAGCACATTCAGTCACTCAGCAAATATTTATTGACCACCTACACAGTGCCAAGTGCTAAGAATTTAGCAATAAACAAAACAGACAAAAATTCCTGCCTTCATAAAGCTTACATTGCAGTGAGATTTTTTTTTTCACTTCAGTTTATAACTGGAATGTTTTTGTTTACCTTTATTTTAAAATGAACGTTCAGACCAGGTGTGGTGGCTCATGCCTAAAATCCCAGCATTTTGGGAGGCCAAGGTGAGAGGATCGCTTGAGTTCAGAAGTGTGAGACCAGCCTGGGCAACATAGGGAGACCTCATCTCTACCAAAAATTTTTTTAAATTAGCCAGGTATGGTGGTGGCATGCACCTGTGGTCCCAGCTACTCAGGAGGCAGAGGTGGAAGGATCACTTGAGTCCACACCACTATACTCCAGCCTGGGTGACAGAGTAAGAGACCTTGTTTAAAAAAACAAAACAAAACAAAACAAAAACAGATAATCTGCAATAAGTCTGAATTATTTGCACTAGTTAATTTTATGTCCATTACAAATGAGTGCTCCCCGAGGTCAGGAGATCAAGACCATCCTGGCCAACATAGTGAAACCCCTTCTCTACTAAAAATACAAAAAAATTAGCCAAGCATAGCAGCACACACCTGTAATCCCAGCTACTCAGGTGGCTGAAGCAGGAGAATCGCTTGAACCCAGAAGGCGGAGGCTGCAGTGAGCCAAGATCGTGCCACTGCACTCCAGCCTGGCGACAGAGTGAGACTCCGCCTCAAAAAACAAAAGGTGTGCTCCCTTTTCATAGTGTACAGTTATGAAAAATTGCTAGCCAGTCAAAAAGTACATTTCCCTGATCCCCTTATATCTAGATAGTGCATATCAGTTTTTGCCGATGGAGTGACAACAGAATTGGTGTGTTACTTCAAGGCCAAGGTGTTTTAGAAGTGAATATACCTTCTCTGTGTTCTTTTTTGCATTTTGCTGGCTGGATGCAGATGACTGTCAGGCTCTAGGGGATAGTGGACCCGCAAGATAGAAGGAGCTGATCCTTGATTCACTTTGGACAGGAAAGAGGTCCAAAGACCAGTAACTCAGTCACTTTAATGTGACCAAAAAAACCATGTCAAGCTACTTGTGTAGTTTAGCAATTAGCATCACCTTAATAATATGCTTGCTTCGTTAATACTGCAGATGCTGTTAATCTGACCAGATATGATGTTTGTCTGAAAACCAAACCATTATTATTGATCAGGTACAATTTCTGGAATAACAAAGACAATATTGAAGGTGGAAGTTAGCTATGTAGCCTCCCAAAGGCCAAGGTCAGTGCCTAAGAGCAGATTTTTGCTGAACATTGAGGCCAGTGCAGATTCCAGTACATCCCCATCAGGTAGTGACTTAAAAAAAAAAATAGTATGGGAGGCAGGTGTTGTATAAGAAAGTAGGAGTAATTGTGATCATTCTTTGACCATGAACCATAATGTTACTACAACTGTAGTCATATTAAGTGGTTAGTGAAATTCTAAGCAAATAAGCCTGAGGAATGTGGAGGAGATATGGTGTGGGAGAACCATGTCCTTCTGCATTCATTATGGTAGTAAGCACAAAATGGGTCAGAAAATAATATCTACATGCTCAGAATGCTCCTGTATTAATAGAACTGGTTGCCCCTGGGGGAGTGGAAACAGTGACCAGGAACAAAGGTGGGAGGGAACCTTTTCATTTTTTCACTTTTGAATATTGTACCATAAGTATATATTATGTGTTCAAAAATCATCATTTTATGATTAGCTTTGAGAATTGATTGGTCAGGGAAGATAATAACTTTACTGAATTTCACCAAAGTGCTTTTTGAAAATTGGTGGATGAGATTGCAAAACTTATAACATAACTTAGTAAGTACAGGTAATGATATTCTTCGCTTGAATCAATGAAATTTCATAGGTTTTCGGTTATAACAGCTATTAAAGTCAGTGTTGAAATAAACTGAACTTAACACTAGACCTCTGAACTTAAAACTAGACCTCTGAATCACAGTATCTCAAAATGATAAATTCAATTATGTTGCTTTATTTTAAATGTTGCAATACTGTGTCATAATGTGTTATTAGTATACAATATTTCTAACATTTCATGAAATAACTCACTGCTACGGGAGCTCAAAGACAGCACCTCTGACTGGAGTAGTCAGTCCAGGGCTACCTCATGGGTGTGATTTGAACTGAGAATTGAAGGATTTTGGGATGTGGATAGCAGAGAGGACAAGAAGAACATCACAAAGCAATTAGAGGGAACTAGCAAGGGTTGGTTGGGCCATGAAGCAATTCTCTACATGGTGTCTGGTAGCATCTACAACAGCATCACTGAAGAGATTGTTTTAAATGCCTGACCCCAGACCGATGAATCAAAATTTCTGAGATGGGGAAGCAGAAATACTCATTTTTATCAAACTCCTTGTTTAGTAAATATAAACAAATTTTATGTTTACTAATATTTGAGAATTTCTAACCCCAGGTAAATACTCTGGATAATACTTGTCTGCAAAGACACTGTGGAGGACAACCACCACCAAAAACAGCAGGAGTCAATTCCAAAAAGAGAAATTGAGAAACAACTACAATGCAATATTCAACCATAGATCAGACATATTACCGATACTTTAGTCCATTAAAAAATTTGAGTTGCCACTTAGTACATAGCTCAAATGATCATATCAATATTTAACACAATCTGACTATGACTTTGCTATAAAACATTTTATTCCAAAATGTCATTCTCCATGGTGTCATGTCAATATACTGAAATCTCAGTACAAACGTCACCATTGTGTAAAAGAGGTTTTCATTTTACTCCCTGGGAGATGAGATGGAAGATTTGATACCATGCTACGTTTAATGAAACCCTGAATACTAGTTAATGTGTGTTAGGATTACAGTTAAAAAAAAAAAAACATGATGCTAATTTACACGTGTGTTCTTACATTCACTCAAAAAAGGGAAGATGTTTGACAGAAAACATCAGCTTTTAAAAATAAAATATGGTATAGGTGCTATACGGAAATGCAGAGCTACGAGAACATATCTTAAGGACATGCAGACTGATCTGCAACTACAGAGACAGCCTTCCTATGGAACTGACATTCAGGCTGAGATCTGAAAGATGAGTAGGAATGAGTCAGGCATAGTAGGGGAAAAAGCCTTCTAGATACTCAAGAATGTGAACTTGGTTTTAGATGAGTAATATATTAGGAGTAATAACAATAATCGAGTTACCTGTGCCACTTAACTGATTAGGAAAGAAAAATACTAATTAAAAGCTTTAGCCTAAGTAAATCTACCGAAGTAAATTTTTACCAAAGAAATCACCTAAGGCAACACTTAGATTATCAGCGTGGTAAAGATGAATTATTTAATACCTGTTGGGACAACCATTTAGCCATCTGGAAAAGCATAAGTCTGGAGTCTAACCTCATTCCATATATCAGCATAAATCCCAGGTAGATAAACCATATTTTAAATGAAGTCATGAAAGTACTAGGATAAACTATGGATTCCCTTTTCCTCATAATCTGGGGTAGAAAAGGCTTTTCTAAGCATGAGGAAAAAGCCAAAAAATGTGAGGGAAAAGATCAACAGATTTTCCTACATAAAAATTCAAAATGTTTATAGAGCATGAGAAAGCTAGAAAAAAAATCCGCTAACTGCGGGAAATGTTTGCAATATATATGATAGGCAAAGTGCTAAAAGCCCCTATTAAGGAAGAGCTCTTTGTAAGCAGCAAGAAAGCCAGGCAAAAACAATGACTAATCAAGTTGTGGGAAGGTATTCAGTTCTACCAGCAAACAAGTGGTGCGGGGGAATATTTCTGTGGGAACACTTGCACATCTGTGCAAAAACCCACTTACAACAATGTCATGTAGGCAGTTCCCTTGATGCAATAGTAACCTTAAAATACACGATTAGGCAGGCTGTCCCAGGTGTCATGGACAGGAAACCTCACACCGCAAATTAAGAGGCTCAAATCACATGGTTTATCGCTTTTAAACAAAATATAGTTGGAAAGATATAGTGACGTTTAACACATTTAGGATAGGGTCCAAGAGAGGTGGGAGGAAAAATTACCTGAATTTCATGTTACGCAGTGTTGTGGCGTCTTATCTGCTACATCAACCTTTACCTCTGATAATTAGGTTATGAGGACCGCAGCCAAAACTGAAAATGGGGGCTCAGCGGTGCTTACAGCCAGTGCACACTTGCTCTGTCAGAAACTCAGGGGCAAGGATACCTAGCTAATGGCCTGCTGAGAGCCGTGGGTTTTTTGTTTGTTTGTTTGTTTGTTTTTATTTTTAGAGACAGGATCTCACTCTATCACCCAGGCTAGAGTGCAGTGGCAGGATCATAGCTCACTGCAGCCTCGAACTCCCGGGCTCAAGCAATCCTCCCACATTAGCCTCCCAAAGTGCTGGGATTACAGACATGAGCCACTGCTCCCGACTGAAAGCCATGTTCTTAATCTGTGTTTCTGTGGCAGAACAGAAATAGGGCCAGAACTGGTGTCATTAATGAATGGCCATTTTAGGAATGAACTATCAGCCTGAAGGTGGCATCGTCTGTACATTGCAACTTGGCCTTTCCCACCTTATTCTGTCCGTTAGGAACACTCTTGTTTCTTCCATCCTTTTTACATATATTCCATTTATTCTCTGTCATGTCTTGCTCTACACTATCTATACTTAACATCTTAATACTGCCTATTTCACAGGCTACTTCTTTGCCCATTATACTTAACACATGAATTTCATATATTCTTTTTTTTCTCTATCCCTTAGGACAGAATTTAATATCCTCATAATACAGCAAGCATACATTACAAATATACGTTAAAGATTTTGGCTTGAAATATTTTAAAAATTGTCCAGTAGAAGATAGAGTAAATGGTATTGTATGTAATGGAAGACTGGTTGTTAGGAATGGGAAGCTAGATCTTCATTGACAAAAAGATATCCACTTTATATTACTGAGTAAGTAGGGTTCAAAAGCATTATTATAGGCGGGACATGGTGGCTTACCCCTGTAATCCTAGCATTTTGGGAGGCCAAGGTGGGCGGATCACTTGTCAGGAGTTCAAGACCAGCCTGGCCAATATGGTGAAACCCTGTCTCTACTAAAAATAGAAAAATTAGCCACGCATAGTGGCAGGCACCTGCAATCCCAGCTGAGGCAGGAGAATCCCTTGAACCCAGTAGGCAGAGGTTGTAGTGAGCCAAGATCGCACCACTGCACTCCAGCCTGGGCGATAGAGTGAGACTCATCAAAAACAAAACAAAACAAAAAAAATTATTGGTCGGGTGCAGTGGCTCATGCCTGTAATCCCAACACTTTGGGAGGCTGAAGCTGAGGTCAGGAGTTCGAGACCAGCCTGGCCAACATGGCGAAACCCCATCTCTACTAAAAATACAAAAATTAGCCAGGCATGGTGGCGCATGCCTGAAATCCCAGCTACTCAAGAGGCTGAATGAAGCAAGAGAATCTCTTGAACCCGGAAGGTGGAAGTTGCAGTGAGCCAAGATTGCGCCACTGCACTCCATCCTGGGCAACAGGAGCGAGACTTCGTCTCAAAAAAAAAATTATTATAGTATTTGTTTATAGTTTACACAGAAGTGTGTAAACATTCCTGAAATACATATATGTTTGTTACATTTTCTATATGTTTACACAGAAATGTCTAGAAGTATCTTCTCCAAAATATTAACAATAATTTTCTCTGAGTTTGGAATGTGGGGTTATTTTTGCTTGCTTCTACTCTTTTTTTGTTGTTGTTGTTTGTATTATTATGGGTGAGGATGTTTGGGGGGGATACTATGAGAAGTTTATAATCTAAAGAAAAGGCAAATCAATTATGATTTTAAATTTTTCTGACCAAGCACAGTGGCTCACACCTGTAATCCCAGCACTTTTGGGAGGCCGAGGTGGGAAGATCACTTGAAGCTAGGAGTTCAACACCAGCCTGGACATCATAGTGAGACCTTGTTTCTATTTTAAAAAATAAGAATTTTTAAAAGAAAAATATCATATTGCCAGCATTGTGCTCTGGGAAGCTTATATTTGTAATCTAAAGACAAATCAATTGGAAAGAATATCACCTTTGAGGTCAGATAGACCCAGATCCATTCACTAGCTGTATACAGTTGGGGACTCAACCTGCCTTAGCTTCACTTTCCTAGTCTGTAGAATGAGAATGACAATAAGTACCTCAGAGAAGGTCAAAACATGTGCTACGGGCTTAGCACAGTGCCAATATGACATTAGTGGCCTAATAAATGTACTTCCACCTCCACATTTGATATAGTACTTAATTCTCTTCTGCCCTCAATTTCATTCCTGATGGTGTAAAGGGACCTACTAATCCCAGTGCTGGAAAATCCTAGGAGCTGCAGAGGGCTCTCCAAAACAGGTCGGCTCATGGTGCCTTGATTACAGCAGCTGTGGGCCAACAAAGCTGATAAAGGAATCTGATTTTCCCGTTGTCTTCCATTGTAAAGTTGAAAGTATAATATTTCCTACTGGAACATTTTTTAGCCCCAAGACCTAATGAAATCATTATTAAAAAACTAAAACTTGGGGTTAGACTTGCAGTTTTTCTAAACTTTAGTGTGTATAAGATCATCTAGAGCAATGGCTTTCAATTCTTTTCAGATCCAACATCACCCTTTTTATAACATCCACGTTACTATCTTGAAATTCATAGATAATACACACCTTTTTAAATCTGCATAATTTCTTGACTTTGATTTTTTTGACATTTGATTCTTGATATTTCATTATAATTAAATAATATGTACAGTTGGCCCTCCATATCAATGTGTTCCACATCCTCAAAGTCAACTAACCACAAGTCAAAAACATTTGAGGAAAAAAAATTGATGGTTGCATCTGTACTGTATACATATACAGCCTATTTTTTTATTCCCTAAACAATACAGTGTAACAACTAATTACATAACATTTACGTTGTATTAGGTATTACAAGTAATATAGAGATGATTTAATGCATACGAGAGGATGTGAGTAGGTTATATGCAAACGTTACACCATTTTATGTAAGTGACTTGAACATCCATGGATTTTGGTATCTGAAGGGGTACTGGAACCAATCCCCTGTTGATACTGAGGGACACAGTGTAGTAATCAGATGCTTGCATAGGTAGACTCACCATCAATATGGCAGTTAGAAGTGTGTTGTGGCCAGGCACGGTGGCTCACACCTGTAATTCCAGTACTTTGGGAGGCCTAGGTGGGAGGATCACTCAAGGCCAGGAATTTGAGACCAACTTGGCCAACATGGAGAAACCCCATCTCTACTAAAAATGCAAAAATTAGTCGGGCGTGGTGGTGCATGCCTGTTATCCCAGCTACTCTGGAGGCTGAGGCACAAGAATGGCTTAAACTCAGGAAGTAGAAGTTGCAGTAAGCCGAGATCATGCCACTGCACTCCAGCCTGGGTGACAGAGCAAAACTCTGTCTCAAAAAAATAAAAAAAATAAATAAATAAGTGTGTTGTATTGGCAACCAAATATCATGAGCCACCTGGCCCTTGATGTGATTTTCCAAAATGGTCAACAACTTTTAGTAAAGTTCTTGACCAAAAAGGCTAATTTTCCTCTAGTTTACACAGTGGTTGAATTCCTGTAAAATTTAGTATATATTAAGATCCTGCAGAAAATATTCTAAATACACAATTTGGAATTAAGCAGAGAGCTGTTTAATGTGGATTCCTGACCCCCTGACCCCCATCCTCAGAGGCTTTGTCTCTGTTTTCTAAAGGAACTGGGGGAGGGAGGGGTTGTGCTAAAAAGAGAACTTAAGATGGTAAATTAGAAATCAAAAACCGAGGCCGGTCATTTGATACAGAATCTAGAATAGGAATGTCTATTTCAGAAACAGTTCTACTTGTAATTGCCTGACTTGGTACAAATTTTCTGGGTCAATTTTCCTCATCGACAAAAATGGGTTTTGTTACCTTCAGTATGGATGGGTGGAACTGTGGTTTCTGAGACCCTTTGAAGCTTGCTTGGTTTATGAAGATTATTAAAATTTCTGATAAAAGGCAATGTATAAATGATATACATTCACTATGCAAACTATCATGAAGACCTATTATTCGAGCTTTAGGAAAAGCTGATCACGGTGCTGTCACTTTCCCTTAAAGTCCACTGTCTGAAACCAGAGAACACGCCAGAAAGAAATTTGGCCCGCTAACCTCTCCCCTCACCAAACACTAAACAGACACCAGCTCAGAATCCGAAAACTTGACAGTCTGGCTCCAGTCTGCCCAAGGCCAGTAGTGTGGATTTGGACGACTCACTTTACTTTCAATGGGCTCGGTTTGCTAAGATTTTCAGTTCCATCTTTTACTCATCTAACTGCTCCATTCCTCTTTGCTTCTTCCTTTCCCGCACCTGCCACCATCCTTTCTACCTCCCTAACGACTTTGTCTTTGCGTTCCTACCGCTTCCCGCATTACCCGTTTCGCACTTTCTCATCTCAGATTTCGGTCACCCGCACCCTGCCATCCCCTTGGCTTCTCCTCTTTGGGCATCTCCGGTATTCCTCCCGCAATGTCCTGGCTCCTCTCCAAGATCCAAAAAGGAAGGCTACCATCCCCAGCCCCGCTGTGCACTCGCGCAACTCAGGCGCTGGCCCACACCGTGCGCCCCGGATCCCACACCTCCTTGAGTCCCGATGGCTCGCCCTCACCTACCCGCCCCTCTCTTAGCATCTCGTCCCCCACCGCCATCTCCGCTATCAGCTCGGAGACTCGGGAGCCGCCAGTCACTGTGCCCTGTCCCTCTCCGGAGGCCGCCAGTCACTGTGCCCTGTCCCTCTCCGGAGGCTCTTCTTCCTCTTTAGCCTGGGATCCCCACCTCGGGCAGGGTCCGTCGCCACCAAGTCCAGGGCCGCGCGCCACCCACGTGTCCAAGAGCGCAGTGCCCGCCCACCGCAAACCCCCCAAGGCCGGCAGCTCCTAGCCGCGGAAGCTCTCCCCTTGCACACGAAACCTGCACTGGCTGGGGAACTGCAGACTGATCGCCAGCGGCACGTGCGGGGCGCCGACGCCTCGCCGCAGGGTGCGGGTGCCCGCGGAGCCAGCCAGCCAGAGAACCAGCAGGAGAGGAAAAAGGGTGGGCGCGCGGGTGGGCCCGGGAGGCGGAGACCTTCGGGAAGCTGGGGCCACGCGGCGGTGCAGGCGACGGGACTGCAGTGCCACCTCTCCCGAGAAACCCACACGCTCGCACGCCCGCGCGCGCACGCACGTGCACACGGTGGGCAGGGAGAAAACGAGAGAGTCTGAGTGCTGGGCGCGTTTTAGCGATGGCTTCTGCTCTCAACAGCAAAATTAACCCGCCCGGCACTTGCCAGGGCTCCAAAGCCGACGGTGGCGCCGGCTGGAGAATGGACTGTGATCCCCAGATGCACGTGAAAATGTGCAAGAAGATCGCCCAGCTCACCAAGGTAAGGTGGGGCGCAGCGGGCCAGCGAGCTGCACGCCCGGGGCGCCCGAGCCGGGAGTCAGTGCGGATGCGCCTCCCGGGAGGCCCGGGCCAAATCCAGACAGAAACTTTGTCTCGGAGGCCAACCGGGAAGGGAAGCGGTCCTAAATCTGGGTGACTTGACCTTCTAGAGGCACCATCCTAAAGCAGCAGAGAAAGAGGATCCTTGCCAAGGAAACTCCCACAGCCTGCTGGCTGGGCAGGTGGTCTGTGCTTTTCCAAGGTGGGAATGTGAATCGTGTGTGTGTGTGTGTCCCCGCCAGCTTTGCTCAAGTGCCTAGAATGTTGTGATTTCATTCAACTGCCATACTTTACAGCTGGGGAGGTCATGTGGGCTCTATTTAAACACTTGATCCATTTATTCCTTCATTCAACAAATATTTGCGTCATTTGTTGAGTGCCAGCAGCTTGCGTGGCACCGTACTAAACCTGGAATGCAGCCTAGGGGACTTACTATCAAACTGGGTGCAGACGTGTGTAGGAGCATAAATGGGGAAGAGCACGATTCACCAAATAACTATGGGATTAGGAAGGACCTAGGGAAGTCAGCCAGCCCACCTCCTTACCTCGTGCAGGGGGCTCTGATTGAACCTTCCCAGACTATGTCTTTTTCAAGAAGACCAGCAAAAAGATGCCACCAGTGCTCTTTGTTAACCCTCTGCAGCTCCCCAATTAGAAGCTCCTTGTCACAGACTCCCCTCTGTGCCTTGTCTAGATGGAAAACAACATCCCTCACTGTCTCCTATACAAGGTTTCAAGTGGATGAATTTAGCTGTTTGCCTTGGGGTTTCCTTTCGGTCTCATAATAAACTCCTGGTGCCATGCCCGCCAGGGAGAGGTCAGGTCCAGGTCTGTCCTGTAGCGTCTGGAACATGCTCTCTTTCCTCACCATCTCCCTCTCACTTCCCACACATTTTTTTGTGGGATCACAGACATTCCCCTCCCCCTGTCCCGCCAACCTCACTATTTTGCCAGGAGGAATAGAGCACAGGGGCTTGGAATTGAACACTAGCCGCCTTCTCCCACCTGTCTCATTAACTTCACATTCTTTGCACGTGAGCCTGTCTCCAAACAGGGCTCTCTTTGGTCAAGGAATGAAAAAAGAGACTGGAGATAGCCCTTAGCGTTCTTGACATGTATAGCTGGTACTATTGATCTAACCTACATTCATGTAAATAGTGACATCAACCAAAACATGTATTTATTCAAGTACCTGAAAAGGCACTTGGCACAGTGCAAGGCATCTTCTCTATCTTCAAAGAATCTAAAATAGTTTTAAAGAAACAAGATTTGAAATATTGAGTGAAAGCTAGAAGACTATACTATGTCTTGGGTGCTAAATTGGGTGTTTCCAATTACGAGTGCTATAGAAGTAGAAACAAAGGACAAATCAGTATGGGAGGAACAGTGAGGGGAGATTTTATGGAAGAGATGATCCTTGAATTCAGTGTGGACTTATGGAATTCCTACTATGTGCCAGCTGCTATGCTGAATGTTGATGGCATAACAATTAGTAAGATATGGTCTTGCCCTTGTGGTATGACAAACACATAAACAGATCATTTCAATATAAAATAGCAATCATTCCACTCATTAATATTTATGGCACACCTATTATGTGCCAAGCACTGAAAACACAGCAGTATAGAAGGCATACATGATTCTTGGCACACAGTAGGCAGTGTTTCTTAAAGTATATTCTGCATTAGAAATCGCAATTGATCCTTATGTAGTGCGTCTGTTTACCATTTTTATGCTAATTGCTTAAATTAGAAGTTTTTGTTATTAATAGGCCACCATTCTTTTGGCTACTATTTGTATGTGAAATATTGTCCTTCATATTTAATCTTTCTATGAGTTTTATTTTGGTTGTGTCTCTGACAGATGAATTTAATCCACAGGGATTTATTGCGATTACTAATATATTTGGGCTCTTCTTCCATCAGATCTTGTGTTTTTCATTTACCATTCTTTCTCCTTGCTTCTTTTTCTTCCATTCTTGCCTTCTATCAGATTAGTAAAGTGATACATATTCCACTGCTGGTTTGAGAGCTTTAGGTTTTATTTCTATTCTTCTCAGAATCGTCTTTTATTTTTTCAACATACATACTTAACTCTGATTTTTTTGCTAACAAAGTTAGTATGTAATTGTTTCTTCCCATGAAAGAACTTTGTATATTTTACTCATTTAACAGCCCCTTCCTTCCCATCTTTTTATTGCTGCCTAGAGTTTTATTTTTACTTTTTTGTTCGTTTGTTTAAGAGACAGGGTCTTGCTCTGTTACCCAGGCTGGAGTGTAGTGGCACAGTCATGGCTGACTGGAGCCTCAAGCTCCTGGCCTCAAGCAATCCTCCCACCTCAGACTCCCAAGTAGCTAGGAACAGGTCCACACCACCACCCCCAGCTAATATTTTCTTTTTCAAAAATTTTTTGTAGAAATAGAGTCTCACCATGTTGCCCAAGCTGGTCTCGAACTCCTGGCTTCAAGCAATCCTCCCGCCTCAACCTTCCAAAGCTCAGGCATGTGCCACCGCATTCAATCTGTTTTTACTTCTTAAATTTAAAAATAGTTTTTATAGTTAAAAGTTAATTAAATTTATGACATTTTATCAATTTTTCTGCTATTTCTTTTTCTTGAATCTACAGTGTTCCCTTTGGGTTCACTTTTCTTCTGGCTGAAGTCCATCCTTTAATAGTTCTTTCTGTAGGTGCCTTGGTATGGGAGGGAATTCATTGTTGGAAATGTCTTAATTTTGCCCTCACTGTTGTATGATGATTTATTTGGATATAAAATTCTAGTGAACAGTTATTTTCCCACACCACACTGATGATAGTACTCCACTGTCTTCTGGTACTAAGTGTTGCTGGTTAAAAATTCTACTGCCAATCTAATTTTCATTCCCTTATAAATAAGCTGCCTTTTCTCTTTGATAACATTTCAGATTTGTTTTGTTTATTTTTACTGTCCAGCAGGTTTTCTAGAACTGTCTTGGTGTTAGTTTATCTTTATCCTCTGCAAAAGGAGGAGGTACTTTTTTTTTTTTTCTTTGAGACAGTGTCTCACTACGTCACCCAGGTTGGAGTGCAGTGGTGTGATCAAAGCTCACTACAACCTTGACCTCCCATACTCAAGCTGGACTACAAGCATGAGCCACCATGCCCAGCTAATTTTTAAAAAATTTTTTGTAGAGACAGGGTCTCACTATGTTGCCCAGGCTGATCTCAGACTCCTGAGCTCAAGCAATCCTCCCGCCTTGGCTTCCCAAAGTGCTGGGATTACAGGGGTGCATATGCTTTCTTTAATTCTGGAAAATTATTACTGATTTTCTCTTGCAATATTGCTTCCTAGCCATTACCTCCATTATCTTTTCTGGCACTACCATTAGGTAAGTGAGGAAGCCTCACTATCTATATCCTGAGATGTTATTTTTTTAAAAAAAGATTTTGTCTTTGTGTTGCATCCTGGTGAATTCCTTGCCTTCCAATTTGCCAGTCTTCTAAATAATTTGTCCAATCCAGAGTTTTTCCCATCTATTAAGTTTTTTGAATTTCAATAATTATATTTTTTATTTCTAAGATTGTGCTTCCTATTTTCTTTCTGCCTAATTTTGATTAACAGTTTTTTTAATATTTACAGCTTTATTGAGGTATAATTTACATACCATAAAATTCACCTGTTTTAATTGTTCAGTTCAACATTGTTTTAGTCATTAAGCCATAACCATAATCCAGTTTTAGGGACATTTTCATCACCCCAAAGAAATCTTCCCTTGTGGCCATTTGTAGTCAGTTTCTGTTCCCACCAACAGCCCCAGGCAACCATTCATCTACTTCCTATCTCTTTAAATTATCTCTAAATGAAACCATATAATAAATTATTCTTTCCATCTAATTCTTTAAGATTCATCCACATTGTAACACATATCATTAATTCGTTCCTTTTTATTACTTATTTATCCTGTTCTATGGGTATGCTGTGTTTTATTTATCCATTCACCAGCTGATGGACATTTGAGTTTCTACTTTTTGGCTTTTATGAATAATGCTGCTATGAAGATTACATTCACGTGCAAGTCTTTATGTGTTCTTGGGTAGATACCTAGGAGCAGAATTCTTAAGTTGTATGATAACTTTTACTTCTTTAAGAAATTGCCAAATTGTTTTGCGAAGTGACTGTACCACCATACATTATCCAGCCTACTTCAGCACAATCTCCTAGTACATCCCTACGCACCCAATTCTCAGGTCACAGGGAAGTACGATTCTTTCCTTACTCCACTGTGCACTCACCTAGCTTTCCTCTTGAAGTTTCCTCACCTGAAATGTCTTCCTCTCTAAAAGTAAAATCTGCTTATCTTTTGAGTCCCACCTCCTCTAAAAAAAAAACCTTTTAAAAACCTTACTTTTCTGATTAAGACTGTGTTAACTGGCCGGGCACAGTGGCTCACGCCTGTAATCCCAGCACTTTGGGAGGCCGAGTCAGGTGGATCACCTGAGGTCGGGAGTTTGAGACCAGCCTGACCAACATGGAGAAACCCCATCTCTACTAAAAATACGAAAAGAATTAGCTGGGCATGGTGGTGCATACCTGTAATCCCAGCTACTCGGCAGGCTGAGGCAGGAGAATCGCTTGAACCCGAGAGGCGGAGGTTGCAGTTGGCTGAGATCGTGCCATTGCACTCCAGCCTGGGCAACAAGAGTGAAACTCCATTCCAAAAAAAAATTGTTAATTAATTTTTAACTGTGTATTAATTACATTTACTTATCCATCCATTTCTCCAGCAGTTTGTACAAAGTCTGACACATAGTAGATCCTCAGTAAACTTGTTCAATTTAATTATAGTTTCCTCCTATAGGTTTGTTAATATTTCTTTCATGATACTTATCCCTATGATATTATAGTTGACTTGTGGATAGTATGTCCTTAAAGTAATAAGCTCCTTAATTTTATTCATAATACTTTACACCTGGTAGGCACTCACTATGTGGTAGTGTAGTAAATATTTATTTACACAATGACCCAAGGCCCAAGGTGCCCATTAAAATCACCTACAGAGCCCTTATTTATTTGTTTACTATATCAATGTATCCAAAAGATTCTAAAATACGTATTTATTTTTAATTTATATAGATTTAGGGGGTACAAATGTGCTTTTTACATGGATACAATACGTGGTAGTGAAGTCTGGACTTTTAGTGCAACCATCACACGAATAGGATACATTGTACCCAGGAGCTATTTATGATCCCTCATCCGCCCTGCAGCCTCCCACCCTTGGAGTCTCCAGTGTCTATTATTCCACATTCTGTGTTCCTGTGTACACATTATTTAGTTCCCACTTGCAAGTGAGAACATGTGATATTTGACTTTCTCTTCCTGAGTTATTTAACTTAAGATAATAGCCTCCACTCAGAGAGCTTTTAAAAACACACCAGTTGAAGACTTGACAACTAAATGCAGTGCCTGTCCTAGATTGGATTCTATACCGACCAGAAAAATTGCTACAAGAGATGATTGGGTCAGTTGACAAAACTGGAATACAAATGTTGGGTAAAGAAGATAAAAGTGTTTCTATTGATGTTAAGTTTACTGGAGTTGACTGTACTATGGCTATGCAAGAAAATTTCCTATTCTAGCTGGGCTCAGTGGCTCATGCCTGTAATCCCAGCAGTTTGGGAGGCCGAGGCGGGCAGATCACGAGGTCAGGAGACGGAGACCATCCTGGCTAACATGGTGAAACCCTGACTCTACTAAAAATACAAAAAATTAGCTGGGTGTGGTGGCACGCACCGGTAGTCCCAGCTACTCGGGAGGCTGAGGCAGGAGAATCGATTGAACCCAAGAGGCAGAAGTTGCAGTGAGCCAAGACAGCACCACTACACTCCAGCCTGGGCAACAGAGCAAGACTCCATTTCAAAAATAAAATTAAATTAAATTAAAATTAAAATACAAAAATTAGCTGGGCATGGTGGTGCACACCTGTAGTCCCAGCTACCCAGGAGGCTGAGGCAGGAGAATCACTTGAACCCGGGAGGCGGAGGTTGCAGTGAGCTGAGATCATACCACTGCACTCCAGCCTGGTGACAGAGCAAGACTCCATCTCAAAAAAAAAAAAAAAAAAAAAAAGAAAAGGAAAATATCTTATTCTTAGGAAATGCACATCGAAGCTGATCTTACGTTTAAGGAAGTATGATGCCTTACTCTCAAAGCATTTCATTTCATCATATAGAAAACAGAATATGGAAATAGAATAAAAGATACATGAGACAAAATGGGGTAAAATAGGCGATTCTGAGTAAAAGAGTATGTGGATGTTCTTTGTACTGTTCTTTTTCTGTCGGTTATTCCCTAAGTTTGAGATTATAGTCAAAGTTTAAAACAAGCAAACCAAACAGCATACAGGGCCCAGGCCCATCTTATAAGGAGAAGAGAGAATGGTGACAGGTATTAGTATTTTTTTCAAATCCCTTCAAGAGCATCCAATGTGCTGACAGGGTTGAGAACCACTGGCTTGCAGCAATTGAAGGATGGAACAGTAAAATGCACCCAGAGGAGGTATTTGGAAGAAGAGGTTCTAGATCCATTCCCCAGTAAATAAACCCTTTGGGAAGCTTTTGTTCTTGAAAGCATCAGGCAGGTTTCCCCAGCCCTGCCCTGCCTCTGGGCCCGTGTCCACCTCTCTGAGTTTTTGTACCCTCCCAGCACTCTCCAGCTGGATTTTGTTTGTTTGTTTGTTTGTTTGTTTGTCTTTGAGACAGGGTCTGGCTCTGTTGCCCAGGATGCAGTGCAGTGGTACAATCTGGGCTCACTGCAACCTCTGCCTCCTGGGCTCAAACCATCTTCCCACCTCAGCCTCCCCAGTAGCTGGGACTACAGGCGTGCACTGCCACGTCCGGCTTTTTTTGGTAGAGACGAGGTCTCACTATGTTGCTCAGGCTGGCCTCGTACCCTTGGGCTCAAGAAATCCTCCCACCTCAGCCTTCCAGAGTGCTAGGGTTGCAGGCGTGAGCCGCCACTCTCGGCCTTACCTGGTTTTTCATCTTGCAGCTCTCTCCACAACCTCATCCCCAGCAGGGTTGGAATCCCTCCTACCCAGGGATTCTCCAATTCCCATTTTCAAAGAATAATAGAATGTCTTACCCCAAACACAAGTGTTAATGAAGATTCTTTTGTATTAAAACAAGAAAATGAGTGGGATAGCATGTATTCCTCTGCAAGAACCATCTCTCAAACTGAAGGCTTGGCTGGGCGCGGTGGCTCACACCTGTAATCCCAGCACTTCGGGAGGCCAAGGCAGGCGGATCACCTGAGGTCGGGAGTTCAAGACCAGCCTGACCAACATGGAGAAACCCCATCTCTACTAAAAATACAAAATTAGCCAAGTGTGGTGGCGCATGCCTGTAATCCCAGCTACTCAGGAGGCTGAGGCAGGAGAATTGTTTGAACCCGGGAGGCGGAGGTTGCAGTGACCCAAGATTGTGCCGCTGCACTCCAGCCTGGGCAACAAAAGTGAAACTCCGTCTCAAACAGAAAAAAGAAAAAAAGAAAATATACTGAAGACTGACTCTCGAGAACCCAGACCACACACAGGAGAAGCAGATACCAGGGCACTACCTCTCATCTGGACCAACTAGAGGAAATGTACCCAGGAAGAAATGCGCAGGCGTCTTAGTGCCAGAAGCTGCCAAGCTCAAGTATAAGGAGTCGAATAACCTCATGGGGCCTTCTCACTCATTCTTGTTTTGGATCTCTGCCAGTTTGTCAGGAGACCCTGCAAGAGCAAATGCTGAGTCAAGTGGTTGCAGTTTCTCCATGTTAGGAACACCTTACGATTCTTTAGTTTTGCATACTTTGCAAAGCCTTTGACATACTTACTCATCCTTTGTGTGCACAGCAATTCTGCATGGCTGGGAGGGAAGAACCATCTCTAATTGAGAAGGGGGGAATCTGAGACCCGGGAGGGTGTCAGTATTCTTGTCCAACATCGTATTAATATATATTGACAGAGCTAGGACATGCAGAATCCAGCACTGGATGTGTGTGTGTTGAAGAGAGGGAGGTGGGGAAGTCTCTTCCCTGTTCATCCTGATGTTTCCATAGCCTCTCTCAATTACTTTTACTATTTTTTCCACTGCAAAGGGGAATATATAGTTAATTAGTGAGGTTTGGAGCAGGGACTGGGCCTATAGAGCTCTTGCCTCTTCCTCCCTTCTTGCTCCTGGAGTGATCTGCCTATAGAAGCACACATTGTCTTCTACACATCAATTTTACAGGGGTAGGTGCACCTGGCAGGCAGAACTGCCCTGGCCTAGCATTGTGACCGGATGGATAAGCATCAGGAATTCAGCTTGCCAGTGGATATATGCCACAGTCTCCAGTATTAACTTTAGTTGATAAAACGGTGATAGTTTGGTCTCAAAACAGACTCACACCTTGGTCTTGCATTTCAGTTAGATCAGTGGGGAAGAGGAATGTTATTTATTGGGCCATCCTAAAGATCCAACAGACAGATCTTAGGATGAGTCTAGCTTTGAGGAATTTGGTACAGAGTTACAGTGAAAACTAATTCCTTTATTTGGGAAAGCATATTAACCTGAGAGTGGGAAACTTTTGAGTGGCAGTGTGGTATTTATCTGTAGATACATCTTCCATGGGAAGTTCAAGAGGTCAAAAGTCACCGCTTCCTGCACAGTGGCACAGCCAGACCATGAGGACTGTGTCTCCACATGTCCCAGAACCTTACCCATCTATTAAGACACATTAATAGAGACAATAGTATTGTCTCTGTTTTGGGGGTGGGGGATGGGAGGTGATGGGTATAGGATTGGGAGATGTAGTGGAGAATAGTCTCTGAGTTTAAAATCAGAAATAATAAGGAAAAATAATTATCATTTCTATTCAAAGTTATACGTGAAATGAATTTAAATTTGATTTGTTTCTAGAGGGCAACTTTTCACCCTTCTTTATACTAATGAATATAAATTAGAATTAAATAAGAATAAAAATGAAGACATCTAGAGAGCAAATGAATAATTTTGGGGTTAAACTTGGAATGTTCTTGCTCTGGATCCCTGTGTAGCTGGTATCAGCTAAATCACCACCTCTTCAAAGTGGCCTTTTCTGACCTCCCCATGCAAAGGGGCCAACGGTCCTCATCTTTAGTTGGGGGAAAATTTTCCACCTTGGTGATATGTTGTGAGGCTTTACCAATATAAGGGATGTATGTGAAAAGTCACTTATAACCCAACACGGGGCATATCTGAAGCCTGACAGATGTTCATTTCCCATCCCTTTCTGAACTGGAGGAACTTCAGAGAGTCAAGGACTGCTGCCCAGTTGTCGAACTTGGAAACAAGCCAGCTCTTCCCTGGGCTGAGAGGCCAGGGCAGTGCTGTAGGGCAGGAGGAGTGATGCCTGTTGCCATGAGAGTCCTCAGCAACAGGCTGTCACTTGAGCCCTGTGTTTTCATGGCTTAAAGGTGTGGAAATCTTATGGCACCCACTGGCTCCTCTCGCTTTTCTGAAAATATCCTCTTGCTTGCAGGAGCTTGTTTGGGGACAGATGTTTAAGCAGTTCCATGCCAGTTTGCTTTAGGACTCTAGACTTGAAAACGGCAGATCTGTTTTAACAAGCCCTCTCTGTTGGAATCTTTTAATTTAGCGATGTGATTCATTGTGTAAGGAGCTCACGAATCTTTGCACCATACTGTAAACGGTAGGGAGTGCACCTTAAGTTGAATGTCCTTGAACCTTGCTCAGATCCCTGAACTTCTGCATAACCATTCTGGTCTCTCCACTTTCCACAGTGCCCCCAAAACTCCCCTGCCTCGCCCCAGCCTTCCTCCTATCCTTTCTCCACACAGCAGCCAGAGTGATCTTAAAACTGAATCAGCATTCCCATACACTGCCAGTGGGAATATAAAATGATGCAGCTGCTGTGGAAAATGGTCTGTCAGTTCCTCAAATGCTTGGACACGCTTATCTTTCCACTCCCAGGTATATACCCAAGAGAAATGACGCAAGAATGTTCATAGAAACATTATTCACAATAGCCAAAAAGTGGAAACCAACTAAATGTCCATCAACGGAGGAACAGATAAGCACAAAAAGAAACCTTTCATTCCTTAGACAAAGAGGAGTGTGACTCACAGATGCAAGGTTTCTTTATGGAGTAATGAGAATGTTCTAAAGTTGGTTGTGGTGATGGTTCCGCAACTCTGAAGATACTGAAAGCCATTGAATTGTACACTTTTTGGGTGGATCTCCTGGTATGAGAATTATATCTCAATAAAGCTGCTAAAATGAAAACAAACAAAACTTGAATCAGATCTGTCTCCTGTTAAAATCTAGTTCTGGCCGGGCGCGGTGGCTCACGCCTGTAATCCCAGCACTTTGGGAGGCCGAGGCAGGCAGATCACCTGAGGTCAGGAGTTCAAGACCAGCCTGGACAACATGGTGAAACCCCGTCTCTAGTAAAAGTACAAAAAAATTAGCTGGGTTTGGTGGTATGCACCTGTAATCTCAGCTACTCGGGAGACTGAGGCAGGAGAATCACTTGAACCCGGGAGGCGGAGGTTGCAGTGAGCCAATATTTCGCCACTGCACTCCAGCCTGCGTGGCAGAGTGGGACTCCATCTCAGAAAAAACAACAACAACAACAACAACAACAACAACAACAACAACTAGTTCTGAGGCAAGTCCTGGTGACTTTACCTCATAAACAAAATGAGTAAGTCCACCTCCATTCTCCATTTCCACCTCCACCATAGTCGGAGCCACCTTCACCTCTGGCCACCAACCCCTGCTATGACGCCCGCACTGGCCTTGTGGCCCACTCTTGCCCACTCACACAAAGGCAAGAATTATCTTTTAAATATAAACCAGAACATGTCATTCGTCTGTTTAAAACCTACCACTGGCTTCCCTTGGGATGAAATTTCAATTCCAATTTCACTTAGAAGAAAATGTATTCACCTTATAATAAATTTTTTTATTGTGGTCACTTGAGGTAGCTCCTGTCCGCCTCTCAGTCTCATTTCCTCTGCCACACCACCCTTCTCTCAGATCTTCTCCTGTGCCAAGCTTGTGCCACTGCGGGCCTTTGTCCTCTTGGTTTCCTCTGCCTGATCCAGACTCAGCCAACTTGGCTCAGATGTCTCTTCAGACTAATGCGGCTGCCCTGCCCCACTCTGAGGCTATCTCAGCTCCATCTGCCTTTTTTCCTTTATTGGTTTATTGCCTAAGGGTAGGGATTTCTGTCTATTTCTGTCCTCTCCTATATCCCCAGTGCCTAGAACAGTGCCTGGCAAGTGGTGGGCACCCATCAAGTATTTGTTGATAGACTAAGTGAACCAAATTCTTCTTAGACCTCCCATTGCTCTTAAAGTAATATATCAAATTTCACCAGGAACTACGGTCATCTTATCGGGGAGTGGGGAGGCCTCATTCAAGGTTCTGGCCTTGAACTCAAAAGGTCTAGCATCTCATTTCAAGTGTTTTAAGTGCACTAGGAAACTGGCCAGCGCTGACAAGTAGTCTTTACCCACTCCCTCCCAAGCTAATATCTTACTTAGTCACTCCCAGCCCCTGACCACAATGACGGGATCTATTCAGACGTGGTGCCTCCATTTGATCAGATCCAAATTCCTTCAGGGAACCAGAGTTGTAAAATAAAAACAATAATGAGAATCAATCACAGACAGAAAACACACCCATTTTTGAAAAAACTCAAAAATACAGATAAGCAAAAAGAAAAAGTTTTTAAAGAAACCTAAATCTATAAGTATAGTGATATAATTATTAACATTTATGCAAACCCTACTAGATGATTTCCCCTGCAAAGGGAGACACATATTTTTAAAAATAGTTATATTATATGTAACTATTGTGTAACCTGTTTTGTTTTCCCCCTTCACAATAAATCTTGAACTCTTCAACATAATTTTTAATGGTTGTGTTAGTATTCTGTTGTATGGAGATTGCATAATTTAACTTCATTCATTTAAGAAACATTTACTGGCCAGGCATGGTGGCTCATGCCTGTAATCTCAGCACTTTGGGAGGCCAAGGCGGGTGGATCACCTGAGGTTGGGAGTTCAAGACCAGCCTGACCAACATGGAGAAACCCCGTCTCTACTAAAAACAGAAAATTAGCCAGACGTGGTGGCGCATGCCTGTAATCTCAGCTATTCGGGAGGCTGAGGCAGGAGAATCGCTTGAACCCGGGAACGGAGGTTGCAGTGAGCTGAGATAATGCCATTGCACTCTAGCCTGGGCAACAAGAGCAAAACTCCATCTCAAAAAAAAAAAAGAAAAAAGAAATAAACATTTACTGATTTACTGAGCACCTGTTATGTATCAGATAAAATCCCTTATCTTGTGGACCTCATAGGCAAGAAAAGTAGGAAAAATGTGAACAAATATAATAATAGAGATCCTCTTATTCGACGTCATTTGGACATTTTGGATAATTGAAAACTGAAAACCATAAAAGAAAAAAACTAACACATACACAATATTATTTTAAAACTTATAAAGGGGTCAGAAGGCTGGCATGGTGGCTCATGCCTGTAATCCCAGCACTTTGGGAGGCCGAGGCGGGTAAAACCTGAGGTTAAGAGTTCAAGACCAGCGCCTGACCAATATGGTGACACCCCGTCTCTACTAAAAATACAAAAATTAGCTGGGCGTGGCGGGGTGTGCCTGTAGTCCCAGCTACTCTGGAGGCTGAAGCAGGAGAATTGCTTGAACTTGGGAGGCAGAGGTTGCAGTGAGCTGAAATCGCAACACTGCACCCCAGTCTGGGCGACAAGAGACTTCGTCTCAAATAAAAGGGGGGGTGGGGTTCAGAAAACTATGGCCCACAGGCCAAATCTGGTCCACTGCCCATTTTTATATGAGTTCCAAGTCAAAGATGATCTTTACATTTTTAATTGCTTGATGTCTTTGAAGAAATAATTTGAAAACAGAAAAAAAGAAAAAGAAACTGTAAATACTTGAACAAAATCAAAAGAACTTCTGTGACAGTTGGAAAATTATATGTAATTCTAATTTAGTATCCATGAATAAAGTTTTATTGGAACACAGCCATGCCCATTCATTTATAGGTTTTCTAGAGTAGCCTTTGTGTTAAAATAGCAAATCTGAATAGTTATGACAGAGATTGAATGAAGCCTAGAACTACTACCTTTACAGAAAAAGTTTGAAACCCCTAAATTAAAGCATGCAAATAAACACTGGATCACTAATCTTTTAATTGAAGACTCAGTTTCAGTTCTTTGGGAATGGCTTGTTGATTGGCACCCTACCTTATTAGTCTTGTTTAAAGTACATCCATATTTAGGGTGATCTTTTAATTTCTCATCCAGACTGGGACTCTTCTGAGACCCAAAGGGGGCTGGCGGGGGGTGGGGGGCGGGGAGGGGGCACTAATCCAGACAGAGCGCTGAAACAGCAGATGTAAACAAAGACTGTTCCAGCCTGATCCAAGTGTAACGTCACCATGCCCATAATGCATTTGTACTTTCTCCCATTTTGGCTTAAGTGAAGAATGAAAATCTAAAACACACGTAAAACAATTTAGTTCAGAATTCTCCTAAACCTTTAAAACTTGTTTCCCAGTCTTTTTCACTTCTCTGTCACATGTAATTTGATACCAGGTTTTCTTCCTTTAGCAATTTGCCTTTATTGAGTTTTTCCTGTTTTCATAGGAACCAAAACTTTCTTTTCATGTCCATTTATAATTGACTTACTGAGAGGTGACAGCATGCTGGCAGCCCTGGCAGCCCTAGCTGGCTCGGGGCTTTGTCAGCCTCGGAGCCCACTCTGGCCACGCTTGAGGAGCCCTTCAGCCCACCGCTGCACTGCAGGAGCCCCTCTCTGGGCTGGCCCAGGCTGGAGCCGGCTCCCTCTGCTTGCCACGAGGTGTGCAGGGAGAGGCACGGGCGGGAACCTGGGCTGCCTGCAGCCCTCGCGGGCCAGCGCGAGTTCCGGGTGGGCGTTGGCTCGGCGGCCCCGCACTCGGAGGGGCCGGCTGGCGCTGCTGGCCCCAGGCAGTGAGGGGCTTAACACCCGGGCCAGCAGCTGCAGAGGGTGCACCAGATCCCCCAGCAGTGCTGGCCCGCTGGCGCTGCGCTGGAATTCTCGCTGGGCCTCAGGTGCCTCCCCGCGGGGCAGGGCTCGGGACCTGCTGCCCACCATGCCTGAGCCTCCCCTGCACCATAGGCTCCTGTGCGGCCGGAGCCTCCCCAATGAGCGCTGCCCCCTGCTCTGTGGCGCCTGGTCCCATTGACCGCCCAGGGGCTGAGGAGTGCGGGTGCTCTGCGCGGGACTGGCAGGCACCTCCGCCTGCTGCCCCGGTGCGGGATCCTCTAGGTGAAACCAGCTGGGCTCCTGAGTCTAGTAGGGACTTGGAGAATCTTTATGTCTAGCGAAGGGATTGTAAATACACTAATCAGCACTCTGTGTCTAGCTCAAGGTTTGTAAACACACCAATCAGCACTCTGTATCTAGCTAATCTGGTGGGGACTTGGAGAACCTTTATGTCTAGCTAAGGGATTGTAAATACACCAATCAGCACTCTGTGTCTAGCTCAAGGTTTGTAAATACACCAATCAGCATTCTGCGTCTAGCTCAAGGTTTGTAAATGCACCAATCAGCACTCTGTATCTAGCTTATCTAGTGGGGACTTGGAGAACCTTTATGTCTAGCTAAGGGATTATAAATACACCAATCAGCACCCTGTGGTCTAGCTCAAGGTTTGTAAATGCACCAATCAGTGCTCTGTGTGTAGCTAATCCAGTGAGGACTTGAACAACTTTTGTGTCTAGCTCAGGGATTGTAAACGCACCAATCAGCACCCTGTCAAAACGGACCAATCAGCTCTCTGTGAAACAGACCAATCAGCTCTCTGTAAAATGGACCAATCAGCAGGATGTGGGTGTGGCCAGATAAGGGAATAAAAGCAGGCTGCCTGACCCAGCAATGGCAACCTGGTTAGGTTACCTTCCCAATCTTGCTCTTTGTAATAAATCTTCCTGTGGCTTACTCTTTGGGCCTGCACTTCCTTTATGAGCTGTAACACTCACGGGGAAGGTCTGCAGCTTCACTGTTGAAGCCAGTTAGATCATGAACCTGCCGGGGGGAATGAATAACCCCGGACAGAAGGAAGGAGTAATTCTAGATGTGCTGCTTTAAGAGCTGTAACACTCACCACCGCGAAGGTCTGCAGCTTCACTTCTGAAACCAGGGAGACCCCGAACTCTCCAGAAGGAAGAAACTCAGAACACATCTGAATATCAGAAGGAACAAACTCTGGACACACCACCTTTAAGTACTGTAACACTCATCAGGAGGGTCCGTGGCTTTATTCTTCAAGTCAGTGAGACCAAGAACCCACCATTTCCGGACGCATTACCACAGTGTTAAATTACATAATTTCAAGAACAAATACAACCAGAATAAACAGGTGGCAGTGTCAGCAGAGAGAGGGTGAAAAGTTTATCCACATGTTGGTTGAAGGCAGACTGGCCAAAGAGCTTCTACTGTTTTTTATACAAAAACTGGATTATAATTTTGATATGCTGCTAAGAACTGTGAAATATTGTCAATACGAGGGATCGTGAAAGTTAGGTTGAGATAATCCCTCATTGTGAGCCACCTTTGTTGATCCCAGTTTGTCATTATATATTATAATCAATATTAATATAATCAATATTATAATCAATATTGTAGTGGCCCCTCGTTTGATTCTATTTGCTAGACGTTTCCTTGAGGTAGATTCCTGTGAGCGGAATTCACCTTTGTT
Organism: Homo sapiens; assembly: GCF_000001405.40. Taxonomy (NCBI): domain Eukaryota; kingdom Metazoa; phylum Chordata; class Mammalia; order Primates; family Hominidae; genus Homo; species Homo sapiens. Next base: position 17,765,314 of record NC_000004.12, on the reverse strand, counting down.
ACAGGTAATGCCCATGAAAGAATATTAGGAAGATTTGAAGAGACCAGCCTAGAAAAAGAAATATGTAGTGATTAAAAAGACAATCTGATAGACAAGATGTGCTGAGGTCCTGACTCGGTAACTACAAAGCTTGCCATTTTAAAAGCCATTTATTACACTTTCTCCTCCCACCATCCAAATACTAGAACTCCATGGGAGCAACACTCGTAGTTTCAAGGACAATGGCAGAATTACTTTCTTTTTTTCTTTTTTTGAGACAGGGTCTTGCTCTGTTGCCCAGGAGTGCAGTGGTATGATTATAGCTCACTGCAGGCTTGACCTCCTGGGCTCAAGTGATCCTCCCACCTTAGCCTCCTGAGTAGCTGGGATTACAGATGTGTGCAACCACACCCAGCTAATTTTGTTTATTTTTTGTAGAGACAAGCTCTTGCTATGTTGTCCAGCCTGGTCTCGATCTCCTGGACTCAAGTGATCCTCCTGCCTTGGCCTCCCAAAGCGCTGAGATTACAGGCGTGAGCCACCGCGCCTGGCCGAGAATTTGCATTTTAATGCAAGCTCCCAGGTGATGCTGCAGACTACAACAAATCTTTAGGATGATCAAGGATCTTTACTTTGCTTTTCTCATCTTTGAACTCCCAACAGCTTCTAGCATACTGCCCTGCTCTCAACAATATTCAATAAAATGAGTTGGACTTTTCGCTGTTAAACTTTTGAGGACAAGAACTTTGTCTTATGTTTTTTACATCTTTAGAACCTCCATTAATGCCAGGAAACAGTGGGTGCTAGTAAGAGACAGATTAAAGGGTGGGTGTGCCAGCAAAACTCCTACCAATAAGGCATACTGAGGCCTCTCTGGGTGCCAGTGGAAATACCAAGAGATGCAAAACATATGAGAACCCCCTTAAGGGATGTATGCATGTGCTTCGATGAGCCCTTCCAGATTAGAGGTGCAATTTGGAGGGGTCTTGTGGAGTGCAAAGAGGTGATCGATAAACTGCTTTGTGAAGGAGAGCACCTTTGGTTAAACACAACCTTCTGTTTTAATGAGCAAATATGCAGGTTTGGGGCCAGAGCTGAATTGTTCCAGGCAGTAAAAGGAAGATTAATCTCTCCCCTCTTCCGTTTTCCTTGGTGTGTTCAGTCTCTTGGCATTGACCCAATACAGATTTGAAAACGAGTGACAGATGTTAGCCTGTTTAGTTTACCCATGGGTCTTGGTCTAGTTTTGAATGCTGCTGATTTTGTTATAATTAGGATGACAGAAATATTTGTGGGTGATGACAGAGTAAAAAACATGTAGGTAGGTGTTGGGGGCGGGTGGAGAGCATGAAAAGTGATATCTTCACATTTTGAAGACAACGTTTGTCTAGATGGTATTTTTAGTAAGGCCAAGCTAGATCCAAAAAAGTAACAAAAAAAAAGTAGGTGTGCCTTGTTTTCGTTCACTTTCCTGCCAGGGTGGTCTGCCCTTGAAAAAGCATGCCCCTCAAACATCTGCTGTTCCTTGCACTTGCTAGCTCATTAATGACATTTTCCCAGAGACCTAGAAATAGCAAATTCCATTAAAAGGCTTATCATTAAATACAATACAGCTCTTTATGTGGGAGAAGGATGGCCTCTGAATAAGAGTCCATTAGGGCTGTGGGCTGGAAAAAATGGGTCAGCTTTCTTTTAAGGGAGAAATTAATACAGCAGACAAGAGCCAGCAACAGTGGTGACATTCATCTTGCAAAGCCTCTTCACGCTGCCAAAGTGTGTCCGTCCAGTCTTACTATTCCTGTCCTAGACCCCTGGAGCGGGGCCTATTTGTCCCAAGGAAGCCTATCAAATTATCTGGTAACAGCCTAAATAAATATGAGGGAGAAGATTAGAACTGAGTACAGGTGCATGTGCCTGTGTGTGTGTGTGTTTGTGTGTGTGTGCCCTCTGAAAGCTAGGCCAGGAAAGCAGACCTAATCAGTAGCTCATTTGCTGATCTCTCTCCCCTTTGGTGGATTCTAATGTCAATTCTATGGGAGGTGGCTCACTGCTGAGCCTATGAGGTGTTGTCCCAGGGAAGACCCAATTTAGAGAATCTCATTTTCAGTGTTGGAGGCCAGTGCTCAAAAGGACTGTCCAGTATCCAGTCTCCTCATTGTGACTTAGGCAAGCTGAAGCACAAGGCATGATCGGACCTTGCTGGCTGGGGTTGACAGGCAAAGAAAGAACTAGCACTGAACAAAATGGGCACTAAGAAATGAACATCCCATTGACAGCAGCCAGGGATGCAGTGTCCAAAAACCATAGAAAACACAGGAGTGAGTCAGGAACATGTGTGTAGTAGCAGAGCTGTTCAGCTGTGTAGGCCAGGGCAATGAGGAGATCCGGAAGGTGCAGTGATTCAAAAGTCAGGGCAGTTGGCAGTTGGAAGTAGGTGTTCTGTCCAAATTCAGCAGCATCCCCTGCTGGTAGGATATGGATGAGAAGACCCAGCTCTACAGAAAGGAGTTGGCAGAGTACCAAGCTCTTAGCAAACAACTTGGAGGGTTTAGACAGCTTGTGAGACATTCAAAAAAGAGGTGTCTTATAGGCATTTTGATGTATAGTTGTGCTAGTTTGGATGCTTGCATTATTGTTCACCAAATAGTCACTCACTCCTGTCGCTCTATCCAACTCCATGAGCAGAGATTACTTCCTCATCCTATTGATAATGGGCTTCTTTTTGCAACTTGCTTTGGTCGATCGAATGTGATGCAAACACAGGCAGAGGCCTTAAGTGTACTTGTGTGGTTTAGTGATTGCCATGACAATATCGTGTGTTGGTGGCCACTGCTCTGTAGCCTGGCCCTAATGAAGCCGGATCTGAATCCAGCTCACAGCCTGAAGCCGAGCCCACACAATCTGAAGCTAGGGCAGATCCCCTTAGCCATGCCCAGCCTAGATCAGCTCGACCACTGTTAACCTAAAGGAGAATATGTGTGTCTTATTGTAAGTCATTGAATTTAAGGGGTAGTTTGTTACGTGGCATTCTTGTGAGCATCTTTTCTGAGTCTGAAACTCAAAAAAGATGTCTAGATCAGAGATTCTGGTTTAGGAATTATCATCTCATAGGGGATCCTTTGTTAATTTGTTCATTTACTCATTCACTCAGTAAATATTTAGTACAAGCTTATTCTGTGCTGGATACTTCCATTCATCGGTATGGAGGACACTGTCCAAGATTCTTATGGAAAGAGGTCTCTTGGCAGCTTTCTCAGAGAGAATTTGCAGAGGGAGAAGAGAAGGACATATCAAAACAAAACAAAACAAAACAAAATGAAGAGCCCTGGGGATTGCTAGCCCATAAAAGAGAGAGCGCCTGAGATCCCTCAGAGAGGTAACAGGAAATGCAGGAGAAGGTGGTATTTTAGAAAGCAAAGGAGGAGAGCCTTTTAAGAGAGGGAGAGTATTGACTAGTGGTAGATAGTACAGAGAGGTAAGGTGGGTTGAGGCCTGAAAAACAAAACAAAACAAAAAGTCAGCTGCGGTGACTCATGCCTGTAATCCCAGCACTTTGGGAGGTTGAGGCAGGTGGATCACATGAGGTCAGGAGTTCGAGACCAGCCTGATCAACATGGCAAAACCCCTTCTCTAATAAAAATACAAAAATTAGCTGGGCATGGTGGCCTGTAATCCCAGCTGCTTGGGAGGCTGAGGCAGGAGAATTACTTGAACCTGGGAGGCAAAGGTTGCAGTAAGCCAAGATCGTGCCACTGCACTCTAGGCTGGGCAACATTATGTCATTATAGTTGGCCATTGGTGGCCTGGGTATTCCAAGGCTGATGGGCCAGGTTGGAGAGCCTGGTGAAGAGAGCCAGGTGTTAGTATCTGTATAGATCTGCTTGGGCTATGATAACAGAATGCCACAGAGTGGATAGCTTAAACAACAGATATTTATTTCTCACAGTTCTGGAGCCTGAAAGTCCAAGCTCAAGGTACTGGCAGGGCTGATTTCTGGTAAGGGTTCTTCTCTCTTCCTGACTTGTAGGCTTATGGCCTTGTCCTCATATGGCCTTTCCTGTGTGCACACAGGGAGAGAGAGAGAGAGAGAGACCTGCTGTCTCTTCCTCTTCTAATAAGGACATGTGAGGGGACTCCCTTTGTGCTGACAGTGAGCTGAGGAGCAGAACAGAGCCTAGGCTCTATCTTAGGCTTAGGGCAGGCTTCTCACCCTGGACACTACTGACGTTTTGGGCCAAATAATTCTTTGCTGCATGAGCTGTCCTGTGCATTGTTAAGTTGTTCAGCAGTATCCCTGGCCTCAACTAAAAATGTCTCCGACATTGCCAAATTCTCCCTGGCTAGTGGGGAGGGGACTGTGCAAATCAACTGTTGGGAACTACTGACTTAGGGTGAGGTCCTTGTCCATTCAAGGTGGAAGCAACCTTTGACATTGACTTTGAAGAGGCTTCAGTTCTCTACAGCACGACTCAACTGAAAATCCCGAAGTGCCTTGGAGAAAGGGCATTTCTTCCGAGAAACGCAACAGGCTTTTATGCAATTATGCAACCCCCTGGGGCTTTTACTGGTAAGCCAGAGTTTCCAAGGAGGATTTAGGGATCAGACTCCCATTTTCCCCGAGATCTTTTAGGATTCTAAGTGCTCTGAAAATTAAAAGGACAATTCACACAAAGCTAGTGATACCTAAGAATGTCTTATGGATAGGCTGTGTCCTAGAGATGTGTCCTTTTTGCTTGTTTATTTATTTCTTTGGTGAGAGAGAGAATAGGGCCATTCAGTATCAGGTTGATCATGAGCCTTCACTTCTGTAGAATTTCAGGGTTTTTTGTTTTTTGTTTGTTTGTTTGTTTTTGTTTTTTTTTTTTTGAGATGGAGTCTTGCTCTGTAGCCCAGGCTGGGGTACAGTGGTGCGATCTTGGCTCACTGCAACCTCCGCCTCCCAGGTCTCAGTTCAAGCAATTCTCCTGCCTCAGCAACCTGAGTACCTGGGACTACAGGCACACGCCACCAATGCCAGCTAATTTTTGTATTTTTAGTAGAGATGGGTTTTCACCATGTTGGCCAGGCTGGTCTTGAACTCCTGACCTTGTGATCTGCCCACCTCGGCCTCCCAAAGTGCTGAGATTACAGGCGTGAGCCACCATGCCCAGCGGATTTCAGTTCTTAATCTACAAGATTGATGAATTTATTAACTTAGTAATGATTATATTAGTCTCCCATGTCCTCCATGGGGCTGTTGGGTAGGCTCAGGTGATAATTTGTATGTCATGAAATGCTGAGATGTTTAGGGGACACAGCATGATGCAGGGAAAAGAGCCCAGGTGTGCGGTCAGCCAAGCATGAATCACATCAGCGGCTGCCACAGTCTGCTTGCAGCCCCTGAAAGTTACCTAAGAGATTCCTCATCTGATGACTATTGAAACCGGTACCCACCTTGGCCTGTAGATATGGGAAGTAAATGACATAGCAAATGAATGTATAAAACACTACAGAAGATGGCTAAGACTTTTTTGAATGAGCTTTAAGAACTTAGGTGCTTAGGCCGGGTGTGGTGGCTCACACCTGTAAACCCAGTACTTTGGGAGGCTGAGGTGGGTGGATCACCTGAGATGAGGAGTTCGAGACCAGCCTGGCCAACATGGTGAAACACCCTTTCTACTAAAAATACAAAAAAAGTTAGCTGGATGTGGTGGTGGATGTCTGTAATCTCAGCTACTCGGGAGGCTGAGACAGGAGAATCACTTGAACCTGGGAGGCAAGAGGTTGCAGTGAGCCACTGCACTCCAGCCTGGGTGACAGAGCAAAACTCTGTCTCAAAAAAAGAAAAAAGAAAAAAGAAAAAAAGACATACCTGAAACTGGGTAATGTACAAAGAAAAGAGATTTAATTGGCTCACAGTTCTGATTCTGCAGGCTGTACTGGAAGCATGGCTGGCAAGGCCTCAGGAAACTTTCAATCGTGGCAGAAGGCAAAGGGGAAGTCAGTGTGTCTTTCATAGCCAGAGCAGGAAAAGAGAACAAAGTGGGAGGGGCTACACACTTTTAAACATCCAGATCTCATGAGAACTCACTCACTATCATGAGAACAACCAATCTTCCAACATTGGGGATTACAATTCGACATGCAATTTCAGTGGGGACACAAATCCAAACCATATCAAGGAGACTGGGAGAAACAGAAGCCAGCCCCCTGAGAACCGGCAAGATGTATGGCACTGGGCTTCTAACTCTACACTTAATGGAAGTTCAAGTTCCACTTCTTTAGAATCTCAAAGGACAGGATCGCCAAGCCAACATCAGACGTAAACTGTCTCTCTGAGAAAAGATAAACTGGATTTAACAGACATTATCTTTATACCTGGGTTAAGTTCTGAACTGGCCAAAAGAGGCTGGCCCACCTTTCCTCACCTTTCCCAATCATCTTTTATTCCCATTTGTGTTAAGCTTACTTGGTTTTTTTTTTTTACCCCCTAAATTCGGTAAGCTATCTGAGCAGAGAGAGAAAATGCAGTCCAACACCACGATCGATGTGCCAGTGCTTTGCAACTGCAGAGTGCTGTGGGAAGGGGGAACATATTGTTGTTGTGATCCCTGAGCAGTGTGCAGCTGTCATTCAGGCTCTCGCCTGCTAAGTGCCATTTAATGGCCTCCAAGAATGTTATTTATCACCTCTTTTTCTTCACCGTAGGAGCACCCTCACTTGTGCAATAAAAATGACAAGTTACCCCTCTGTAGATGTTTCAATGGGCACTAGAGGTCAAACCTTCTCTTCCTCTTGCCTTGGAAAAAAATCACACCTGTCACATTTCTAAAACAGATACAAAAGCCAGTGTCTGAAAAAGCCAGCCATCTAAATTGTCTTCACAACAGCAGACAGCTGCTGCTACAGGTAGGCAGTCAGTTAGTTACTTGGCTGGTTGGTTCTAGGATGCATGAGTCCATACTGAAAGCAATTATAGGCTATTTGAACTTTCTGCCAATATTGAATAAATGATCACTGATGGCTAAACGGATACTAAGATTTATCATGAAGCATTGCTGCTTCTAAAAAGATTATGGGCTAATTCTCTTTAAGGAGGCTTGCTGTAAAAAACAATATATAATGAAATTAGTACTGACAAAAGGGGTAAATTTGAGTCCTTTATATTCCTTGAGCTAGGAATATGCTAGAGATAATTTAGTCATTCCCTCAGTTCGCAAACTGGAGACTAGAGAACCTTAGAGGCTTCTCTGAGGACACACAGCTAGTTAGTAGCTGAGCAGGTTTGGTGAGAATATAGTATTAGTTTTGCTTTTGGCACTTTGAGTTTGGGGACCCTGGGAGACATCCAAGTCAAGATTTCAAGGAGGCAGTTGGATATTTGTAATGGTCCTTCAAGAGAGAGGTCAGGGTTTGAGTTATAAATTTGGGAGCAGACACTATTGATTATCTCACTCACATATATTTCAAGCCTGATTCTAAACTGCTGCAGAGACTGGAAAGCTTGAAACTATATTTCTCAGAACTCTTGGCAGCTAAATTTCTTGATGTGATTCCAGTTATACAAATTCTGTACTCTGAAAGAAGGCATTTGTTATTGTTTATATAACATTTTGCTATGAAAATTTCAAATATGTGTAACATTAGAAAGTATACGGTATAATGTACCTCTGTTGCTCAGCCTCAAAAATTACCAACACATGTGAATCTTGCTTTATTTCTATCCATATCTATTCCCTACACCTGAATCATTTTATATCGATCTCAGAAGTATTTCATCCATAAATATTTCAGTGTATGTCTCTGAAAGATAAGCATTCTTTTTTATAACATTCCCACAATGCCATTATCACACTGAAAAAAAATTAATGCTAAATCCTACTAATATCACAAAATATCTGGTCAGTGTTCATATTTAACCCAAATTTTCTTCTAGTACTTACATTGTTTTGTAGTTCTGTCTCATAAAAGTTTTACAGTTTTTAAAAATCAGGATTCAAATAAGGATTTATATGTTGCAATACGTTGATATGTCTTTTAGATTTTTTAAATCTGTGGTTTCATACACACACATACACACACACATTGTTTTTTCTTTGCTTATTTAAGAAACTGAGTTATTTGATCTATAGGGTTTCCAACAGTTTGGGTTTTGCTGATATTACTTATGATGCTCTGTAACCTGTTCTTCTGTCACTTATATTTCCTATGAATTTGTAGTTATGTCTAGAAGATTGATTCGATTCAGGTTCAATGTTTTTGGCAAGAACACTTCATAGCAAGTGCCATGAATTTCTATCAGAAGGAAGATACTGTCTGATTTTCTCTTTTTGTGATGTTATCAGTCACTGGAAAGACTGCTGACCATCATTTCACTAGAGGTTGCAAAATAATGACTTCCTAATTCCATTCCATCTTTTTATTTTTCTTTTTTGAGATGGAGTCTCGCTCTATCACCCAGGCTGAGTGCAGTGACGTGATCTTGGCTCACTGCAACCTCCACCTCCCAGGTTCAAGTGATTCTCCTGTTTAGCCTCCCAAATAGCTGAGATTACAAGTGTGCACCACCGTGCCTGGCTAATTTTTGTATTTTTAGTAGAGACAGGTTTTTGCCATGTTGTCCAGGCTGATCTCAAACTCCTGACCTCAGGTGATCTGCCCTCCTCAGCCTTCCAAAGTGCTGGGATGACAGGTGTGAGCCACTGTCTCCAACCCCATCTTCATTTAATAGCTAAAACACTTCTATCAAGAGAAACTTCTGCTCATCAACTATTTGGTTAGCTGGTGGTACGGTTCATATTGGAAAAGCAAAACAAATGCTTGATTGTGTTTTGTTGATTACCTGCCTTAAAAATTACGGTTTATTTTCCTTACATCCTCCAAAGATGACCAATGAGGTTTTTTATTAGAGGAGGATATCATTGTAAATTTAGATAATTATTTATATATAAATGACATAATATTTCATATGTTTCAATCCATTGCAGTTATTATTCTTTTTGATGTTCAAATTGACTAATTTTTGGTTAGAGAAACCCTTCAGTGTTGGCTCCTGAGTCCTTTTGACGTGGTTGCAGTAATCTTTAACAGGTTTCTTGCTTTTTATTTCCTTGCTCTCACAAGATATTTGAGGATCATCTTGTGTGTTTCCTGCTCTAGATCTGGATTCAGCCATTGCCCCAAGAAACTCTGTTTCTTTTTAGTAGGAAATGGTATTTAGAGACCCCCAATTTATACACTGAAGGTGTTCATTGCTGCTAGGTCATTCATTGTCTCCAGGCTTTTTTTCAGCTTTTAAGTTCCAGGCTACATGTGCAGGATTTGCAGGTTTGTTACACAGGTAAACATGTGCCATGGTGATTTGCTGCACAGATCAACCCATCACCTAGGTATTAAGCCCAGCATTCGTTAGCTATTCTTCCTGATGTTCTCCCTCTTCTCCACTCCCCTCAACAGGCCCCAGTGTGTGTTGTTTACCCCATGTGTCCATGTGTTTTCATCATTCGGTTCCCATTTATAAGTGAGAACATGTGGTGTTTGGTTTTCTGTTCCTGCGTTAGTTTGCTGAGGATAACGGCTTCCAGCTCCATCCATGTCCCTGCAAAGGACTTGATCTCATTCCCTTTTATGGCTGCATAGTATTTTGTGGTGTATATGTACCACATTTTCTTTATCCAATCTATCATTGATGGGCATTTGGGTTGATTCCATGTCTTTGCTATTGTGCATAGTGCTGCAATGAACATATGCATGTACATATCTTTATAATAAAATGACTTATATTCCTTTAGGTATATACCCATTAATGGGATTGCTGGGTCAAATGGTATTTCTGCTTCTAGATCTTTAAGGAATCACCACGCTGTCTTCCACAATGGTTGAACTAATTTACAGTCCCACCAACAGTGTAAAAGCATTCCTTTTTCTCCACAACCTCACCAGCATCTGTTGTTTCTGACTTTTTAATAATCACCATTCTGACTGGCTTGAGATGGTGTCTCACTGTGGTTTTGATTTACATTTCTCTAATGATCAGTGATGATGAGCTTTTTTTTCAATGTTTGCTGGCTGTATGAATGTCTTCTTTTGTTTCTAGGCTTTTTTATGAAGACCTAGAAAATAGCTGTTTTTTAAAGATAAATTACATCATGAGTTCATATTGATACTTTTATTCAAATTGAGGTATAAAAGAATTTTAGACTGGGCAAGGTAGCTTACACTTGTAATTCCAATACTTTGAAAGGCTGAGGCAGGAGGATTGCTTGAGGCCAAGAGTGAACTCAGCCTGGGAAACACAGCAAGACCCCATTCTTACAAAAAAATTAAAAATTAGCCAGGTGTGGTGGTTCACACCTGTAGTCCTTGCTACCAGGGAGGCTGAAGCTAACCCAGGAGGTTGAGGCTGCAGTGAGCTATGATCATGCCACTGCACTGCGGCCTGGGTGACAGAGCCAGACCCTATCTCAAAAAAAAAAAAGTTTTAATTTAATTTTATTTTATTGATTTCCTATCTGTATCTCCTTTTTCCCACTTTAAACATTTTTGTTTCTAAGGCCCTGATTACTTGTTTATTTCATAATATATGTGGGAAAGTCTCAGAATGACAATAATAACACTACCAACAATGATGTGATTATTGAAAATGGTTTCACATGTATCTAGGGGCTTATGTGTTTGTGGGTGTGTGCATGTGTGCAGTTCTTTGACCTTTAGGTTCTATTCCACCCAGGATGTGTCAGTAAAATTTTATGCTGTAGATCTAAAGTTTCTTTTTCTTTCTTTTACCTTTTTTTTTTTTTTTTTCTGAGACAGAGTTTCACTCTTGTTGCCCAGGCTGGAGTGCAATGGCATGACCTTGCCTCACTTCAACCTCCGCCTCCCGGGTTCAAGCGATTCTCCTGCCTCAGCTTCCTGAGTAGCTGGGATTATAGGCATGCGCTACCATGCCTGGCTAATTTTGTATTTTTAGTAGAGACGGGGTTTCTCCACGTTGGTCAGGCTAGTCTCAAACTGCCGAACTCAGGTGATCTACCTGCCTCGGCCTCCCAAAGTGCTGGGATTACAGGCGCGGGTCACTGTGCCCAGCCTAAATTCTCTTCTTCTTAAGTTTTTTCCTAAATGTGTGCACGGGTGTATATGCATGTGTGCATGAGTGTGTGTTTGCTGCTATTGTAAATAGAATATATACTTCCTTAACATGTTTTCAGCTGGTTATTTTTTATAATTGGGTATGGAGCTAAAGTAACCATTTTAGACGATAATCTGCTGTGTTGACTTCTGGTTCACCCCCAGTTCCAGTAACACCTCTAAGAATTCTACTTTATTTTTTTATATCTTGTGTAGGAGCCATACTTACTGTAAATCCTGCCCTTAGGCCAAGACAACCTTGATGTTATGTAAACTGTACTTACCATAAATTCTACCCTTAGGCTATAATACACTAGTCCTCTTGCCTTTCCTAAGAGGTCAACTTCAATTGTCCTACATATTTCTTCCAAAGCTCGCATACCCTTTCCCTGTGGTATATAAACCCCAGGCCTGGAACATCACAATGCAGAGATCGCCCTCTCTTATGGTCACCTAAGACTGTGCTTCTGTCCCTAAGTTCCCCAATAAATCACCCTCTATGGACAAACTGCATTCACCTGCTTTGTTCTTTGGTTTCTTGGCTCCTTCTGTGTTTGCATATACAGCCCTCTCAGCAAACATTGGGAAAGCTACTGAACCACATACTTTTACCCTAGTCCATTTTTAAAGCCCTCTGGAAAGTGACCACCAACAATCTCACAGCACCCTAATCTAGTACTTAATAAGTGTTTTCCCTAGATTACTTGATTGTGAAAATTATTGACAGTAGGAGAACTGATTTAAGTGTGTGGGAAAATTGTCTTATGGTTATCTTTAAAATAATGCTGGGTTCTATTTAAACACATTTAAAACATTTTGTTCAATAAAATATACATACAGAGAAGTTTCTAAAGCCTTGTTTTAATAAAATTTGGTCTTATAAGTTCAAGCTTATTCCTTTATACCTAAAACATTTTTGAGATCCTTCATGTATTAGGTACTGGGTCAAGAATAAGACATGATCCCTGCCCTGAGGAGACTTACGATAAATTAGAGGACAAATATGTAAATAAACAAACAATTACATATAGATTCTGATGGGTGTGAGGTAATGGAGGTCCATTTGGGGTACAGTGGAGCACAAAGGAGGGAACCCCAATGGAGCAGATGGAGGATGACGAAATGTCAGGGCAGGGGTCAAATAGATGTGAGAGGAAACTTAGGCAAAGAGGAATCAAAAGCCCAGCTACCAAATTGAAAAGACCTTGCAACATTGCTAACTGAAGAAAGTACAAGCAAATTGAAACACTGCAAACAAGTTAGAAGTAGCTGCTACCTTCAAGGGCAAATAGTGGAGGTTAAGAGAGAAACTTGGGTGTCAATCAAACTGCTTTCCAATTGGAAAAGACATCTGTTGCTTTAATCTCTGGTGTTCTGCTAATTTTAACAAATGCAGCTATCCTGGATTCGGTACAGGTCAAAGCTTTTTCAGCGATGATATTAGATTTCTGAGTGCTGTCATATGTATCGGTTTGATAGTTCATTTGCAGTTCTCATTTACATATCTGACTTGAAGGAAGTATCTTTGTGTCTTTTTAAAAGATATATGACATATACAAATTTTGTGCAGTAGACTCTTGTGATGTCCTGGGCATCCTCCTGTGGTCTGATTTTGGGATGCACTTCTGCCCTCACGGTCCATGAAATGCAGCAAGAAGGGAATGTGGCCTGCTGAGATCTCCGGAGGTTCCTTCCCACCTTAAGAACATGGCTCTCTGTGATCAAAGCAAAACTAAAAGAGTTGCTGTTATTTATTTGTTCATCTATATAGTTACTCATTGTTCCTCTAGTAAGCTATCCCACCCACTCATTGACCCACCCAACCATTCATTCTTTTCATTGCCTGCTCCTCCCATCCAGCCTTCTGCCCAGCCTCACCTCCCCCTATCTCCCGTCCTACCCATCCACCCATTTCCCTATTCATTTACTCACCCATCTACCCATGTCAGACACGGGATCAAAATCTCTCTTGAAACTCCAATTCCAAAACCCTCATTCATTCTCTTGTATGAAAGTACTTTCCTCAAGGTATGTTGGCACTAAGTCCCTCAGTTCCTACCTGTTTTAGCTCCCCCAAAGTACTAGTACTGAAGACTTCCAAGCTTGGTACAGCCTAGTGAAAACAGAGCCAGTCATTGTATACCAAGAGCTCCTGTTACTGTCCATGGTGGGCTTGGAATTCATCTGCTTCCCTGGGATTCTGGCCACTCAGTAGGGAAGCCCACTCAGCAGCCCAGCCAGTTCTTTTTTTTTTTTTTCCTGATCTTTCCTGTTCTCCTTTTTTCTTATTCCGTGGGTTCCTGAACTAGAGTTTGCATCCCGCCACACCTCTACCTGTCTGAACTTGCGTGCCTGGTTCTTTTGTGTGTGTGTGTGTGTGTGTGTGTGTGTGTGTGTGTGTGTGTGCCTTGTTTTTAGGGCCAGAATCAGCCCTCTTGACCTCCAGCCCCTTGGTTGAGCTCCTTCTTCAACTAGCTGGACTTCCCTGGAGCAATATTCCTTCTCAGAAGTTGGTCCTTATGACTGTGGGCCTGCCTATTGCTTAAACGTGGATGTTGAAACAGGCTCAGATAGAACCAGGCTCAACCACCTCTCCCTGGCACTATTTAGGGGCTCCCAGAAAGCCTGTTAGGATGCTAATCGTGGAAGACACAACAGTAACAACAAAAGGTTGTTTGAAAGTTTGGAAATGTGTTACCTCCCATAGCAAGGAGTCTGGAGGTAGAGCCTCTCCATGGAGAGAGGTACTTCAGTGTCTCAGGGATGTCACCACAGCCACATGCCTTCTGTATTCCTACTCCTCAGCATGTCAGTGGTTTTTCCCCACAGCACTTCCAGGCAACACATGGAAACATTGACAGCATCTACTAAAGAAGAAGGGTACTTTTTCCTATGTGCTGCTTTTTTTTTTTTTTTTTTTTTTGAGACAGAGTCTTGCTCTGTCACCCAGGCTGGAGGCAGTGGTGGGATCTCCTCTTACTGCAACCTCCACCTCCCGGGTTCAAGTGATTCTCCGGCCTCAGCCTCCTGAGTAGCTGGGATTACAGGTGTCCACCACCACACCCGGCTAAATTTTGTATTTTTAGTAAAGCCAGGGTTTCATCATGTTGACCAGGCTGGTTTTGAACTCCTGACCTCAGGTGATCCACCCTCCTCAGCCTCTCAAAGTGCTGGGATTACAGGTGTGAACCACCGCACCCGGCCCTATGTGCTGCTTTTTATCAGTAAGTGAATCTTTCTCAGAAGTCCTTCAGCAGATGTCTCCTTGGGTCCTATGGGTCGGGACTGAGTTCCATGTCCTAACCAAAGCCAGTCACTGATAAGGAGAATAAGGCTACCAAGCCAGCTTAGATCAGGCATAATGAGACAGAATTCATTCCCTGGGTCTAGGCAGGGGGAACAGCTGAACAAAACTGGGGCTTTGTTGGCAAGGAAGAAGGAAGGAAAGGGTGCTTGGTAGGCTCTATCAGGTCCAAGATACTAAAGAATAAAATTTTAACATTGGAATGAAATGTGAACTAATAGAGCTATATGGTTTTCATTAGAACGGTAATTCTTAGACAGGAGCTATTTTCCCCCTGGGGACATTTGGCAATGTCTGGAGACATTTTTGATTGTCACAACCTAGGGGAGCTTCTGACATCCACTGGGTCAACACCAAGAATGCTGTGAAATACAAGAATGCCCAGGACAGCCCCTCATGACAAAGAATTATCCAGCCCAAAATGCCAGCGTCACTGAGAGTGAAACCCTGCATTAAAATACAACAATATGAAGCAGGATGAATGAAAAGACTGAAACTGCTTTTATGAATGTTTGTAAAATGTTTTAGTTCATTTTTTGCGTATCTGTGATACTGGTTTGTAATATCTTACTGGCATCTCTGAGAATTAAAGTTCATAGGATTAAAACTGAATCATGGGAATTAAGTCAATGATTTTTGCCAACAGTAAAGATTAAAGAATAACAATACACAATAATGGTGAGAGTATAGTGAAGCAGACACTATTTTAAGCTGGTGGTGATAGGAAATCGCATGACTATTTTCAAAAGCAGTTTTACAATATGTATGATGACTCTTAAAAATGTTCATGCCCTTTCATCCTCAAATTTCACTTCTGAGAATCTGTCCTAAGGGAAAAATCCAAAATAGGAAAAAAGCTTTAATGCAGATCTTTATTCTAAACACCATTATTTATAAGACAACATTGAAAATAAACTTCAACATAGGTGTAAACAGCAATAAAATATGATTGAGGTACATGATGGAATTTTATATTGGTGTTAAGCATGATTTGTATGAAGGAAAAAGACACTTACATTATAACGGTAAATACTAAAAGTGACGAAATAAAATAGAATACTTACCACGATCTTAACTATGAAATAAATACTTAACTATGAAAATAAATACCTTAAAATATATATGCACGAAAGTAACCTGGCAAGAAACACCAGAGTGTTAGTATGACTATTCCTTTGTACTGAAGGGGATTGAGGTGAATTTTATTCTTCTAGCTTTGATTTTTTTAAGATGATACAGCCATGTTTATTTTTAAGGTAATACAACCTTGTTTTTTAATGTAATGCAACCACCATATTATGATGTAACATGGCAACAAATGCAGGCCATATAGATGGCACTAATAATTTAATTTTTATATCTGTTTCCATTGATAGTTTTTAATAATCCAATTTTTAGATCTGTTTCCATTGATAGTTTTTAATAATTCAATTTTTAGATCTGTTTCCATTGATAGTGTTTTCTTTTATTTTTTCCTAGAATCCTTTCCTGAAGCATCTTTTTTTTAATAGAGATGAGATCTCACTAGGCTGCCCTGGCTGGTTTTGAACTCCTGGCCTCAAGCGATTCTCCTGCCCTAGCCTCCCAAAGTGCTGGGATTATAGGTGTGAGCCACTGTGCCCGTCTGGTTCTTTCGTTTCTGATCTTTTCTGGCCTCCTTTTTTATAATTCCATGGGTTCCTGAACTAGAGTCCATAGACATTAAGAGGCTTATAGATGCGCTTCAGAGGATCTTTAATGCCTTAAAATTGTGAAACATATATACTCTTTAAAAAAGAAATAAGGATATTTTAAGCTGAGCATAGTGGCTCTGCCTGTAATCCCAGCTACTCAGGAGGTTGAAGTAGGAGAATCGCTTGAAGCCAGGAGTTTGAGACCAGCCAGGACAACATAGCGAGCCCCTGTCTCTTAAAAAAAAAAAAAAAAAAAAAATTAGCTGGGTGTGCTGGCAAGCACCTGTAGTCTCAGCTACTCCAGAGGCTAAACTGGGAAAATCACTTGAGCCCAGGAGTTTGGCTGCAGTGAGCTATGATTGCACCCAATACACTCATGTCTGGGTGATGAGTGAAACCCCATCTCTAAGACATAAAACAAAAAATTATACAGGAAGGCCAGGCACAGTGGCTCATGTCTGTAATCCCAGCACTTTGGGAGGCCAAGGCAGAAGGATCACTTGGGCCAGGGAATTCAAGACAAGCCTGGGCAATATAATAAGACCTCGTGTCTACAAGAAATTAAAGAATTATCTGGGTGTGGTGGTACGAATCTGTGAACCCAGCTACTTGGGAGGCTGAGGCTGGAGGATCACTTGAGCCCCAGAGGTCAAGGCTACAGTGGGCCGAGATCACCACTACACTGCACTCCAGCCTGGGTGGCAGAGCGAGACATTGTCTAAAAAAAAAAAAAAAAAAAAAAAAAAATTACACAAGAGGATTAAAGTAAGGGACAAAGTCATGTGTCAAATCCAAGGACAACCATTGACCAACTCTGAGGTATATCAATGGACCAAAGAGTCTTGATTCCCACTTCTGACAGGGACAACTCTATCAACTGAGGATGCCCCAAACTGATTCCTGGATCTTTGGGGCAGTTTAGCTTTTCGAGGCAGGTGGGGGGTTGCCAAAAGTCAGTTAGATGCTCACTCCTGGGACTGGGAAATGTACTGGAATATAACACGCACCTCAGAGAGCAAGAGTGGACACCCCACCGTGTCACAGAGAGGTTCCGGTGGAGCAGCATTCTAAGTATTGGACATTGAAGAAAAAAACAAATGGCATTTGCTACTTCTGACTCTTTCTTTTCTTTTTTTTTTTTTTTTTTTTCAGACGGAGTCTTTCTCTGTCATCCAGGCTGGAGTGGAGTGGCGCGATCTCTGCTAACTGCAACCTCTGCCTCCCGGGTTTAAGCGATTCTCCTGCCTCAGCCTGGAGGAGCTGGGATTACAGGCATGCGCCACCATGCCTGGCTAATTTTTGAATTTTTTTTTTTTTTTTTTTTTTTTTTTTGAGACAGAGTCTCGCTCTGTCGCCCAGGCTGGAGTGCAGTGGCGCAATCTCGGCTCACTGCAAGCTCCGCCTCCCGGGTTCACGCCATTCTCCTGCCTCAGCCTCCCGAGTAGCTGGGACTACAGGCGCCCGCCACCTCGCCCGGCTAATTTTTTGTATTTTTAGTAGAGACGGGGTTTCATCGTGTTAGCCAGGATGGTCTCGATCTCCTGACCTCATGATCCGCCCGCCTCGGCCTCCCAAAGTGCTGGGATTACAGGCGTGAGCCACCGCTCCCGGCCTTGAATTTTTAATAGAGGCGGGATTTCACCACGATGGCCCAGCTGGCCTCAAACTCCTGACCTCAAGTGATTCACCCACCTCGGCCTCCCAAAGTGCTAGGATTACAGGTGTAAGCCACTGATGCTGACTCTTTCTTATCTTTTTGTTTACTTTGTATTTTGTTTAGATAAGAGAGCTCTTCTCCAGACTTCGGAAGTACCAACCTCTACCCATATCACAGATCTCTAAAATAACGTCCGTGCCAGAAACGGAGCTAAACCAAAGGTCCACACCGTTTCCCATGTTCTTCTCTTCCCTCGCTGGCCAACCCCACACCCCCTCAACTGCCTAGCAGTTGAGTTGTCTCAACATACTGGGAATGGCTTTACCACATTGCCACCTGGGGGACAAATTCCTTCTCATTCTTTATTACCTGCTGAAATGTCACCACCTAAAGAGATCACCTTGGCTCACACCGCCCCCCACCATGCAGCATCAGTGACTTCCTATGGTGCCCCACAGCACATTATACGTACCCAGGAAATAATTTGTGTAGAACTTAAGAAGCTCTCAATGGGTCAAATCCAGGAATCTACTTTTTTTTTTTTTTTTTTTGAGATGGAGTCTCATTCTGTCACTCAGGCTGGAGTATGGAGTGCAGTGGCGTGATCTCAGCTCACTGCAAACTCCACCTCCAGGGCTCAAGCGATTCTCCTGCCTCAGCTTCCTGAGTAGCTGGGATTACAGGTGTGCACCACCATAACCAGCTAATTTTTGTATTTTTAGTAGAGATGGGGTTTCTCCATGTTGGTCAGGCTGGTCTCGAACTCCTGACCTCAGGTGATCCGCCCGCCTCAGCCTCCCAAAGTGCTGAGATTACAGGTGTGAGCCATCGTGCCCAGCCAGGAATCTACTTTTTTTTTTTTTTGAGACCGTGTCTCGCTCTGTCGCCTAGGCTGCAGTGCAGTGGCACGATCTCAGCTCACTGCAAGCTCCACCTCCCGAGTCCACACCATTCTCCTGCCTCAGCCTCCTGAGTAGCTGAGACTTCAGGCACCCGCCACCACGGCTGGCTAATTTTTTGTATTTTTAGTAGAGATGGAGTTTCACCGTGTTAGCCAGGATGGTCTCGACCTCCTGACCCCAGGTGATCCACCCACCTCAGCCTCCCAAAGTGCTGGGATCACAGGCATGAGCCACCGCGCCCTGCCAAAGGAATCTACTTTTTTAAGCCATTCCCAAGGGACTCTTCTGTATGCTGAAGTAGAAGAACCATTGGCTAAAACAGTGATGGTTCATTCACATAATGTGTAGAGTTTTCAGCCAGTCCTTCACGAAATCTTGCCCAGAATCCTTTACCTTGCCTGATAAGATATCACCAACAGGAAAGTTTTTTGTAGCAGTCAGGTGCAGTGGCTCATGCCTGTAATCCCAGCACTTTGGGAGGCCGAGGTGGGCGGATCACCTGGGGTCAGGAGTTCGAGACCAGTCTGGCCAACATGATGAAACCCTATCTCTACTAAAAATACAAAAATTAGCCAGGTGTGGTGGCGGCCTCCTGTAATCCCAGCTACTCGGGAGGCTGAGGCAAGAGAATCACTTGAACCCTGAAGGCAGAGATTGCAATGAGCTGAGATTGTACCAGTGCACTCCAGTCTGGGCGACAGAGTGAGACTCTGTTTCAAAATTTAAAAAAAGTTCTTTGTAGTGACAAAAATTAAATATAACCAAAGATCATAGGCCCAAATAGTTGTGGATCAGAGATCTAAATATGCAATCATCTTTTTCTTCTTTCATCAAACAGGGATAACTCTCTAAAATCACAAAAGCAGGTAGGACCTTTGAGCCAGAAGGGACCCCAGAAATCCAGTCGAGTGACATTGATGCTACAGATGAGAGAAGGAGGATTCACCTGTGTGTCAGTTTGGGTCCTCTGAAAATCAGAAACCAAGAAGAATTTAGATGTACAAGAGATTTATTGGGAGAAATATCTGTGAAAGGTAATGAGGGAGAGAACAGGAGTAGGCAGGGTGCACCTATTGATGGAGGTGCAGGTCTGCATATGTGAAAGGAGACGGAAGGAAGTGGGTGGATAGGAGAACCCTCAGACTGCGATACAGCCATGAAAGGGTCTTGGCCAGGCCAGTAAAGTATCCCTGAGCAAAGATCGAACATTCAAGGAGTTTTGTGTTGGGCAGAAATAGCCCGGCCGCGGTACCTAAGGCCGCGGACTTAGTAGTTGGCTAGAAGTAGCTTGGTAAGCGGCAGGGGGAAATCAAGCTTTGTTGTGAATATCACGGCAAATCCAAAGGTGTGAAAGGTATAAGCTGTCACCCAACTATACTCCCCACATCAGGTTCTCTCTAAGGGAGGTCTGAGCGGCCAACCTCCATGGCCACCGCAACATGTTCATGATCACGGTTAGTAGCAGAGCAAGGACTAAAATCTAGTCCAGAATTCTTTCTAGATTATTCTGCAAGGCATTCTCTCTCCAATGCCTGGCCCCATCCCATGGCCCCAAGTTTATAGGTTTGGACTTAATCTTGTGGATGTTAGAGCTAGATGTCAGCCCCCTGAAGGTTAGAGAAGGCAGGACCACTAAGCAGGTCAGAAGAGGAAGGAGAGCGATGCAGAAGGGCTGTAAGGTCTTTGAGGAAAAGCAGCAGCTCCGGCTGAAGAGGTCCCAGTGGCTCTGTGCATCTGCTTACCTGACATGCGTCCTACTGCCTCCTTTAGACAACTCTTCACCTCTTCCAGCTGCCTCTCAATCTCAGCACTCTACTTCCCATCCCAGACCCAAGCTGGCTCTATCAGACTCTTTCTCTAGGTTGATATTCAAGCATTAGGAGAAAGACATTATCTTTTTACTGGAAAAGCAAAACTGTGATAGCAGGAACTAGGGCAGTTGGTGGCTTTTTTCTTTTTTCTTTTTTTTTTTTTGAGATGGAGTCTCGCTCTGTCCCCCAGGCTGGAGTGCAATGGCACCATCTTGGCTCACTGCAACTTCTGCCTCCCGGATTCAAGCTATTCTCCTGCCTCAGCCTCCTGAATAGCTGGGATTACAGGCACATGGCTTTCTTGTTACATGGGAGGAGCAACTCTGCGGAATGAAGACCAGCAGAGATGAGAGGTGAATGGAGAAAGGTGTGTGTGTGTGTGTGTGTGTGTGGTGTGTGTGTGTGTGTGTGTGTGTGTGTGAGAGAGAGAGAGAATGAGTGACTCATGGCACATTGAATCCTAGTCCCAGCCCCCAAGGCCTGCCTCGCGCCTTCAGCTCTTCTACTCCAGGCACTTCCCCAGATGGGTCAATGTGCTCCCTTTTTCTTGGTGTAGTAGGCAGATTTCTAGGATGGCTCATAATTCGCAGCCCCTGGTCTATTGCACCTTCTCCCAGTTATTCAGTCAAGCACTAATCTTGGTATTGCTGTGAAGGGACTTTGCAGTTGTAATTAAGACCCCAAATAAATTGACTTTAAGATAGGGAGATGAGCCAAGCAGATCTGGCTTAATTACACAAGGCCTTCAAACTGAGTCTAGAGATCAGGCATAGAAAAATCAGAAAGATGTGAAATGTGACCAAATGTTAGTGAAGGAGTCAAAGCCGGTGGCCTCTGGAGCTGAGAGCAGTCCCCTGACAGCAGTCTAATAACCACAGGGAACTGAATTAGGCCCACAGCCTGAATTAGCTTGGAAACGGACTTTTCCCCAGAGCCTTCAGATGAGAACTCAGCTGGGCCAACACCACGATTTCCTTTGGTCCTTGAGACCCTGAGTGAAGACCCCAACCCTGCCATACCTAGACTGCTGACATACAGCACGTGTTTTAAGTGGTCAAGTTAGTGGTTGTTTATCAACAATAGAAAACTAATACACTTGGGTAAGACCTGAAGAAGTGTTGACTAAACCAGTGAGGAGAAAATAGTCCTCTTCTACTGCCCTACGCAGACTCTAGAAACTGCTGTTCTTCACTTGGCTTTTCTTGGGTATGAATCTGCTTACAGGAGTATCTGTTGTTGAATAGTGTGATGAAAGAATTTAAAAGCACATTTGGATGAGGACAGAGGGAGCACAAGACGATTCTTGTTTCTGAAGTGGCTGGGGAGGAAGATCACCGCAGGAGTGAAGAGGGAGAGAGGAAAATGGCTGGTGAGAGATGGTGCCTGGGGACCTGGAAAATAAATGTCTCCTCACTGGTCTCCCTGACTAGTCTCCCTGCTTCCACCTGCTCTCAACGCAGCAGCCAGAGTGAACTTTATAACAGGTGAATCAGCTTTGGCACCCTGTTCAAAACTCTCCAGGTCTTCTCATTTCATGAGGAGTGAATCTAAATTCTTCGGTGGCTGACAGATGCCTCCACCACTGGTGCCATCCCTCTTTCCACGAGCTCTCTCCCCACCCCCATCCCAGCCACTCTGGCCTGGTGGATCCATCAACCCACATAGATACTTACACCTCTCATACTTTGCTATTTTTTTGGTGAGGGTGGACAGGGTCTCGATGAGACAGGATAGTTCTCTTGACCTCCTTTGTGGGCAGGAACTGGAGTGGCCCGTTTCACTCAGCCAGCTGCTGGCCACTCCTCACAGGAGGAAGCATGCAAGACAGTAAGTGCGGGAACTGGAGTAAATGGATGCTGGAATGGCCGGCCACTCCTCTCTGGCAGGAGCAAGCTCTGTGGGGCTCCACAGCAGCTCCAAGCATGTATAACCAATGCTTTTTCAGCTCTGCTGTCCAGGGATGGTCAAGTGCCAACCAGCTCAGTGGAGGGTCAGAGTGGCAGCCCCTGTCCTCTTGGCACCCAGGTTCTTGCCCTCTTGGCACCTGGGTTCTTGTCTGGTGTCCAGGAAGAATCAGGTCACATGAACTGTTTGAAAGGTGATGCATGTGGAAGACTTTATTGAGTGATGTGTAGCCCTCAGCAGAAAGGGAGGCTGCCAACGGGATGGGAAGGTGATCTTTCCCTGAAGCCGCACTGTCTGAAGTTAGCTGCATCTATCCACAGTCTTTGATGCTCAGTTGCTTCTCTGCTCGCGGCTCAGCTGCTTGTAACCTCAATGCTCAGCTGCCTGTGTTGCTCTATCAGCTGAAATCTTTTATAGGCACAGGATAGGGGCAGGGCGAGGCAGGCCAAAAAGGCAACATTTGCGCAGAAAAATGGGGTCAGCCGTTTTCACTCAGGCCTGTGGTTCCAGGCTTAAGGGTGGGGTTTAGCTGGGACCCCAGCCCTTCTGTTATCATTGCTCTGTCACTCAGGTTGGAGTGCAGTGGTGTGATCATGGATCCCTGCAGCCTCAACCTCCTGAGCTCAAGCAATCCTCTCACCTCAGCCTCCTGGCTGATTTTTTAAATTTTTTGTAGAGATGGGGGTCTTGCTGTGTTGCCCAGGCTGGTCTCAAACTCCTGACTTCAAGCGATCCTCTTGTCTTGGCCTCCCAAAGTGCTGCGATTACAGACATGAACCACCTTGGCCAGCCTCTTTAAAAAAAAAAAATATATATATATATATATATATATATATATATTCATATGTATATGTATATGTATATTTTATTGTAGTGAGAACACTTAACATGAGAGCTACCCTCTTGGTAAATTTTTAAGTGTCCAATATATTATTGCTGACTGTAGGTACAATGTGGTACAGCAGATCTCTAGCAGTTAATTATGTTTGTTGGCTGAAACTTCTATTGATTAGCAACTCTTATTGTAACTGTTAGTAACTTCTATTGATAGTAAACCTATTGATTAGAAACTCCCCATCTCCCACTTGCCCCAACCACTGGTAACCACCATTCCACTCTTTAATTATATAAACACACTATTTTAGATACTTCATAGAAGTGACATAATGTGGTCTTTGTCTTTCTGTGAGTGGGCTATTTAACCCAGGAGAGTGTCCTCCGGGTTTATGTCCATGTCAGTCCATATTGCCTAGGACTTTACGTTTTCTTGTTTTGTTTTGTTTTTGAGATGGAGTCTTGCTCTGTTGCCCAGGCTGGAGTGCAGTGGTGCAATCTCGGCTCACTGCAACTTCCGCCTCCTGGGTTAATCGATTCTTGTGTCTCAGCCTCCCGAGTAGCTGGGATTACAGGCATGCGCCACCACGCCCAGCTACTTTTTGTATTTTTAGTAGAGATGGGGTTTCATCATGTTGGCCAGGCTGGTCTCAAACTCCTGACCTCAGGTGATCCACCTGCCTCGGCCTCCCAAAGTGCTGAGATTACAGGCGTGAGCCACCACGCCCGGCCAGGACTTTGCTCTTGAACCCTGGGCAGGACTGCGCTTTCCTGTGATACCTTATTGCTTACTCTTTCATTTTTGTCAAATCTTCACTCGCATGTCACTTTCTCAGTGAAGCCTTTCTTGACCACCTTGTCTAAAATTGTAACTCCATCCCCCAATATCCCTTCCTTGCTTTATTCTTTCTTTGAGCACATATCACTAACAAATTGTTTATTCTACTCATTTAATATGTTTGTCAGATCCTCCCACTAGAATGTTAGCTTGATGCCCACAAGAACCCAGGTGTGTTTAAAGCACATCGTATTCCTAATACCAAGAACAGTGCCTGGCACGTGGCAGGCACTCAATAAATATTTGCTAAATGATTGAACAAAAGAGAGATGTGCGCATAAGCAGAAATATATTCCATTTCCTAAGGGTAACTGCTTTCTCCTTACTAAGAAACTGGGGGTGGGTATTTTTTTTAAGAAAAGTAATGAGTTGGCTATTCATTCCCCTTGGCTACAACAGTCCAGGACAAAGAGACGGCAAGGTTATGCAGCTTGCTTTGCAAGCAGAGCCGACAGTGAAACCTGTTGTGATGGAAAAAGAAAGACACCACATAAAACATAAGTCTCCCATGAGGCTTTATGATACAAAGCACTTGGGGGCCTGGAGGTTGGCTTCTGATGATGGTTAGCTTTTATAAATATTAGATAAGTATAATCCCAAAACCAATCAATCATCTCTCCCAGCCAGCTTCCAACTGGGCAACTGCCACTCTTCCTTTTCTGTCTGTTGTGACCTGAACGGTGAGGCCCACCTGACAGCAGCTCTCTTCCAAGGGCAAGATTATGTATTTTATTTCAAGAAATGAAGAGTATAAACAGTGGCTCAACTAGGTCTTAAAAGCTATAGTGAAACATCCCTAGCTTTCCCCAAAGTACTTCCTGAATTACGAATATCTACATATGTTTGCTATATGTATGCAAAATATTTATTTTACATTGTTGTTGTGGTGTGAACCATTTAACATACACCCATTTGCTTATGACTCCACAGACTTTTTTTTTTTTTTTTTTTTTTGAGACAGGGTCTTACTCTGTCGCCCAGGCTGGAGTGCAGTAGCGTGATCTCAGCTCACTGCAACCTCTGCCTCCCCAGTTCAAGCAATTCTTGTGCCTCAGTCTCCCAAGTAGCTGGAATTACAGGCGCCCGCTACCACACCCAGCTAATTTTTGTATTTTTAGTAGAGACGCGGCTTTGCTATATTGGCCAGGCTGGTCTCCAACTCCTGGCCTCCTGCGATCCGCCCACCTCAGCCTCCCAAAGTGCTAGAATTATAGGCGTGAACCATGACGCCCAGCTGCCAGACATTTTTTTATGAGTGCCTGTTTTGTGCCAGACACTATGCAAGGTGCGGAAGATGCAAAAGTGAACAAGGAGGGACTTTTTATTACTTAGGGTTAGGTTTAACGTTTAACAGAAAATCCAAAATAATAGCAATTTGAACAAATTAGAAGTGCATTCGCCTCTTAGATAAAAGAAGTCCAGATGTAGACAGTTAAAAGTTGGTATGACAGGGTGGGTGCAGTGGCTTGAGCCTGTAATCCCAGCACCTTGCAAGGCTGAGGCAGGTGGGTCACTTGAGGTCAGGAGTTCGAGACCAGCCTGGCCAACATGGTGGAACCCCCATCTCTACTAAAAATACAAAAATTAGTTGAACATCATGGCGGGTGCCTGTAGTCCCAGCTAGTCAGGACGCTGAGGCAGGAGAATCACTTGAACCTGGGAGGCAGAGGTTGCCGGTGAGCCAAGATGGCGCCACTGCACTCCAGCCTGGGAGACACAGTGAAACCCCATCTCAAAAAAAAAAAAAAAACAGTTGGTATGACATATGGTGTAGGGAGCCAGCCAGGCTCTTGTTATTCTTCTGCTCTGCCATGCTGCCCTGGCTTAGAACTCTTCACCCAGATTCTGCCTGGCTAACGTCGCCTCTCCCAGGAACCTCGAATAATGAACACCTGTGGAGATGTTGTGTAGGTGTCACAAGCGGAAGTTTTCTACTCTGGACAGAGGCGGGAACAGCAGAGGCAGATTCTGATGTCCACTGTGGGACAGTTGTACTGGGGACAAGACTTGAGATTCCTCTGCCTGGAAGGGGATCCGCCATGGTGGCTGAGGAGGGGAGGTCAGACTGGGGAAGGAGCCTGCCAGGAATCAACACAGAGAAGAAGCTGTCCAGAATCAAATCCACCTTGTGGGTCAAGTGAGGTGAATACATGAATCCTAATTCTATGCAGGAAAGTCAAGCTGCTATCTTCATTCAGAGGATGGTGCCTTGCAGGCACAGGGTGTGTTAATTCATTTTTTACTTCTATAAAGGAATATCTGAGACTAGGTAATTTATAAAGAAAAAAGGTTTATTTGGCTCATGATTCTGCTGGATGGAAGACTGGGCATCTGGTAAAAGCCTCAGGCTGCTTCTACTCATGGTGGAGGCTGAGGGGAGCTGGCGTGTGCAGAGATCACATGGCGAGAGAGGAAACGAGTGAGAAGGGAGGGGCTGATGCTTTTTAACAAGGACCCATCACAGAAACTATAATAATAGAGTGAAAACTCACTGTGCCCGCCACCTGGGGTATTAATCCATTCATAAGTGAGCCACTCCCATGACCCAAACACCCCCATTAGGCCCCACCTCCAACACTGGGGTCAAATTTCAACATGAGATTTGGAGGGGACAAGCATCCAAACTATAGCACAGGACTATCTGTTGCAGTAGAAAGAACTAAGATTTTTTTTTACAGTCAGACAGATTTGGGTTCATGGCCCAGTTCTCTCATTAGCTGTGTGGCAAATTATTGGTCCTCCTTGTTCTCCAAAGAAAAAAGGAGGATAATGACATTATACTTATGAATATTACTGTTTTTATCATCCTTCAATGAGATGCTATTAAGTGCCTACATTGTATGTAGGCACCATTCCTGGCATAAACATTCAAAATGTTTATTCTGATGATAATGATGATGATACATAATCTGGATATTTGTTGCTGTTAGGCAGATATCTTTAACTCTCTCTCCAACTCATATCTCTGCATTGATCTGCTTGGCAGGGTCACCCTTTCCTACTAACAGGAAGCTTTTTCCATGTGATGGAGAGCAGGGCCACTGGTCACTCTGAATTCATACCCTTCCAACCCTCAGACCTAACAAGCAAGAGAGAAATTCTCTCCCATCCCAATGAATAAATTCCCAAGAAGGACTGCTTGGCTTGGCTTGAGTCACATGCCCATCCTATGCCAATCACTTTGGTCAGAGGGATGGAGTTCTATCATCAGCCCAGTCTTAGATACCTGCTCATCCCTGTGACCAAGGGTCAGGGTCTATTACAGATGATATGTGGAATATTATGCTCTCTGGGAAAACAAATAAAATAGCTGACAGTCTATATCCAGCTGTTATGCCATTTTGTATCATTTCATGGTTGTTTTTGTCTGTTTGTTGCTAAATTGTAAGCTCCCAGAGGCAGGAACCATGGCCCTTGTATCTTTGCGTTCCTCAGCAGCTAGTATGGTACCTCTATAAATGGAAGTTGGTTGGTTGAAACTCACTGTTTTCTGAATGTGAGCCAGATCAGAGAGTAACAGATTTGAGATAATGCTCAAGAAGATAGAGTGGGGTTTCCTGGGAGTCTTATGGGCTCCAATGTTAGGGTGTTGGGAGATACTTTGTCCTTCTCATGAGGGACTTTGAGGTTCGGGGGAGGAACACTGAAAATCGAAAGATAAATCAGTCAACTCAACTTCTGGAGCCAAAGCTGCCTTATTACAGAATGAGGAAGGTGATCCTGGTGATATCTTGCTTACGATCTTAAAATTCTATGAATATGTTTATCTTTCTTTTTGACATTTATTGGCTCCTTTTCAACCTCTTTTTAACATCTGAGCAATGTTAAAATCAGGTATCATTTTTTAAAGGTCATTGTGTTTATCTGGCACAACTTAGAAATTTCATGCTTTCCTTTCCAATTTAATATGAAGACTCAATTTAGAAAAAAAAAAAAGAACACTGTTCTGAAAATCATGGAACAGGCTCTAGATTCAGTTCTGCCTAATGAGATGAAGGACATTGACCAGATCTCTTAAACTCTCTGAGCTTTATCTTCCTTGTTTGTACATAACACAGCTGGTATAAATTTGGTAAAAGGCAAGCTCTAATTTTAATGTCCTGAGGTACTGGCATGGAGGAAACAGCCATCTCCCCTTTATCCTTTCTTTTTTTTTTTTTTGAGACGAAGTCTCACTCTTGTTGCCCAGGCTGGAGTGCAATGGCACGATCTCAGCTCACTGTAACCTCCGCCCCTGGGTTTAAGTGAGTCTCCTGCCTCAGCTTCCCGAGTAGCTGGGATTACAGGTGCCTGCCACCATACTCAGCTAATTTTTGTATTTTTAGTAGAGATGGCGTTTCACCATGTTGGCCAGGCTGGTCTCGAACTCCTGACCTCAGCCAATCTGCCCACCTCGGCCTCCCAAAATGCTGGGATTAAAGGCGTGAGCCACTGCACTAGGCCTCCCCTTTTTCCTTTCAATAATTGAACCATCCATGAGTTTTCTGGGCACATGGCAGCCCAGCTAGAGACTTCATTTCCCAGCCTCCGTGTGGCCAGGTGTGGCTATGGGAGTAAGTGCAGGCAAGAGGGAGGTGAGATGAGGGGATGAATGCACCCTCTAGTTCATCCCCAACCTAAGCACAAGGTACTTACCCTGTATCTCCTGTATTTCCCCTTCTTACCACATGAGAATGGTGACAACCAGGACAGCTGACTTGGGCCCAGATAACAGAAGTTGTAGGTTGAGAACTGATGAAGGCTGAATGGTCACAGAGTAGAGCCTTCCATCCATTTCTGACCACCACTGGCCTTGAGACTGTTGTCCCAAGAGAAGCAGACATTTCCACCTTATTTAACCCTCTGTACTTTTGGAGAGTTTTTTTAAACACAGCTTAACCTGAACCTTACGAATCACATAATTCAAATTCATTTTTACTTAAGATTGAGTAACGATTAAGATTCATTATTTAATTAAGTCCCTACCAATCACAGAATTAGGATTCACTTTTACTTAAGTGGTACTCCTATTTTCTTTAAATGGCTTACACAGTGGTTAAGAACACAGGCTGTGGAGTCAGACGGAACAGAATCCTAGTTCTGTTGTTTTCCAGCCCCGTAACCTCAGGCATATTACCCAGCTTCACCACACCTTGGTTTGTCTATCTGTAAAACTGGGGCAATAATGAGACTTACCTGATGGGATGCTTGGAAGAATCACATGAGAGAAGGTATAGGAAGATGTTGCCTCAGTGCCTGCCACCTTGTAAACCCTCAGAAGTACTAGTTTCTGATATAATCATTAACACTGTTATCAAGATCATCACCACCATCATCATCTATTGATGTTTTTGTAAAACTGGTTTGCTGAGCTTCCCAGGTTTAGGAAACCAACTATGCCAACTATGAACAGTCACCCATCCTTAATAAAGCACTCTGGGATTCTCTGTACATCTGTTGGCCACAGGATGAGTTTGGCACTGTGTGTAGGTGTATGTCCTAAAGAGACCTGCTGCCTTTGCATTTATTCCGGTTGTAATGTCATTTGCAGAGTGATTGAGCATGGCGTTCCTTGCACTTGTGGTCTTGCACATTCAGCATCCTCTCAGGAGCCGGAACACCTGAAATGAGATAGGGAGCAATGAGGAAAAATGAACGGTTGGATAGAGAAGGGTTTCTTTTTCATATTTGTCATCCTTAGATTTGCTTTTTGACTATGAAAAAAAATGCCAATGACAGGGGTCTAAGGAAGAAGCCTTGAAAGTTACCATTAACATGAAAATCTTTCCCTTTTAATAAAATACAATATTGGACATAGAAAAAGCTACATGTAGGTTCATATCATGTCAGGGTTTAAAAAATATTTTTAAAATTTCCTTTGATCATTTTAATTGAACCAGTAGTAATTCATTATAGGAAATAAGAAAATTTTAAAAAATGAAAATTTTTTTTATAATCGAACTTTCTTTTTTTAATTTAATTTTATTTCATTATTATTATACTTTAAGTTTTAGGGTACATGTGCACAATGTGCAGGTTTGTTACATATGTATACATGTGCCATGTTGGTGTGCTGCATCCATTAACTCGTCATTTAGCATTAGGTATATCTCCTAATGCTATCCCTCCCCCATCCCCCCACCCCACAACAGGACCCGGAGTGTGATGTTCCCCTTCCTGTGTCCATGTGTTTTCATTGTTTAATTCCCACCTATGAGTGAGAACATGTGGTGTTTGGTTTTTTCTCCTTGCGATAGTTTGCTGAGAATGATGATTTCCAATTTCATCCATGTCCCTACAAAGGACATGAACTCTTTATTTTTTATGGCTGCATAGTATTCCATGGTGTATATGTGCCATATTTTCTTAATCCAGTCTATCATTGCTGGACATTTGAGTTGGTTCCAAGTCTTTGCTATTGTGAATAGTGCTGCAGTAAACATACGTGTGCATGTGTCTTTATAGCAGCATGATTTATAGTCCTTTGGGTATATACCTAGTAATGGGATGGCTGGGTCAAATGGTATTTCTAGTTCTAGATCCCTGAGGAATCGCCGCACTGACTTCCACAATGGTTGAACTAGTTTACAGTCCCACCAACAGTGTAAAAGTGTTCCTATTTCTCCACATCCTCTCCAGCACCTGTTGTTTCCTGACTTTTTAATGATCGCCATTCTAACTGGTGTGAGATGGTATCTCATTGTGGTTTTGATTTGCATTTCTCTGATGGCCAGTGATGGTGAGCATTTTTGCATGTGTTTTTTGGCTGCATAAATGTCTTCTTTTGAGAAGTGTCTGTTCATATCCTTTGCCCACTTTTTGATGGGGTTGTTTGTTTTTTCTTGTAAATTTGTTTGAGTTCATTGTAGATTCTGGATATTAGGCCTTTGTCAGATGAGTAGGTTGCAAAAATTTTCTCCCATTTTGTAGGTTGCCTGTTCACTCTGATGGTAGTTTCTTTTGCTGTGCAGAAGCTCTTTAGTTTAATTAGATCCCACTTGTCAATTTTGGCTTTTGTTGCCATTGCTTTTGGTGTTTTAGACATGAAGTCCTTGCCCATGCCTATGTCATGAATGGTATTGCCTAGGTTTTCTTCTAGGGTTTTTATGGTTTTAGGTCTAACATGTAAGTCTTTAATCCATCTTGAATTAATTTTTGTATAAGGTGTAAGGAAGGGATCCAGTTTCAGCTTTCTACATGTGGCCAGCCAGTTTTCCCAGCACCATTTATTAAATAGGGAATCCTTTCCCCATTGCTTGTTTTTGTCAGTTTTGTCAAAGATCAGATGGTTGTAGATATGTGGCATTATTTCTGAGGGCTCTGTTCTGTTCCATTGATCTATATCTCTGTTTTGGTACCAGTACCATGCTGTTTTGGTTACTGTAGCCTTGTAGTATAGTTTGGTAAGTCAGGTAGCGTGATGCCTCCAGCTTTGTTCTTTTGGCTTAGGATTGACTTGGCAATGCGGGCTCTTTTTTGGATCCATATGAACTTTAAAGTAGTTTTCTCCAATTCTGTGAAGAAAGTCATTGGTAGCTTGATAGGGATGGCATTGAATATATAAATTACCTTGGGAATATGGCCATTTTCACGATATTGATTCTTCCTACCCATGAGCATGGAATGTTCTTCCATTTGTTTGTATCCTCTTTTATTTCATTGAGCAGTGGTTTGTAGTTCTCCTTGAAGAGGTCCTTCACATCCCTTGTAAATTGGGTTCCTAGGTATTTTATTCTCTTTGAAGCAATTGTGAATGGGAGTTCACTCATGATTTGGCTCTCTGTCTGTTACTGGTGTATAAGAATGCTTGTGATTTTTGTACATTGATTTTGTACCCTGAGACTTTGCTGAAGTTGCTTATCAGCTTAAGGAGATTTTGGGCTGAGACGATGGGGATTTCTAGATATACAATCATGTCATCTGCAAACAGGGACAATTTGACTTCCTCTTTTCCTAATTGAATACCCTTTCTGTCTCCTGCCTGATTACCGTGGCCAGAACTTCCAACACTATGTTGAATAGTAGTGGTGAGAGAGGGCATCCCTGTCTTGTGCCAGTTTTCAAAGGGAATGCTTCCAGTTTTTACCCATTCAGTATGATATTGGCTGTGGGTTTGTCATAGATAGCTCTTATTATTTTGAGATACGTCCCATCAATACCTAATTTATTGAGAGTTTTTAGCATGAAGGGTTGTTGAATTTTGTCAAAGGCCTTTTCTGCATCTATTGAGATAATCATGTGGTTTTTGTCTTTGGTTCTGTTTATATGCTGGATTACATTTATTGATTTGCATATGTTGAACCAGCCTTGCATCCCAGGAATGAAGCCCACTTGATCATGGTGGATAAGCTTTTTGATGTGCTGCTGGATTCGGTTTGCCAGTATTTTATTGAGGATTCTTGCATCAATGTTCATCAAGGATATTGGTCTAAAATTCTCTTTTTTGGTTGTGTCTCTGCCAGGCTTTGGTATCAGGATGATGCTGGCCTCATAAAATGAGTTAGGGAGGATTCCCTCTTTTTCTATTGATTGGAATAGTTTCAGAAGGAATCGTACCAGCTCCTCCTTGTACCTCTGGTAGAATTTGGCTGTGAATCCATCTGGTCCTGGACTTTTTTTGGTTGGTAAGCTATTGATTATTGCCACAATTTCAGAGACTGTTATTGGTCTATTCAGAGATTCACTTCTTCCTTGTTTAGTCTTGGGAGGGTGTATGTGTCCAGGAATTTATCCATTTCTTCCAGATTTTCTAGTTTATCTGTGTAGAGGTGTTTATAGTATTCTCTAATGGTAGTTTGTATTTCTGTGGGATCGGAGGTGATATCCCCTTTATCATTTTTTATTGCATCTATTTGATTCTTCTCTCTTTTCTTCTTTATTAGTCTTGCTAGCGGTCTATCGATTTTGTTGATCTTTTCAAAAAACCAGCTCCTGGATTCATTGATGTTTTTGAAGGGTTTTTTGTGTCTCTATTTCCTTCAGTTCTGCTCTGATTTTAGTTATTTCTTGCCTTCTGCTAGCTTTTCAATGTGTTTGCTCTTGCTTTTCTTGTTCTTTTAATTGTGACGTTAGGGTGTCGATTTTGGATCTTTCCTGCTTTCTCTTGTGGGCATTTAGTGCTATAAATTTCCTTCTACACACTGCTTTAAATGTGTCCCAGAGATTCTGGTATGTTGTGTCTTTGTTCTTGTTGGTTTCAAAGAACATCTTTATTTCTGCCTTCATTTCGTTATGTACCCAGTAGTCACTCAGGAGCAGGTTGTTCAGTTTCCATGTAGTTGAGCAGTTTTGAGTGAGTTTCTTAGTCCTGAGTTCTAGTTTGATTGCACTGTGGTCTGAGAGACAGTTTGTTATAATTTCTGTTCTTTTACATTTGCTGAGGAGTGCTTTACTTCCAACTATGTGGTCAGTTTTGGAATAGGTGTGGTGTGGTGCTGAAAAAAATGTATATTCTGTTGATTTGGGGTGGAGAGTTCTGTAGATGTCTATTAGGTCCACTTGCTGCAGAGCTGAGTTCAATTCCTGGGTATCCTTTTTAACTTTTAACTTTCTGTCTCGTTGATCTGTCTAATGTTGACAGTGGGGTGTTAAAGTCTCCCATTATTATTGTGTGGGAGTCTAAGTCTCTTTGTAGGTCACTAAGGACTTGCTTTGTGAATCTGAGTGCTCCTGTATTGGGTGCATTTATATTTAGGATAGTTAGCTCTTCTTGTTGAATTGATCCCTTTACCATTATGTAATGGCCTTCTTTGTCTCTTTTGATCTTTGTTGGTTTAAAGTCTTTTTTATCAGAGACTAGGATTGCAATCCCTGCCTTTTTTTGTTTTCCATTTGCTTGGTAGATCTTCCTCCATCCCTTTATTTTGAGCCTATGTGTGTCTCTGCACGTGAGATGGGTTTCCTGAATACAGCACACTGATGTATCTTGACTCTTTATCCAATTTGCCAGTCTGTGCCTTTTAATTGGAGCATTTAGCCCATTTACATTTAAAGTTAATATTGTTATGTGTTTATTTAGTCCTGTCATTATGATGTTAGCTGGTTATTTTGCTCGTTAGTTGATGCAGTTTTCTTCCTTGTCTTGATGGTCTTTACATTTTGGCATGTTTTTGCAGTGGCTGGTACCGGTTGTTCCTTTCCATGTTTAGTGCTTCCTTCAGGAGCTCTTTTAGGGCAGACCTGGTGGTGACAAAATCTCTCAGCATTTGGTTGTCTGTAAAGTATTTTATTTCTCCTTCACTTATGAAGCTTAGTTCGGCTGGATATGAAATTCTGGGTTTTATTCTTTTTTCTCTAAACTTCCCTTCGCGCTTCATTTCATTCATTTCGTCTTCCATTACTGATACCCTTTCTTCCAGTTGATCACATTGGCTCCTGGGGCTTCTGCATTCTTCACGTAATTCTCGAGCCTTGGCTTTCAGCTCCATTAGCTCCTTTAAGGACTTCTCTGCGTTGGTTATTCTAGTTATCCAATCATCTAATTTTTTTTCAAAGTTTTTAACTTCTTTGCCATTTGTTTGAATTTCCTCCTGTAGCTCAGAGTAGTTTGATCGTCTGAAGCCTTCTTCTCTCAGCTCGTCAAAGTCATTCCACATCCAGCTTTGTTCCATTGCTGGTGAGGAGCTGCATTCCTTTGGAGGAGGAGAGGCGCTCTGCTTTTTACAGTTTCCAGTTTTTCTGCTCTGTTTTTTCCCCATCTTTTCTTTAAGAATGTTGAATATTGGCCCCCACTCTCTTCTGGCTTGTAGAGTTTCTGCGAAGAGATCTGCTGTTAGTCTGATGGGCTTCCCTTTGTGGGTAACCTGACCTTTCTCTCTGGCTGCCCTTAACATTTTTTCCTTCATTTCAACTTTGGTGAATCTGACAATTATGTGTCTTGGAGTTGCTCTTCTCAAGGAGTATCTTTGTGGCGTTCTCTGTATTTCCTGAATCTGAATGTTGGCCTGCCTTGCTAGATTGGGGAAGTTCTCCTGCATAATATCCTGCAGAGTGTTTTCCAACTTGGTTCCATTCTCCCCGTCACTTTCAGGTACACCAATCAGATGTAGATTTGGCCTTTTCACATAGTCCCATATTTCTTGGAGGATTTGTTCATTTCTTTTTATTCTTTTTTCTCTAAACTTCCCTTCTCGCTTCATTTCATTCATTTCGTCTTCCATTACTGATACCCTTTCTTCCAGTTGATCACATTGGCTCCTGGGGCTTCTGCATTCTTCAAGTAATTCTCGAGCCTTGGCTTTCAGCTCCATTAGCTCCTTTAAGGACTTCTCTGTGTTGGTTATTCTAGTTATCCAATCATCTAATTTTTTTTCAAAGTTTTTAACTTCTTTGCCATTTGTTTGAATTTCCTCCTGTAGCTCGGAGTAGTTTGATTGTCTGAAGCCTTCTTCTCTCAGCTCGTCAAAGTCATTCCCCATCCAGCTTTGTTCCATTGCTGGTGAGGAGCTGCATTCCTTTGGAGGAGGAGAGGCACTCTGCTTTTTACAGTTTCCAGTTTTTCTGCTCTGTTTTTTCCCCATCTTTGTGGTTTTATCTACTTTTGGTCTCTGATGATGGTGACGTACAGAAGGGTTTTTGGTGTGGATGTCCTTTCTGTTTGTTAGTTTTCCTTCTAACAGACAGGACCGTCAGCTGCAGGTCTGTTGGAGTTTGCTAGAGGTCCACTCCAGACCCTGTTTGCCTGGGTATCAGCAGCAGTGGCTGCAGAACAGCGGTGGCTGTAGAACAGCAGATCTTGGTGAACCGCAAATGCTGCTGCCTGATCGTTCCTCTAGAAGTTTTGTCTCAGAGGAGTACCTGGCCGTGTGAGGTGTCATTCTGCCCCTACTGGGGGGTGCCTCCCAGTTAGGCTGCTCGGGGGTCAAGGACCCGCTTGAGGAGGCAGTCTGCCCGTTCTCAGATCTCCAGCTGCATGCTGGGAGAACCACTACTCTCTTCAAAGCTGTCAGACAGGGACATTTAAGTCTGCAGAGGTTACTGCTGTCTTTTTGTTTGTCTGTGCCCCGCCCCCAGAGGTGGAGCCTACAGAGGCAGGCAGGCCTCCTTGAGCTGTGGTGGGCTCCACCCAGTTTGAGCTTCCCAGCTGCTTTGTTTACCTAATCAAGCCTGGGCAATGGCAGGCGCCCCTCCCCCAGCATTGCTGCCACCTTGCAGTTTGATCTCAGACTGCTGTGCTAGCAATCAGCAAGACTCCGTGGGCGCAGGACCCTCCAAGCCATGTGCGGGATATAATCTCCTGGTGTGCCGTTTTTTAAGCCTGTTGGAAAAGCACAGTACTAGGGTGGGAGTGACCCGATTTTCCAGGTGCCGTCTGTCACCCCTTTCTTTGACTAGGAAAAGGAACTCCCTGACCCCTTGCGCTTCCCGAGTGAGGCAATGCCTCGCCCTGCTTCAGCTCGCGCATGGTGCACTGTACCCACTGTCCTGCACCCACTGTGTGGCACTCCCTAGTGAGATGAACCCGGTACCTCAGATGGAAATGCAGAAATCACCTGTCTTCTGTGTCGCTCACGCTGGGAGCTGTAGACCAGAGCTGTTCCTATTCGGCCATCTTGGCTCTCAGAAATTTTTTTTAAAAAATTTAAATCTACTGTAATCCCATCACCCGGAGGTTACTACTAACATGCTGAAATACCACCTCTGAGTCTGACACCAGCATTTGCCTCTGCTCCACACCTGGGCTCAATTTCCGCAGCACTCTTCCTTCCTACTGCCCCTTAGTTGCCATCTTCTCCACCCTTCAGGACACCTGCTTTCACTGCAGGACCTACACTGACTGCCCCGAGAGACGGAGTCTGCAAGCCCTAAGCTCTCCTAGGATTTGTTCTTGTGTGCTGTTCATACTTTAACTCACAGCAGTCAAAATGTAAAGATCTCCTGGTCCAGCACTATCCAAAATATGTTCTGAGGCATGTTAATTTTCATTGTAATTTTTTTTTAAGAGACAGGGTCTCGCTCTGTCACCTGGGCTGGAGTGCACTGGCATGATCATAGCTCACTGCAGCCTCAACCTCCTAGGCTCTAGCAATCCTCCCATCTCAGCCTCCTGAGTAGCTGGGACTACAGGTATGCTTGTGGATGGATATGCAATGTTGGCCCTGATCCTCTTCCATCAGCAACACTATCCTCATCTTCATCCTCATCATCACTACCTTCGTCGTGATTGTCATCGTCATTATGACCATAATTCCTGGATAATTTTTTTTTAATTTTGTAGAGACAAGGTCTCACTTTATTACTCAGGCTGGTCTCAGACTCCTAGATTTAAGTGATCCTCCCACCTCAGCCTTTGAAAGTGCTGGGATTACAAGTATGAGCCATCATGCCTGGACTCATTGTAATTTTTTTTTTAAATAAGAACTCAATGGCCAACTGCTGGGGTAAAGACAGTTAAGCAAATGTCTTTATAACAGAGCTAACCAAACACTCCCCAAGCTTATTTGACCCTTTGTCACTTTCATTCCCTTTGGGAAATATCAGGTTAGTTTGACCATTTCATTTATTAGGTGATATGGTTCGGCTCTGTGTCCCCACTGAAATCTTATCTTGAATTGTAATCCCCATATGTCAAGGGAAGGACTTGGTGGGAAGTGGTTCGATCTTGGGGGTGGTCTTTCCCATGCTGTTCTCATGATTGTGAGTTCTCATGAGTTCTGTTGATCTGAAAATGAAGGAGTTCTCACAAGATCTGATGATTTAAAAGTGGCAATTTCCCCTGAACTCACTCTCTCCCCTGCCACCTTGTGAAGAAGTTGCCTGCTTTCCCTTCACCTTCCGCCATGATTGTAAGTTTCCTGAGGCCTCCCCAGCCATGTGGAACTGTGAGTCAATTAAACCTCTTTTGTTTATAAATTACCCAGTCTCAGCTAGTATCTTTATAGCAGTGTGAGAACAGACTAATACATTAGGAAAGGAAACTTAGTTTTCTCAGAGAGACTGTAGGACATGCCTAAGTTCACACTGCTTGAGAGGGACAGAGCTGGGTCTTGGGACTCAGGTCTCTTGTCAGCTGTCCTGGTGCCTCCTCTGGTGTCCTGCGGAGCCTTCATCCTGTGCCATCTTTCTGCCTGGAGGTTTCACATGACCCTGTGTGTGTACACGTCCTTCTCATGTGCTATGTGAGAGTAGGGACAGAGTCTTAATCTTTTGTTCTGTCTCCTCCAGTTCTGAAGTTGGTGTTCAGTGAGTCATACTGAGTTTACTTAGAAGGGTCAGGAATGCTGGCTGTAGCATGTATCTGTTCTTACTGACACAGAATCTATGTGTGTCCTGGCACCAGGTTTCTAATTTCCTTTGAGATACTGAGCAGGTACCCTGACTCAGTCTTCATTCCATGTGATTGAGGCAGGTCAACCCCATTCTCCTGGATCCCATGCAACCTGAAATTAGCCAATCAGAATATTCTATCCCATTGGCCACAGTGATCCATCAGCATTAGGTCCATGACACTAGCCAGATCGATAGAGTTAGCTTTGGAGCTTTTGTTGGGACTGTTGACAAAGAGGAGTTCTCTTTCCTGGGGCAGGCTGAGCTGGGAAAATAAAATCCTGAAGCTGCCTGTGGCTACTTTGTCAAGAGCCTACCAAGGAATAAAGCCAACTCAGAGGAAAGCAAAACTATGGGATGGGGAAAAGTAGAGTCAAAATGACATCATTTGGCCAGGCGCAGTGGCTCATGCCTGTAATCCCAACATTTTGGGAGGCCGAGATGGGTGGCTCACCTGAGGTCAGGAGTTTGAGACCAGCCTGACCAACATGGTGAAACCCCGTCTCTACTAAAAATACAAAAATTAGCCAAGCATGGTGGCACATACCTGTAATCCCAGCTACTCAGGAGGCTGAGGCACAAGAGTCACTTGAACCTGGGAAGCAGAGGTTGCAGTGAGCTGAGATCACGCCATGGCACTCCAGCCTGGTCAACAAGGGCAAAACTCTGTCCCAATAAAAACAAAACAAAAGAAAACAAAAAGACATCATTTAAGAGCCCACACCTGGAGCTAGCCCTGGCTTCGGGCTTTTCAGGTATATGAGCCAATAAATTTCCTTTAACCCAAGCTAATGGATTTGGGAATCTGGTTTTGTATATAGAAGAGTTTTGATTAGTGGGCCGGGCACGGTGGCTCACACCTGTAATCCCAGCACTTTGGGACGCTGAGGCAGGCGGATCACAAGGTCAGGAGATCAAGACCATCCTGGCTAACACAGTGAAACCCCGTCTCTACTGAAAATACGAAAAAATTAGCTGGGCGTGGTGGCGGGTGCCTGTAGTCCCAGCTACTCAGGAGGCTGACACAGGAGAATGGCGTGAACCTGGGAGGCGGAGCTTACAGTGAGCAGAGATGGCGCCACTGCACTCCAGCCTGGGTGACAGAGCAAGACTCTGTCACAAAAAAAAAAAAGAAGAGTTTTGATTAGTAAATCCGTACATATATGGGATTTGGTTGCTGAATCATAATGATTTTAAAAGGAATCTCACAGATTTTCACTGGACAAGAAGGATCTGACCAAGCCATCCTGAGAGGGCATTATGCCACAACCCCTGGGCCTTTCTTTTTAAAAAGGCAAGGAAAGACTTTTAGGAATATGTACTAAATGCCACTTTCTGCCTCCCAGTACTGACAGACGCTATATGACTGGCTCAGGGAACCCAGCCAAGAAAAAGGGAGACTGTCACCATTAGTGAAAATGGAGATGCCTTTACACTTAACCCTATTATCCAACCCACACTGGCAACTTCCCAGACCCTCACCTTCAAATGTGCTAATAGGAGTGTGCGTGACCCTAAAGACAGCTACCAGATTTGAACTGAATGAAAGCAGCCCTGGATTCAGGACCTGACACATATTTGGTGCTACTAGATGTGTCTGTGAAAGAGTAGTTTCTATTACTTTTTGACATTGGTATCTGGGATGAGAAAAATAGCATTTCTTAAATAGGCTAAGTGGGGATAATAATTACATGCCTCTTTTTCCCAGGCAGCACTGCGTAAATCCACTTGCACATAACACATCTAAATGGTGTCCCCTCTCTGTCATACAGAATTCTTCATTCATTTTTTCACCATTTATTCACTCATTCACTTACCATCTGTTAAATCCTGGACCATGGTTCTGCTTGGTAGTGAGGATACAATACTGAGTAACAAACAGTCCCTACTAGTTCCTGTCCCTGAGGACCTGCCGTATGCCTGCACATTGCCTGACCCTATGTTTGCCATTGGGACACAAAGGTGACGAAGTCATGACCCTGCCTCACAAAGCCAGCAGGCTCTGCAGCGGTGAGTCCCCCAGAGACCAGGCCCTACCCTCAGGTATGCGGGGGCAGATAGAGATTGAGAGCCACTTCTGGGGTGGATGAAGAGCATCCATGGAGTATTAAGCAAGACTGTCTTGTAGTCAGCCCTTCAATTTAGAAAGAACACTCTAGCCAGGCCAGGGAGAGAATTGACGTAGAATATAGGAGTCCTACGAAGGGTGGTCTGGAGGAAATGATTCCAGAAATATTTAGGCAGGACAGAGAGCAAGCTTGCCCTCCACTTTACAAAGCCAAATCTTCTTACCGTTGTTGTGACATTCATTCTCAGAAGAGCTTTATGCGAGGTTGAATTCAGGAGCTCATTTCTGCAAGCGCAGAGTGCCTGCAACCACATGGCCTCTGTTGTTTGTGCGGTGTGGTTCCCTGCCTGCTGGATGGTAGCACCTCGTTACATCATCAGCAGCAAGACTCTCTTAAACTCTTTTCCTCCATGGAACCAAGTTTCTTGGTGGAAGAGACAACACATTTACTGTAATTGGGCTGCTCAGACTAAAACAGACCAATTTTGGTTTCTCACCAGCCAGGTGGACATGGCACAGCCAGAGCCAAATCCCTCAAGGGAGGCCTCAGGACTTGGCCCTTCCTTGTCAGGATCTGTTTCTTCTCCCAGGGCTGTGTCCCAGGCTTCTGTACTTGTGGATTAACTGATGGAGAGTATTTTGATGGTATACCTTTAGCCTTAAAAAATACAACTTGATGATAAATGAAGTGCCATGTGCATCATAGAAAAATTAGAGAATGCATAAAAACAAAAAGAAGAAGAAAAATTGATCACCCATAATCTTACCATCTAAAGATAACCACGGTCATGTTTTGGTGTATTCTTGACCCTTTCCTTTGTCGATACATATGCATGTGTATGTAAGAGTGTGTGTGTGAGTGTGTGTGTGTGTGTGTGTGTGAGATTTTGTTTTTTTGCCTCCCTCTTTTTAAAAGATTTCATTAGCTTCAGGGGTACAAGTGGTTTTTGATTACATGGATACATTGTATAGTGGTGGCATGTGTGATTCTGAAACAAACCTGGAACAAGATTGTACCTTGTTTAAGAGAGTCTTGCTGCCCCGGATGTGATGACGTGCTACTGGAAGCTTCCATCCAGCAGACAGGGAACCACAGGGCACGAACAAAAGAGGTCATGTGGTGGCAGGCACGCTACGCTTTCAGAAATGAGCTCTTGAATTCGACCTTGCATGAAGTTCTTCTGGGAATGCTGGGAATGAACATCACAGCAACAGTAAGAAGATTTGGCTGT
The DNA here is from genome assembly GCF_000001405.40 of Homo sapiens. NCBI lineage: Eukaryota > Metazoa > Chordata > Mammalia > Primates > Hominidae > Homo > Homo sapiens. Next base: position 17,723,761 of record NC_000004.12, on the reverse strand, counting down.
GTAAAGTGGAGGGTGAGCTTGCTCCGTGTCCTGCCTAGACATTTCTGGAATCATTTTCTCCAGACCACCCTTCCTAGGACTCCTCTATTGTATGTCCCTTTTCTCCCTGGCCTGGCAGACTGTCATGGACTGTATACAGACGCTACTGAGAGCATAAGTCAGAGACAAGAGATGGGCTGGCCGTGGACTTGACCCAGTGTGGCCCTTCCATTTCTGATGTGCAGGTTAAGTGAGCAGCATCTGACCCATAACCCATAAACTGAGAATTCAACAGAATCATTAGCAAAACTACCTGCTGCTACACTCGAGGCCACGTGCAGTCAGGGCACAGAAATTCAGCCATTGCTGGGAAGACAACTGGCAAAGGTGACCTAAGTATCATAAATGGATGTTTGGGTTTTGTGATGGTGTTGTTTGGACAATAATATATAACTTGAAGCATACTGTTTATTTGAGGATTTTGCAGAAGCTACAATAAATGAACTAGAAAATAGTTAAAGAGATTTTTCTCTGCTGCGAATAGTGGCAAAAGTAAAAATTCAGTTAGAACGAGCATTCAATATGTTTATATTTATCATGCTGCGGGGTTTACCTTGTAAAGTTGCTTGGTGAACTGGAAAGTGCTATGCAAAAATAATGGTAGCACACATTGTTATACCATTCATATGGAAAAATGGATATGCATGTCTATTTAGATCTGCACACAAAAGCTGCTTTCAGGATTTAAATATGTAAAATTGGCATATAAAGAGGTGAACTGGAAGAGCTGCTCTGTCTGCGTTTGAATTTTCGCAATTCCATTTGTATGCATGGTTATAGGGTTTGATGCTCCCGCTTGGATTAATTCTCTCTCATAATATTTCCTATGAAAAGTGTTAAGATTTCTTTGTATTGTTTTTATTCATAAAAAAAATCATTCACGCATACACATGTTTATTAACCAGGTTGGCCAACCAAAGGTGCTTTCCAAAAACTCTAAGCAAGTCATTCGAGATTTGAAATAAACAAGATGATCCCTTTCCAGACCCCCATCTTATGCAGTGGGGAGACTCCCTGGGAAAGAGTCCAGGCCTGTGTTCTGTGTGAGGGTTGGACTGGGCCTGTAGACGGTGGGGCTCTCATTAAGAACCTTCCTGGGAGCCCACCCTCGTCTTTCAGCTAAGTCTCAGCCTAAATTGGTTTGGAGAACAGTTGGGTTTCAATTACTCAGAAGCTGATGTCTCACAGTTCAATGCCATGTGCAGCTAGGTGCCTAGCAACAGCTCTCTGATGAGCAATGATGAGATTTTAATTAGCGTTTTGGATCTATCTAGAAATCCATTCCAAGCTCATTTGCTGGAAGGAGCCCAGCTTTGTTGGGGACCTGTTTGAGCCTGTTTTCTTAAAGGAAGGGACAGTAACCACACAACCTCTGCTCTCCCCAGGCCTCTCAGCACCCGAATCCAGGGCTTCCTTCTGGCGGTTTAGTTAGTCCTCTTTTCTGACTTGGTGCCCAGAACACTGAAGCTCCGCTCTGTGTGCAGGGATGTGAGTCAAGAGCAGTGACTGTGGCCTTTTGGTGTCCTGTGATCCCAGGAAGCTCTGCTTCCCAGTAGAAATGGGATAGCCATACCCTCAGTCACACAAGCTGCAGAATCTTCTGGACTCTTCCGTCTCCCCCTCTCCACACCCAGTGAGTCACTGGCCCTGCCACTCCTCCTCCTGGACAGCTCTCTAGCCCAAACTCCCTTCCCTGGCCCCTTCCTTAACTCTTCTTCCTGCCTGCATCTCAACCAGACTGCTCTCTGCAACGATTCCAGAGATGCAGTTATGAGATGCAGTGTTATTCCCCCTAACTCCCAAGAGGCCGAATCTTGTGAGAGAAACTTCCTGCGTGGAACACATACCACAAGTCTCCAAAGTATGCATCCATCTGGCTTTCAGATCTTAGGCCCATTGCGAGGGAATGTTAAAAATGCATATCTCGGGACCTCCCCCAGACTCTCCACATCAGGCTGTCTGGGGCAGGGCCTGGGAGTCTGCATGATCACCATGTGCTAGCAAACAGGACAAAGTCAGCACTCGCTAACATGGATGCTGGACTTGTGAGGGTCTGACCCCTGCCCACCTGTCCAGCGTCATGTCATGGTGCGCTCCTCTTCCCTGCCAATGCCCTTCACCTCGGCTCTGCCCCGGAGGACGCCCCTTGCATGTCTTGCCTCTATGCCATGCCTTTGCGCTACTTCCTGCTCATGGTACTTCCCTTATCAGTATTTTCTTCCCCTTCCTGTCCACCTGGGTGACATTTGCTCACCTTTCCAAACCCAACTTGGGTATCCTCTGCACTCGGATGCCCTTTCTGCTAGGGCAAAGAGATTTTTTTTTTTTTTTTTTTTTTTGAGACAGAATCTTTCTCTGTCGCCCAGGCTGGAGTGCAGTGGTGCAATTTTGGCTCACTGCAAGCTCTGCCTCCCGGGTTCACGCCATTCTCCTGCCTCAGCCTCCTGAGTAGCTGGGACTACAGGCGTCCGCCACTACGCCTGGCTAATTTTTTTGTATTTTTAGTAGAGATGGGGTTTCACTGTGTTAGCCAGGATGGTCTCGATCTCCTGACCTCATGATCCGCCTTCTCGGCCTCCGAAAGTGCTGGGATTACAGGCGTAAGCCACCGCGCCCAGCCGAGATTTTTTATTCATTCAACAAATATTAGGGTCCTTTCCATGAGCCAGCCACTCTTTGGGGATCTGGTAGTGAACTCTGCAGACGAACTTTTTCACCTGCATGTAATTTATATTTTAGAGAGAAAGATAAGCAAATGGAATTACTGGATCATATGAAATTCTATGTTTAATTTCTTTTTCTTTTCTTCTTTTTTCTTTCTTTTTTTTTTTTTTTTTTTAGATGAAGTCTTTCTCTGTCACCAGGCTAGAGTGCATTGGCTTGATCTCAGCTCACTGCAACCTCCAACTCCCTGGTTCAAGCGATTCTTCCGCCTCAGCCTCTCGAGCAGCTGGGAACACAGGGGTGCACCACCACACCCAGCTAATTTTTGCATTTTTAGTAGAGACGGGGTTTCACCATGTTGGCCAGGATGGTCTTGAACTCCTGACCTCATGATCTGCCCCCCTCAGCCTCCCAAAGTGCTGGGATTACAGACATGAGCCACCGCGCCTCGCCCTATGTTTAATTTTTTGAGAAACCAGCATACTGTTTTCCACAGTGGCTACACCATTTTACATTCCCACCAGCAATGTACAGGGGCTCCAATTTTTCCACATCCTCACCAACATTTCTCTTTTTGTGATGATAGCCATTCTAATGAGCATGAAGTGCTATCTCATTGTGGTTTTGAGTTGCATTTCCCTAATGATTAAAGATGTTGAGCATCCTTTCATGTGCTTATTTGTTGATTCTAAAATTTTTGACGTTAGCAATTGAAAGAAAGGAGTTCCTGTGAAATGAGATGAGGAATATTGTGGGAAGAGCAGGTATTAAAAGGAAAAATCCAGAATTAAATTTGAGCTGCAGGTTCAATATCCAAGTAGAGATATTGGTAAGCAACAGAATACATGAGTATGACGTTCAGGTGGCAGGTCCAGCCTGGTCATATAAATTTGGGAGTCATTAGCAAATAGAGAATGCATTAAATAATGGAATTGAGTGAGACCCCAAGGAAATTTTTGCAAAAGAATAGAAACAGACTGAGGCTAACACTCTGGGGCATTCCTATGTGAAGGATGGGAGTTGAGGAGGATGTAACTAGCCAAAGAGATGAGAAGGAGTGGTCAGCGGTCAGTAGGAGTATGTTCTATTGCGGAAGCCAAGAGAAGACAATATTTCAAGAAGAGGGAGTGATTCATTAGCTCTAATGCTGCTGAAAAGTTGAACAGATGAAGACTGAGAACTGGGTATTGTTTTAGTAACATGGACATCACTAGTGACTCTGATGAGCTGTTTGAGTGGATTAGTTGGTGTAAAAGCCTGATTGGTGATAATTCAAGAGGAATAGGGAAGTTGAGAAATTAGTAACAATGGTTATAGAGTATTTGAGGAGTTTGCTATAAAGGGGTGTAGAAAAATGGAGAATGTGGGGTTAAAATAAAGATTTTTGTTCATGATAAAAATTACAGCACAGTTATGTATTGATAGGAGTGATCCACTAATGGTAATGAAGGAGAAAAGGGGGGATTACTGGAGCAATGTGATCCTTTCCTCCCCTGTGCCTTTCTCTGCACCTCTACAGACTTCTAGCAAAGTACTTGAAATATCCCTAGACAGTAGTCCCTTTTTTTCTGTGGTCTTGCTTTCCAAGGTTTTAGTTACCCAAGGTGGACCAAAGAAGTCTTGAAAATATGAAATGGAAAATTCCAGAAATAAACAATTCATAAGTTTTAAATTATTTGTCGTTGTGAGTAGCATGATGAAATCTTGTGCCGTCCTCCTCTTTTCCTCCTGGGATGTGAATCATACCCTTGTCCAGAGTATCGGCGCTGTAGTCCCTACCTGCCCATTAGTCACTAGTAGCTGTCTCGATTATCAGATCAACTGTCACAGTGCTTGTTTTCAAGTACATAAGCCTTATTCTTACCTCATAATGGCCCCAAAGCTCAAGAGCAGTGATGCTAGTACATTGTTATAAGTGTTCTATTTTATTACTAGTGATTGTTGTTAACCTCTTATTGTGCCTAGTTTATAAATTAAGCCTTATCACAGATATGTACATACGTATAGGAAAAAACATAGTGTCTATAGGGGTTGTACCAGCCAAGCTTTCAGACATCCAGTGGGCATCTTGGAAGGTATCCCCCTCAGATAAGGGACAACTACTGTACATACTAATTGGCTTTCTTTTCTATCTCACTTTGTGTATTAGGCAGATGTTCCTGCAATAATTCTGTGTAACAAACAACTCTAAATCTCAATGGCTACAGCAGTGAGTTATTTCCTGCTCAGTTTCACTGCTGTTCAGCTGATTTCAGCTGGGTTTGGCTGAGCCAGTTGCATTCCACACTCTGGGGTGGGGTCCAGCCTGCTCTGTGTCTCTCATTCTGGGACCCGTGGGTACCCAGCACAGGCTTTTCTTGTAGCAAGTGGTAGAAGCACAAGAGGGCAAGCCAAAGCACATAAACATATCAAAAGCCTTTGCTTGCAACAAGTCCACTCACATTCCCTTGGCCAAAGCAAGTCACACAGCCAAGTTCAACATCAATGGGGAAGACAAATAAATGCCATCCACAGACCATGGCAAGGAAGGGGAAAGAAAGGGCGAAGATTATTATACGGACAAATAATGTAGTCTGCCACACTCTACTAGCCTATAAGCCCCTCAACAGAATGGTCTTATTTGTTCTGTTTTTCCCATGCCTAGTATCATGCCAGGCATATAGGAAATGCTGCAAAAACATTGAGTAAAAGCATATTACCAGCTTTTTTTTTCTAAACAAGGTATGATTCTACTCTTTTAACTTTGGACCCAGAAGGATTTGGATTTGAATCCCAGCACTCTCACTTTTTAGCTCAATGACTTCTGGCAGTAATACCGATAATAGTAAAAATCATAACTAATGAATTTTTTAAGAGCTTAAGAAGGGTTAAGTGCTTAAGAGTGCTGTGAAGGGTTTTTGGTTCATAATGTCATTTGATCTCCAAACAAAACTCTCCGCATGTCTTGGATAAGGTAACTGAGACTCAGGTTCAGCAACGTACTGAAGTTCACACATCTAGAAAAAGGTGGAGTTCTATTATATTACCCCTACATATGAAGTTAGCCCCATCTGTAAAATAAGGCTAAGCATAAAAACATTCACTTTGTAGAATTGTTATTAGGTTGGTTTAAAAGTAATCACGGCTTTCCCCATTACTTGTTGCGATTACCACGATTACATTTGCACCAACCTAAATAGATTAATTGAAAAGACACATGTAAATTATCTGGCCCAGTGAATGTCATACTCTGGGCCCTCAACAGATATTATGTCCTTTTTTTTTTCTTTTTCATTTCAATTCTGATTCCTGCTGCCAAACTTGATGAAAACTGTCATCAGGATCTGATGCTTAAAAGCCATTAATTAGAGCCTTGTTAAACCTACAACACTCAATCTCTACGACCCTAACAGGCCTCTGCTGAAATCTCCTCTGACGTCAACCCATCAGCAGTGGATTTCTAAAACTCTTAGGAAGTCGTTTTGACTTGCTCAGAATTTCTCTTGGCTGCTGAATTATTTATGTGCCTTGATGGATTCTGAAGTCAGCCTCCCCCATAGGAGGTGGGTTTATAAATGAGGCCTGGAGCAGTCTGATGTTCCAGTCTAGAAGGTGGTGAGTGAAAGCAAGCAAGCAGATGGCAGAAGAGTTGCCAAGCGACCTGTGAGGCATGAAGCCCAGGAGAAGAGCGGACTGCTCAAAATCTGCTCAATGATTTCAGATATTCAGAACAAGTTGGAGGAGATTGTGTCTCTAAAACATGGGACCTTTCCTTTGGAGGAGATTGGGTGAGAGAGGAGGGAAGGAAGAAACGTTTAATAAGTATTTACTACGTGCCAGACACCTAAGATATATTACCCTATTTGATCCTCACAAAAACTGGGCCTGGATTCTCTCTATTTTACAGGCAAGAAAACTGAGCTTCAGAGAGATGAAATAACTTGAGCACATTTTAAAAGATAAGTTCTGGGCAGGGTGCAGTGTTTCTCACTGATGATCCTAGCACTTTGGGAGGCTGAGGCAGGTGTATCACCTGAAGTCAGAAGATCTAGACCAGCCTGGCCAACATGGTGAAACCCCATCTTTACTAAAAATACAAAAAACTAGCCAGGTATGGTGGCATGTGCCTTTAGTCCCAGCTACTCAGACTGAGGCAGGAGACTCGCTTGGACTCAGGAGGCAGAGGTTGCAGTGAGCCAAGATCACACCACTGCACTTCAGCCTGGAAGACAGAGGGAGACAATAGAATAGAATAAAATAAAATAAAATAAAGGGTAAGCTCTGGTATTGAGAATGCCAAGAATGCAAGGCTAAAGATGAGCTGAGCAGGGGATTGGAGATGTCAACAAGAATGTAATTGAAATGATTGACCATGAGGGACAGGCTGTAAAAGGACAGATGTTAAGATGAAAAGAGACTGTTAAACTAGGAGAGGGCTGGGCACAGTGACACACACCTATAATCCCAGCACTCTTGGAGGCTGAGGCGAGCAGATGACTTGAGCCCAGGAGTTCGAGACCAACCTGGGCAACATAATGAGACCCTGTCTGTAAAAAGTAAAATGAAATAATCATCCAGGCATGGTGGTATGCACCTGTAATCCCAGGTACTCAGGAGGCTGAGGTGGGAGGATCACTTGAGCCCAGGAGGTCAAGGTTGCAGTGAGCCATAATAACACCACTGCACTCCAGCCTGGGACATAGAGACCCTGTCTCTCAAAAAACAAACAAACAAAAAAACCTGGGAGAGGAAAAAGGGTCAAGCTCAGAGAACAAGTATAGAATGAGGGGAAGGGAGTGGAGAGGGTGGAGAAAAGAGAGGATGTGGTAAGAGTAAGTACATGTCCTGGGGAGCAGTCCCAGGAGTGCCCTTGCATGGTCAGTGGTGAACACTTGCACACATCTCCACATTGCACAGGAAGACACACTGGATGCTTGCAAGCATTCTCAACATTCTTTGAGCTAGTTTTATGACACAAGATGGCAGGTATGTTGTCCTCCTTCCTCTTGCATCTCTTTCTGAGGCTCCTGTATTAATTATGAAGATGAGTTTTTTAAGGCCAGGCATTGGAATTTTATTAGTTGCATTTATAAGCAAAAAGCAGACTTCAGGCTTACTGGCAGAAATGGAAAAAAGAGTAAAGAAAATTTTACTTAATAACAGTGAAATAAGAAACATGTCGATAATCTCCCACAGAAATGACTTAACGGCTCTCAGAAGGAGGCAGAGAAATAAATTATAACTTACACAATGGCACATGAAGCAGCCAAAAATTAAAATAAGAAATCTCTTTTTTTTTAAACTGACAAGTAAAAATTGTATACATTTATGGTTTCCAGCATGATGTTTTGATGTATGCAAATGTGATGGAGTAGCTAAATCAGGCTATTTAACATATGCATTACCCCACATGCTTATCATTTTTTGTGGTGAGAACACTTAAAATCTGCTCTCTTAGCAATTTTCAAATATACAGTATATTGTTATTAACTACAGTCACTGTGCTATATGAAAGATCTCTTGAATTTATTCCTTTAATTGAAATTTTGTGTCTTTTGACCCCATTAATTTCATTTTTTTTGTTTGTTTTTGTTTTTGTTTTTTGAGATAGAGTGTCACTCTATCACCCAGGCTAGAGTGACAGTGGCGCAGTCTCGGCTCACTGCAACCTCCACCTCCCGCGTTCAAGTGATTCTCCTGCCTCAGCCTCCCAAGTAGCTGGGATTACAGGTGCACACCACCACACACAGCTAATTTTTTAATTTTTAATGGAGATGGGGTTTCACCATGTTGGCCAGGCTGGTCTCGAACTCCTGACCTCAAACAATCTGCCCACTTTGGCGTCCCAAAGTGCTGGGATTACAGGTGTTAGCCACTGAGCCTGGCCCCAACATTAATTTCTTTATGTACAGAAATAGCATGGTCTCCAAAATCTATTATGAAGTTTAAAAAAATCAAGGTGCAGATGAATGTGTATGTGTATAAAAGACGGTGAAAATATGTGATATGGAGTATGTAACATAACATTCTTGTTTATGTACACACTATCCCTGAAAGGATATATAAGTAACCTTCTGTGCAGGGAGGTGAGGGGAAGGGGAGGGGAGGAACCATTTACCAGATTTCAGCCTGACAGAACAGTTCAGGCAGATCCTTGGTGTCCCCAAGGGATACCACATTTTGTTGGATTTGGGGACTTTGGTTGCCAGACACTGTGGCTCCATGTGAACATGCCAAAGTGCCCTTAGACATTGTGAGCCCACCATGTGGTACCCTCTCTGCTACCCTCACCCTGAATCTGATTTTGTGTTAATTTTGGGTGGGCACCTTGGAAGCTTGCCCCTAAATTTCCTCCAGATTTCATCCCATGCACGTTTCCTTTTAGCTGATTTTACTTTGTACCTTTCACTGTCATAAATCATAGCCCCGAGCATGGCTATATACTGAATCCTCTAATGAATGGTTAAACCTGGAGTTAGTCTCAGGGACCCCAAACAGGTACTAATAGATGCTGTTACAGATAAATGCCAAGATGTCAGAGGCTCAACACGGTAGTTATTGCCATAAAGATCAATGACAGACAGTGTTCCTGAGGGAGTAGGTGGCCTTCTCCCTGGTCCTTCAGGGCTCGGATGCCTTCCATCTTGAACTCTGCCTTCCTCTAAGGCCTCTGACTCCTCTGCATTAAGTTTGCAGATGAAAAAAGAAACTGTGGAAAGGACATAAGCCCTTCTTAATGTCCCCACATTGGCCCCAGGATGACACACATCACCCCATCTACCCAAATTCCATTGGCAATCACCAGTCATAGGACCTCACCTAAATGAAAGGAGCTAGGAAATGGGGCCTCTGCTCAATGGCTGTTCTGCAGCAGCTCTTCGCTGTGGAAGGAAAGCGTGAATCCTTGATGAACTGCAGCAGCCCCATAGCAGATACTTACTGTGAACCTACTGTATACTCAACTGTATACCAAGTGCTGTCGAGCAGCCCAAAGAAGTGATATGGTTCTTGTCCATGTGCAGCTTGACATGGAAAAGGGGATTGGCCACCCCAAGGATGAGGAGGCAAGGCCCACTTTTTCTGGGAAGTCTTCTTTCCTCCCAGACCGCTTCCTCTGTGTTTCCATAGTAACTGGTGACAAATCCTCTCGTAGTACTCATCGCAGTGCATTGAAACTTTCCATTTTCTTGTCTGACTCTCCTACTGGATTAAAATATTTCTGAGGTTGCAAATTCAGTTGTCTTATTGGCCAGCAGGTAACCCCAGTGCCCAGCACAGAGCCTGCCACATCCGAGATGTGCAGTGAATCCGCGAATGAATAAATGACTGAGTGAGACGGTGAGATGCAGTGTGGCACCATGTGTAGAACGTGTGCTTCAGCATTACTCAAACCTTCTTATATGAGACTTCACAAAAGCTACTGAACTTCTCTGAACCCCATTTGCTCAGAAAAATACCAAATTGCAGGGTTGCCATGAGGATCCTCTGAGATTGTGAATGTGTATATAGCACCTATCCCTGTGCTAGGCACATAGTAAATTTGATTAAAATGGTATCTGTTATTAACATAAATTATAGCCAGTGGGAAACCAATTTCAGCTTCCAGATATATTCTTGGATGGAAGTCATTAGAAGGTCACGGAAATTAACAGAAGTGGCCAAATCCTGTGCACCAAGTGATGAGAGGGAGGAGTTTTGGAGACAGCACTTCATTTCATTGCAGGATCTTCCTGGAAGGACAAGGGGACTTCCTTCTCCTGTCCATGACAGAGTGTTGGATTCATGGTCCTCAAGGTAGTGCTTATTCTCCCAGGGCTTCACAAGATGTCACATTCATATCGCACCTTGAGTTACATTCTTTAAGATGGAGTTCTGACTCCTTTATTCACTCATTCGCATAATAATTTTTAGAGTGTCCACTTGAGCCAGGCACTGGGGATGGAGAGTAATGAACAAGGAAGACCAAGCTTCTCTCTCCTGGAGTTTACATTCTGGTGAGGAAGACAGACAAAAAACTGATGGCTATATCAGACAGAGACAATGAAAAGTAAGATCTTAGGCTGTGTCGTGGTTATACGTTCACTCTTTCTTCAACATCTGCAGCCTCCAGGTAAACCGTTATTAAATCTATTACACATGTCACCTCTAGTGGTGCCATCTGGCCGTCGATGATGATTTTGTAATGAATGCACACATGCACAGACACACAGGCACACAGTGATACCCAAAACTTCCTCTCATACACTATTCCCGATTGGCCTATTTTCTATTTCATAATTATCTAAGCCTCTAGTTTTTGACTTTTTTTTAAAGCCATACAAAGCTTTTTTTTTGTTTTCTAAACTCTATGCTAGGGAAGGCTGAGTGTGAAAGCTCTTCCATGGTTGATAGGGGGCTCCCCACTTGCTCAGCCTCCCCCAGGATCCCTGATGTTGCCCTGACCTCTATCAGAGAACTCAAGACTACAAGGAGTGCAGTTTGAAAACCATGGGTGAATCAGTAATAGGAACTTGGCAATGAAGTTAGAGTGTAGTTCAATAGACAGCCTCATGGATAAGGAAAAACCAGCAACCCACAAAGGCTAAAAGTCCGTGTGAAAGGGTGTGATGGGGAGTCTTCAGGAAAACTTTTCTGATTGTAAATGCCCCAGGCAGCCAGTGTCGTGTTTGGCATCTGACTCCACGGCGTCTACACCAGCCCAGCTTCTCTTGCATTGTTCTCAGTGAGGACGTCTCATGTGGGGTTCACTCTGCCCTGGATTTCTCAGTCTTTGACCCCCTTATCTCCAGTGATCATTTCCTCTACTTGGCCTCAGTCACATGCTCCCTTTGCCACTTGGCCTTGTCATCACCAAAAAACTACTTCTGCTCCATCTTTCCATCTTGCTGCACCTTGAAAATACCTTGTCTTCTCTTTCTGTCACACCCACCAAATAAAACTCCAACTCCAGATAACCCATCCATCCTTCCTGTTCTTCTCTGAACTAATTCAGATGAACCTGACTGAGGAAAATCTCATAGCAAAGCAGAGAGAACTGTAACTCAACACAGCCTCTGATGCCACACACTGTAAAGTAGACCACTGGCTTCCCTCTTCCTAAAAATGAGTTCACAACTTCTCACACCTCACACTTTTATGCTTTCTTCCTGTCCTCCAACTCAGCTCACTGTTAGTGACCTTGTCTCATTCCACTGAGAATGTAGAAGCCACCTTCTCATGTCTACAAGGTGAGAGCTCCCTCATTCTCCTGTCCCAAGTGCCACACACCTGTCTCCACCTCTTCCTTCCATCCTATCCCCATGAGGACGTGTTCTCACGGCTCTTGAAACCAATCTCTGTGGTACCCTTCTCAGGGATTTTGGCCCTTTATTATCTATTGTTATTCCTGGGGCTTCAACTTCTGTTTGTTTTGTTTTTGAAACAGGGTCTCACTCTGTCACCCAGGCTGGAGTGCAGTGGCAGGATCACGGCTCACTGTAGCCTCAATCTCCCTGGCCCAAGTGATCCTCCCACCTCAGCCTCCCAAGTAACTGAGACCACAGGAATGTGCCACCATGCCCAGCTTTTTCATTTTTTGTTTTTGTTTTTGTTTTATTTTTTTTGAGACTGAGTCTTGCTGTATTGGCCAAGCTGGAGTGCAGTGGCGCAATCTCTGCTCACCACAACCTCCACCTCCCAGGTTCAAGCGATTCTCCTCCCTCGGCCTCCCCAGTAGCTGGAAGTACAGGCACCCACCCCACGCCCGGCTAATTTTTGTAATTTTAGTAGAGGCGGGGTTTCACCATATTGGCCAGCCTGGTCTCGAACTCCTGACCATGTGATCCGCCCACCTCAGCCTCCAAAGTGCTGGGATTACAGGTGTGAGCCACCACATCTGGCTTTTTTTTTTGGTAGAGACAGAGTCTCCCTACACTGCCCAGGCTGGTCTCAAAATCTTATGCTCAAGTAATCCTCCTACCTCAGCCTCCCAAAGTGCTGGGATTACAGGCATGAGCCACTGTGCCTGGCTTCAACTTCTGGATTCTCCATGGGGTCATTCCCATCATCCTACAAATATGTTCTGGAATCTCTCATCAAGCAAACAGCAACAAAACTCTCCTGACTTCACCCCCCTCCTCTGTAGCTCAGGCTGCCTCCTCTGAGCGCTGGACATTTATCTCTGTTTATGCCTTGGTGCCATCTCCACTAGTATGTCCAGGGGCACATCAAACTTACTATGTCCAAATTAGACTTCCCGATTTTCTTCTGCTTACCTGTTCTACCTACAGTTTTTCCCATTTCAGGAAACACCGACCTGTGGCTCAGGCCAACATCCTAAGAGTCATTCTTCATTCCCGGGCTTCTCATTGTGCTCCTGTCTTCCTTCATTCAGTTCTTCACACAGCAAAGAAAGCATTTTTTTTTCTTTTGTGTTAAAAGTGGGAGAACAGACATCTTTGTCTTGTTCCTGATCCTACGAGGGAAGCATTTAGTCTTACATCACTGAGTATGGTGTTAACTGGGGACTTTTCCTAGATGTGCCTTATGAGGCTGAGAAGAGTCCCTTCTGTGCCTTGCTTGTTGAGTGTTTTTTATCATGCAAAGATGTTTAATTTTGTCAAATATTTTTTTCTGTGTCTATTGAGACAATCTTGTAGTTTTTGTCCTTTACTCTGTTGATGTGGGGTATTACATTAGCTGATTTTCAAGTTATACTGGCCTTTTTATATATTGCTCTGTCCAGTTTTTGTTTCTTTGTTTGTTTGTTTGTTTTTGTGATGGAGTTTCACTCTTTTTTGCCCAGGCTGGAGTGCAATGGTGTGATCTCAGCTCGCTGCAACCTCCGCCTCCTGGGTTCAAGTGATTCTCCTGCCTCAGCCTCCCGAGTAGCTGGGATTACAGGGGCGTGCCACCACACTTAGCTAATTTTTGTACTTTCAATAGAGACCAGATCGCCATGTTGGCTAGGCTGGTCTCGAACTCCTGACCTCAGGTGATCCGCCTGCCTCTGCCTCTCAAAGTGCTGGGATTACAGCCGTGAGCCACCGCACCTGGCCTGGGTCCAGTTTTCTAAATGTTTTGTTCCGGGATTTGCATTCCAAAGTGTTCCTTCTGAACAAATGAGATGACATCACTTCTCTGCTTTAAAACTCTTCCGTGGATTCCCACTGTACTACAGAGGTCCCCTTCGGAATTCGGCCAAAGCTGCCCTCTCTGGGGCCTTTGTGCAATGTCACCCCTTTGCTCCCAATCCAAGTCCTTCCCTGTCGCACTTTGCAGCTCTCTCACTGGCTTCTTCTGGGAACAGTTTCTAATAAATCCCCTGCACGCAAATCCTCTTCTCAGGTGCCACTTGTGCAGATCAACCGCCATGCAGGAGAATATTGCTCTGTCCCCTCAGCCCTCCCACACCCCAGCCCCCTCACCCTAACTGGGCTCTGTTGATTTTCCTGCAGGTGATTTATGCCCTGAACACCCGCCAGGATGAGGCTGAGGCCAGCATGGAGGCGCTGCGGGAAGCGCACCAGGAGGAGCTCCAGAATGCGGTGGCAGAGACCAAGGCCAGGCTCCTGCAGGAACAGGGCTGCGCAGAGGAGGAAGCCCTTCTACAGCGCATCCAGGCCCTGGAGAGCGCCCTGGAGCTGCAAAAGAGGCTGACGGAGGAGGCGCTGGCTGAGTCGGCCTCGTGCAGGCTGGAGACGAAGGAGAGAGAGCTGAGGGTGGAGGCAGAGCACGCCGAGCGAGTCCTCACGCTCTCCAGGGAAATGCTGGAGCTCAAGGCTGACTACGAGAGGAGGCTCCAGCACCTGACGAGCCACGAGGCTACCCCGCAGGGCCGGCTGCCCCAGGAGAGCCCTGAAACCAAGTCGGAGCCAGGCCAGGGCCCGGAGATGCAGGAGGTCCTGCTAGAGGTGCAGCGGCTGCGAGTGGAGAACCAGCAGCTGAGCAAGGACTACGCCCGCAAGGCCGAGGAGCTGCAGGCCACCTACGAGAGGGAAAACGAGGCCATCCGGCAGGCCATGCAGCAGTCGGTGAGCCAGGCCCTGTGGCAGTGGCAGGAGAAGGAGTCGGACCTCCGCAAGAACTTCCAGGTCCAGGAGTCAGCCCTGCAGGCTCAGGTCCGGAAGCTGGAAGGAGACCTGGAGCACAGAGGCCGCAAGATAAGTGACCTGAAGAAGTACGCCCAGAAGCTGAAGGAGAGGATTCAGGTAAAGCAGCATCTCTTCTTACAACCCCAAAGGGATAAATCAGCAGGGCTGCTTATTGTGAACCTGCTATAGATCAGGCACTGTGCTAAGCACTTGCCTTCTACGGAGGTGAGCCCTATTATCTCCATTGAATTCACCTACATTCATTACACACACACACACACACACACACACACAGACACTATATATATATATATATATATATATATATATATATATATATATATAGTTTTGTTTCCTTATTTTTGAGACGGAGCCTCACTCTGTCACCCAGGCAGGAGTGCAGTGGTGCGATCTCAGCTCACTGCAATCTCCACCTCCCAGGTTCAAGCAATTCTCCTGCCTCAGTCTCCCTAGTAGCTGGGAATACAAGTGCCCACCACCATACCCAGCTAATTTTTGTATTTTTAGTACAGACAGGATCTCGCCATGTTGGCCAGGCTGGTCTCCAACTCCTGACCTCAGGTGATCCGCCTGCTTCAGCCTCCCAAAATGCTGGGATTACAGACTCGAGCCACTGCGCCCCACCCACAGATATTTATTGAACACTGACTATCTGCCAGGCCCAGGGCTATGGGCAAGGGACACGTGGTGAGTTAGACTTGGTCCCTAACGTTGGAGAACTTGGAAACCTACAGTCTACAGATGAGAAGCTAAGACTGAAATTGAGAGGCGTAAGGACTAGCCTACATTGGCACATGGCTAATAAGTGTTTGAACTCAGGTCAGCCTGATTCTAAAGCCCCTGTTAGTTTCATAGCAACCTAAAATCCCCAGGACTTTGTGTTTATAGAGAGCAGGATCATGGATGATTCAGTTATGTGAGCCCCACAAAAGCACAGAGCCCCATCTCTACAAGTAGCAGCAGTTAGTATTTCTAACACTCCCTGAGCATTTTTTTTTTACCACTTTATCTCATTTAATCCTCACTAAAGGAAGGCCAGAGGATGAGGAGAGATTTGATGAGCCCTGGGCCACTGAATTCCACTGACTCAGGGCTTCTGCTGTGCATATACCCGCCTTTCAGGTCTGATGGCTATTCTGTGTACACAGGATGTCTCTATACAGAGCTATAACCAGAGAAATGGGACCCTTCCTGTCTGTTTAGGACCTGGATGTGCAGCTTAAGGAGGCTCGACAGGAGAATTCAGAGTTGAAAGGCACTGCAAAAAAACTTGGGGAGAAGCTGGCTGTTGCCAAAGACAGAATGATGCTGCAGGAGTGTCGTGGGACACAGCAGACAGGTGAGATGCCCTGGAATGATTTCCTTAAAAGACCCAAGGTTAGCTGCCAGGTTGGTCTGGTGCTACTGGCAGCCTAAGCCTGCTAAGGGAGCAGAGAGGAGGGGCAGGGCTGCTTGATCTGACCTGCCTGGTGGGTGAGACCAATCCCTGCAGGGTACAGGTGAGCTGACAACTACAGCTGCCTCACCTGGAGCTGGCTCAGATTGGACATCTAAAAGGTGTGATGTGAAAGGACCCCTTGCCCCCAGATATTTCCCCACCAGGCTCACCACAGTGCCTGAAATTCTTAGCACTGACTCACTTCACCCCCCACCACTTACACAATGCTTTATGCTTTTAACATCATTTAACACAATTATGCTATTGAGTCTTTCCAATAATTTTGTGTGATAAGTATTGTCAATCTGGTTGGGCAGATTGATGGTGGCTCATGCCTGTAATCCCAACACTTTAGGAGGCTGAGGAGGGAGGGCTACTTCAGCCCAGGACTTTGAGACCAGCCTGGGCAACATAGTGAGACTCCATCTCTATGAAAAAATAAAAATTAAAAAATTAAATACAGGCCAGGCATGGTGGCTCATGCTTATAATCCCAGCACTTTGGGAGGCCAAGGCAGGTGGATAACCTGAGATCAGGAGTTCGAGACCAGCCTGGCAAACATGGTATAAACCTGTCTCTACTAAAAATACAAGAAAATTAGCCAAGCACAGTGAGGGGTGCCTGTAATCCTAGCTACTTGGGAGGCTGAGGAAGGGGACTCACTTGAGCCCTGGAGGCAGAGGTTGCAGTGAGCCAAGACTGGGCCATTGCACTCCAGCCTGGGCAATAGCAACAAAACTCCCTCTCAAAAAAAAAATTAAATTAAATACAAAGTATTGTCTTGAAATTTGGGGCTCAAGTGATCCCCTCACCTTGGCCTCCCAAAGTGCTGGGATTATAGGCGTTAGCCACCACGCCCAGCCCAAAAAGTATTGCCAATCTTTCATGTTACAGATGAAGAAATGAGACCAAGAAAAGATAAGTGGCTGGCTCAAGGTCAGCCAACTGGTTGGTGACAGAGCTCTTGCTTGTATCCAAAAATACATGATTCTAAGTGCCTTCCCCTAGGGCCCTCAACAGAAAGCTCTTGACACTGGGAGATATAACAAAGGCACAAAACCTGGGAGCTGCCTTCAGGGAGCTCATGGGCCTGTACCTTACGGCCCACAGCATGCTTTGGTATCTAGACATGGCCCAGGCAGCAGACGAATAACGTGCATGGGAAAGATGCCACCATGGAGCAGAAAGGTGCAGAGAAGGGGAGGTACTGGTTCTGCAGGAACCAGAAAGGTGTTGTGGGTTTCGAGCAGAGGTCTCAAAAGTGGGACATGAGTACTTCAGAGAATATGGGAGGAAAACTTAGTCATTCTGCTTATATTAAATATTGGTTTTTGTTTCATCCTTTAAATTCCTATTAAAAGAACATATTTGAAACATGCTCAACTTTTTTAACCTATAGAAACTGCAGTCAAAAAGATTTGGAGGTTATTTAGGAAGGTAGAGCAGGGCAGTTATTTAAGCTCACGAGGCTTCTTGAGAAGAGATGAGAATTGCTACCTTGACCATGCTTCGGGGTCAGCAGACCACAGGGCAGGAATTACACAGGGGATGTTGGACAAAGTGGTTGTAAAGCGGAACGGGGGCCTGACAGCAGAAAGCCTTGAACAAGAGGCCATGGCCAAGAGCATTCCAAATAATGCTGAAATGTATGCTTGCAGATGCCATGAAGACTGAGTTAGTTTCAGAGAACAAAGTCCTGCGGGAAGAGAATGACTTGGAAGCCGGCAATCTTCATCCTCAGCAGGATCAAAGCTGTCTCAAGGAGTGCCCTTGCATGAAAGGAGGCACAGATATGCAGGTAGTGTCTGACCCAGCCCTGGGGATGGAGAAGGCACAGAGAGCTTTGCTATCTATTATAAGCGTCAGGTAGAGGCCAGTCCCCAAGCATAGTGGATCCACTTGGAATCAGAAGACCCTGTAGTTCCTGGAGTAGAATTCCAGCCAACTTACTGCCTACTCCATGCTACTGGAAACCAGGAGACTGAGACTGTAGCAGAATCCTCCCAACGCTATATCATCGGCTTCTGGGAAACTGGAAACTGGCTTAGGATCTCATTGCATGTTCCCAGTCAAAACAAGCAAAGCATTATTTAAAATCTACCATAGTATGGGCTGAAGTATCTGATCTCATGATAATAGACACACCATTGCAAAAAGCCCTTTTCCAGTGGTGGAGACTTTTACTAACATCAAATATATAGTCTTGTAAAATTGATTGCACCTTGTGCTACATGCTGTAAAAACAGTGTATAAACGTTGTAAAAGTTGTATGAAAGGGAAATGGTGATTCCTTGCTCCTCACCCCTCCCCAGTGGTTTTACAAGGTCCTTTTTCTTTTTATAGACCAAGAAAGAGGCAAGTGCTGAGACAGAATATATGAAGCAACAATATGAAGAAGACCTTCGTAAAATCAAACATCAGACAGAAGAGGAGAAGAAACATCTCAAAGACCAGCTAGTGAAGCGACTAGAAGACTTGGTAAAGAAGCACACCGTGGAAATCAAATCCGTTCGCTCGTCCGTGGAGGCTGAAAGAAAGAAACTGCAGAGGGTGAGACCTACTTCCATAGAGACTGTTCTGGTTCTTTTTTCTTTCTCCCACCTCCTTTCTTTCCTTTTTTGTTCCTTCTTTTCTTCCTCAAACATTTACTGAGCTCCTGCTCTGTACAAATGTAAGCTTATTCTCTGAATACACACAGATGAAACATACAGTTATGATAGATAGCACAGCTCCTTATGCCTTCTCCAAAGGGAGTTCAGGGTCTTTTGGAGGAGATGGGGGACACCCCTATAGGCCTGGAGTCATTGACATGGGGTGGAATTGTGTCACGAGTGGTGAACTTAGGGAAATTCAACTCTACTTACTCTGCAAAAACACACAGAGAAATACCATTAACCAAAAATTCATGCCTGGAGGAGTTCCTGGATCCAATTCCCCACTCTATCACCACACTTCAAGTGATTTAACCTGGGCCCCCACAGAGGGCAATTCCACATGCCTCAGGATCCTAATTTGTAAAATGGAGGATGACAATAATAGCACCTTGTAGAGTAGCTGCAAGGATTTAATGAGGAACCACGTGAAGACACAAGGCGTATCCTAGTGCCTAGGACACGTGGGCAGCAGGTCGATACAGGTGATTAATCAGCAGCATGCCAAAGTGAGGGAAATTTCTGTCTCTGTGTGCTGTTCCACTCTCCCTCCAAACAGGGTGGCTTTCTGCTGGCAAGGCATGCAAAGCCTCGTCTCTTGTGTTTGCTGGAATAAGTAAGTAACATATGTGAAGATTTCAGAAAAGAAGGAAGTATGAAGCAATATCATTGTGAATGTAGGTGGAATGCTTTGTTTAATTACAAGGAGGCCTCTTTATAGCCCAAGATTCTGCAGTACCAGCTTTGAGTGTCCACTGAAAGATAATCCTGTATCACTGGGGCATGCACTGTTGTGTGGGGGTTACGAGTAGTAAATACTCAAGATTATGTGTTAAATGAACTGGTGAAAGATCAAGACTAGTCTTGGATCTAAGTCTTAACCCTGACACAAGCTGTGTGACTGTAGACAGGTCATATAACCTCTCGGCAGCCTGATTTCTTTTTTTGCTTTTTGCTTTTTTTTTTTTTGAAACGGAGTCTTGGTCTGTCACCAGGCTGGAGTGCAGTGACGCAATCTCGGCTCACTGCAACCTCCACCTGCCGGGTTCAAGCAATTCTCCTGCCTCAGCCTCCCAAGTAGCTGGGACCACAGGCATGTGCCACCACACCCAGCTAATTTTTGTATTTTTAGTAGAGACAGGGTTTCACCATGTTGGCCAGGTTGGTCTAGATCTCTTGACCTCGTGATCCGCCCTCCTTGGCCTCCCAAAGTGCTGGGATTACAGGCGTGAGCCACCATGCCTGGCCTAAAGCCTGATTTCTAAAATAGGGCTAAATACTTCAAGGGCTTATTATGTAAATTAAATATGGTATTATAGTATATATAAACCCTTAGTGCAAACATGTAATGAAAGTTCAAGATATGGTAGGTATTGTTAATTTCTTTTTTTGTTTTTTTTTGAGACAGGGTCTCTCTCTCTTGCCCAGGCTGGAGTGCATTGGTGTGATCATGGCTCACTGCAGCCTCAACCTCCTGGGCTCAAGGGATCCTTCCACCTCAGTCTCCTGAGTAACTGGGGCTGCAGGTGCATGCTACCATGCCTGGCTAATTTTTAAATTTTTCTGTAGAGATGGGGATCTCACCATGTTGCCCAGCTGGTCTCGAACTCCTGGACTCAAGGGATCCTCCCACCTTAGCCTCCCAAAATGCTGGGATTATAGGCATGCGCCACCATGCCCAGGTCTCATTGTTAATTTCCATGTGCATTGGGTAACATAATGTGTGATAATATTATTTCATGACCACTATACTTTATAAAGTACCTCATACTTTAGAACACATTTAGTCTTTCC
This sequence comes from Homo sapiens, assembly GCF_000001405.40. NCBI lineage: Eukaryota > Metazoa > Chordata > Mammalia > Primates > Hominidae > Homo > Homo sapiens. Next base: position 17,703,104 of record NC_000004.12, on the reverse strand, counting down.
AACAATATTACAAAATGTTCATATCCCCATTTAGAGTTGAGGAAGCTGAAGCTCAAAGATGTTATATATCAACACACACAGCTAAGTGGTGGAGCTGCAATTCAAATCTGATATCCTGACTCCAGAGCCCGTGGCTTCCCCACCTTCACACTGGGTAGGCAGCTGTATTGAAAGCATTTTTTCTCCACATGAGCTGCAACTGGTTGCACAAATCTAATCCTCAGACAAACAGATGGACACTCTTTCCATCCCCGGCCACAAGCAGCAGGAGGGACCGCAGCATGCTCTCGCAGAACTACAGGTTGCCCTGGTAACCTGTCAGCCACACCTGACCCTGAATGTGTAAATCTCACTTCAGCCTTAATAGGGGGCATGAGTCCACCTGGGATATGAATCATGTCACAATAAGTTGCACTTACTTGTTTTTTTGGTTTTACATTTTGTTCGTTTCCAAGAACTGAGAATTTAAATTAGGCCATGCAGATTGGGAAAGGTGAAACCTTAAAGAGGCCTCCAATCTAGGGTTTATGGACTAAAAATAGATATCATTTTCCCCTGTAGAGTTAGGAGTGCACTATTTCTTTGAGCCCTTGTCTGCAGGTATACTGTGTATCCTAAGTGCTACCCTACCCTAAAGAAAACACTATAGGAGGTGGGCTGGAGCTGACCTGTAGGCCTTGATGCCTTCCTTGACCCCAGATTAGATGATACTGTCACCGAATCTTGATGGACAGCACAGTACACATCCTATAATTAGCATTTGCATACACTGACTCCTAGGGAAGGGGTGCAGATGATGTATTCAGCACCTCCTGAGCTGTGCTAATCACTTCTGCAATTCTCATTTGTATCACTTAGGATTCTTGGTGACAAGAATCACAAACCAAACTGGGCGTTTAGGCAGAAAAGGAATTTAACAAGCGTAATGGAAGACCAAGGAACTGGGCTTGGCAGCTACCCAGCCAGGAATAATGTCCCAAATCTATTGCAAAACAAATTAGAACACCTATGCTGCCACCTCTGAACCTGGACCTGCAGCTTACACAGCCAACACCACCCACACTGGGCCCTGCGCATTGCCTGGAGAACTGACTGAGCTATCTAATACGGAAGCCACTAGACATGTGTGGTTACTTAAATTTGAATTAATTACAATCAAATAAAATTTAAATTTCAGTTCCTCAGTGGCACTAGCCACATTTCAAGTGCTCCCTAGTCATATATGGCCAGTGGCTACCCTACTGGCCAGCACAGGTCTGAGCATAGTGTCTGAGAAATCACACAGAAATGTGATTTCTGCACATTAGCTACGTCACACTGTGGAACATTCCATCATCACAGAAAGTTCGGTTGGTCAGTACAGCTCTAGAACAGCTGGCCCTGCTGCCCCTGGATACTGCAGGTGCCAAGTTCTGTGTGCTTCCCACTGTCCACATCATGGCCTGTGATTTGCAATCCAGGATAGGTGCGCCTGACTGGGAAGCTTCAGTCATGTGCCCATGCTCAAGCTGCAGGCAGTCTGGTGTTTTCCAGGTCTATAATAAGAGGAGGGCTCTGATCCATCAGATGGAGGGTTCTCAAACATCCAAATGGAAGGGAGGCTAGATCTTTGGCAGCCAAAATGAATGACAACTCTCCACTCAGCATTCAGATCCTGACCTCAGCTCTGTTGTTGTTTTTCCACTTCATAGACAAGGAACTTGGGAAATTAAGTAACTTGAGTAGAACACAACTAAAGTTGGATATGAATCAGGCTTGTCTGACTCCATAGCCAGTAATTCTTGCTCTCTACCAGTCTATGTGTATAAAAGAATATACATTGCCCTGGGCCGTAGATTATAACATTCGGGTCCTCGCTCTGCCGTTATTCATCTACTGTTTATTTACCATTGACTGAATGCATATTTATGTTTCGAGCAATGCAGGAACACAGGAATCAGCCATGTCTTCAGGGAACAAACAATCTGGTAGGGAGGACAAGATCTAGTCAAACAACCAGAGTCAAGTCAGTGTGTAATAAGCACTGTGCCTGGGGAGAGCAGTCTCACTGTCAAATCTTAAATATGTCACCTCGACATATGTCATTATGGCCTCTGTTTTCTAATTTTAAATAACAAATATTAATGATATTTTCTCAAATTTTTTTCTTTATTTGCTACTACCACCAAAATCTCAGATTTTTTTTTCATATTTCTATCAATTTCCAAAATAACCCTGGTTATTTAGAAGTATATTGTTCAATGTCCAACTATTTGGGACATTTCTAGATATCATTTTATTATTGATTTCTAATTTGGTTCCCCTGTGGTTAGATAATAGATTCAGTCATTTCATTCCTTTGAAATTTTTTCAGCTTGTTTTTGGCCCAAACGTGGTCTGTCTAGATGAATGGTTCATGTGTACTTGAAAAGAATCTGAATCTGCTGCTGTTGGGTGGAGTGTTCTATAAAAGCTAATTAGGTCAAGTTTGTTGATAGTATTGTTCAAGTCTATTATGTCCTTACTGATTTTTCTCTGCTCGTTCTGTTGATCACTGAGAGAGGAAGATTGAAATCTCAAATTAAAATTGTAGATTTGTCTATTTCTCCTTTTGGTTCTCAGTTTTTGTTTCATGTAAATTGAAACCTTTTTATTTGTGCATATACATTTAGGATTCTTGTGTCTTCTTGATGAATTGACTCTTATTATTTATGAAATATTTTTTGTCCTGAAGTCTGCTTTGTCTGATAATATATGTATATTCCAGCATGTTTACGGTTAGTGTATCTTGGTCTATTTTAATCTGTCCTTTTACTTTAACCTGTGTCTTTCTATTAAAAGTGCTTTTGTGGTATACTTGGATCCTTTTTTATACAGATTGACAATCTCCGCCTTTTAGGGGACATTCAGACCATTCACATTTAATGTAATTATCATTAAGTGTACCATCTTGTTTTTCCTACTTGTCACATCTGTTCCCCACCCCCTTTTCCCGTTTAATTTGGATACATTGAGTATTTTGGGGGTATTCCATTTTCTAGCTCCACCTTTGACTTACTAGGTATGCTCTCTTTTGGCAAAGTGGAGAGCTAGTGGTTACTGTAGGATTTGGAATATGCACCTTTAAATTTATTGGTCTGTCTTGAAATACATTACTTCACACATACAAACCTCATGATAATACATTTTCATTTCACCCTTTGTGTTCTTTGTACAATAGTTGTTATATATTGTATTTTATTTTACACGTGCTGTAAATCCCACAGTACATTGCTTTTATATTTGCTTAAACGGACAACCATATTTTAGAGAAAAAAAAGTTAATGAGAAAAAAGGGTCATTTTCCCATTTGTTTGCCATTTCTGCAGTCTTCATTCCTTTGGTGGCTTCAAGTGCCTGTATAGTATTATTTTTCTTTAGCCTAAAGAACTTCCTGTAACATTTCTTGTAGCGTGTGTCAACTCCTACTCACAACATATTTTCTTTCTCTATTTTTCCTTCATTTTTGTTGGATATTTTTACTGGATATAGAATTCTAGGTTGACAGTTGTTTTTTCTTTCAACACTTTAAAGATGTCATTCAGTATCTTTTGGTTTGCATTTTATTCTAATGAAAAGTTAACAGCCACATTTATCTTCTTTTCCTTGTGCATAGTATATTTCTTCTTATCGGCTGCTTTCAAGATTTTCTCTTTATCACTAGTTTTCAACAATTTGGTTATGATATGCCATGATGTGATTTTCTTTGTGTTTTTGTTATAGGCTCATTGAATCTATGAGTTTACAGTTTTCATGAAATTTGGAAATTTTATGGCCATTTCTTCCATTTCTTTTCCTGCTCTTGCTTCTCTTCTAATATTGTCCCACAAGTCATTGAGGTTCTCTTCGTTTTCAGATTCCTTGTCTCTCTGTTTCAGTTTGGATAATTTCTCTTGCTGTATCTTCAAGTTTACTCATCTTTCTTTCTGTACCATCTAATCTTTTTAAAAACCCATTCAGTACATTTTTCACTTTAGATATTATAATTTTTAGCCTTAGAAATTCCATTCTGTTCTTCTTTACAGTTTCCTTCTCCCTCCTCATTATTTTCATGTTTTCCTTTAAATTATTGAATACATTTATAAATGTTCCTTTAACATTGTCATCTCTGTCACTTTTGGGTCTTTTTTATTCTGCTCTTTATGAGACACATTTTTCTGCTTCTTTGCCTATTTAGTAATTTTTTATTGAATGCTGGACATTGAGAATGTTAAGTTGTTGAACATCTAGTTTTTGTTGTCCTCTTTGCTGAATTTTGTTTTGACAGGCAGTTAAATTACTTGTGAACCAGCTTCATTGTGTGAGACATTTTTATTATGATAAATTATACATAACATAACATTTTCAATTTTCCAGATTTATTTTTAAGCTTGGTTAGGATGAGTCTAGAGCAGAATTTTCTCTAACTCTAGTTAAGCCCTACTACTGAGTTGGGACACTTCATGGGGTCTCCCATGTATTGATTAGTATCAGTGTTGGTATTATTGCTAATGACTGGTTCTGAGTGATTATTTAAGGCCTTGTACTGGTTGACTCTTTCAGCTGCATCATGAACTTTAAATATATACCAAATAATTAACTTTTCTTTTTGAAAAAAGTTAACAAGTTTTCTCGTAATACGCCAACTGAAATCTCTACATGGTAATTTTCGGTGATTGCTCAGTTGTTCCCTTACAGTGGCACTTTTACATCTCTTTTCCTTAATTACCTGTAATTGTAGACAATCTGGACAAAGAAACAGAAAATGAGTGTGAGTCCTGTATCTACGTCTTATCAGCAGTGGGATTTCCTCTGTGTAAAATGGGTGCCATAAAACCTGTTTTCCTGGGTATCTGAAAGTTCAGTGAGAATAGAGTTTATGAAAATGCTCTGTGAATTCTATAAATTAATGGCCCATGAAACAGTCTTCCAGGTTTGGGCTGAAGCAGTTTAAATATCTGAGAGCATTAGTCTCCTTTTTTCTCAATATCCTTGTCTTTGTTATTGTTTTTTTGTTTGTTTTTTTTTTTCTCTTTACCTGAGTTAAGGGAATTTTCCTGTTGAAATCTTCAAGGTCACTTTGGGCTGAGCTGGACTGGGCATGCTTCTTTCAAATCTGTGTTCTCCAGTGACCCAGAACTGTTTGTTTTCTGAAAGCAAACCACATTATTTTGCACCCAACATGAAGCTTAGTAATGCCAAAAATTACTGCTGAAATTGATTATTTCCATCTGAGGGAGAATTTTTTTTCACATTAGGTTCATTTGTCAAGGTTACAGCTGAAGCTATGATTAATCACTTGTAGACTGCGAAGTTAAGCTACGTAAAATTAGAAATAGCCATTCCTTTATGCTAAAAATTATTATCACAGGTGATTGTCACTGTGCTGTTACAGTGAACACATCTTGGCAATGTTAGTGAGTGTCTTCTTTATTAAAGCATGTTAAACAAAACTTCTGTTCAATAAAAGCTTCTATGGATGAGAAGCTAATTAATGAAGTAAAGATAATGAATTTTTGTTGAAGGGATGGCCTTGCTGCTGATGATTGCTTAAGTTACCTGAACTTGTTTGAAACCAAAGGAGAATTTACATACTGTGTTTAGAAAATGAGCTCTCAGAAACAACAAGCCCTGCAAAAGGGGATCATAGATTTACTGAACAGAGACTATACACATGCTAAATATCCAGGGTTTTTTTTTCTTCTCTTTTAAGTGACTGACCCCAGGAAAAATGCTAAGGGCCTCCCCAGAGTCACTGGCCTAGGCTGGGCTTGGCCCCATAGGAAGTATAAAGGTATCATGCAGGTGATCAGCAGCAGTATCTTTTCAGATGTTCAACTTGGAAACTCAGGAGTCAAACATGATCCCTTTCTCACCCCTCACATTCAGTCATCCATCAAATGTATTAATTCTGCTTCTTCAATGACTGTGGAATTCCTCCACTTCCCTCTCTCCTCAGTGGTACCATGCTGATCCAGTCAACCTCCATTTCATGATGGACTGTGCGATGATTTCCCTGCCTCCAGTCTCCCCACTTCATGTAATCTAATCTTCATTGCAGTGGAAACTTCTGGAAATTCAACCTTGGTTTCAAACTCTCCAATCACTCCCTATCATCGTTATAATGTATTAAATAGTTCCAATTCCTTAACATGGTTCTTAAGACCCTACAGAGGCACACTCCTGATTGCTCTCTTCTACCTCATCCCACACCTCTCCCCTGTCCAACTCTGCCCTCCACCCTTTTACTATTTATTTATTTATTTATTTATTTATTCATTCATTCATTCATTTAGAGACAAGGTCTTGCTTTGACATGCAGGCTGGAATACAGTGATGCGATCATGGCTCACTGCAGCCTCGAACTCCTGGGCTAAAGTGATCCTCCTGCCTCGGCCCCCTGAGTAGCTAAGACTACAGGTACATGCCAACAAGCCCAGCTAATTTTTTAAAAATTTCGTAGAGATAGCGTCTCGCTGTGTTGCCAAGGCTAGTCTCAAACTCCTGGCTTCAAACAATTCTCCTGCCTCATTCTCCCAAAGTGTTGGGATTATAGGCGTGAGCACACTCGATGGTTCCAGCCTTTTAGTTCATCTTTCATTCCATGTTCTTTATCTTGATGAAGAGTACTTTCTCCCTGCTTCCACATTTACCTGCCTGGTCCCGTCCGGTTCTTAATGATCCTTCCAGTCTAGCTTAAACATGGGTTTTCCTACAAGTCTTCTCTGCTCAGCCTAGTGATGCTGTTGTCCGATACATGACAACCTCTGTACTCACACAGTCAAGCATTTTTCTGTACTAGGAACTAAATTTTCCTTAAGAAGGCAGGGAAGAAGCACAGTCAACCAATCAGGCTTTCCTGAGTTCAAATCTTGACCCTGGGCAAGGCGTTTAACCTCTTTAAGTTTCATTTCTTTATCTTTACAATAAGGCTTAGTGGTAGTACCTAAGTCATACTGCTTTCACAAAGACCAGAGAGATGATCTGTGTAAAGTGCCAGCAAATGGCATGTACTCAGCAAATGTCAGCTACTGTTATCATGTCCATTAGATCTACAGGTCTATAATCAACTGACAGCCTAGGAGAGCTGCTCTACAAATACCTGCTGGATATTGTAACCTCTAATTCACAGGAAATTTTGGAGTGTCCGAGGGCTTGGTTCTTTAATGTCTTATATTTTCCTTCATGTTCTCTCCCTAGCTTTTCTCATTCAAATGCATGCCTCTATACATTCTGTATGTTGATGGTTCTCAAATGCATACTCCAACCCAGAACCCTCCCCTGAATTCCAGACCCTCTATCTATCTAATTAGACATCTAACAGATGTATCAAGCTTGACACATGCAGACAAGCTCCTCAGATGGTCCCTGAATCCACTCCTGTCTTCCCCACCTCAGTTCATGGCGGCACCATTCTCTCCTAGTGTCATCCTGACCTCTCCTTTCAGTGAGTCCTGTCACTCAACATTCCACATATATCCCAAGTTCTACCCCTCCTCCCAGCTGCACTGCCACCACAGGCCCAGCCACCATCACTCTTACCTCAGTTACCACCACAGCCTCCTCCCAGGCCTGCCTGCCACTGCTCTCACCCAATGCCTCCACCCACATCAGTCTGTACTCAAGAAGGAAGCCGTAGTGAAGCTGGGCATGGTGGCTCATGCATGTAATCCTAGCACTTTGAGAGGTGAAAGTGGGAGGATCGCTGGAGTTTAGGAGTTCAAGACCAGCCTGGGCTACATAGCAAGACCCCATCTCTAAAAAAATTTTTTTTTAAATTAGCTGGGCATGGTGGCATGCACCTGTAGTCTCAGCTACTTCAGAGGCTGAGGTAGGAGGATTGCTTGAGCCCGGGTGGTCAAGGGTGCAGTGAGCCATGATTGTGCTATTGTACTCCATCCAGTCTGGGTGACAGAGCGAGACCCTGTCTCAGAAAAAAAAAAAACAACAAAGAAAAACAGTAGCCAGCTTATCCAAATATAATTGCAACCACGTCACTCCTCACTGGTTAGTCTTACCTTGATGCTTGAGGCCTCAGATGGTGCTCCTCAAACCTCATCTAGTCTAGCCATGGCAGCTCCTCTCTGTCCTTAGAACATTCCAGGGCCTTTGCAGGTCCTGGAAACCTCACACACAGATATCTCCTTGGTGAACTCCCTCACTTATTACAGGATTTTACTCTAAAGTCACTTTCTGGAGCACTTCTCTGGCCAAGTTGTCTAACATTTCAGCCCTTCCCCAACACTGCAGAGCCCCCTCCCAGCTTTATTATTTCTCCATCCAACCTAGTGTTTGCCGTCTTGTTAGCTCATGGACTTTGATTGCTGCCTGTCTTTTTCACTCAAATGTCAGCTCCTGGTGTGTAGGAATTCTCCCTTTTATCTCCCCAGCTCTGAGGACAGTGCCTGGCACATAGTAGATCTCAAGAAATATTTGTTGAATGAATGAGTAACACAATGTCTACCTAAAGTTCAGCTAAGAGGAACAGACTATCTCATTCACTCCTCTAGATACTTGCACAATTTCCACAGAAATTAAGCTAGAACAGAAAGCCTAGGTCTCTATGACAATTTTTTTTTTTTTTTGAGATGGAGTCTTGCTCTGTCACCCAGGCTGGAGTGCAGTGGCACCATCTCGGCTCACTACAAGCTCCCCCTCCTGGGTTCACACCATTCTCCTGCCTCAGCCTCCCGAGTAGCTGGGACTACAGGCACCCACCACCACACCTGGCTAGTTTTTTGTATTTTTAGTGGAGACGGGGTTTCACTGTGTTAGCCAGGATGGTCTCGATCTGCTGACCTCGTGATCCACCCACCTCGGCCTCCCAAAGTGCTGGGATTACAGGCGTCAGCCACCGCGCCTGGCCCCTCTATGAGAATTATATTAGTGCTTGTCATCTACCAATCCTTTACTATGTACCTGGAGTGGCAGGGAGCAAGTGAGTAGCACAGTGAGTCACTGAGAGGTTAGGAAATGTAGGAAATGTGCTCGAGATGACACAGCTGGAACGTAACTGCACCGCTCATGTGGTCCCCAGAATGTTCCTTCACCTGGATCTGCTTTGCACTGAGGCTCATGGGCTGTGGTGAGGGACCATGGAGCAATAGGCCCTGGGAATCCCATCATTTATTTTATTTTATTTATGTATTTGTTTTTAAAATAGAGACACCATCTCACTATGTTGCTCGGGCTGGTCTCGAACCCCCGGACTCAAGCAATCCACTTGCCTCAGCCTCCTAAAGTGCTGGGATTACAGGCGTGAGCCACCATACCCGGCTAACCACACCATTTTGACTCATGTATGGATGCTGTTGAGAAGAAATTTTGTACTGCTTTTCCTATTTCCCTGCATCCGAAAATGTAGTTGGCTTTTTTACTTATGTGACACTGACAAGTTTGTTAGTAATGAATGTGACACTGAGAATTTTGTTAGTAATGAGCATTTTTTTATTTGACACTAGAAAACTTAAAGACAACAATTTGCCCCGCCCCACCCCTATATATATCAGGCTTTGTGTTGTGACGTTAACACGTGTTTTCTTTTGACCTTCTCGTGTATGTCTAATTTATGTTTATTTGCAGTGTTGTATGACACTCATAAGCTTCTTTGATCTCTGGGAATAAGGCAGGGTGTGAAAACATTAAGTGTCCTGTTTTCGTGCCTTGTATGGTTAACTCTTCCAATCATCATTTAGGAAGTAGAAGCACAGTTGGAGGAAGTGAGGAAGAAATCAGAAAAGGAGATAAAGCAGCTGGAAGAAGAGAAAGCAGCCCTCAATGTGAAGCTTCAGAATTCTCTGCTTGAGGTGAGCCCTGACCAAATGCAAGCCTTGGGGTGCTGTTTCTGGTCCCTGGGAGCTTCTACCTAACTGAGAAGCCAAGAATTTTGGAAGACAGAAAAGGACACTCAGCCAGACAGGCAGGCTGTCTCGGGGGGCGTGCATTTAGCTGCAAGTAACAGAGAGCCAGATTAGAGATGCTTAAACAAAGAGGCTTTTAATGTCTCAAATAAGAGAAGGACACAGGAGGCCGCTGGTGTTGGTTCTGTGGCTTCATGAAGGCACAAGTGGGTAGCCTGCAGTTCCCCTGCCTTTCCTTCCCCAGGGTTACATTCGCCCCTTTGTGGGCTCTTAGCAATTTTGCCTTTCTAGGCCCTTCCTTTATTAAAAAATATTAAAAATTTATATTTTATGACTGCATTGGTAGAAAGATGAATATCATCCAGACTATACTTTTTTCTGATTTTAAAAGAAATTAACACATTTTCGTGGGCCCCTAAAAGTATCAAAGAACTAGTGGAAAAGGCTAGAAACAGAATCCTAAGAGCCATTTCTGAGCCTGCTTAAACCAAAAAAATGTCAACAAGTTTCCTTCCTTCCCCTGTCCTCCCTCAAACCTTCCACATGAGACCTGTGTCTCCCACCTGCTTCAGGAACCCATGAAACCAGTTCCTCAGCCCTGGCTGTACATCACAACCTCTAGGGAATTTTTAAGAACACAAAGGCCATGCGCAAAACAGTATCGATTGTTTAGGAATATCCAAGAGGTCAATCTAAACAAGGCATGAGGACCAGTGGTTATCTCTAGAAGGGAGAGACTGTAAGGAGCTGCAGCTGTATTTGTGACATGTTATTTCTTTAGCTGAGTGATAAGTACACAGGTGTGATGTTTCTCTAACTCCTTCTATTTCTAAAATCATTATTTTAAAAAATGATGAGTATGTCTTTCCTTAGAGTTGATATTTCAGGGTCTAGAGGTGGGTCTTGGTGAAAAGTTCTGGGATAGAGGCTTCTGTTCTGGCCCAGACCAAGGTGGGGCTGCACAGCAAAGAAGCCTTTCTCTATCCTTCCTCCTTTCTTCCCTGCTGTCCTCCCTTCCTTCTGCCTTTCCCTCACTCCCTCCTCCTTCACTTCTCCCTCCCTCCATCTCTTCCTCTCGCCCTGTTGAAGATACACTGCCAGTCTTCATGTTGTACATGGACCACTCCTCACTGCAGAGCTTAAGGTGGCCTGTACATGTATGAGACCAGCCCAGTTATTCTTTTTTTTTTTTTTTTGAGACGGAGTCTCGCTCTGTTGCCCGACTGGAGTGCAGTGGCGCAATCTCAGCTCACTGCAACCTCCGCCTCCCGGGTTCAAGCGATTCTCCTGTCTCAGCCTCCTGAGTAGCTGGGATTACAGGTGCCTGCCACCACGCCTGGCTAATTTTTGTATTTTTGGTGGAGATGGGGTTTCACCATGTTGGCCAGGATGGTCTCAGTCTCTTGACCTCGTGATCTGCCTGCCTTGGCCTCCCAAAGTGCTGGGATTACAGGCCCAGTCATTCTTTTGAATAACACAGGTCAGGGAAGCCTGGGCCCTGACCTATTTCTGTGAATGTGCCTTAGAGCTCTTTTTTTTCCTTTCTTTTTTTTTTTTTTTTTGAGATGGAATCTCACTCTATCGCCCAGGCTGGAGTGCATTGGCGTGATCTCAGCTCACTGCAACCTCCACCTCCTGGGTTCAAGCAATTCTCCTGCCTCAGCCTCCCAACTAGCTGGAATTACAGGCGCATGCCACCACACCAGGCTAATTTTTTGCATTTTAGTAAAGACGGGGTTTCACCGTGTTGCCCAGGCTGGTCGCGAACTCCTGAGCTCAGGTGATCCACCCATCTCTGCCTCCCGAAGTGCTGGGATTACAGGCGTGAGCCACCGTGCCCAGCCCAGAGCTCTTTTTTTAAAAACAATAATGGCTAGCTTTGTGGAGCACTTGCTCTAGTCAAGATACTATCTAAGAAGTTTACATTTACTATTTTAATCCTCATAACAACTTTACCATGTAGGTGCTATTATCATCTCTATATACAAATGACACAACTGAGGCACAGAGAAGGTAAATCACTTTCCCAACATTGCATAGCTAACAAGTAGCAGGTCTGGGATTCAAACCCAGGTAATGTGGCTCTAATGACCCCACCCTTAACCGCTAAGCTAATACTGCCTCTAGTATGGTATGTTGCCTCTTTGATGACTAAGGGTCACTCAGAACCTGAATGTTTACATTCAGTTGCAAGTCATGACCAAGAGGTTGACCATTGACAAAGGGCCTCAGTCTTGCTCTCCATTCTTGACTCCTCCTACCCCCTAAATGATGCTACAATCTGTCCCCACCTTACCAAAGCTAGAAATGAAAGTGTCATCCTTGATCATAGTCTCTTCTCCCAGCTCTCCCATCCTCACCCCTAGTCACAATCCTGCCCTATCATCACACCCGATCCTTGTCAAGTCCTGTGGGTCCTACGCCTTAAGCCTTTCTGTCCCCTCCCTTGTCTCCACACCTATGCCTTGAACAAGATCCTTGGAATGACTTGCCTAGACTCTTTCCCCACTTGTAGATGTTACATAAACAATTGCACCAGCTCCTCTGAATATTTCATAAACCTTAGCAAGACGCAGTTTAAGCATAGTTTTATAATCTTGAAATATCTCTTTCTCTAATATTCCTTATGGAAAGTCTGGAAGGACTTTCCGATAGCCTTGCTGTTCCCCTGCAATGTTGCTAGAGTCTTGCAAGAGCGTTGCCATGGATCTTTCTGCCTCCACGTTCTCTCTAGGCCAGCTACTCCCAGAACTCATGTTCTAAAATCCAAATCTGCTCAAAGCCCCACTCCTCCCTTCCTAAAATCTTGAATCCCCATCTTCTTCACAATTTGGGCCGAACCTCACTTGCTACCACTATCCTCCAAGGCTCTGCTGCCTCTGTCCCGTCCTTCACTCTGGCCCCTCCAACATGGACTCTTTCTTCAGTCCTCACATCTACCCCACCCGCCCTCTACCACTACACCTGCTGTTTCTGCTGTCTGGAATGCACTATCCCACCTTCACCAATGGCAGACTCCTGTTCATCCTTCAGTGCCCTTAAGCTGCTTGAATGCCCCTGGGCAGAGTTTATTGTTGTAAATTCTTTTTTTTTTTTTTTTGAGACGGAGTCTCGTTCTGTCACCCAGGCTGGAGTGCAATGGTGCAATCTTGGTTCACTGTAACCTCCGCCTCTCAGGTTCAAGCAATTCTTCTGCCTCAGCCTCCCAAGTAGCTGGGATTACAGGCACGCACCAACAGGCCCAGCTAATTGTGTATTTTTAGTAGAGATGGGGTTTCGCCATGTTGGCCAGACAGGTCTCAAACTCCTGACCTCAGGTGATCTGTCCACCTCGGCCTCCCAAAGTTCTGGGATTACAGGCATAAGCCACCACACCCGGCCCTATTGCTGTAAATTCTGTGCAGTAGTGCCTACCTTATAAAGGCTGTTGTGAGGATTAAAAGAGTTAATACTGTAGAGGTTCCTGGCTGGGTGTAGTGGTTCATCCCTATAATCTCAGCACTTTGGGAGGCTGAGGTGGGAGGATCTCTTGAGCCTAGGAGTTTGAGACCAGCCTGGGCAACATAGCAAGATCCCATCTCAATTTTTTAAAAAAGAAAATAATTTTTTTAAAAAAGGCTTAGATTCCTGGGTGGCACAGAGCAAATGGACCATTAAGGAGGTGCTCTTATTATTTTGTACATATCTCTACTGAGTGTCATTGGGGTTATAAACATTTATCTATCTCCCTCATAAAATGACAGCTCCTTAAAGGCAGGGACCAAGCTTTATGATTTTACTATCTTGCTCTCACTCTGTCCCTTCCCCATCCCTCCTTGTACCTAGCATGGTGCCTAACTAGTATTAAGGTTTCTAGAAAATTTTGAGGAAAGTCAAAGTTTCCTTTATGTTTTTTGGCCTCATTCTCCTCAAAGTCTAGGGGAAATCTGTCTGTTTAATTCAAATATTACAATTAGTTGGTTAATCATCATCATAATTAAGGCCTTACACTTTTAGAGCACCCCCAACCACTCTTTTCTCATTTTACCTATATAATTCTTAAATGTTGTTCATTTTCTTTACCAATTAACTTTTTTGTTTTGTTTTCAAAAGAAATTGAGTGGCCTTCCAGGAATGGTATTAAAGCCACCCTACAGATCGAGTATAGAAATATCTATGTAAATAATTTAAGGAAAGTGTGGAATACTATAAACCTACTGGGCACATTTTCTTCTGGAAAGACCAAGCAACTAGCTCATTAGAAATGGCATTTCTAGGCCGGGCACAGTGGCTTACGCCTATAATCCCAGCCCTTTTGGAGGCCGAGGCAGGCGGATCGCTTAAGGTCAGGAGTTTGAGACCAGGCTGGGCAACATGGTGAAACCCCGTTTCTACTAAAAATACAAAAAATTAGCTGGGCGTGGTGGTGCATACCTGTAGTCCCAGCTACTCAGGAGGCTGAGGCAGGAGAATCACTTGAACCCGGGAGGTGGAGGTTGCAGTAAGCCAAGATTGTGCCACTGCACTCCAGCCTGGGTGACAGAGCAAGACCCTGGATCAGAAAAAAAAAAAAAAAAAAAAAAAAAAAGGCATTTCTAGAAGTGTGTGTAGAATTTGTCTAATGGGGCACTCTCCCCAGAACAGACTGACCCAGGAGAATTGATTCCCGGATGAATGACTGTATCGAGGAGGTAGAACCTGGTTTCATTGTGTGGTGTTTCTTATCTCCTGTTTTAGGTTTTAAGGCTGGAAGAATTTATCCAACAAAATAAGACACGCCCCACAGGAGCTGAGGAAAGTCCCCAGGAATTAGGCCGCCAGCACTGCAGCATTCTGGAGACCCAGGTAACCTCCAGCTTTGTCAGATTTAATTAAAGATATTTCTTTTCTCGGTCTCAGCCTTTCAGTGTCCCCAGTAACACATGCTGATGTTAATGGGCTCTTTTACATCTCTCCTCGACACTGCCAAAATGCCCGGAAAAAAAAAAAATCACCACAAAATCCATTCACAGAAACCACGAAGGAAATAGAAGTCTGACTAATTATCTGCATGGTTTGAAAGAGAATAAGGCCTGTCAGATGAGTCTCCGCTCTCTCTCTGAGAGCAGCCTGCCTGGAGGATAAAGGGCGCACTCAACTCGAGCAGGGCCTTTGATTCTGCCCAGCACGAACCCCAGTAGTAGTCATAAAAGCCCCTCTCTTGCCCCGGCTGTCTGCCTCCACAGCCATGATCTCATTTACTCTCACAACAGCCCTTGTCCGTGAACCTGCCGTTTCAGGGACGCCGCTTGAGGGTAGAAACTGGTTCCTGTTTGTCTCTGTCTGGCTCACGGTGGGTTGGATTGTTCTCTAGGATCACCATAACGAATGACCATGTACTTGGTGGCTTCAGCCATGGAAATGTACTCTCTCACGGTTCTGGAGGCCAGAGGTCTGAAATCAAGGTGTTGGCTTATTTTGGAGGCTGCGAGTGAGAACCTGGTCTGTGCGGCTCCCCTCGCCTCTGGTGGTTGCTGGGCAGTCCTTTTGTTCCTTGGCCAAGTCTTCCTTGCAAACACGTCACTCCGATCTCTGCCTCTGTCATCACACGGCCTCTTTCCCCTTGTCTCTGAGTCTTTGTGCCTTCACACAGCCTTCTTATAAAGACACCAGTCACTGGCTTTAGGGCCCACTCTACTACAGCATGACCTCATCGTAACTAATTGCATCTGCAGAGATCCTATTTCCAAATAAGATCACATTCATAGGTACAGGGGCTTAAGACTTCAGCATATCTTCTTAGGGACACAGCCTAACCCACAAGATAGGCACTCAGTGAACATTTGTTGTACCATGTCAGCAATATAAATAATCTCCCTGAAGTGGGCGCTTGAGTACCCTGGCTTGAATAACCCTCTTAATTCCTGTTTCAGCAGCAAGAGAGCCATAAAAAACTCACGGCCTTCAATTTCACTTATTTGATTGTTGCCTACAATTTTCAGGCCATTTCAAACTCCAGGAGGGAAAACACTACATGGGTCAGTCTGAATCTTACCACATCAGTCTCACCAGTCTCTTGTTTACCCATTTCTGTGTACACGAGTGTCCTCAGGAACTGCAGTTTCTCTCCCATGACCCCCATCTTCCAGGGCTCAGGCCCCGGTCCTGCCAACAGCCCCCATGGCATACTCCTCTGAGATAACCCCCACTCAACCACATATTCACCAGGGCAAAAATGAGCCAAAATCTAGTGACTGTGGATTTAAATAATAATTAACATTTGTATGTGAACTGGTCAGTCATAGAGCACTGTTCTCATCTTTGACTTCACTGGAGTTTTTTTGTTTTTGAGACAGGGTCTTTCTCTGTTGCCCAGGCTGCAGTGCAGTGGTGCAGTCACAGCTCACGCAGCCTCAACCTCCTGGCCTTAAGTGATCCTCCCACCTCAGCCTCCCGAGTAGCTGGGACCTCATGTGCATGCCACCAGGCCCAGCTAATTTTTCTATTTTTTGTAGAAACAGTGTTTCACCATGTTAGCCAGGCTAGTCTCGAACTCCTGACCTCAGGTGATCCTCCTTTCTTGGCCTCCCAAAGGGCTGGGATTACAGGCATGAGCCAGCATGCTCAGCTTCATTGGAATTTTCCAACAACCCTGTAAGGCACCCATGTTATAGAAGAGAAAACTGAAGGTGAGGGCAGGTGACCTGCCCACAGTCACAGGCAGGTAAATAGCCAAAACAGGATGGAACTACTGGCTCTGATCCCCTCCTCTCTCCATAAGAGCAGCACATGCCCAGGATGCCTTCCAGATAAAACAGACTCCAGCTGTCATTGGGTTAAGGGGAGCAGCCAGGACTCCCTGGATTTCCTCCTTCCTCCTCTGACACCCAGATTAAGGGAGAATCCTTGAGCAGCCCTGTTGCCCCCATGTAAGCCTGGAGGACAAGCCTAAAGGAGCAGAGGCACCCTCATCCACAGGGCTTGCCCCTTCCTGATCTGAGGCTGTCCCTCTCCTTTCAGAAGATTTCTGCCTGAGGGATGTGCAGACATTTTCATTCTCCCTCAGTTTCTCAAGAATCAGTCTCATGAGCTAGCATTCCAGAGAACTTTTGGCCCCAGAGACAGCTGCACCTTTCACCAGCGCCCTGTGGGGTTTCCCAGAAAGGTTGTCCTGAGATACTCAAGTATTTCTTAGCTCCTCAAAGTGACTGTGGCAGGGAGATGGACCGGAGTTGGCTGGTATCCTTCTTGATGAGATTAAATCTGAAATAAGGTGGTAAGCTGGAGACTGAATAAAAAAATGCAGTTCAGGAAGATTGTAGAGCAGGCTGTGTTTTAGGGAAATAAACACATAGAAATTCTAGGTATGTTCCAGGGCTGATGACCTGAGTCTACCAGTCATGGTCACGATGTCCATGAGCCGGTGCTATCACCACAGCTCAACTTCAGCACTTGACTCTGGGGTTGGATAATTCTTTGTTTTGGCGGGGTGTGTGGAGCTATGCTGTGTGCTGCAGGATGTATAGCAGCATCCTTGGCCTTTACCCACGAGATGCCAGTAGTACCTTTCCAACCAAAAATGTCTCCAGGGGACAAAATTATCCCCAGTTGAGAACCACCTCTGTAGCTAAAAAAGCAAGTCCTGAAGAAGTCCAGAATACAAGTGCCTGTTGGGAACCATGGGTTGGTTCACCAGGAAACTCCTCAGTCTTTTTTTTTTTTTTTTTTTTTGAGACAGAGTCTCACTTTGTCACCCAGTGTCACCCAGGCTGGAGTGCAATGGCATGATCTCGGCTCACTGCAAACTCCACCTCCCGGGTTCAAGCGATTCTTCTGCCTCAGCCTCCCAAGTAGCTGGGACTATAGGCGCACACCACCACGCCCGACTAATTTTTGTATTTTTAGTAGAGATGAGGTTTCACCATATTGGTCAGGCTAGTCTCGAACTCCTGACCTCATGATCCGCCTGCCTCGGCCTCCCAAAGTGCTGGGATTACAGGTGTGAGCCAACCTGCCCAGCCCTCCTCAGCCTTCTTAATCTAGAATGTTGTCTTTCAATGAGTTCGGTTTCTTTTTTTTTTTTTTTTTTTTAAGTTCCAGGGTACATGTGCAGGATGAATAGGTTTGTTACAAAGGTAAACATGTGCCATGGTGGTTTGCTGTACCTATCAACCCATCACTTAGGTCTTAAGCCCAGCATGTATTAGATCTTTTCCCTAATGCTCTCCTCAACCCAACACCCTCCCTCAACAGGCCCCAGTGAGTGTTTTTCCCCCTCCCTGCATCCATGTGTTCTCATTGCTCAGCTCCCACTTATAAGTGAGAACATATGGTGTTTGGTTTTCTGTTCGTGTGTTAGTTTGCTGAGGATAATGGCTTCCAGCTTCATCCATGTCCCTGCAAAGGACATATCTCATTCCTTTTTATGGCTGCATAGTATTCCATGGTGGTGTATATGTACCACATTTTCTTTATTCAGTCTATCATTGATGGGCATTTGGGTTGATTTCATGTCTTTGCTGTTGTGAATAGTGAATGAGTTCGGTTTCTAGAGGGAAGTGCAGATGCCTCCTCTATAGAGTTGCAGCAAGAACCTCGACAAATATCAGTTTCATTTGATTCAACTCAATATGCACGTTATTCATTCATTCTGCAGTCATGTGTGCAATACCTGGCATGTGCCAGCCTCTGAGCTGGATGCTAGAGGGAGAAGTGTGCATAAACAAATAGCTGGAAAACAATGTGGACATTTAGTAACAGCTTAAATATCTGGTGCTGTTTTCTATTAGGCATTTTGCAGATATTGTTTGTTCTTTCAAATGCGGGCCTCTTTTCAAATAAGCAATCCACATATATGGTACAGAACTCAAATGGTATATAAAGGTATACATTGGAAAGCATCTTCCTTCTTCCTGCTGAGTTCCCTATCCCAGGAAAAACTACTTGTTGTGTTTTATTTTCTCTCTTCTTATGTATCCTTTCAGAGGTATAGTGTATATACAGGCATAATTATGGAGTTTTTTCTATAAATGATAGGATACTCTCATGAATAATAATAATAATAATAGTAATTATATTATTATTTTTTATATAACTATTTTATATATAATTATTTTATTTTATATTATATTTTATTATATAATTATTTTATATATAATTATTTTATATATAATTATTTTATACTATAATATAATAGTAATTACTATTATTATTATTATTCTTGAGACTGGGTCTTGTTCTGCTACCCAGGGTGGAGTGCAGTCCTGGCTCACTGCAATCCTCGATTTCCTGGGCTCAAGCAATCCTCCTGCCTAGACTCCTGAGTGGCTGGGACTACAGGTGCCCACGACCATGCCCAGCTAATTTTTGAATTTTTTGTAGAGACGAGCCTTCATCATGCTGTCCAGGCTGGTCTCAAACTCCTGGGCTCAAACCATCCACCCACCTCCACCTCCCAAAGTGCTGGGATTACAGACATGAACCACTGCGTCTGGCCAGTTCTGCTTTTCTTAACTTAAATTTTATAGCTTAGAGATTGTAATATATCAGTATACTTCCCTTTTAGCGTCATTTTTTTAAAAACAAACCAACCACCTAGTTCTCCCTTGTACAGAAAAACCATATTATATTTAACCATTCCCTTATGATTGACATTTAGATTGTTTTAATATTTCTCTATTATAGATAATACTTCAATGGATAGCACCATAGAGGGATATAATATAGTATAGTAGTTAAGCAAGCTCACCCCTGAACCAGACACCTGGGTTCTTACTGGCTGGATAATCTTGGACAAATAATTTAATGTCTCTTTGCTTCACCATTCTCATTTATACACCAAGGATAATGATAGTATCTACTCCAGAGGGTCTTTGTGAGGTCTAAATGAATTCCTATCTGTATGGTGTTGGAAACAGCACCTAGTGTGTGCAAATGCTCTCTAGGTGCTAACTCTTGCTCCCGTGGAATTTGCCGGGTGCAGTGGTGTGTGCGTGTTTAACTTCAATAGATACCATCACTTGCCACTCACTGAGGTTGTTCTGCTCTGTGCCCCCACCAGCAACACGTGTGCTTTGCTAACACAGCAAGTTACAAAACTTTCTGAACTTTGCCAATTAGAAAAAAAATGTAATGTAGTTCAAACAGTTTTGGCAAGCCAGCTCTGTGCCAGCCTGGTGAGCCGAAGCTCTGCCTAGGTCTAGATGAGGTGTGAGCAGCATACTTCAGTACTGCCATACCTGCAACCACACAGAATGGTACAAGGGGCAGAGGTAAAGCCAGGGAGGCCTAGGCAGGGGCTTGAACAATCTGGTGGCAGATCTGCTGGTGGCAATAGGGGCATCAGAACAGGATATTAAATGACAACTTCCCCAGTGATGTTCCTGCTGGATTGGGGCTATAAAATTTAAGTTTGTTCAAGACTCAGGGGTTTCAGTTTAGGCCAGTAGCTGTTCTGCAAAGCACTTCAGTGAGTCAAGAGAAATAAAAACAGTCCAGGCGCAGTGGCTCATGCTTATAATCCCAGCATTTCGAGAGACGGAGGCAGGTGGATCACTTGAGGCCAGGAGTTCAAGACCAGCCTGAGCAACATGGCAAAACCTCGTCTCTACTGAAAATACAAAAATTAGCTGGGCATGGTGGCACACGCCTGTAGTCCCAGCTGCATGGGAGACTGAGGCACGAGAACCGCTAGGACCTGGGAGGTAGAGGTTGCAGTGAGCCAAGACTGTGCCACTGTACTCCAGCCTGGGGAACAGAGTGAGACTGTCTCAAAAATAAATAAATAAATAAACAAACAATAAAAAGAAATCTAAAAGAGAGAGAGAGAGATAAAAATAATAATGTCAACTGAGATCAGGCTTTCCACTCCACTCCCAGAACATGCAGGGAGAAGGCTGCCAAACGTGGGTGTGACTCTGTCCCCACTAAACTTAGCTGGGACCTCACCAAGACTTTAATCCTGGTCTCTCCCTGCCAGTCTCCTTGATTCTCGTAGATTCAAAGTTTTACTAATTGGTTTCCAGAAAGCCATTTTAGTCATAATCATTCTGAGGGAAAATTTTTTTCCGGAAGATTCCTTTGGTGCCTGGGCCACACTGAACGGGCGGTGGAGAAGGGTGGAAGTTTTCATATATACACCTGCCCACGCCCTCTCCAGAAGGAAAAGGGAGTCATTTGTGGTAACTGCCATTTAAGTCATCTCGTCTCTATAAATATGTCTGAGTACCATCACTATACAAGCCATAGGGCTGCATGTCCAGGAGAATGAGGCCCAATCTTGATCCTTGGAGGGCTCACATTTCAAATGGGAGAAATAACTATTTCCTTAAATACTAACCTGTTACAATGACTGCTATGATGATGGCAAGAAGATATATTAATGGCAAGCCCATATGGGAGAGGAAGCTTTCTGTCCAGGGAAGTCCAGGAAACTATTCCAGAAGAATGACATCTGCGGACATCTGCTTGACACTGAAATCTGAACATGACTTCACCAGGAAATGGGATGCCATGGGGAAGCAGCCCAAGGCAAGCTCCTGAGGCATTTGGGAAGGATCCAGGGACACTCCAAAGCTCTCCAGGCCTGAAAGTGTCCCCTACTCCTTGGAGGCCCTGAGTGGTTTGCTGGGCAAGAGTCACCCCGTGCCATATTTTGGAGGACCATAGGAATTTGAGGCATCACCTGTCCTGGCCGTTGGCAGGCAGATAACCACTAGGCTCTTAAACAACTGTGACATCCTGAGTGTCCCTCAGGCCAATTGGGAGCCAGCACCCTTGGTTGGTGTGAATTGAAGGGTCTGGTTCCACCTGACATGGAACAAGGCAGGCTGCCCTTCACTCCATGGAGAGGTTCTGGGCATTGGCTGAGATGCAGTAGAGCCTGGGAAGACAGTGTAGGGCAGGGCCACCTGCCTAAGGCTTAGGACATGGGTTCCACCCAGCTCTGCCCAAGACCTCCTTAGGAGCCTCAGACAGGTCAGAAACCATCCCTGAGATCAGTTTCTTCATTACTCATAATGGCAAACCCATAGGACTTCACACAGTCCACAAACCACCCTATGAGACTCTTACAGAGAAACCAAGGCCCAAAGGGTGGTACCAGGGCCTGTGCTGTAAGCTGCAATGCTGCACTACTTCTTGTTAGTAAAACAGTGGCAATAATCCCTGCACTTCATACCCCCAGAGACTTGTGGTAATGAACAGGAGAAAGCATATGAAGTCACTTTTCAGAACTGTTAAAGATTCTGTCAATGTAAGTTGACTTTATAGTATCTATTACAGTCCCCTGTAATCATTTCAGCAAAACTCCATTACGTTCGGTGTTCTATTTTAAGATGTACATAATGCTACTTTTGAAAGATTGTCAAATGAACTTGAGAATGACTTTGAATATTCCCTTCTAGGAGATTTCCTGGGCGTGGGTGTTTCTTTAAAATAGAAATAATCCAGAAAAGGTTAAATAACTGGAAGATGAAAGATGAGGACCTAAATGTGAACACAGATTTAAAATAACCAGCCATTTGCCTGGGAGGAAGTGGGAGGAAGCATTTGCAGTAGATGGTTTGGAAAGGAGAAGCAGATCTATTTATTTTTCCGTGCACACTATTCATACCCAGGCCACTTTAGCACTGAGAGAGCACTGGACTGAATCTGAGAAAAACGCCTGATGGGAAAAACCCAAGAGTAGGAATTGGGTTGAACAACTCAGGATACACCAGGAGTGGCTCAGGGATATTCTCAGAAGCCATGTTCTGAGTCTGTTTTATTTAGAGTTCAGAGACATGGACAATGTTTTTGTTTTGTTTTGTTTATTTCAGTAGGGTTTTGGGGAACAGGTGGTGTCTGGTTACATGAAATAAGTTCTTTTTTCTGTTATATCATCATTATCATTGAACATGTGTTCAAATCTAGGCTTTTAAGGTTTTCACAAGAGAGAACTATTATATATTTAGTGCAACCAGGTACAAGACAGGCTCAAAAACAAACAAAACTGAAAAAGATCTGTGAAAAAGCTTTCAAAATAACAAAACTTAAATATAATTTTTAATGACATCAAAAACTATAATTTATCATGTGTGACATATTTTGAAATATCTATACATTGTGGAATGGCTCAATATAGCTAATTAACATATGTGTTACCTTATATGCTTGAATAAGTTCTTTAGTGCTGATTTCTGAGATGTTGGTGCACCCATCACCTGTGCAGTGTACACTGTACCCAGTGTGCAGTCTTTTACCCCTCACCCCCTTCTCACCCTTTGCCCCAAGTCCCCAAAGTCCACTGTATCATTCTTATGCTTTTGCATCCTCATAGCTTAGCCCCCACTTATAAGTGGGAACATACCATGTTTGGTTTTCCATTCCTGAGTTACTTCACTTAGAATAATGGTCTCCAATTCCATCCAAGTTGCTGCAAATGCCATTATTTTCTTCCTTTTTATGGCTGAGTAGTATTCCATGGTATGTATATATCACAATTTTTTTTTAACCACTCATTGACTGATGGGCATGTGGGCTGGTTCCATATTTTTGCAGTTGCAAATTTTGTTGCTATAAACATGCGTGTGCAAGTATCTTTTTTGTATAATGACTTATTTTCCTCAGGGTAGATACCCAGTAGTGGGATTGGGGGTAGTTCTATATAGAAAACAATATGGAGATTCCTTAAAGAACTTTACATACTGTTTTTCATAGTGGTTATACTAGTTTACATTTTCACCAGCACTGTAAAAATGTTCTCTTTTCACGACATCCATGTCAACATGTGTTCTTTTTTATTTTGTGACTATGGCCATTCCTGCAGAGTAAGGTGGTATCACAGGGTGGTTTTGATTTGCATTTCCGTGATCATTAGTGATGTTGAGCATTTTTTCATATGTTTGTTTACCATTTGTATATCTTCTTTTGAGAATTGTCTATTCATGTCCTTAGCCCACTTTTTGATGGGATTGTTTTATCTTGCTGATGTGAGTTATTTATAGATTCTGGATATTAGTCCTTTCTCAGATATATAGATTGCAAATATTTTATCCCACTCTGTAGGTTGTCTGTTTACTCTGCTGATTGTTTCTTTTGCTGTGCAGAGCTTTTTAGTTTAATGAAGTCCAATCTATTTATCTTTGTTTTTGTTGCATTTGCTTTTGTTTTCTTGGTCATGAACTCTTTGCCTAAGCCAATGTCTAGAAGAGTTTTCCCAATGTTATCTTCTAGAATTTTTATGGTTTTGGGTCTTAGATTTAAGTCTTTGAACCATCTTGAGTTGATTTTTGTATAAGGTGAGAGATTAGGATCCAGTTTCATTCTTCTACGTGTGGCTTGCCAATTATCCCAGCACCATTTGTTGAATAGGGTGTCCTTTCCCCACTTTATGTTTTTTGTTTTTTGCTTTGTCAAAGATCAGTTGGCTGTATTTGGCTTTAATTCTGGATTTTCTATTGTGTTCCATTGGCCTATGTGTCTGTTTTTATACCAGTACCATGCTGTTTTAGTGACTATGGCCTTATAGTATAGTTTGAAGTCAGGTAATGTGATGCCTCCAGATTTGTTCTTTTTGCTTAGCCTTGCTTTGGCTGTGTGGGTTCCTTTTTTTACCATATGAATTTTAGGTTTGTTTTTTCCTAGTTCTGGGAAGAATGATGGCAATATTTTGATGGGAATTGCATTGAATTTGCAGATTGCTTTTGGCAGTATGATCATTTTCACAATATTGATTCTACCCATTCCTGACTATGGGATGTGTTTCCATTTGTTTGTGTTGCCTATGATTTTTTTCAGCAGTGTTTTATAGTTTTCCTTGTAGTGGTCTTTCACCTCCTTGGTTAGGTATATTCCTAAGGTTTTTTTTGTTTGGTTGTTTTGCAGCTATTGTAAAAGGGGTTGAGTTCTTGATTTGATTCCCAGCTTGGTCGATGTTGGTGTATAGAAGAGCTACTGATTTGTATACATTAATTTTGTATCCTGAAACTTTGCTGAATTCATGTATCAGTTCTAGGAGCTTTTTGGAGGAGTCTTTAGGGTTTTCTAGGTATACGATCATATCATCAGCAAACAGTGATAGTTTGACTTCCTCTTTACTGATTTGGATGCCCTTTATTTCTTTCTCTTGTCTGATTGCTCTGGCTAGGACTTCCAATACTATGTTGAATAGAAGTGGTGAGAGTGGGCAACCTTGTTTTGTTCCAGTTCTTAGGGGGAATGCTTTCCACTTTTCCCCGTTCAGTAGAATGTGGGCTGCAAGTTTGCCATAGATGGCTTTTATTACATTAAGTTATGTTCCTTCTATACCGATTTTGCTGAGGGTTTTAACCATAAAGGGATGCTGGATTTTGTCAGATGCTTTTTCTGCATCTATTGAGATGATCATGTGATTTTTTTGTTTTAATTGTTTATGTGGTATATCACATTTATTGACTTGCATATGTTAAACCATCCCCGCATCCCTGGTATGAAACCCACTTGATCATGGTGGATTATTTTTTTGATATGCTGTTGGATTTCGTTAGCTAGTATTTTGTTAAGGATTTTTGCATCTATGTTCATTAGGGATATTGGTTTGTAGTTTCCTTTTTTTGTTATGTCCTTTCCTGATTTTGGTATTAGGGTGATATTGGCTTCATAGAATGATTTATGGAGGGTTCCCTCTTTCTCTATCTTGTAGATTAGTGTCAATAGGATTAATATGATTCTTCTTTGAATGTCTGATAGAATTCAGCTGTGAATCCATCTGTCCTTGACTTTTTTTGGCAATTTTTTTACCATTTCAGTCTTGCTGCTTGTTATTGGCCTGTTCAGAGTTTCTATTTCTTCCTGGTTTAATCTAGAAGAGTTGTATATTTCCAGGAATTTATCCTTCTCCTCTAGGTTTTCTAGTTTATGCATGTAAAGGTGTTCATAATAGCAATTGAAACAAGTATTGCTGGGCTTGAAAGAGCTCATTCAGGCTGGGTGCAGTGGCTTACGCCTGTAATCCTAACACTTTGGGAGGTCAATGTGGGCAGATCACTTGAGGTCAGGAGTTTGAGACTAGCCTGGGCAACACGGCAAAACCCCATCTCTACAAAAAATACAAAAATTAGAAGGGCGTGGTGGTGTGTACCTGTAGTCCCAGCTACTTGGGAGGCTGAGGTGGGAAGATAGCTTGAGCCCAGGAGGCAGAGGTTGCAGTTAGCTGAGATTGTGCCACTGTACTCCAGCCTGGGCAACAGAGCCACAGACCTTATCTAAAAAAAAAGTACTCATTCAGCCAACTATTTATTGATCCCCACGGTCAAGTTCAATTGTGATATACAGTTGTGTGTCACTTAATGACGATGATACATTCTGAGAAATGGGTTGTTAGGTGATTTTGTCATTGTGAGAACATTATAGAGTGTACTTACACAAACCTAGATTGTGTAGCCCACTATACACCTTGGCTATATGCTATAGCTTTTTGCTGTTAGGCTACAAGCCTGTACAGCATATTACTGTACTGTACAAAATATATGGGCAGTTGTAACACAAGGGTAAATATTTATGTATCCTAAAGTAGCTAAACATAGAAAAGATAATGTTTAACACTACATCTTTACAATGGCTATGTCATCATTAGGCAATAGGAATTTTTCAGCTCCATTATGAAGGCATACCTCGGAGATACTGCAAATTCAGTTCTAGACCACCACAATAAAGTAAATATTGAATAAAGCAAGTCACACAAATTTATTGGTTTCCCAATACATGTAAAAGTTATGTTTACACTATACTACAGTCTATTAAGTGTGTAATAGCATTATCTATAAAAATATGTGTACCTTAATTAAAAAATACACTTCGTGTCTCTGTGTCACATTTTGGTAATTCTCACAATATTTCAAAATTTGTTATTCTTATTATATCTGATAAGGTGATCTGTGATCAGTGATCTTTCATGTTGCTATTGTAATTGTTTTGGGGCACCACAAACCATGCCCGTAGAAGATGGTGAACTTAATAAATGTTGTATGTGTTCTGGTTGTGTTCCAGAACCAGCTGTTCCCGTCTTTCCCTCTCTATCCTTGGACCTCCCTATTCGCTGAAACACAACAATATTGCAGTTAGGCCAATTAACAATACTAGAATGGCCTCTAAGTGTTCATGTGAAAAGAAGAGTTGCATATCTCATGTTAAATCAAAAACTAGAAATGATTAAGCGTAGCAAGGAAGGCATGTCAAAAACTTTGAGACAGGCCTAAGCTAGGCATCTTGTGCTGAACAGTTAGCCAAGTTGTGAATGCAAAGGAAAAGTTATTGAAAGAAATGAATAGTGCTACTCCAGTGACACATGAGTAATAAGAAAGCAAAACAAACCTACTGCTGATATGGAGAAAGTTTTAGTTGTCTAGATAGAAGATCAAACCAGCCACAACATTCCCTTAACCTAAAGCCTAATCCAGAGCCAGGCCCTAATTCTCTTCAATTCTATGAAGCCAGAGAGAGTCAAGGAAGCTGCAGAAGAAAAGTTGGAAGCTAGCAGAGGTTGTTTCATGAGGTTTAAGGAAACAAGCCATCTCTATAACATAACAAGCAGCAAGCGCTGATGGAGAAGCTGCAGCAAGTTATCCAGAAGATCTAGCTAAGATCATTGATGAAAACGGCTAACTTAAACAACAGATTTTCAATGTAGACAAAACAGCCTTATATTAGAAGATGCCATCTAGGACTTTCACAGCTAGAGAGTAAAAGTCAATGCCTGGCTCCAACGCTTCAAAGGACAGGCTGACTCTCTCGTTAGGAGATAATAAAGCTAGTGACTTTAAGTTAAAGCCAATGACCATTTATCATTTCAAAATTTCTAGAGGCCTTAAGAATTGTGTGAAGTCTACTCTACTTGTGCTTTATAAGTAGAGCAATAAAGCCTGTATGATAGCACATCTGTTTTTTCAAGCCCAGTGTTGAGACTTACTGCTCAGAAAAAAGAGATTCCTTTTAAAATATTATTGCTTACTGACCACCTGGTCACCCAAGAGCACTGATGAAGAGGTACAAGGAGAGTAATGTTGTTTTCATGCCTGCTGACACAATACTCATTCTGTAGCTCATAGATCAAGGAATAATTTCTCCTTTGAAGTCTTATTATTTAGGAAGTAGATTTCTTGGCACAATAAGGGTGAAAAGAAAAGAAATACATTTCATTTCATAAGGTT
This sequence comes from Homo sapiens, assembly GCF_000001405.40. NCBI lineage: Eukaryota > Metazoa > Chordata > Mammalia > Primates > Hominidae > Homo > Homo sapiens. Next base: position 17,675,122 of record NC_000004.12, on the reverse strand, counting down.
ATAGCTGCCATAGATAGTGGTTCTCCTGATGGATCTGGGCAAAGCCCATTGAAAACCTTCTGGAAAGCATTCACCATTCTAGAAACCATTAAGAATATTCATGATTCATGATTTATGGGAGGAGATAAAAAACAACAATAAGAGTTTGAAAGAAATTGATTCCAACCCTCATGGATGACTTGGAGGGGTTCAAGATTTCAGATGAGGAAGTAACTATGTAGAGACAGAGAACTAGAATGAAATGTAAAGCCTGATGATGTGACTGAATTGCTGCAATCTCATGATAGAACTTCAATGGATGAGGAGTTGCTTCTTAGAAATGATCAAAGAAAGTGGTCTCTTCAGTTGAAATTTACTCCTGATGAGACTTCTGTGAGCATTGTTAAAATAACAAGAAAGGATTTAGAATATTACATGAACTTAGTTAATAGATCAGTGACAGTTTGAGAGGATTGCCTCCAATTTTTAAAGACGTTCTACTGTGAGCAAAATGGTATCAAACAGTATCGTATGCTACAGAGAAATCTCTTGTGAAAGACAGAGTCAAGCGATGTGGCAAACTTCATTGTTATCTTATTTTGAGAAATTGCCACAGCTGCCCCAGCCTTCAGCAATGACCATTCTGATCAGTCAGCAGCCATCAACATTGAGCAAGACCTTTCACAGCAAAAAGATTACAATACACTGAAGGCTCAGGTGATTGTTAACATTTTTTAGAAAAATAGTATTTTTAAATTTAGGTATGTATTTTTAGACATAAGATTATTGCACACTTAATAAACTATAGTATAGTGTAAACATAACTTTTATGTGTATAGGGAAACAAAAAAAGTTGTGTGTCTTTGCTTTATCACAATATTTGCTTTATTGTGGTAGTCTGGAACTGAACCTACAATATCTCTGAGGTATGCTTGTAATTATTAATACTTTTGTCTTTTAACTTTTATGCTAGAATTAAAAGTGATTTGCACACTACTATTACAGTAATTTAGTTCTATATTTGCCTATATATTTACCTTTTCTAATGAGTTTCATACTTTTAGGCTACCCTGTTGCTGTTTAGCATCCTTTCATTTCAACTTGAAGAAATTCCTTTAGCATTTCTTGTAAGGCAGGTCTAGTGATGAAGAACTCCCTCCACTTTTGTTTGTCTGGGAAAATCTTTCATTTATTTTTGTTTGTTGTTGTTGTTTTAAATTTTTTTTTATTTCCATAGGTTATTGGTGAACAGGTGGTGTTTGGTTACATGAGTAAGTTCTTTAGCAGTGATTTATGAGATTTGGTACACCGATCACCTGAGCAATATACACTGCACTCAGTTTGTAGTCTTTTATCCCTTACCCCCTTCCCAACCTTTCCTCCTGAATCTCCAAAGTCCATTGTGTCCTTCTTATGCCTTTGCATCATCATAACTTAGCTCCCACTTATGAATGAGAACATATGATGTTTGGTTTTCCAATTCCTGAGTTATTTCACTTAGAATAATATCTCCAATCTCATCCAGGTCACTGTGAATGCCATTAATTCATCCTTTCTATGGCTGAGTAATATTCCATTGTATATATATACCACAGTTTCTTTATCTGCTCGTTGATTGATGAGCATTTGGGTTGGTTCCACATTTTTGTGATTGCGAACTGTGCTGCTATAAACATGCCTGTGCAAGTACCCTTTTCATATAATGACTTCTTTTCCTCAGGGTAGATACCCAGTAGTGGGATTGCTGGATCAAACGGTAGTTCCTAGTTTTAGTTCCTTAAGGAATCTCCACACTGTTTTCCATAATGGTTGTACTAGTTTACATTCCCACCAGCAGGGTAGAAGTGTTCCCTGTTCATTGCATCTATACCAATATCTATTTTTTTAATGGCCATTCTTGCAGGAATAAGGTGGTATCACGTTGTGGTTTTGATTAGCATTTCCCTGATAATTAGTGATTTTGAGCTTTTTTTCATAGGTTTGTTGGCCACTTGTATATCTTCTTTTGAGAATTGTCTATTCATGTCCTTAGCCCACTTTTTGGTGGGATTGTTTGTTTTTTTCTTGCTAATTTGTTCGAGTTCATTATAGATTCTGAATATTAGTCCTTTGTCAGATGTATAGATTGTGAAGATTTTCTCCCATTCTGTGGGTTGTCTGTTTACTCTGCTGACTGTTCCTTATTGGTACCAACCCTATTGACACTATGCTGCAAGATAGAGGAAGAGGGAGCCCTCCCTAAATCATTCTATGAAGGCAGTATCACCCTAATGCCAAAACCAGGAAAGGACATAACAAAAAAAGAAAACTAAAGACCAATATCTTTGTTGAACATAGATGCTAAAAATCCTTAACAAAATACTAGTTAACCAAATCCAACAACATATCAAAAAGATGATTCGCCATGATCAAGTGGGTTTCATACCAGGGGTGCAGGGATGGTTTAACCTATGCAAGTAAATAAATGTGATACACCACATAAACAGAATTAAAACCAAAAATCACATGATCATCTCAATAGATACAGAAAAAACATTTGATAAAATCCAGCATCCCTTTATGATTAAAACTCTCAGCAAAATTGGTATACAAAGGACATACCTCAATGCGATAAAAGCCATCTATGACAAACCCACATTCTACTGAATGGAAAAAATTCAGTAGAATGGGAAAAAGTTGAAAGTATTCCCTCTGAGAACTAGAACAAGACAAGAAAGCCCACTATCATCACTCTTCATCAACGTAGTACTAGAAGTCCTAACCAGAGCAATCAGATAAGAGAAAGAAATAAAGGGCATCCAAATCAGTCAAGAGGAAGTCAAACTTTCTTTTATTTTTGAAGGAGGGTTTTCCCAGGTATAGTATTCTTAGTTGGCATTTTTTTTAGCACTTTGAATGTATCATCCCATTCCCTTCTGGCCTGCAAGTTTTCTGCTGGAAAATGTTCATTGTCTTATGAGGGGGTTCTCTTATATGTGACAAATAGCTTTTCTCTTGCTGCTTTCAAAATTTTGTGTCTTTGACCTTTGACAATTTGATTATCTGTCTCAGTATGGTTCTTTGGGTTCATCTTATCTGATGTATTTAGGGCTTCTTGGATCTGCATGCTTATTTCCTTTTCCAGATTTGGGAACTTCTTAGTCATTATCTTTAAATAAGCCTTCTTGTCCTTTCTCTCTTCTTTTTTCTTTTTGCATCTTTGACTGAATTATTTCCAGTGACCTGTCTTTGAGTTCACTAATCCTTTCTTCTGCTTGATATAGTTTTCTATTAAATTCCTCTAGTGAATTTTCATTTCAGTTATTGTGTTATTGTGTTTTCAGGTCCATGATTTCTTCTGGTACTTTAAAAATATATCCTCTCTGTTGAAATTCTCACTTTGTTCATTCATTATTCTCTTTATCTTGGTAAGCAACTCTATCAGAGTTATTTTTATTCTCCGTCAGGTAAATCATATAACTATTTCATTAGGGTCAATTTATGGAGATTTATCTTGTTCTTTTGTTTGGAACATCTTTGCCTGATTTTTATTCTCTTTGACTCTCTGTGTTGGTGTCCATGCATTAGACAAAGCAATCACCTCTCCCAGTCTTCCCAGGCTGATCTTGTACAAGAGAATCCCCCATTAATGAGCCTGGCCAGGTAATGGGGGTCTCTACCAACTCATTTCCTCCCAGTAAGAAGCAGGAAGCTGTGGTTTTCATTTGCTCACTCTGCACTGAGCCAAGGAGGAGCTATGGTATCTACCAGCCCAAGTTTCCACCTCCATTCTCTTCCAAGTGGCTAGACTGTGATGGACCCTATAGAGCTCCAACAGCAGCAAGACAAAAGCTAGCCCTCTAGGGACATCCCCCTTAGAAAACTTGGGGTGCTAGACATGCCAATTAACTCCTTTCCTCCTCTGGTTGAAGCTGGTGTAGGGGGTCTCTTCATGATCATATGGTACTTCACCAGGGGCAGCATCTTTGGCAAGAGTGTGTTCTGAATCTCCCTACCAGCTTTAGTGAGTCTGGTTTTGCATTCTCCTGGGGTGCAGGAGCCTTTTGATTAGTTTCTGATTTTTTACAAAGGGAATATGTACATGAACTATTGCTGAATTGATATGCTTATTGGGGAAAAAAGGGATCAGGACTTCCTTCTACCATGTTGCTGACATTACTCCTCTCAGTTTGATTTTTGAGTTGCAGTTTTTCAGATACTTGGTATTTGCACAACATGGTTTGAACTCACATCCAGTTAGGCCTTGATGCTGGTAGGTGACAATCAGGTTAACACAGCACAGCTGAGTGTCAGTGCAGTGATATGGAATTACGTGGATGGGAGTCAGAAAATACAGGGTTCTAGATTTTGTGCCACCCTCCAGTGGCCATGAGACCTGAGGCAAATGGCTGGACTTCTCCAATTTAATTCCCCATCTGTAAATCAAAGATGGCAGTGCCTTTCCTGGCTACTTCATAGAGCCATATGCATCCATGAGATAATGTATAGAAATAGACAAATGCAGTGTAGCTGGGAGCCAGTGTTGTTATCTGGGTGCATCAGCCCTTTTAGTGTTTTCAGTCCTCTCCCCTTTCTGGACTCCTGCCCAGGACTCCTTTAAATATAGCCATGGTCAATAAAGTGGCCCAGAAATTACATCCTGCAGATTCCCTTTCACAGGCTCTGTGTTGTCTCAGAGTACATTTGGAATTCTTTTTAATCTCTAATAACTGTCATGAGATCCTTGTCCATTATTCATGTTGCTTTAAGTTTTTTCTCCCCTTTTCCCTGATCAGGCTTGCCAGAAGTTTGATGTATCTTTTCAAAAGCCAGCTTTTAGATGTGTTGGTCAGATGTGTTTTTTCTATTTCATTTGTTTTGTCTTTTATTTCTCTTTTCTTCTACTTACTTTGGATTTATTCTTTTGTTCATTTTCTAAATTCTTGAATGTTTTCTAATGAATACATTTAAATACAAATGAATACATTTAAAGCTATAAATTTCCGTCTAAGTGTATGTCTTATCTGTGTCCCAGAGTTTTAAAGTTTATCTGATTCTTTTAAACCTACCTTCTTATTGCTTTCTAATGTTCTTGCAATGTCATCAGATAGCACAGTCTGTAAAATGTGAGCACTGGGTTGAGATTTGCTTTGTAAACCAATTCAGGGTCAATTTTAAATAGTTCCTATAGATAGGAAAAAAAGCATATATTCTTGATGTGGTAGTAAAACATGTATGTTTGAATCCTGGCTCTGGGATATATTCACTATATGACCTCACATAAATGTTAGTAGGTATTGGTTTATTTTTTTAGCTATTAGGTTTAGCTTGCTGATCTTGTTCGAATCTTCCTCATCCTAGCTCATTTTGTCTGCTTAATCCATCAGTTTCTGGGAGATGTATATTAAAATCTCCCATTATATATTTTCCCATTTCTCACTACAGATATGCACATTTTGCCTTATGTTTTCAGGCTCTATCGTTAGAGGGCTATAGCTTCATTATTATAGCATTTCAGTGAACAATTCCTTTTATCAGAAGAGCTCTCCATGTAGAACTTAGCCAGTTCACGTTTGTCCTAGCTACTGGTCTTATTAGAATTGTTTTGCCAACATATTTTGTGCTTTCTATTGAACAAAATTTCTTTGTAACCTTGAATTTTCCTTTTGAGACCTGGACCTAATTAATCATACATCATTTATGTATTTATATTGTAATAGTACATATGCTCATCTGATTATCTATTTTTCTTCCATGTTCACCATGCAATTTCCCCAGGTTTATACAGAACCTGAATTTATGGCAGGTAACTCACAAAGCTATTTTGCTTCTAGACTATGTTATTTGCTGCTGGGCTTTGTGGGAATTAAAGATCTCTGAGATTTTTTTTATGCCCAAAATACCTGAAACTAGGAGGCACAGGAGGACCTTTTAGCCTCTGGTTCACATGTAGGTTATAATCTGCTTAGTCACAACATGTTTGAAAATACACAACAATGAACCAACCTCACTGGGCCCTGTGACCAGTTCATGTCAAACAGCTCAACTTTAGTTTCTAGTTACATAGAGTAAAGAGGGAGGACTCAGGCTATGAAAAATAGCTGTGCAGCGTGTTCTCAGTCCCTGGCTGTAGGGTTTATAACATTTTAAAAACTATATCTGGGATTACTTTTACATTCACTTATGTTTTGGAAGGGAGAAAGAAAATGCTCCTATAACAGTACAAGGCAGAAAAACTTTTGTTGTTTTGTTTATTCTTGTGTTCCTAGAACAATGCCTGGCACATAGTAAGTGATCAATAAGTATTTGTAAGAAAATTGTGGTAGCAAGGCCAGGTGCGGTGGCTCATGCCTGTAATCCCAGCACTTTGGGAGGCCAAGGCAGGTGGATCACTTGAGGTCAGGAGTTCAAGACCAGCCTGGCCAACACAGTAAAACCCCATCTCTACTCAAAAAAATAAAAAAATTAGCCGGGCGTGTTGTCACACGCCTGTAGTCCCAGCTACTTGGGAGGCTGAGGCAGGAGACTCACTTGAACACAGGAGGTGGAAGTTGCAGTGAGCCTAGATCACACCACTGCACTCCAGCCTGGATGACAGAGCAAGACTCCGTCTCAAAAACAAAACAAAAAACAACAATAACAAAAAGAAAATTGTGGTAGCAAAAAAATTGCTATGGGAACTTCAAGAGGAGAAGGTATAATTGCAACAAAAAAGATTGTGAAGGCTTCATGAGGAAGTAACAGTTGAATAGGGCCTTGAAGAATAAGTAGGATCTGGAGATTAAAGGGTGCATCAATTAGGATTTGATCACAGAAACAAGCTACTAAGAATGATATAGGATATGAGATTAAATTTAGGAACTGACCTAGCATAATTGAAGGAGACAGCTAAACACTTTACGTTCAACTGTTGCTTCTTTATCTGGTGCTGGGCCTAAATTCAGCAGGGCGGGCCGCTGGAAGGAAAGAAGGACAGAAGTGAACTGAGGAAGATCAAGAACGAACTGCAGCCCACAAGGCTGGGCTTGAACTGTGTCAGTATCTAAAGCCAACAAGGCTCCACCTTTGCTAATGCAGGTGACCTGTAGGAGAATCAGGCATCCTTCATCACGGAGCTAGACATGCACCTGCCTGGGGATAGGGAGAACCCTGAGGAGGATCTGGCAGGTGTGGGAGGAGCTTCAGGCCTGGCTGCTGCCCCAGGAGCTGTACACACAGGCCCAGGATAGAGAGAACTAAAAGAGAAACCAGCAAGAGCTAAAGGAGCTGAGAGCCCAGCACCTGCCCTGGCCAATAAGGTGAGCGAGTAGATCAATAATGACATGTGAGAGCTGCAACAGCACCAGGTGCCCTGCATTCAAGCATCCAAGCATGCAAGCATAACAAGGAAATGACTGCTGCTTCACTTCCATCTTCTATATTTTATGCAAAGTCACATGGTCCAGAGTATGTAGGGAAGAAAGTCCTGGGAAGTGTAGTTCTGGCTTAGCAGAGTTAACTCAGAACATATCCACCCCAGGGGGAAGATAAGGGCTTAGGGAGAAAAGCTGCGGGAGGCAGAGCAGATGTTTACTCTCTCTCAGGCCATCACTTTGGAGTGCCCCAGGACAGGTCCTCCTGGGCACAGTGGGCAGTGGATTCCCAAGTGCCATCTCCATGATGATTCTCTGGAAGTGGGCATCACATGGTATTCTGCTACATTTAGAGGCAATGCAAATGATTTAAACAGAACGTGAACTTATGAATCATAAAGGCACAAAGGGCTTCTAAAGCAGAACAGGAAAACACTCAAAGTTTGGGTGATGGCTGTCTCCACACGCCACCCTCCAGCCACATGCCCAGGGGATTTTCATGACAATGCAGCAATCCCAGGCCCTTCTCTCCATGGGATGTAAAGTGGGGGAAGAGTGGGTGCTGTGGCTTACACCTGTAATATGAGAACTTTAGGAGGCTGAGGCAGGAGGATCACTTGAGCCCAGGAGTTTGAGACCAGCCTAGGCAACATAGCAAGACCCTGTGCCTACAGGGAATGTAAAAAGTACCCAGGCATGGTGGGTGTATACCTGTAGTCCCAGCTACTCAGGAGGCTGAGGTGGGAGGATCACTTGAGCCTCGGAAGTCGAGGCTCCAGTGAGCCATGATTTTGCAACTGTACTCTACCCTGGGTGACGGAGTGAAATCTTATAAAACAAAACAAAAAACAAAAAAACAAAAAAACAAAAAAAAAAGTGGGTGTAGGGCAAGTATGGGAGAGAGTGGTCCCCCTGCTATCTGGAGTGGCCCGTGACATATTTGTGTTTATTCATTTAGTAATGACTCGCATGTGCCACACACTGTTCTAGGCATCAGGGAAACAGGTGAGCAAAGCCCCTGCCCTCATGGAGCTTACCTTCCAGTAAGGTAAACAGATAATTAAAAAGTGGACAAGTCAACGTTAGGCCGTGATATGTATTGTGAGAAAAACATAGAGCAAGGTGAGGAAAAGAGAGTGAGGGGGGTGAGATTTTAGAGAAGGTGTCCAGGGAACAAAAATCCCAGGGAGTCCAGGCATGGTGACTTGCGTCTGTAATCCCAGCACTTTGGGAGGCGGAGGTGGGCAGATCACCTGAGTTCAGGAGTTCAAGACCAGCTTGGGCAACATGGTGAAACCCCGTCTCTACTAAAAATACCAAAAAAAAAAAAAAAAAAAAAAAAAGAACCAGGCACAGTGGCATGCACCTGCAGTCTCAACTACTTGGGAAACTGAGACAGGAGAATTGCTTGAACTTGGGAGACAGAGGTTGCAGTGAGCTGAAATTGCGCCACTGCACATCAGCCTGGGTGACAGAGTGAGACTCCATCTCAAAAAAAAAAAAAAAAGAATTCCAGGGAATAAACTTGAGTGTTGAGTGTTCCTTAGGTACCTAATACTGTTCTAAGGACTTTACATTGTATCAGCTCATTTAATCCTCATGAAAACCTAAGTAATTTTCCCAAGGTCACATCGTTAATAAGTAAAAGATCTGGCATTTAAACACAGGTCGTCTGGTAGCAGAGCCTAAGCTTTAAGCCAGGGATGAGCTGCTGGTTGCAGTGAGTGAAGTGAGGGAGCAAAGAATGCAAATATCAGAGGGAAGAGGGAACAGCCAGTGCAAAGCCCTGAGCCAGGTGCATGCTTGTTGTTTGGAGGAGTAAAACCAAGAGTTTGGTTCTGCACATGTGGTAGTTTGAGAAGCAGGAGAGGAGGAGGCTTCAGCAGAGAAGACTAAGAAGCAGCAACTGGGGGGCGGGGGGAGGAGAAAGCCCAGGAATGAAGGCTGCACAAAGGAAGGAATCATCAATATTTCCAGTTCTGCTGGGAGTCCCCGTTAGTGCAGACCCAAGAATCGACCATTGGATTTGGCAATGTGGAGGTCTTCATTGGTCTTGACATTGATGGCCTTTTATAGATAATACAGTATGTGGAAAGGCAATAAAAGCAGTTTTGTTCCAGATCAAGGGTGGATGGGAGCCCAAGGCCCTACCCTCCAGCCTCAGCTCTGCCCCTTCCTACCCCTGAGACACCTCCCAGGATCCCTGGAACACAGTTTCACTACAGATATAAGCCAGCCCCTTTGTTTCACAGTTGATGAAACTCAGGTCCAAAAAAGGGAAGAAGCTGGCTCAAGGCCATACAACTAGTTAATGAAAAGCACAGGTTACAATTATCACTATTTCGTGAGACAAATCTGTTCCTACCCTGTCTTATACTGTTTTCATGGACAGTGTGGTTATGACAAATAGAAAAATCAAAATAACAAGGTCTTTTTCACCTGTGTATCTCTGTGGGAAGGAGAGAATGATAACATGAGCAAATTCAACTCAGAAAATATTCAGAAGCCTCATTGTTAACTAATCGTTCCCATATTCTTCTCCCATACCCCATTTCTGGTCATTCAGCAAGTTCCATGTTTTCTGATTCTACATAATGGGACACAGCAGACTACAAACTCTTAAACGGATATAATAGTAACACCATTCACTCACACTTACTGACCACTAGCCATGAGCCAGCATTGTTCTCAGGTCCTCACAACAGCCCCGTGCAGCAGGCTTAACAAGGAAACAAGGACCTCTCTCTGAGGGTTATGCATGGAACCATACCAGGAAGTGGTCAAGAGTTCAGTCCCCAGGGTCCTATTATCCGGTTGCATATTTCATTTCCACTCCTCCCTGATGGTGGCACCCTAGCCAGGTTACTTCCCCTCTTTATGCTTTAGTTTTGTCAGCAGTGTGAAATGCTTCATAGACTGAAAAACAGGATACAGGGCTCAGGGCTGGCATTAATCATAGTAAGCCAGGCACTGTTCTAGTCACGTCATCATCACAAGCCTTGGCATCCCCTGCAAGCAGGGCACCGATAGTGGGTTGCTGGGGGCTCCCTCTTCTCTGCTCTCTGATTTGAATAAGCCACAGGTTGAATCATGAAGCTGTACTTAAGCTCATCTTGCCTTTTTTTTTTTTTTCTTTTTCTTTTTTGGCCTTAGGATCCATGCTTGAAGCTGGATGAAACTTCGCCGAGAGGAGAGGAGTATCAAGATAAGTTAGCAGCTGAAGAAGGAACCAGCAGTGATGAAGAAGAAAGGTACAGGAGGACATGCAGACTTCTGAGTGCTCCATTGAATGAGGACTCAGATGTGGAAGGATTCATCCATTCATTCATTCTATCCTCAAGTATTTATCACTGCTCCTTGCAGCATGCTTGGGGAGGCAACAAGCATATCTTGTATGTCTTCAGCACAGCTATGGGCTTCACATAAACTGTGTTACTTAATTGTTACAACAACCCAGAGAAGCCATTTTTTAGCTTAAGAACCTGGAGCTCAAAGAAGTTAGCAAACCTTTCCAAGATTCAAACTTGCACTGGTCCAAAACCTCTGCCCCTATGTTTCCAAGTGTTCTTTAATTAGGGGGTATAAGGAAGCTTTGTGATCCTGAGGAAATCCCCACCTATACCACCTATGTCAGTCAGCTATTGCTGCTCTAACAAACACCCCCAAATATCAAAGATTTAGCTCATAGATGAGCTACCCTTATGATTGGCTCTATCAGGCTCTGCGGGTATATTAGGTCGTTTCCACACCGCTATAAAGAATCCCCCAAGACTGGGTAATTTATAAAGGAAAGAGGTTTAATTGACTCACAATTCTGCTTGGCTGGGGAGGTCTCAGGAAACTTACAATCATGCCAGAAGGGGAAGCAGGCATATCTTACATGGCGGCAGGTGAGAGAAAAGTGTGTAGAAGGAAATGACAAACACTTATAAAACCATCAGATTTCATGAAAACTCACTCACTATCACAAGAACAGCATGGGGGAAACGGCCCCCATGATCCAATCACCTCCCACAAAGTCCCACCCTCAACACGTGGGGATTATGGGGATTACAACTCAAGATGAGATTTGGGTGGGGGCAAAAAACCTAACCATATCAGCAGGACTTACATGAGCTTGACTCCTGGGTGAGGGTCAGGTGTTATTGCTCTGTCACAAACTACAGTTTGTGTGTGTGTGTGTGTGTGTGTGTGTGTTGTGAATGGGATTGTGTTCCTGATTTGGCTCTCAGCTTGAATGTTGCTGGTGTATAGGAATGTTAGTGATTTTTGCACATCAATTTTGTATCTTGAGACTTTGCTGAAGTTGTTTATCAGCATAAGGAGATTTTGGGCATAGAAAACTATGGGTTTTCTAGATATAGGATCATGTCATCTGCAAATAGGGATAGTTTGACTTCCTTTCTTCCTATTTGGATCCCCTTTATTTCTTTCTCTTGCCTGATTACCGTGGCCAGAACTTCCAATACTATGTTGAACAGGAGTGAGAGAGGGCATCTTTGTCATGTGCTGCAAACCTATTTTTTAAATGGACAAAATACTCAAACAAGCACTTCCCTAAAAAAGATATATGTGAGGCCGGGCATGGTGGCTCATGTCTGTAATCTTAGCACTTTAGAAGGCCAAGGCTGGTGGACTGCTTGAGCCCAAGAGTTCAAGACCAGCTTGGGCAACATGGCAAAACCCTGTCTCTACAAAAAAATACAAAAATTAGCTGAGCGTGGTGGCACATGCCTGTAGTCCCAGCTACTCAAGAGGCTGAGGTCGGAGGATTGCTTGAGCCTGGAAGGTTGAGGCAGCAGCAAGCCGTGGTCACACCACTGTACTCCAGCCTGGACAACAGAGCAAGACCCTGTCCCAAAAAAAGAAAAACAAAAATATGTGAGTGGCTCATATGCACATGGACATGTGGTTAACATCATTAGTCATCAGGAAATGCAACTTACCACCACAGTGAGACACCATTTCCCACCCACTGGAATGGCTAAAATTAAGAAGTCTGACAACACAAAATGTTAGCAACAATCCAGGGCAACTGAAACTCTCATACATTGCTGGTAGGGTCTAAAATGGTAAATCACTTTAGAAAACTATTTGATTGTTTCTTGAAACATTAAGCACATACCTACCAGCAGTTCCACTTTTAGGTATTTAAGTAAAAGAAACGAAAAACATTGCCGGGCACAGTGGCTCACGCCAGTAATCCCAGCACTTTGGGAGGCCGAGGCCGGTGGATCACCTGAGGACAGGAGTTCAAGACCAGCCTGGCCAACATGGTGAAACTTCATCGCTACTAAAAATACAAAAATTAGCTGGGCATGGTGGCACACACCTGTAGTCCCAGCCACTCAGGAGGCTGAGGCGGGACAATCACTTGAACCTGGGAGGCAGAGGTTGCAGCGAGCCGAGATTGTGCCACTGCACTCCAGCCTGTGTGACAGAACAAGACTCCATTTCAAAAAAAAAAAGAAAAAAATATATATCCACAAAAATCCTTGGGCACGTTTATTTCTAGCAGCTTTGTTTATAATAGCCCAGAAGCGTAAACAATCCAAATGTCTATCAGTAGAAAAGTGGATAAACAAACTACAATGTATTCATGTAATGGAATACTACACAGCAACAAAAAGAATGAATTGCTGACATACACAACAACATGGATGAGGCCAAAAGTCATGATGAGGAGCAACATAACCTGGAAACAAGAGAATGCATCCCACGTGATTCTGTTTGTATGATGCTTAAGCTCAGGCAAAAGTGATCTATGGTGATGGAAATCAAAGCTTTGGCTGCAAGGGAAGTTTTTGGGTAATGAAAATGTTCTTTATTTTGATTGAGATGTTGGTTTCATGGTTGTATATATTTATCAAAACTCACTGAATTGTACACTTAAGATCTGTGCACTTCACTACATGTAAATTTTACTAAAACATTAAAAAGAATAATAATAACTGAGCCCTATCCTGAGAGAAAGTTCAGCCCCCTCCCCTCTCCTGGGACTCACTGGGAGTGCTTACCTGGTGGTGCCACCTCTCACTCTTGACCGAGGCTGCTCCTCCAGTTTCTCTGGCCTCCTAACCCTTGGGCTGGTTTCATACCCAGAGTTCAGACCCAGGTATCCCTGCTTCATTGCTCCTTAAAGGTGGCTATGTTTTGCACACCTTTGAAAGACTTGAGGATAAACTAAGATAATCAAAATGATGCAGAGAAAGAAAACTTCTCTCTTTTAATATGTACAGTTTTATTTGTTTGTTTGTTTGAGGTGGAGTTTCGCTCTCATTGCCCAGGCTGGAGTGCAATAGGTGTGATCTCGGCTCGCTGCAACCTCCGCCTCCTGAGTCCAAGCGGTTCTCCTGCCTCAGCCTCCAGAGTAGCTGGGATTACAGGTGGCTGCCACCACACTAAGCTAATTTTTTGTATTTTTAGTAGAGACGGGGTTTCACCATGTTGGCCAGGCTGGTCTCGAACTCCTGACCTCAGGTCATCCACCCGCCTCTGCCTCCCAAAGTGCTGGGATTACAGGCATGAGCCACCGCACCCAGCCCGTAGTTAGTTCTTTAAGTAATTCTTACTATGTGCCAGACGCTGTTTTAAGTATAGATATTGACTCTACTAATCCTTATGGAAAAGGCAGCATTATTAACCTTATGTTATAGAGGAGGAAGATCAGGCCAAGATCTCAGTGAGATCTTTAAACTCTCTCCCGTATTGAGTGGGTTGTAGAGCTGGAATTTGGAGCTGGGTAGTCTGGCTTTTGCACCATTCTCTTGGCCACCTTCCTATGCTGCTTCTAGTATCAGACCCTTCCTTTCGGGGTCCCCATTGTCTGTCTCTTCCTTAACCCCCCAGCCTGGGCCTTCTCACCTCTGCCAAGCAGAGTGCCCCTTCTCATGGCCTTTTCTCACAGCCCGAGACCCTAAACCCCACCTCTGGAGCTCTGGCCTGATGTCCTTGTCAGGGGAAGAAGATGCTGCTCATCACCTGGCAATCTCTCCAGAGAACCCCACCATGTGGCATCCTTTCACGCTGTCAAACAAGATAAATACTTCACATCCCAATCTAAACCGATCACACTTGAAATTCTCAGCTGGTTCAAAAGTTCCGAATTAAGGAAGGGAGCTCTGGTCTCTTCTAAAGACATTTGTCAGCATCTTATCTAGAATGCAGAAACTTTTGCAGCTTTAAACTAGCATTTCCTTGTTCATGTTGCATATGTGGAGGCCTATTTATAATCCCCCTATTTGTACTTGGGGACACCAGTAAAATGTGTGACCATGCTTTGACGAGTGCAAAACACTGTATTAAAGTGAAGTGTTGTTGTCGTTTTTATAGATGCAGAAAAAGCTGCAAAATTAAGACCATAGAGATCTCTTTTTTGGAGCCCCCAAAGACCTCATATCAGTAACTCTAAGCTCTCAGTCATTCTGACAGTTGATCATCATTTATTAAGAACCCACTAAAACAGATATCAGGTGGTTCCTGCTAAACAGCTATCAGGCGGTTCCTGCTAAACAGATATCAGGTGGTTCCCGATTGTATCCTAAGTACAATAATACACTTTATATGGCAGGTTGCTTTTTGAAAGCCAAGCAAGATGTTTCTAATCCCCACTAACTGCTATCGGAGCTTTCTCCTCCCAGGCACAGTGGCTGGCACGTTATCGGAGTGGCAGTGTCATTCCTAGCCCTAGGATCTTTTGTGATTGTGGCATCCTTATCTTCAAAGGACCAAAGTGCTTCTCAAGGAGGGAAGTGACCCACAACCTCCACTGGGCTCTTTGTTGAAGGAGAAAACATCCAAAATCCAGCGTCTAGAGGAGGACTGGCAAAGCCAGAAGGCCAAATTGCAAGCCCAGGTAGGACAACCCTGGTGGGGATGTGCCCCCTTCCTGAGATCCTGCCCCCTCCTTTTTACAAACTTGGAAATGCATGCAGGGCCTGATTCACATCCAAGCTGGGAAGGCATTACAGGACCAGGGCAAAGTGGGATTCTTGGTTTTATTTATTCATTCATTCCAAACCTGTTGCAGCCAGGCACGGTGGCTCACGCCTGTAATCTCAGCACTTTGGGAGGCCGAGGGGGGCAGATCACTTGAGGTCAGGAGTTCGAGACCAGCCTGGCCAACATGGTGAAACCCCATCTCTACTAAAAATACAAAAATTAGCTGGGTATGTGGCGGGCGCCTGTAATCCCAGCTACTCGGGAGGCTGAGGCAGGAGAATTGCTTGAACCTGGGAGGCAGAGGTTATAGTGAGCCGAGATCGCACCGCTGCACTCCAGCCTGGGTGACAGAGCAAGACTCTGTCTCAAAAAGAAAATAAAAAACCTGTTGTGCTAATGAGCACTCACTATGAGCCACTGATGATTCATCAATGCACAAACCAGACAAAATACCTTACATTTTATGGCCAGGTGTGGTGGTTCACACCTGTAATCCCAGCACTCTGGGAGGCTGAGGCAGGAGGAATGCTTGAGCCTAGGAGTTCAAGACCAACCAGGCCAACATAGCAAGACTCTGTCTCTACAAAAAATAAAAAAAAATTACCGGGCATGGTGACATGTGCCTGTACTCCCAGCTACGCGGCAGGCTGAGGCGGGAGGGTCGCTTGAGCTTGGGAGTTCGAGGCTGCCGTGAGTCGTGATCACACCACTGCACTCCAGCCTGGGTAACAAAGCAAGACCCTGTCTCAAAAAAAAAAAAAAAGATATTTTATATATAATGATATGTATATTTTAGCAATGGAGGTGGGAACAGACAATAAATGGTTGACATAAGAAGTCAGTAAATCACGTAGTTCATTCTAAGGTAATGATGGCTCAGGAAAAAGAAAACTAGAGCAGGGCAGAGGTTTCTGGGAGGCTGTCCTGTGATGGGGGATGTGGAGTTGGGGGAGGTAGTACTACATGGGGCTATCAGGAGAATCCTTAGTGAGGAAGCCAGATTCGAGCAGCACCTGAGGGAGGAGGGGGGCTGCCACGTGGGTCCCTGGAAGGCATCAGTCCCCTAGTGATTTCTCTTGAAAGGTTGATGTCCCCACCCCTCTTTTCCTCCTTCCTGGCATTTGTGGCCCTAGCTGGAAGGACTGGCCACCCCCAGGTCCTTAAAGCTTGCAGCTTCCATCCCTTCAGAGTCTCTACAGACAGAGGAGGCTCAGCTGCATGGAGGTAACATTTAGAAAGCTTTTATTTGAAGAAAACATCCCAGGAAAGGCAAGGGGCTTAGACTGAGGGCAGGATGCCTTGTGCGCAGGTCTCACAGATGCAGCAGGCTCTGGAGCAGTGCACCAGCAACTACAGGGAGGACCTGCAGGCACTCAAGCAGCTCTCGGACCTGGAGAGGGAGAAGCTGCAGCGTGAGCTCCAGGAGACCACTCAGCAGAACCACGCCATGAAAGCCCAGCTCGAGGCTTCCCACCAGAGAGCCCTGCGCATGCTGGAGAAGGCCAGACATCAGGAACTCAAGGTGAGGGAATGACTGTGCCGTCTACTCTGTGCCGGGCACCTGCTAGGTGAGAACTGCCATGCACAAAGCCGTCCCTTTTCTACATGACATCCAATCCCCCGAGCATCTTTCCAGATTGTTATTATTGTATTCCCTTTTTCCAGATGAAGAAAGAGGCTCAGAGAGATTTTGCAACTTGCTCAGGGTCACACAGCTAGTAAATGGCAAAGGAAGCGGGCTAGGTCTGCTGGGCTTCTTGTGCTACGTTTCCCCACCTGCTTGCGACCTTGGTGGCATAAGAACGACTTGCTTTCATGACTAGAGCAGTGGCGTACATGAACACGCCAGGAAGTCAGGCTCAGTCCTGCAGCTAAAAACGAAGAGAGCAGCACAGAATTGAGAAAGAACAGCTCAGGCCGGGTGCAGTGGCTCATGCCTGTAATCCCAGCACTTTGGGAGGTGGAGGTGGGTGGATCACCTGAGGTCAGCAGTCCGAGACCAGCCTGACCAACATGGTGAAACCCTGTCTCTACTAAAAATACAAAAATTAACTCGGCGTGGTGGCAGGTGCCTGTAATCCCAGCTACTTGGGAGGCTGAGGCAGGAAAATTGCTTGAACCTGGAAGGTGGAGGTTGCAGTGAGCCAAGACTATGCCATTGCATTCCATCCTGGGTGACAGAGCAAGACTCTGTCTCAAAAAAAAAAAAAAAAAAAGAACAGCTCAGCCACAAAGACCTTTCCAAGGGTTTGGGAAATTGTACTGTGTTAAACAACTATGGATAATCTGGTGGGGTGGTTCAGGCATGTTTCATCCAGCGCCTTCTACCTTGTGGCCTGGCTTAAACACGGCTTTCTCAGAGGGTGTTCCCTTCCTGCCGTCTTAAGCAGTTCCTTGAAGAGGTGTCCCACAAAAACAAGGGAGCAAACCAAGGGAGAGGGAATAAAAGAGAGCTACGATGCCAGGGATTCAATTCAGGAGCAAGAAGGAAGGTTTGAGGAGTCTGGTTTTGCTGCTGGACAACAGCTCAGTCCAGGCTGCAGCAAGGAACTGAGGGCTCTGGAAGAGCTGTCTCCAGGGGAAAGCAAAACTGATGGATTCTCTGACAGATTTGGCCATGTGGAAAATTGCACTGTGTGTTTTACAAAGCATTTAGAAGTTGTAGGAAGACTTTGCCAGATAGCCAAAGGAAACTAAACAAATAAAAAATGCAGCATTTACTAATGCAAGGAAAAACAAAAAGCTGCATGAGGCAGAAGTTCAATCATAATAATTCATTTAGCTCAATAGTGAATAATATTTACATATTCTCAATAAGGAAAATATGAAGTATACTTCAATATATTAAAAATATATATTGTATACTATGTAAAAGGAATGGAAGAGAGTGAGTGAGACCTAAAATGCTGATCTACTGTAGTAGGAAGACAATTCATAGTCTCAAAAATAATCAAGATACAGTAGACTGGAAACATTGTCTTTTTAATGCTGGTAAATACAACAAGAAACAAGGAGTTGACAATGGCTGCCTCCGAGGACAGGAGACAGAGAGGGAGGAGGAAAGGACTAGGAGGCTGCTTATTTTCCTTTCTTTTAATACTATTTGGCTCTTTATACTATCTGCACATATTCCCCTGATAAGAATATAAGAGAAGCTTTAAAAAAAAGAAAGTCGAGCATTGTGGCTCACGCCTGTAATGCCAGCACTTTGGGAGGCCAAGATGAACAGACCACTTGAGGCCAGGCGTTCAAGACCAGCCTGGCCAACATGGTGAAATCCCATTGCTACTAAAAATACAAAAATTAGCCAGGTGTCATGGTGCGTGCCTGTAGTCCCAGCTACTCAGGAGGCTGAGGCAGGAGAATTGCTTGAACCTGGGAGGCAGAGGTTGCTGTGAGCTGAGATCACACCATTGCTCTCCAGCCTGGGCAACACGGCAAGACTCCGTCTCAAAACAAAGCAAAAAAAGAAAGAAGAAAGGAAATAATGCACATGGACTGCCGGGCACTTACTAGGTATTCAAAAAAGATGTCAGTTTCCTTATTTCTTCAATCCTTCTAAATCTTTTTTCACTTTGGCTTACAATCTGCAAGAGCTCAGCTTGGGGAGATTCCCAGGTGTATTCACTGCTGGGTGACATGGACCTTTGTGTATCCCTGAGCTTTATTCCTTCATGCTGTGGACCCCAATTTCTCACATGAGGCAGAGAGGCAGGAGGCTTCACTCACCTGAGGCGGGGAGTTCCAGGGGCTCTAGGGGGTTGGACCCATGAGGTCTGAGTCCCGGCCAAAGGAAAGTGAAAGGACACTCTGCCCATCGGGTATAAGCCCCAGTTCCTGTGTCGGCGAGTAGGAATGGGCTGCCTGGGTTCAAGTCCTGGATCTGCCATTTACAAAGTGTGGGAGCTCGGATAGGTCATTAGGTTCTTTGTGCCTCAGTTTCCTCATTTATAAAATGATAGATGGTAGTATGAATCTTATGAGATGGTTATGAAGATCAAAAGGGACACTGCATGTAAAGTACTTAGAACAGTGCATGGCTGAGTAACAGCTTGGTTTTTAAAAGGTTCACTTTTATTGTTCACTCATCTATTCTGCAGGCATTCACTGAGTAGCTACCACGAGCTGCCATCACGCAGAGCTGCAGAGATACCAGATGATCACTACACTATGTGTCCTTACGTAGCTTACCTCTAGGGGAAAAGGCAGCCCCTCAAACAGGTTGCTGGGATCAGTGGGTGGAAGCCATGAGGGAGTTGTCTAAGGTATTTGGAAGCACTGGGAATGGAGACTTTACATAATATAGGACTTTTGGAGAGACAGGGTGAAACTAGGTCCCTCAGGAGGCCCCAAACTGGCCACAACAAGAGCAGGGTAACCCTCCCATAGCAGCTGGAGAAATTCACCAGGAATGAGTCTCCAATTTGCCCTGAGCCCTGAGTGCTGCACCCTGTGTGATCCTCACTGCCAAGGGCTCCTGAGCAAGTGAGTGGGCAGTGCTGACCTGAACCTTTACTTGCCCCCAGGGATGGAGAGAGGCTGGGTCAGAGTGAGAGAGTTTGGCTCCGTCTTGCAAAGCCAGGCTTCAACCTCTCCATCCCCATTTCCCTGGGGATAAACATGTCACCAATTGGTGTTCTCTGAGCCTTGCAGCAAGGGAAAGAGGAGGAAGGTATCAGAGAATTTGAAAAGTATGAGCCTTTTCTGTTTTATTAAATAAACTCGCAATCAGGCATGGTGGCTCACGCCTGTAATCCCAGAACTTTGGGAGGCCAATGCGGGAGGATCACTTGAGGCCAGGAGTTTGAGGTTAGCCTGGGCAACATAGGGAGAACTAAGCACTACAAAAAAAATTAGCCAGGTGGAGTAGTGAGCATCTGTGGTCTCAGCTACTCAAGACGCTGAGATGGGAGGATGACTTGGGCCCAGGAGGTCAAGGCTGAGGTGAGCCATGATTGCGCCGCTGCACTCCAGCTGGGCAACAGAGTGAGACCTCGTCTCAAAAAAAGAAAAAGAAAAAGACATTTGGCACAGAATGACTGCGTTTCCCCTGGGAGGAGTGAGACCAGTTCCCTATTGCTATCCCCGGTGACAGGTGGCAGAGACAGGCTGAGGAAAGCTTCCACATGACCCGCTGGGTTTGGGAGGCCAACTTGGGCTCAAAGGTGGTTGAATTCTTCCCTCACAGGAGCCTCATGCATTTGGTGAAATCCCAGAGGAAATTTGGTGAAATGCCCACTGCATGAGTGAGTGGAAAGGGCTTGGGCCCTGGACTCCATCACTCATGGGTCACAATCCTGCCTCTTCCATCACCTCTCTGCAGGCAGGTTCCCTGCCTTTCTAGCCCCAGTTTCCTGCTCTGTTGAAAAATATGGCAGCAGGGGCGGGTGCTGGGGCGTGGTGGCTCATGCCTGCAATCTCAACACTTCGGGAGGCTGAGGCAGGAGGATTGCTTGAGCTTCGGAATTTGAGACCAGCTGGGTAACATAGTGAGACCCTCCCTCTATATATATATAAAAAAGAGTTTAAAAAGATGAGGGGATAATAATTTCCATATCTTTTTCTGTGTGACCCTGGGAAACCAAATTCATCTCTCCAATGCCCATCTCTCATTTCCTCATCTAAAACCTGGGGATATATATTAACTGGAACTCTGCTAACTGGAAAAAAAAAAAAAAGCAGAAACTATATTAGTTTCCTATTGCTGCTGTAACAAATTAGCACAAGCCTGGTGGCTTAAAACAACACAGATTTATTATCTGACAATTCTAGAGGTCAGAAATCCAAAAATCAAGGAATTGGCAGGGCTGGTTCCTTCTAAAGACTCCAGAGGAGAATCTGTGTCCTTGCCTTTTCCACCTTCTAGAGGCCGCCTGAGTTCCGTGGCTTCTGGTCCCTTCCTGCATTATCAAAGCCAAAAGTGTAGCAGCTTCAAATCCCCCTCCCCCTCCCTCTCTGACCTCTGCTTCCACCATCAACTCTTTTCTCACTGAGCCTCCTACGGCCCTCTTATAAGGACCCTTGTGATTGAGGCCCACCCAGATATTTCAGGATAATCTCCCATCTAAGATCCTTAATCACATCTGCAAAGTCCCTTTGACCATGTAAGGTAACATACTCAGTTTTCAGACATGGACATCTTAGGGGTTGTTTTTGTGCCTCTCACAGAAACCAGCTTGAGTGAAGTTAGGCAGGCAGTGAAGAGACACTTATTAAAGTTTACCCAGCTGCTCACAGAACTTGCTTTGGGTGTTTGACACACAGTGGGACTTCAGTAAATAAATGTTTGTTGAGTGAAAGCGTGAATGAACCAAAAATAAAAAGTAGGGAAAAAAAGAATGAATGAATATGAACCCAAGGACAGAGACACAGACAGTTCTCAGGACCAAACAAGAGCATGGACTGAAAAGCTGTAGGGACCCCTCACCCTTCCCTATGTCATTCTGCTCTGCTGTGCACACCAGCCCTGGGCTTCCTCCACAGACAGCAGCCATCACCACACTAGTCCTGGGGCAGATGTCAGATAGTTACCTTAGTGCTCCTGAGTATGGTAAATTTGGAGCCACAGAGTCAGTATCTGTCTGTCAGTCTCTTTTGCTCTATCTCCCACCTCTTCATGTCAAATTTACATTAAAGGAACTTTGATTGGCCCAGGTTAGAACAGGTGTCCACTCTGGCCCAATCAGCTGTGGAAGGAGGTGGTTCACCTGGTGCAAAATGGCTGCTGTGGCCAGGCCATTGCTACAGCATTCTCTGTAGCCTGATAAGCCCTCCATGGGAGAGTGCGAGTGTTCAGAGCATCCTGGCTCAGAAGAGCTTGGCAAAGGAGTCAGGTCTCCCACCCTCATGCCCACTTTCATGCCTTCTTGTTCCCACTTTTTCCCACAGGCCACAGAGGAACGCTTGAAGAAGGAATCCAGCCACAGCCTCCAGATCCAACACCAGACACACCGACTGGAGCTCCAGGCCTTGGAGGAAAAGGCCAGGCAAGAGCTGCAGGAGGAGCGTGAGAGGATGCAGGCACAGCAGGCCCTGCTGCTAGGTATACACCCAATAGTGTACTGAGGAGGGCCTGGCCAACTGCAGGGTCTGCATGTAGAAACCAGAGACAAGCTGAGGGCCAGGGCTCCAGGGTTCTCGGGCTCACAGGCCACGGCTCCGGGAATCTCAGGCTCACAGGCCAGGGCTCCAGGGCTCTCAGATTCACAGGCCAGGGCTCCAGGCTCTCAGGCACACAGGCCAGGGCTCCAGGGGTCTCGGGCTCACAGGCCAGGGCTCCAGGAATCTCAGGCACACATGTCAGGGACAATCCTGGCTCTGCCACCAACTAGCTGTGAAACCTGGGATGGCTTACTGTGAGTCTCATTTTCCTTTTGTATAAAATTGAATTACAGTTGTCCCTACCTCATAGGCTCACTGTGTGGATTAAATGAGATATTAAACATAAAGGCCGGGTGTGGTGGCTGACGCCTGTAATCCCAGCACTTTGGGAGGCTGAGGCGGGTGGATCACAAGGTCAGGAGATAGAGACCATCCTGGCTAACACAGTGAAACCCCGTCTCTACTAAAAATACAAAAAATTAGCCGGGCGTGGTGGCAGGTGTCTGTAGTCCCAGCTATTCGGGAGGCTGAGGCAGGAGAATGGCGTGAACCCGGGAGGCAGAGCTTGTACTGAGCCGAGATGGCGCCACTGCACTCCAGCCTGGGCGACAGTGCAAGACTCAAAAAAAAAAAAAAAAAAAGATATTAAATATAAAGTGTCTAGCATATAACAGGAGCCCAGTGAATGTAGATACTATCATTATCATCATCATCATTATTATTGCATGTAACCCAGATCTCTGAGCCTTCATATGAGTTTCATGGCATTGCCTCAACCTCTCATTTCTGTTCTGAAGATTTCGGCAAATTGGAGGATCTTAGGCCTCCAGGCTCTGCTTCCTCTGCCTGCCCCCACATCATCCCCAGCACAAAACTCTCCCCCTTTTCAGTTGCCACATCAATAAAACCACTCACACACAGCATCTTCGAAGTTAACAGAGGTAAAGATCTCTAGAGCCAAACTGCCTGGGTGTGAAGCCCAGCTCTAACACTCACTAGCTGTGTAACTTTGGGTAGGAATTTGCTTAACTGCTCTGTACCTCAGTCTCCCATCTCTAAAATGAGGATAATAATAGCATTCACTTCACTGGGCTGTAATGACAATTACTTGAGTAAATGCATGAGAAGTGCTTCAAATAGAGCCTGGTATGCAGTAAGTCTATCTAAGTGTTCCCTGTTACATTATGACTGAATGTTTCTTTTCTTCTTTTTTTTTTTTTTTTTTTTTTTTTTGAGACAGAGTCTTGCTCTGTCGCCCAGGCTGGAGTGCAGTGGCATGATCTCAGCTCACTGCAAGCTCCGCCTCCTGGGTTCACACCATTCTCCTGCCTCAGCCTCCCGAGTAGCTGGGACTACAGGCGCCCGCCACCACGCCCGGCTAATTTTTCTGTATTTTTAGTAGAGACGAGGTTTCACCGTGTTAGCCAGGATGGTCTCGATCTCCTGACCTCGTGATCCACCCACTTCAGCCTCCTAAAGTGCTGGGATTACAGGCGTGAGCCACTGCGCCCGGCCATGACTGAATATTTCAATGTTGTATGCCTGATTCTGGAGACCTCTCTCATTTTTGTAGATCATCCCTGTCCCTCATTTTCTCCTTTACTGTCATCTTTCTTACTCTTAAGAGCAAGACAAATAACCTCTCACCATTTCATGCTGAGCACTAAAGATCATGTTGGCTTTATTAAGTATTTCTTCCAAACCTAGACAGGGCTCTCCTTAAGAGATTTCTGGGTGCTGAGTGTGGTGGCTCATGCCTGTAGTCTCAGCACTTTGGGAGGCCAAGGTGAGAGAGGATCACGTGAGGTCAGTAGTTCAAGACCAGCCTGGACAACATAGCAAGACCCCCATCTCTTTAAAAAAAAAAATTAGGAAAAGTAAAAAGAGAATTCTGGAGGACAGCATTTTCTTTACCTCCATAAGTGAGTTAGGCTCTACCTTGCTGCTTGGTTGAGTTCTCATTAGAAAGCGTGTCCCACTGACTGCATGTTTCTGAGGAAGTGGTGTGAGGAGCAGGAAGGAAAGAGTTTCGTAGACTTCCCAGTTAGCAGCTACCCTGGAATGGAGGTGCCTACATGGGAAATGCTGAAGTTAGCAGCATGTAAAGATAGAACCCAGGCTGTGCCACATGGCTCAGGTCCAAGGCTCCCCATGTACAGGTCAGGCTGGACATCCTGGTGATTCCAACACCCAGCAGCAGCTGCCAGTGCAGCTGTCCCTGCCACCCCTTCCCTGGCTTTTCTGACTCCACAGCAGCCCCATTCTTCCCCAAAGAAAAGAATCAGGAGAGATCCCTGGAAAGACCCTGGGGAAAGGCTGGGCTTCTCAGCACCAGTCCCAAGAAGAAGGGGCTTTGTGGACTCTGTGATGACAACAAATCATAGGCTTCAAGGGAAGGTGCAAGCACCTACAGTAATGGCAGGTTGATATGAGATATTCCTGATGCTGATTATTCTTCTTCTTATATCTGTGTGAGACACAACTGACCTGCAATACTATAGGTCCCTGTGAGAGGGCAGGGAGGGTGGGTGTTTACTAGAGGGTTGGGACCTAGACATGCTAGATGGATGGATGGATGGATGGATGGACAAGTGGATGGGGGTGTGGGTGGATGGGTAGTTGGGTGGACAGGTGGAGGGACAGAAAAATGAGTGGATGGATGGACAGGAGGAAGGATGGATGGATGGATGGACAGACAGACAAATGGAGATGTGTGGATGGGCAGATGGTTGGGCAGACAAATGGGTGGACACACAGATGGATGGGTGGATGATTGGGTGGGCAACCAATGGGTGGACACACGGATGGGTGGATGATTGGGTGGGCAACCAATGGGTGGATCAGTGGATGGATGAATGGATGGACAGATGGGTAGACAGATAGATGGGTGGATGGATGGATGAGTGGGTGGATGGATGGATGGACAGGTGGATGGATGGACAGGTGGATAGAAGGATGGATAGGTAGATGGATAGATGAATGGTGGGAAGGTATGAGAGAGGAGGGTAAAGAATGAATACCCTATAATTTATGATTTGGTAAAGAGTTTTATTGCATATATCTTGTGATAACAGTTTTCAAAAAATGGGGTTATGTTTGGATTTTTTTTTAAGAAAATAAGCTATAGAAATCACTTTATCAAAATTCTGCTGGAAAGATTACGAAGTAAATTTTTTTTTTTTTTTTTGAGATGGAGTCTTGCTTTGTCACCCAAGCTGGAGTGCAGTGGTGTGATCTCAGCTCACTGCAAGTCCCACCACCCGGGTTCACACCATTCTCCTGCCTCAGCCTCCTGAGTAGCTGGGACTACAGGCACCTGCCACCACGCCTGGCTAATTTTTTGTATTTTTAGTAGAGACGGGGTTTCACCATGTTAGCCAGTATGGTCTCGATCTCCTGACCTCGTGATCCACCCACGTCGGCCTCCCAAAGTGCTGGGATTTCAGGCATGAGCCACCACGCCTGGCCAATTTTTCATCTTAATATCATCCAAATACACTATGCTTTTACATGTGCTTAATATAGTTAACCTTTGAGGGAAGGTTAGTAAGCTTATAGGAAAGCTTTTATAATGAATACACTTTTATCACCTCATCCATTTTCACTCTAAAGATCATTTGTTTATTTTACAAATATATGTTGAGCACTTGCTCTGTACTAAAACCTGTGCTAGGTGCTTATGGAATGATCAGAACAATGTTTCAAAGGTTATTTTCAATAACTAAAATACAGAGTCTCAAAAGCTCATTACAGAAAAGTGAAGTATCAAATTTACAAGCACTTAAAAAGTATCTTTTTTAAAAGGAATATCTCACTAAATAGCATCTGCTCTATCAGAAAATATTCATTTTGAAATAATTGTTTCAATCATGCCGGGAAGTGTCTAGTGTACTAGAAATCAGTCTCCATCCTCAGAGGGGAAGCTGGAGTTGGAAGCTCGAGTTTCTGGCCTTACTCTCCCCTGAGTTTAAGAGAACGTACACATCTCTCCTGGATGATTCCATTTTAGTCCCTATCCTGCTGGGATGACATGCCATCTCCTACCTCCATGATCCAGCCAAGACCCCACACCAGTGGAAAGAAGAACCTGTGAACATTTTGTCTTAAGAGGATATTGGCCGGGTACTGTGGCTCACGCGCTATAATCCCAGCACTTTGGGAGGCTAATGTGGGTGGATCACTTGAGGTCAGGAGTTCGAGACCAGCCTGGCCAAAATGGTGAAACCCCATCTCTACTAAAAAAAAAAAAAATACAAAAATTAGCCAGGTGTGGTGGTGCTTGCCTGGTCCCAGCTACTCCGGAGGCTAAGGCAGGAGAATTGCTTGAACCTGGGAGGTGGAGGCTGCAGTGAGCCGAGATCGTGTCACTGCACTCCAGCCTGGGAAACAAACCGAGACTCCATCTCAAAAAAAAATAAAAAAGAGTTGACATAAATTTCAAAATTTCCAACTTGAGACCATCGCCCCCAGAAGAGGCCTTTTCGGTCATTTGATAATTTCCTGTTCTTTGCCTGGCCTCCTAACTTGATGCTGAGGCCAAGCGTTGTCACAGAATGCCCTGGGCTCAGGCCATGCTGCCCACACCTGCCACCCATCCTAACCAACCAGTAGAGGGCAAGCACGGGGTTCAGAGTGAAGAACCACTTGAAATTTTGCATCTCAACTCCACCATTTAATAGCTGTGTGGCTTTGGGCATTGTGCTCACCCTCTCTGATGCTCAGGTCCCTCATCCTAAAATGAAGCGGGGGTGGGGGATAATTCATACCAGAAAAGTTGGTGGTGGGACTTAAATGAGAACAGTTTTCACACATGGCCCTGTTGTTACTGTTACCTTGGAAAAGGTTTGGGGAACCTAACCCACCACAAGCCTTCAGCAGCCACCCACGTCATCCAACCCCACCCCAGAGACTGTTGTCCCCATGACACAGGCTTCAGCCTAGACCCAACGCCTAACTCACTGCTGCTCTCCCTTTTCCAGAGTCGCTCAGACAGGAGCTGTCGGAGCAGCAAGCTGCCTGTTCTGGGCACCAGAAGGACTTGGAGGCACTGCAGGCCGAGCTGAGGGCTCTGGGCAGACAGCAAGCCAGCAGCCAGTGTCCAGGAGACAGCAAGGATCACATAATCGCCACAGAGGTCAGTGCCCCCGCCCTTGCACCAGCAATACCCCTCCCAGAGCAGCATCAGGGCCGCAGTAAGAAGCCCCATAAAGGATGGGCTCTGAGGCTGAGTGCAGTGGCTCACACTTGGAATCTAGCACTTTGGGAGGCCAAAGCCAGAGAACCACTTGAGGCCAGGATTTCAAGACCAGCCAGGGCAACATAGCAAGACTATATCTCTACAAAAAAAAATTGAAAATTAGCTGGGCGTGGTGGCATATGCCTGTAATACTGGCTCGGGAGTCTGAGGCAGGAGGATCACTTGACCAGGAGTTCCAGGCTGTGGTGAGCTATGATTGTGCCACAGTACTCTAGCCTGGGCAACATAGCAAGACCCTGTCTCAAAAAAAAAAAAAAAAAAGGGATGGGCTCTGGGTACTTGGTCATTCCCCTCCCCCCTGCCCGAAGTGGGGAAGACCCTTCTCCACAGGCCTGTGGGATACTTGGTGGGCCTGCAGGGTCTTGTCTTCGAAAAGAAAAAAAAAAAGGTTTTAAGTGCTGCATGTTATTTATAATTCAGACGCAATGGTATCTCAGGGTGTTGGTGCTAGATAGGCCCTCGATGCAGCTGGTCTGGGCTACTCCTCTGGATCTGCAGAACATTTTGAATTTCTCAGAACATTTTACCAGACAGGCTCCATCTAGACCTTGCTGTTCCCCTAAGTGGAGCAGCTTTGTTGTCACCCAGGCTCAGTGCCAACTCTCTTTCCTCTTCCTGCTCAGACTTTGCCCATCAGCCCCTTCCCTGCACATCCATCATTCCTGGTCTAGCTGGGTGGCAGTCACCTCCTAACAGCCCAGCCCTCTCTCCCTCCAGTCCATAACGTACAGCTTCAGCTATTCTCCCAAAGCCCAGCATCACTTTCTTTTCTTTTTTTATTATTATTATATTTTAAGTTCTAGGGTACATGTGCACAATGTGCAGGTTTGTTACATATGTGTGCATGTGCCATGTTGGTGTGCTGCACCCATTAACTCGTCATTTACATTAGGTATATCTCCTAATGCTATCCCTCCCCACTACCCCCACCCCACAACAGTCCCCGGTGTGTGATGTCCCCCTTCCTGTGTCCAAGTGTTCTCATTGTTCAATTCCCACCTATGAGTGAGAACATGTGGTGTTTGGTTTTTTGTCCTTCTGATATTTTGCTGAGAATGATGGTTTCCAGCTTCATCCATGTCCCTACAAAGGACATGAACTCATTCCTTTTTTATGGCTGCATAGTATTCCATGGTGTATATGTGCCACATTTTCTTAATCCAGTCTATCATTGTTGGACACTTGGGTTGGTTCCAGGTCTTTGCTATTGTGAATAGTGTTGCAGTAAACATACGTGTGCATGTGTCTTTATAGCAGCATGATTTATAATCCTTTGGGTATATACCCAGTAATGGGATGGCTGGGTCAAATGGTATTTCTAGTTCTAGATCCTTGAGGAATCACCACACTGTCTTCCACAATGGTTGAACCAGTTTACAGTCCCACCAACAGTGTCAAAGTGTTCCTATTTCTCCACATCCTCTCCAGCACCTGTTGTTTCCTGACTTTTTAATGATCACCATTCTAACTGGTGTGAGATGGTATCTCATTGTGGTTTTGATTTGCATTTCTCTGATGGCCAGTGATGATGAGCATTTTTTTCATGTGTCTTTTGGCTGCATAAATGTCTTCTTTTGAGAAGTGTCTGTTCATATCCTTCACCCACTTGTTGATGGGGTTGTTTGTTTTTTTGTTGTAAATTTGTTTGAGTTCTTTGTAGATTCTGGATATTAGCCCTTTGTCAGATGAGTAGATTGCAAAAATTTTCTCCCATTCTGTAGGTTGCCTGTTCACTCTGATGGTAGTTTCTTTTGCTGTGCAGAAGCTCTTTAGTTTAATTAGATCCCACTTGTCAATTTTGGCTTTTGTTGCCATTGCTTTTGGTGTTTTAGACATGAAGTCCTTGCCCATGCCTATGTCCTGAATGGTAATGCCTAGGTTTTCTTCTAGGGTTTTTATGGTTTTAGGTCTAACATTTAAGTCTTTAATCCATCTTGAATTAATTTTTGTATAAGGTGTAAGGAAGGGATCCAGTTTCAGCTTTCTACATATGGCTAGCCAGTTTTCCCAGCACCATTTATTAAATAGGGGATCCTTTCCCCATTTCTTGTTTTTGTCAGGTTTGTCAAAGATCAGATAGTTGCAGATATGTGGTATTATTTCTGAGGGCTCTGTTGTGTTCCATTGGTCTATATCTCTGTTTTGGTACCAGTACCATGCTGTTTTGGTTACTGTGGCCTTGTAGTATAGTTTGAAGTCAGGTAGCATGATGCCTCCAGCTTTGTTCTTTTGGCTTAGGATTGACTTGGCGACGCAGGCTCTTTTTTGGATCCATATGAACTTTAGTTTTTTCCAATTCTGTGAAGAAAGTCATTGGTAGCTCGATGGGGATGGCATTGAATCTATAAATTACCTTGGGCAGTATAGCCATTTTCACAATATTGATTCTTCCTATCCATGAGCATGGAATGTTCTTCCATTTGTTTGTATCCTCTTTTATTTTGTTGAGCAGTGGTTTGTAGTTCTTGAAGAGATCCTAAACATCCCTTGTAAGTTGGATTCCTAGGTATTTTATTCTCTTTGAAGCAATTGTGAATGGGAGTTCACTCATGATTTGGCTCTCTGTTTGTCTGTTATTGGTGTATAAGAATGCTTGTGATTTTTGCACATTGATTTTGTATCCTGAGACTTTGCTGAAGTTGCTTATCAGCTTAAGGAGGTTTTGGGCTGAGACAATGGGGTTTTCTAGATATACAATCATGTCGTCTGCAAACAGGGACAATTTGACTTCCTCTTTTCCTAATTGAATACCCCTTCTTTCTCCTGCCTGATTACCGTGGCCAGAACTTCCAACACTATGTTGAATAGGAGTGGTGAGAGAGGGCATCCCTATCTTGTCCCAGTTTTCAAAGGGAATGCTTCCAGTTTTTGCCCATTCAGTATATGATATTGGCTGTGGGTTTGTCATAAATAGCTCTTATTATTTTGAGATACATCTCATCAATACCTAATTTATTGAGAGTTTTTAGCATGAAGGGCTGTTGAATTTTGTCAAAGGCCTTTTCTGCATCTATTGAGATAATCATGTGGTTTTTGTCGTTGGTTCTGTTTATATGCTGGATTATGTTTATTGATTTGTGTATATTGAACCAGCCTTGCATCCCAGGGATGAAGCCCACTTGATCATGGTGGATAAGCTTTTTGATGTGCTGCTGGATTTGGTTTGCCAGTCTTTTATTGAGGATTTTTACATCAATGTTCATCAGGGATATTGGTCTAAAGTTCTCTTTTTTTGTTGTGTCTCTGCCAGGCTTTGGTATTAGGATGACCAGCATCACTTTTCATAAAGCCTTTGGTGGTTCCCATTGGAGAAAGCTCCAAATGCTTCAACTTGGCATTGAAAAGCTTCCACCACTGATTATGACCTGTATGTCCTGCCATATTCCCTGCGGCTCATAAACCCGGCATCTGCACCCTCCCTTTGGCCTTCGCCTGTGCCACTCCTCCTGCCTGAGATGCTGCCCAGCATATCTCATGCTGGGGGCCTTCCCTGGCACACAGTGGCCCCCTCTGGCTCTGAGATCCTGGAGCACTTGTTGTCAAGACAGCTCAGCTGGCTCTAGGATCTACCGCCCGGTCCTGTTGGGGACATGCCATTTCATAGATGTCCTTGTTGCCTAGACTGGATCAGGAGTCTTTTGAGGATAACCTGTCTGCCTGCCTCATCGCCTCCCCACCCCCACTCCCAGCCCTCAGCAGGGTCTCCACCAGTGCCTGTGGGTGGTGAGGATTCATTGGTGGCCAGTCCTGCTGAAGGACCGGGGGACATGGGAATCATGTGTGCCAGATTTAGCTGTTGCTGAGCATAGGAAGGCAATTTCTGTGTTTATGTGAAAAATATTAACAAATGATGAATCACAGGTTAGCCCAGTGGTT
The DNA here is from genome assembly GCF_000001405.40 of Homo sapiens. Lineage (NCBI taxonomy): Eukaryota > Metazoa > Chordata > Mammalia > Primates > Hominidae > Homo > Homo sapiens. Next base: position 17,643,637 of record NC_000004.12, on the reverse strand, counting down.
AGGTCTAGCAGAGGGAAGACAGAACGTGTTCCATTAAGTGTTTAGATGGGTGGGAGCCACTGGTACCAATGGGAGGGGACGGGAAATGTGGGATGGAGACAGCTGGGGACTGGGCCATGGAGGGAGTCAGTGTTCACCTGAGGGCTCTGGATAGAAGCCAAGGAGCACTGAGTACATGAGCCGATACGTGGCCACCCATGCACCAGCCCTCACCTTTGCCCCATAGGAGGGAAGCCCTGAACCCTCTAGAAGGAAAGTGTGGTCTCAGGTGATACCCCACACAGAGAGGAGATGCAGGGGTGTCGGCAAAGAGGAACAGCCCAGGCAGCAGGAGTCAAAAAGGAAAGGGGAGGGGACACAATGCCAGGCTGCAGGCCCAAGCTGGCCACCGCTGAGCTAAGTGGAGTCTGTCCTACTGGGATCTAATTCTCATATCTCTCCCACCCAGAGACCCAAGAGGGGAATGCATTTTTCCATCTGTTTCTGTCCTCCATTGGTCAAGGATTGTCCCCACAGAGCAGTAACCCCCCTGCTCTTGCTCTTCCAGGCTATGCATGTGAGAGTGCCAAGTGGGTGCCCACGGGCATCCCACATCATGCCAACCCCAGAGCAGGAAGGCAGAGACATGGGGCCTGGGCCACAGATTCTCCCCGTGCACAGCTGTGCAATTACTGTGTGCAGTGAACTAATACATGCACAAGTGGTCGGGCATGTTTGAGTGAATTTGAAAACTGGAACATTCACTAATCACAGATTAAATCTGACTCCATTTGCTGTTGGACAGCAATTTTTGTGTTTCTACCTGAACTACAGACATTCTAGCACAATTCTGTTTAGCAAGCATTCACGTGGCACCTATAGAATACACCAGGCTAGGTGCTACAGGGTTGGAAAGATGAAGAGAGGAATAGCTCCCAATCTAGCCAAGGAAACCAGCATGGACACATATTCTCTTCAGTGTCACCCCTTACAGAGCCAGAGTTAGCAAGATTTGGTGGTATTAGAGAAAGCTTATCAGTTCCCCCTGAGAGGTAGGGAAGACTTCACTGAGGCAGTATCACTTCACTGAACACTTAACTTCACGGAGGGAAGACTTCACTGAGGCAGGCATGGAGGGCACCCTGGCAGGTGGAGTGTGGAGTGTGGTTGGTGTTCATTTGGATGCAAGACCCATTCTTAGCTCAGCAGTTTTATTAAACTCTAAGGGCCAGATTTGGCCAACTCCCAAAGGAGGAAATTTTTTAAGAGACTAGATGGGAGTCCCTGCAGGGAACTCAGGAGCCTGCCACAGGCTCCAGCCTGGGCGGGGTGCCAGTGGGTCTCCATCTCGCCGCAGCACATCTCTGGCCCTTTCTGCCTTGTCTGCCCCTGCGCCTCCTGAAAACACCTCTCCTGGTTGCCTTCCTCAGGAGCGGGGCGGCCCGGGCCAGGCCGGCTCCCCACCGGGCGCTGCTGGGCAGGGTTCCGGCGAGGGATGCGGGCTCTGGGAGGAGAACGCGCAGCTCCAGGACGCGGTGCGGCGGCTGCGCGCGGAGGTGGAGCAGCATCAGCAGGAGGCGCAGAAGCTCCGAGACCAGCGCAGGTGGGTGACCCGGCGCGCCCCGCCACCGCGCCACCCTCACCCCCTACCCCGCCACCCCCCCTCCCCCTACTGCGGCTGGCTGAGCCTGAGACCTGAAATGGGTCACTGCCTCGGCATCCTGCCCCACAAGACACTAGACACTGAATGCGCCAGCATTTCACAGATGTTACTCCTCTGACCCATGAAAAGTCCCAGAGCTCCAGAAATTCTGGATCTCAAAACCGCAGAGGAAGTGCCTTGAAATAAAAGAGGGAGTCTGGCTGGGCGCGGTGGCTCACGCCTGTAATCCCAGCACTTTGGTTGGCAGAGGCGGGCGCATCACGAGGTCAGGAATTCGAGACCAGCCTGGACAACATGATGAAACCCTGTCTCCACTAAAAATACAAAAAAAAAAAAAAAAAAAAAAAAAAAAGGCCGGGCGTGGTGGTGTGTGCCTGTAATCCCAGTTATTCGGGAGGCTGAGGCAGGAAAATCGCGTGAACTCGGGAGGACCAGGTTGCAGTGAGCCAAGATCGCGCCATTGCACTCCAGCCTGGGCGACAATGCAAGACTCCGTCTCAAAAAAAAAAAAAAAAAAAAAAAAAAAAAAAAAAAGAGGGAGTCCTGTTTGTTTCCCTGCAAATCAGGGCATTTATGAGACTGAGAATTGGACCAAAAGTGTCATCAAATCCAACCTTACGGAGACGGTGTAGTGGAATAGTTCAGACCATGCGGTGTCTTCTTAACTAGCTGTGCGCTCTTAATTAGCTGTGTGAGGTTGGGTGAGTTAGCTGACCTCTCCCAGACTGAGTCCTCTGTAAAATGGGGATAAGACTCCAGCCTCGGCTGGCGTGGTAGCTCACGCCTGTAATACCAGTACTTTGGGAGGCTGAGGCAGGCACATCACTTGAGGTCAGGAGTCCAAGACCAGCCTGGGCAACATAGTGAAACCCCGTCTCTACTAAAAATAGAAAAATTGGCCAAGCGTGGTGGTGCATGCCTGCAGTCCCGGCTACTCGGGAGGTTGGTGAGGGGGGATTGCTTGAGCCTGGGAGGTGGAGGTTGCACTGAGTTGAGATCGGGCCACTGCACTTCAGCCTGGGCGGCAGAGCCACAATCTGTCTCAAAAAACAAAACAAACAAAACAAAAAACCTGGCCTGTCAGGGCTGTTGTAGAGTGCAATGGAATGTGTGCAGGAGGCTTGGCATGTCCCTAGCATGAATGAAACGCTTGGTTAATTGTAGAAGTGAAAAACCTATCATCAATCCTGAACTCAGAGCCTTTCTTCCTCTTGTTGGAAAGCTTTTAATACAAATTCAATTTCTTTAAAGACACAGGATATTTCATATTATCTATTTCTTAAGTGAGCTTTAGCAGTTTGTATCTTTCAAAGAATTCGTCTATTTCATCCAAGTTTTTGAATGTCCTAATGCCAATCATAAAATTGCTCATAATTTTTTTTGTCATTTTAATGTCTGGAGGATTCCTTTTTTTTAATATTTGTCAGCTGTGTACACTGAACCCTGTTGTGTTGGCCCAAAATTGCTTTGAGCCTTGACTGTGCTTGTTCATTTATTTTCTTTTTTTTTTTTTTGAGACAGTCTTGCTCTTTTGCCCAGGCTGGAGTGCAGTGGTGCCATCTCGGCTCACTGCAACCTCCACCTCCCAGGTTCAAGTGATTCTTCTGCCTCAGCCTCCTGAGTAGCTGGGATTACAGGCGGACACCACCATGCCCAGCTAATTTTTTTTTTTTTTTTTTGTATTTTTAGTAGAGACGAGGTTTCACCATGTTGGTCAGGCTGGTCTCGAACTCCTGTCCTCGTGATCCTCCCGCCTTGGCCTCCCAAAGTGCTGGGATTACAGATGTGAGCCACCGCACCCAGCCCAATTTAATTTTCATAACCACTTCTTTTGATAAAGGTGAGGGATAAAGATTCAGGGAGTGGCCAGGTGTGGTGGCTCACGCGTGTAATCCCAGCACTTTGGGAGGCTGAAGCGCATGGATCACCCGAGGTCAGGAGTTCGAGACTAGCCTGGCCAACATGGTGAAACCCCCCGTCTTTACTAAAAATACAAAAAATTGGCTGGGCCTGGTGCTGGGCGCCTGTAATCCCAGCCACTTGGGAGGCTGAGGCAGGAGAACTGCTTGAACCCGGGAGGTGAAGGTTGCAGTGAGCCGAGATCGTGCCATTGCACTCCACCCTGAGCAACAAGAGCAAGACTCCGTCTCAAAAAAAAAAAAAAGTTCAGGGAGGCTTTCCACTGCAGTGTAGTTGTTAGGGAAGACCTGGTCTCCCAGGTCTCAGAGTCCCAGCGTTCAGGCCATACTGATAGAGAATCTCAGCCTCTTGCCTCCCCGCCTGTCCCAAGTGAAGAGTGTGTTTTCTGGGGCTCCCCTGCAGGGCTGCTCTCCATCACTTCCACCTGAAGTCTGTCCCCATGCTCAGGTTTCTCCTTCTGAGATGGGAGGGTGCTGAGAAGGGGTCCCATAGTGGGGGTTTGTCCTGGACTCCACAACTCAAGAGACTTCAGCTCTTCTTCCCACAGGTGTCCTTAGATCACAATTTCTCCCCACCCAGATCTCCCAAACTGGGCAGCGATGAGGGAAATAAACCCCAGAGCCCAAGGGGTGCCATCCCTGGAGCTGGGCAAGCCTGGCTGTGCTTTCATCCACCACAGGTTCCTGGAGGAGACTCAGCAAGCCCAGCGGGCCAGGGAGGTGGAGACACTGCGCCAGGAACACCGGAAGGAGATGCAGGCCATGGTGGCAGATTTCAGTAGTGCCCAGGCCCAGCTCCAGGCCCGGCTGGCTGCCCTGGAAGCCGAGTAAGTGAGGCCTCGGGCCCCAGGGAGGGTCTTGCAAATGTACCATTCAGTAGGGTGGCCAACTCACCCCAATGACCCTGGGATTTCCTGGTTTTCAAATTGAAAGTCCTGGGTTCTGGCCAGGCACGGTGGCTCATGCCTGGAATCCAGCACTTTGGGAGGCTGAGGCAGGTGGATCACTTGAGCTCAGGAGATGGAGACCAGCCTGGCCAACATGGCGAAACCCCATCTCTACTGAAAATACAAAATTACAGGTGTGGTGGCACACGCCTGTAATCCCAGCTACTCTGGAGGCTGAGGCAGGAGGATCACTTGAGCCCAGGAGGCAGAGCTTTCAGTGAACGGAGATCAGGACCCTGCACTCCAGCTTCAGCAACAGAGCAAGTTCAGGGCAGGAGGCGGGGTGTGGTGGGGGGAACTAGCCAGGGGCTCATCAGTCTCCCTTCATTTTATGAGGCTATGTTCCCCTTTTCTGCAGGGCAGTGGGAATTTGTGAGGATGAGCATTGGTTTAACCCTCACACTTCGAAGAAATCAGAAGGATCAGGGCTGCTCAATTAGAATTGTTATTCCCACTGGTCCCTCATGCAAACATATTGCATTTATTCATTCAACAAATAATTGTTAAGGACCCATTGTATGCCCAGCACTGCTTTAGGCTCTGGAGTTATAGCAGGGAACAAAACAAAGACAATGCTCTCATAGGCTCACAAATTCTGCTGAGAATTCGGATAAGAAATAAGCAAACAGGCTGTGCTTGGTGGCTCATGCCTGTAATCCTAGCACTTTGCATGGCTGAGGCTTGAGCCCAGGGTGGACTGCTTGAGCCCAGGAGTTCGAGACCAGCCTGGGCAACATTGTGAAACTCCGTCTCTACAAAAAATACAAAAAAAAAATTGCTGGGCATGGTGGTGTGTGCCTATAGTCCCAGCTACTTGGAAGGCTGAGGCGGGAGGATCGTCTGAGCTCAGGAGGTTGAGGTTGCAGTGATCTGTGATTGCACCCCTGCACTCCAGCCTGGGCTACAGAGAGAGAAACTCTGTCTCAAAACAAAACAAAACAAAACAAAAAAAATAGACCCTGTCTCAAAAAAAAAAAAAAAAAAAAAAAAAAAAAGCAAACAGTTAACATCATACCAGGCGGTGAAAGTGCTGGAAGACAGGATTGGGAGTGGCAAGGGTGGGCAAAACAAGGCCTCTGTGAGGAGGTGATGTTTAAGTACAAGGAGGTGAGGGCACTCCTGAGGCATCAGTGAGAGGGAGGGTGAGTGGGAGGAGAGGAGCTGGGTGAAGGGACTCCTGCCCTGATGGGAAGGAGTTTGGATGTGTTCAGAGTGCCCTGGGAAGCCTTCACAAGGCACTGGGCAGGAGTGACATGGCCTGACTTGCCTTTTCACAGGGTCACTTCTGACTGCTGAGAAGAAACAGGGGGAGGGGGTGACTAGCAAGACCATTTAGGATGTGATGGCAGCAAGCCAGGTCCAAACAGGTGAAGCCACTTGCCCAAGGTCAGGCAGCATTAATTCAGTTTAAATGTCACCTGTCTGACCTTTAGCCTGAGCTCTTAAAAACTTCTCCAGTCTCCAATACAAAGCAAATCATCCAAAAGCCAGCAGGAAAGGTTTTACCAGTTACAGTCTAACGGGCACTTACTATATGCCAGGCTCCCATTATCACATTGAATTCTCACAACCACCCAGTTTCATGCCCATTTTAAAGGAGAGGGAACTGGGGCCCACACACAGGTGAAATGATGCCCAAGGTCACATATCTAGAAAAAAGAAGAGCCAGTATTAGAGCCGGGTCATCTCACCCAAAGCCCTGGGCTCTTATCAACTCCAGTCAGTAGATTATCTGCACCCCCAGCCCTCCTCTCCTCACCACCCAGTTACTCTTCTCTGGCTTCACGCTGAAAAAGCAGTGGGGGCCGGGCGCGGTGGCCCACGCCTGTAATCCCAGCACTTTGGGAGGCCCAGGAGGGCGGATCACGAGGTCAGGAATTCCAGACCAGCCTGGCCAACATAGTGAAACCCCGTCTCCTCTAAAAATACAAAAATTTCCCTGGCACGGTGGCGCGCGCCTGTAGTACCAGCTGCTCAGGAGGCTGTGAGGCACAAGAATCGCTTGAACCAGGGAGGCGGAGGTTGCAGAGAGCCGAGACCGCGCCATTGCACTGCAGCCTGGGCGACAGAGGGAGACTCCGTCTCCAAAAAAGAAAAAAAAGGCCATAGGTACCGGCCACTGGCCGCGCTCTATGTCCGCCAGCAGATGGCGCCAGAGCATTAAGAGAACCTACGGGACATTTTCCTGCCCTGGTCTGTTCTCCCAGCAGCATCCCTGGCTCTTGAAGCCCCGCTGAGTGCAGCATCTATGTGCACACAGGGGCCTTTGCTTCCTGGCCCTGCAGCCTCAGGGGACCTGACAGAGCTGGAATCCTGGGTTCGGCAAGCCATCTCCCCAGGGGGCCCTGGGCAAGCCGCTGCTGCTATCTGGGCCTCCCTGGCCGGGCTGAACACAGGATGGCATTCCCATCGTGTGCACTTGTTCTCCCTCTTTGTTGAGTAATTGCTGTAAGGGGGACTTGACTGCATGCCTGCTTGGAACAGACTGAAAGATTCCGGAGAGAAGCCAGGGAAGGGAGCGTCCAGGCCCGAGGACCTTCAGCTCATTGGCCGCCTGCAGACCCGCCTGAAGGAGAGAGAGGACATCATCAAGCAGCTCACGGTGAGGCTGTCAGGGGGCGCCTCACCCACGCACCTGGCCGGGCACTGCGGGCTCCCCCGGGAGGGGCGTTCACTTGCACCCAGCATTTCTCTAGGTGCCCTAATATCTTACAAAGAATCCTTTCTTGCCGTGCGCGGTGGCTCAAGCCTGTAATCCCAGCACTTTGGGAGGCGGAGGCGGGTGGATCACTTGAGGTCAGGAGTTCGGGACCAGCCTAGCCATGTTGAAACCCTGTCTCTACTAAAAATACAAAAATTAGCTGGGTGTGGTTGTGGGCATCTGTAATTCCAGCTTCTAGGAAGGCTGAGGCAGGAGAATCACTTGAACCCGAGAGACAGAGGTTGCAGTGAGCCAGCATAGCGCCACTGCACTCCAGTCTGGGCGACAGAGCAAGACTGTCTCAAAGAAAAACTCCTTTCTTTTCTATTATTAAAGAAGACATACTCACTAAAAAATTAATACAGGAAAATAGGAGGCAAAAAAAAATCACTTTACTCCCAAGTCCAACAGCATTTGCCCCATGTTAATATTGGTTTTTTAACTTACAGAATTTGAGAAAATCTATAATGGCTTAGGTTTGAATTGTAGTAGAATTAGTGTTTTTATTGTTGATCTTCTTTTTGTAAAAATGACCACCTGTTTTCTACTTAGCAAAGCCACTCCCTAAGCCCCTTGGAAAGAACCCAGCTCCCTCTGATTCAGTATCCAACCAAGGCCTGCTGGTCATTTCTGCTCCTGCTCACCTGCCTCACTTCTGTATCTCTCTGTGCTTTGAAAATTAGGTGACATTGATATGGAATTATTGCTCATTTGCTACGTGTGAACAAAGGTATCATGGGTTTTTTTTTTTTTAAAGTAATCCTTATTTCTAAGAAATACATACTGATGTTTTTACAGAGAAAAATTATGTAATAACTGGAATTTAGTAATAATACAGCAGGAGAGAAAAAAGTGGAAAATGATACACACAAACAAGATCGGCCATATAGTTATTATAGGTAAAGTGGGGATGGATTTCATTACTCTCCCTATGTTTGTATATGTTAGGCAACACAAATGTCAAACAAGACAGAGGAAGAAAGGCGGCAAAATCCTTTGCATACCTGGGGGTTTTCTTTCTTTGCCTTAATTACTAACTTTCTGCATTAGGTTACCTTCACATGCTAAGAACAGTTGAATTTTCAATTTCCTAAGGCATCAGCTTGCCCTTTTCTTTACAAGAGGGGCTGGGGACATAAAAAAAGCAAAGGTGCTTCCTCAAAAGCTTCAGTGCCTGGCAGCTTTATTCCCACTGACTTCCCCTTCCTCCCCTGGACTTTCCTTCTCTATTCTGCCCTCACAGCCATCTTCCTTCAAGTCAAACCCAGTGCTGTGTGGTTAGGCTCATTTAGACTCAGTTGTATTGGTTTTCTAGGAAGAGAGAAGATTTCACTACGCAGCATTCCCCAGTGCCATGTCCCACCGGAATCGGTCTTTCTCTTTCAATCCTCACCCGGGATATTTGACCCCTTCCATGAAGGTAAATTGGTTCTAATGGTTTTAATGCATTATACAATTCCATTGGTTTCGTTTTTCTTAAAGGTAACCACAGGTTATTTAAGGGCTGGTGTACGCTCAGAAAAATATTCATTGGAAAAAAAAAACCCACTTGTTTATATCTATGGCTGGGCGGATTATGTGTGATTTTTATTTTTTATGGGATTTTGTATTTTCCAAATTTTCTAGAATAAATGTGTGTCAGTATTAAGAATAGCTCTATCTAGGTGATGGGAGGGAGAAGAGTAAGAATCTTCCACTTCTTAACTATTTCTGTACATATTTTTGGAATTTTTCACAATGAGCATATTCACATTCAATTATCTACTATCACAAAATCCTAAAGGCTCTTAAAAAATAGTATTTTTGGCTGGGTGCAATGGCTCACACCTGTAATCCCAGCACTTTGGGAGGCCGAGGTGGGTGGATCACTTGAGGTCAGGATTTCAAGACCAGCCTGGCCAACGTGGTGAAACTCCAACTCTATTAAAAATACAAAAATTAGCTGGGCTTGGTGGCAGATGCCTGTAATCCCAGCTACTCAGGAGGCCGAGGTAGGAGAATCACTTGAACCCAGGAGGCGGAGGTTGCAGTGAGCTGAGATCGCACCACCGTACTCCAGCTTGGGTGACAGAGCAAGGCTACATCTTAAAAACAAAAATAGTATTTTTAAAAATAGTTCACAGGACAATACACTTGTGACTTAACTAATGTCATCTCGTGTAGTTTTTATGTATCCCTCATTGTGACAAAATACAAGTTTCACTCCAGAAATTTAAATAAATGCATTTGAGGCTAGGGTGGGCCCATCCCCTGCTGGGGGTGTTACATGACCTTCTAAAATCTTAAACAAAATTGAGTTGCAAAACACATCCATCTCCAGAAGTTTTGGTTAAGAGGTTGTGAACATACATATTTATTTATAATACAAAATGAAGATTGGAGGGAAAAGTGCTTTAAAAAATAGCATGTAAGTGTATAAATGAAATTGTTGCTTCTTCTCCGATACAATTTTGATTGGGTGAGCATTATTTGCTTTTACAATAATGCTTTATTTTGTTTTTTGCATTGCATTGCACTAACCTGTCCATTAATACAAACAGAAAAAGAAGGTGGAGGACGTGCCCAGCCGCGTGGTCAGCGTGCCGAACCTCGCCTCCTATGCAAAGAACTTTCTGAGTGGCGATCTGAGTTCCAGGATTAATGCCCCTCCAATAACTACATCACCCAGCTTGGACCCAAGCCCCAGCTGTGGCCGGACCTACAAACCCAACCAGTCTACAGATGCAAAAACTGCCACAAGGTTTGGGGGATGTTGGGGACAGGGGCCCTTATTCTATTTCCCTGTAGATAAGAGGGGAAGTAGGATTCTTTCTAGCACCTGGTACCAAATTCCAGAAGGCCTTTTTTCATGGATGATTAGACAAGGGACACTGAATCACTTACCTGAAAACTTCAGCATGGGTTATACAAAAGGTGGACTCCATCTGGCCTGGAGGTCTGAATTCAAATTACAGTCTTCCTCATTCTTAGCTCTGTGGCCTTGGACAGGTCACTTGACCTCTCCAGGTCTCCATATACCTTGCCTTTAAAATTAAGATAATACAGCACCTATCTCATCAGACTGACGTGAGACTAAAGGAATTAATCCATAGGATGTGCTTAGCACAGGACTTGGCACAAAAATCTTCAATATAGTTTCAGTATTATTACTAACATTATTCCTCAAGATTTACTCTATCACCTTGGAATTCTAAAGTCTCTTAATCGGGCCGGGCTTGGTGGCTCACGCCTGTAATCCCAGCACTTTGGGAGATGGAGGTGGGTGGATCACCTAAGGTCAGGAGTTCGAGACCAGCCTGGGCAACATGGTGAAACCCATCTCTACAAAAAATACAAAAATTAGCCAGGTGTGGTGGTATGCGCCTGTAATTCCAGCTCCCCGGGAGGCTGAGGCACAATGATCGCTTGAACGCAGGAGGCTGGAGGTTGCAGTGAGCCGAGATCATGCCACTGCACTCCAGCCTGGGTGACAGAGGGAGACTCTGTCACAAAAAATAAAAACAAAGTCTCTTGATCTGTAGGTTTGGTTAATCCTGCATTATTAGAGCTACAACCACTAAGTCTCAAAGGAACAATGGAGAACCAAACAATGGTGAACCTTCTGTTTTCCAAATGAGGATTAGGTACTCCCTCCCCAGCCCCATCCTTTACAATTTGTTTCCCACTACTAATGTTGGCCAGTCCCATTTGGGTGTTTTTGAAGAGTAAACAAGCAGTTATCTTTCCCTGAAAAGATGGTGGGTATTAAGCTGCTTCTTGCATAGTTTTCAAAACCATATAAAAAAACCTTTTTTTGCTTTTAGGACCCCAGATGGTGAAACGGCCCAAGCCAAAGAAGTCCAGCAGAAACAGGGCTCTCCGCACCAGGAATGGTTCACCAAGTACTTTTCTTTCTAAGCTAACCTTTGGGATACATCACAGAGGATACTTGAAAAACATTTATTTTAAATCATCCGATTGAAGGAATGAACTAACACCAACCAACCAAATAATATGCTTATGATTTATATATGATAGCTAAAACAAATTTTGGCGTTAACACTTCATACTGTTCTGCCAGGCACAGCAGCTCACGCCTGTAATCCCATCACTTTGGGAGGCTGAGGCAGATGGACTGCTTGAGTCCAGGAATTTGAGACCAGCCTGGCCAATATGGTGAAACCCCATCTCTACAAAATATACAAAAATTAGCCAGGCATGGTGGCGTGTGCCTGTGGTCCCAGGTACTTGGGGGACTGAGGCGGGAGGATCACTTGAACCTAGGAGGCAGAGGTTGCAGTGAGCCAAGTTCGAACTCCTGCATTCCAACCAGCCTGGGTGACAGAGGGAGACCCTGTCTCCAAAAAAAAAAAAAAAAAAAAAAAAAAAAAAAAAAAAAAAAAAAATTGACATTAAACCAGTGTTATTAAAAGTCATCTATAGGAAAATGTTATTAGCGTTACTAATGACCCATACCTTGTATTTCTAGTGTCCATAACATCATACTCCATTTTGTGGAACATCAGACTTTGTGATTTCCATGATCTATTTCAAAAGTGGTTGTACTTGTCCTTAGGATGCTAGTCAACTCCACTGGAAAGCTGTTTCTATGTAAAATGATGCAATTCCAAAATGCACATCTAACCTCAATAGGAAGACAAATAACAGTTAAACAGGAAAGCCAACTAAAAACAAACCAAACCTACCAGAAATGGATGGTAGCATGCTTGGACTGAATACTTTCACTTCCTTGGTCTAAGACAAGCAGCAGATTATAGATGGGATAACACCCACCTCTAAAAGGGCTTTGCAAGGATTAAGCAAGATAACATAAATTAACATGAATTGGAATTAAGTACCACAAGGTTTTTCTGTAAATAACCAATCCTAGCCCAGTTATAGGTCTCAGTGTAATGACCATAGTGCCAACATGATCACTTGTGAAGGTCTCTAGATTATCTGTTCTTTGAAGTCAAAGATCTTCTAGACTGGGCACATGGCTCATGCCTGTAATCCCAACACTTTGGGAGGCTGAGATGGGAGGAGAGCTTGAGGCCAGGAATTTGAGACCAGCCTGGGCAACACAGCGAGACCTCCATCTCTACAAAAAAATAATTAGCCCAAAGAAAACCCAGCTACTTGGAAGTCTGAGGTAGGACAGCATGAGCCCAAGAGTTCGAGACCAGCCTGGGCAAGATAGTGAGATCCCATCTCTACAGATTAAAAAAATATATATATATATCCCCTGAACCTCTGGTCTTTGGGTTTGAGCCATTTGCCTCATGGTGTGTTGCTTCTTCACTGCATGAATTCCCAGTGGGTTAAAGGAACCGCAATGGCTGTTCACGGTGCTGACCTTGCTCTCAGTCCACACTGATTTGTCTTACCTTCTGACAGAGCAATGTGATTTGACAAGACTCAATAACAACTTTTAGGGGGCAAAATATTTTTTCAGTCTTTGGTGCTGGCCCAGAAGGTGGCCCACAAACCAATGTTAATTCTATGCATTGTCAAATCTTTGCTCTTTGAATAAAACTTTGAATAACTGGGCAATAAAAATGGTTGACTTGTATTGATTTTCCACAGAAAGGTAAAATTAGATGAAGACAGCTTAGAAATAGAAAGTTCAGTTCACATTAACCTCAATCACACCATCTTAAAAAAAAAAAAGCTGATTACATATAACTGTCAAACTTACGTATTAAAGGTAAATTTACTGCCTAATCAAAACGAGGCTCCAATGCATTTTTAAATGCAAACAAACACTTGTCACCATACATTAACACACCATACTGTTTTTCACTACCAAATATTTTTTGTGAGTTTCCCGCTTAGAGTGTCTTAGTTCGTTCAGGCTGCTCTAACAAAATATCTTACTTATACTGGATAATTTATAAACAATAGAAATATGTCACTCACAGTCCTAGAGGCTAAGTCCAAGATCAAGGCACCAGCAGATATGGAGTCTGGGGAGGGCCCATTCTTCAGAAATGGGTGCCTGCTACGTGTCCTTACATGGTGGAAGAGGCAAGAGCGCCTCCCTGAGCCTCTTTTGTAAGGGTACTTATCCTACTCATGAGGGTGAAGCCCTCATGACTCCATTGCTTCCCAAAAGCCCCACCTCTTAATACTATTACATTGACATTAGGTTCCAACATATGAATTTTGGAAGGGACATCAACATTCAGGACATAGCAGTGAACCCTGTAGGACTGCTCTTTATTTTGTGCTTTCAAAAAGACTACATACAGGTGGTTCTATTTTTGTGTGTTGAAACACTTTCCCAGGCTGCACTTTGCATTTCTGTCCTTAAACTCAGCATGATCCCTGGGCAAGGAGAAAATTTTACTAGTTGAGATCGTACATAGGTTTTGACTCCTTTCTTGCTGCAGGTGACTGAAAAGATCTTTCAGTCTTAAATTTCTAAATTCTACCCTGCAATGATTATATCTTTGTTAACAAAATCTTTGCATGCTTCCATAATTTTTTATTGAGGCCATATGCCTTGGGTATTGAAGTAAGGCATTTAAGGACACAAACTTAAGCTTTTTGTTTGTTATTACCAAACTGCCATTCAGAAAGTTTCTAACAATTTACACCCTTACCAGCAGTAAATGAACCTACTGTGCCCTAACACTATTGACAAAGAAATACAATTTGATAGATAAAACATTCTATTTTAGTTTGCATAATGATTCCATCAATCTCTCAACAGCAGAGCGGTCTAGAGATGACAGTGATGGCGTAGAGGTGACAGTGAAGATGAAGAGAAATTATCCAATTCGGGATTAAGTTAAGAGAGAGAAAAAAACAGTATTTAATGGTAAATCTCTTCAGGCTGTATTATGACAGGGGTGGAAGAGTTAATATGTTCCTGCAGCAAAACTGAAAGGAATACTATCTGTTCCACATGAAAGCAAACTGTTTTGTAATTGGGGTAGGTAAAAATGGATTCACCCAGTCAATGGCTGCACACCACATACCTGAGCCCTTAACTGCTCTAACACTGATGTAATATCCAACCCAACATTTGTGATTGAGGCTACTTGGTTAATTTTTCTCCAGGATCCATCTGGATTCTGCAGATGAGGCTGGCAAATTAAATGGAACTATGATAGGGACCATCTTACTGTATCTGTCAGATTTCCAAGGGTAGCACTGATCTCTACCGTCACCTCACCTCCACCCCCAGGATGCAGTACTGTGTGTTTGTTTTTGAGACGGAGTCTTGCTCTGTCACCCAAGCTGGGGTGCAGTGGCGCCATCTCAGCTCACTGCAACCTCGGCCTCCCGGGTTCAAGCGATTCTCCTGCCTCAGCCTCCCGAGTAGCTGGGACTACAGGCACCCGCCACCATGCTAATTAATGTATTTTTAGTAGAGACAGGGTTTCACCATGTTGGCCAGGCTGGTCATGAACTCCTGACCTCAAAGTGATCCTCCAAGATAACGACAGAGGCCCCGGGCACTCACAGTCACCTCATCAGTTCCTCACTATCCCTCTGCAGGGAACAGACACTCTACTGTCCTTGTGTGCAGTACTCCTCTTATCTTCCACAGTTTGACTCCTCCCATTCCCCTCCACAGGGATATTTTCCCAGGGTACCACTGGTGGAATCCTCAGCAACTGGGCCACCCCCTCGTGTGAGTGAGTGTCCATACCTCACACGCTGCTCCAGATGGGTTTTGCTACCAGTTGGGCAGTGAGTGAGCCAGTCCCCAAGCCTCATCCTACTGCCTGCTCTCAGACCACATCCAGTCACAATTGTCTCAGTCAGGTCCTCCACCAGGCATGCCCCGAGACACAATTAGAAGTGCAAGACATTCACTGGGGGGTGTGAATGCCTTCAGCCAAAGCCCACCAGAAATGCCTGTATTTGAACAAGTTGGGTCTATTCATCACAGAGAACCATAGGACTTCTCAGACAGAGGGTGTCACAAAGAACCTCTTTTAGGATTCTGGCCCTGGTTGGGTGATTTCAAGGAAGTGAGGATTCACTCGATTGGATGCTGTCAGAATGGGGGCACTGAGCATCTCAATACATCTTATTTATAGGAAGGTGGACTAGAGTAGGGATAAAGGTATAATTGCATATATATATATACACACACACATATATATATACACACATACATACACATATATACGCATATACACATACACACACACACACACACACACACACACACACACACGGCAGCTGTCACTCGTTTTAACCAGCAGAAGGATGTTTGGTATTTTGTGAGTGGTAAACTGACCTTGAATTTTCTTTGTACGTGCTTAGACAAAATTATTAAGTGGTTTATTTTATCATGGCCTGAGAGCAACTTTGGGGTTGGCATTCAGAGACTGTTTATGTCCAACAGGAGAATGGCATGACCGAACAGTGTTGTCAGCTTCTGAATGTCAGGGACAGGTGGTTTTTTTCTTTCTCAGGAGAAACACCTATGTTAGAGAAAGGGGAGAGGAAACAGAAGACAGGAAGAGCCTATGATGTAGGTCTGACAGGTGGGCCAAGGAACACCGGGGCAAAAGAGGGCAGGACAGCTCCAAAGATGTCATGGCCAGGCTGATGGAAGCGCCCAAGCAGACTGCTCAGTATTTTTTTATTTTTTATTTTTTGAGACGAAGTCTTACTCTGTCACCCAGGCTGGAGTGCAGTGGCTCGATCTCGGCTCACTGCAACGTCCACCTCCTGGGTTCAAGCGATTCTCCTGCCTCAGCCTCCTGTGCCTGGCCTCAGACTGCTCATTAGAGGAGGCCTGTGTCGGGCAGAAATGGCCTAGCACCTGACCTCCACTGTGCTTGGTGACAGCCAGGACCAGCATGCCCTGGGCAGGAACATGGCGGCAGGTCCCCAATGCCAGGAGCTTTTGTAATTGAACTCCTTGAAGCTGCTTTCTTGAAGGGAGGACTGAGCAGTGCTCCTTCACAACCTCCAGAGGCCCAGGACCAAACACCTGGGAATGTTAACAGTTAAGACATTTGGGTGGAGGAGAAAAGAGGAAAGAAGGGAAGATGCATGAAAAAGAATTAAGTTCAAGTAAAGAAGATGAAGATGGGCTGGGCACGGTGGCTCATGCCTGTAATCTCAGTACTTTGGGAGGCTGAGGCGGACAGATCACTTGAGGTCAGGAGTTCAAGACCAGCCTGGCCAACATGGCAAAACCCCATCTCCATTAAAAATACAAAAATTAAGGCTGGGCGCGGTGGCTCATGCCTGTAATCCCAGCCCTTTGGGAGGCAGAGGCAGGCGGATCACGAGGTCAGATTGAGACCATCCTGACCAACATGGTGAAACCCCATCTCTACTAAAAATACAAAATTATCTGGGTGTAGTGGTGTGCACCTGACAGCTACTCGGGAGGCTGACGTAGGAAAATTACTTGAACCCGGGAGGCAGAGGTTGCAGTGAGCCGAGATTGCACCACTGCACTCTAACCGGGCGACAGAGCAAGACTCCATCTCAAAAAAAAAAAAAAAAAAATAGCCCAGCTACTTGGGAGGCTGAGGCAGGAGAACTGCTTAAACCTCTGGGAGGCAGAGGTTCTTCTGGGAGGAATGTCAAATGGCTGAAAAGGTCACCCACCAGCTTTGATGTCGGGTGGCAGGAATGTCCGGCAGGAGACAGTGCTGCCAGCTGCTGTTTGTAGAACACACAGGCTACCTGATGGCTGGGTGGGCCTTTCCCCAGCACTTGCCTGTGGGACCCCGTTGTGCCACTGCACTACAGCCTGGGCAACAGAGCAAGACTCCTGTCTCAAAAAAAAAAGGCTGTCCTGAAGATGTGAGTAGGTTTATCTGTGGAGAGAGATAGCCCACAGGCAATCTGCATCTTGGAGCCTGACAAGGAAGCTAAGCAGTATTCAAGAAAAAAGGCCTTCTTGGTGGAACTTTCTACCTTTCAAAGAGCTACCACACCCAAGACAACCTTGGCTTCTTAAGAACACCCTGGAACCACAGGTGGGTGGGCTGTTATCAACACACTGACCAGGGAAGAGGGGTGTGAAAACTCACTTCAAATCCTGCTTCTGCCAAAGGTTAAAGACTAACCTCTTGACTTTGGGCAAATCACTTAACCCACCTAAATCCCATACTCTTCCTCCATAACCCTCCTCTTCCCGAACAACAGAAATCACTAACACCTGAAGAATACTTGCTACATTCTAGCACCCTTGCTGACTTCCCATTCAACATCTCCTTTTTCTTTTTTGAGACGGAGTTTCACTCTTGTAGCCCAGGATGGAGTGCAATGGCACGATCTTGGCTCATCACAACCTCTGCCTCCCAGGTTCAAGCGATTCTCCTGCCTCAGCCCCCCAAAGTGCTGGGATTACAGGCGTGAGCCACTGCACCTGGCCTCAACATCTCCTTTAATCTGCAGAAGTAATCCTGGGGAATAGGTCCTAGTCTTATCCCTATTTTACAGATTTATTATCCATCTGTGAAAATGGGAAAAACAATATTGATTCTGTTATAAGGCTTCTAGAAGACTGAATGGGATCATTTACAAAATGTGTGTGGCACAGATGTTTGTTTCAAAGTTGAAAGCCTGAAGCCTGTGGGCAGACCTAAGGTCAAGCACCAAGCCAGACCAGAACGTACCCCTGGACAATCACAGCAGGAGTCTCTTCCAAGACATAATACTCCACTCCCCAGTACCAGAGCAGTGCTTGGCAGAGGGCATTCCACAGGTTTCTAGGGGAACTTGAGAAGATGGCTTGTGATTTTCTCCCTGAAAAAGTTAGCAGCTCAGAGGGTTTCTTAGAGGATTATTCATCACCCAGTAAGATGTCTACAAACAGAGAAGATTGAAAAATTGTTATTTGGCAAAAAAACTTCTGAATTTAATAAAGAAATGGCAACAACTGGTACGTACAGTAATTCAAAATCTTTTCACTAAGCACCAAATAGGATAGTTCTCAATCTTCTCAAGAACCTCTTTGAAAGAACGCCTAAAACCTAATCAGTTTATTTAGGTTTTTAGTCAAGAAATACAAAGCTGCCAATCAGAGTTTCTAATTACCATGAGTGACCAGGTTAGCAACCTTGAGGTCATACCACATGAGCTTTTAAAAGCTTTGTTTAACCTATACGTTGTAACTGAGGGGATTTGTTGATGTCAGGCTGGTAATCAGAGATCCATGTGCCAGATACCATATACACACACCAAAAAGATACAGATTATATGGTCCTTATATATTTAAGGAGAATAATGTCTAATTCTCATGGGTGTAGAATTAGTGAGGGGCAGAGAGACAGATACAAAGCACTAACCCACCAGGGAGAACCTAGCGAGGGCAACAGAAGAGATCAAAGTCCTGTGCCCTGGGGATGCAACTGAATGGGTGCTGGGAGGCTTCAGGGATCAGGCACATGAGTGGATGTCAGTCCATGTGGGAAGGGGCCTTCAAGGCTGAAGACAACAAAATGAGTCAAGGCACAAAGCCACAGGAGTACTGCCAATCAGAAGACAGTGAAGCATTTGTTCTGGGTAAAGGGATGTGATCTAATAAGATATAAAACTCAGAAAACCTTACCCAATGAGAGCCAGAAATCTCCATTTCTTAACAGCAACTCAACAGGGAATCTGAGGCTGCCCACAAAACTAACGAGAGCAAAATACCCTCCCAAAGGCAGGGCACCACATGCTCTCTGTGGAGGCTCAGTAGCCAATGATCACCCTGCAGCCCCTCCCCACCCCCACCACGACACTCTAGTCCCTTGGAGTCAAATCCACTGGCAACAACCTTCCTTAACGGAAAATGTTTCCCCTCCCAAAATGTAGAACAAAAATGATACACGCAAACAAAACTCAAAACAGAAAGAGACAATCAGAGCAAGATTTAGCCCCTCACAGCTCACCTATGACCCCACTGTCATGCTACTGAAAACAGTGACTGACCCATTAAACAGATTCATTACTGCAGAATGTAATGAATGTTAGCGTATCACTGCTCCCACTATATCCTTCTATGTCAAAAAAAAAAAGTAAACACCACATAAAATATAAACATACCCCAAACAGAAGTCAGCATCAACCTAAGGATCCTACTGTAAGATTACTATACTAACCCAGGACAGTTCCATCGTCTTCTGACCTATTTACAAAAAAATCCTCATTCTGAGAGCTCTGGAAACATTACAAATATTGTATTAGATTCCTCTTCTTGAGGTAGTTCAAAGTCTTAAAACAGAGCAAATTTACATACTTTTCTACACACCACCGCGGGGTAATTATCATAAGGCCTACGACTAAAACTCCCATCTCCTGATTCTCAGGCTACTATACTCTTTTCCTTCGGATCAAACTACAGGAAACACACATAAAAAGATGAAAAGTCATGCAAAAATTTAAAACAAGCAAAGCCACCATAAAAAAGAATCTGTGTCATCATATTCACAGTCTAAACTTTGCTAAAGACAAAAAAAAAATACTTACTTGGTTTATCCAAGCTACAGACATGTTATAAAGTACTCAAGAAATTAACAGCTTATAAAAATAGTGGAAAATTTTTCAATGGGAGCATAAAACTAAAATGAACTCATTATCTGGCAAAGAGTTCTTCCAAAATGTCAAGTCCACAGGAAGGAATGTGTGGCCAACCTCACGCATCAGCCCACTCATAGGCCAACTGCCTCTGCCCTTTGCTCACGTTGGCTTCAGAGGTGCAGGGATGTTGGCAGATGCCTGCTCCAGGTAGGCCAAGGAGCCCTGAGGGATGTCGGCGGGCTTTTTGTGCTGCACGTTGATGTCCTCCAGCACCTGCTGCCAATGCCTCAGCTTTGTCAAGTGCTTCTGGACTAGTGCATCTTTCCGCTGTAATTCATTCCTTAGTTCTGACACATCCTGCAGATGAAAGTCATGGACTAAGTCAGAGCAAATGCAGGAAAAACACATACGGTTCTGGTTAGTTAAGAGGCTAACAATTCAAAACAAAGAGAATCCATTAAACCATATTAAGCCCATTACTCTGCTTGGCTCCACTATTTGATTAACCCAGATGACAGATTCTAACATAAGTTTTTATGGGCTTTTTTTTTTTTTTTTTGAGACGAAGTCTTGCTGTCACTTAGGCTAGAGTGCAGTGGTGCGGTCTCGGCTCAGTGCAGCCTCCACCTCCCGGGTTCAAGTGATTCTCCTGCCTCAACCTCCTGAGTAGCTGGGATCACAGGCACACGCCACCACACCCAGCTAATTTTTATATTTTTAGTAGAGATGCGGTTTTGCCATGTTGGCTAGGCTAATCTCGAACTCCTGACCTCAAGTTATCCACCTGCTTCAGCCTCCCAAAGTGCTAGGATTACAGGCGTGAGCCACCACACCCGGCCTACGTTTATTTTTCTTATAGAAAGTAATATGCAAGTTACAAAATTCAAAAGGGCAGCCAAAAAGAAATCAGATTGATATGGTTTGGCTGTGTCCCCACCCAATCTCATCTTGAATTGTAACTCCTACAATTCCCATGTGTCGAGGGAGGAACCTGGTGAGAGGTAATTGAATCACGGGGGCAAGTCTTTCCCATGCTGTTCTCCTGGTAGTGAATAAATCTCACGAGATCTGATGGTTTTAAAAATGGGAGTTTCCTTGCACAAGCTCTCTTCTCTTGTCTGCCACCATGTGAGATGTGTCTTTCACCTTCTGCCATGATTGTGAGGCCTCCCCAGCCACATGGAACTGTAAGTCCATCAAACCTTTTTCTTTTGTGAACTGCCCAGTCTCAGATATGTCTTTATGAGCAGGGTGAAAACAGACTAATTACAGACTCTATCCCATCCTGGTCCCCAGCCATCCAGTACCTCTCTCCAAAGGCTACTGCTGAGAACCTAAAACACTGAAAATCTGAAACATTTGTTAACAACTGTTTACAAGAAAATCCACACCACTGATCTATCACTTCAGATTATGAACTGTTAAAATTACATTTTCAAGAGCTTTTTAAGAACAGCATTACATCCTTTACTAACCATCCAGTCTTGGACATACCTGCACTGTTATTCAAGTATTCACATCAGGAAATGATCTGACATGATAAACTGTAAGAATAGCTATCCCCAACAGCTGGTATCATGAATGAAAAGAGACTTTTTGATTAATTGGGACTAGTTACTTCAAAAATTGCCCCCAACCAATAATCTCAATTCAGTGTTTCTCACTGAGGGCATTGCCGGCTTTTTGGGCAGGATGATTCTTCACTCTTCCACATCACATGGGGCAGGTCCTGGCCCAACCCATTCAATGCCATTAAAGCTTCCCAAGTCATCGTGGCAACCCCAACACACTTCCAAATGCCCTAGCTTAGAACAACTGAGATCAACGAAATCCTGAGTTTCCAGGAACCTGGGTCGAACACTACTTTTTGATTCCTTGGATTCCTGTGTGCAAGGCACTGGGTAAGGCAAGTGGGGACACAGATCTCAGTTTTTGTCCAAAACAAGCCTATATGTTAGTGGCTTTTTGTCCTTTTTTCACATGGCAGAATCTTTTAAGAAAAATCTTTCCTGAAGGCCAATGTATGACACAAGTCACATCAGAGCTGTTCCGTCTGACACTCTGCTTTCGGACCCCACTCCTTGGCTTTACTTCTTGTTCAGGTTGTCCCAAACATGGATGACTAGCCACATTTCACACTGACCTATAAAGCCTGAATGAAACTCGCAGGAAACGGTTACATCTCATTTAAAGCATAAAAGGAATCCTGGCACCACTTAGTTCTTCCTATAGAGCTGAGGAGAAAACTGAGTTCATACCTCTTTGATAACTTGCTCTGGTTTCTGGACAGATAACTGCAATCTTTTTTGTAAGAAAAAACATTCTGTCTGTCTTGCAATATCCAGAAACTTCTGGATACACTGATCAACACCTTAAAAAAAAAGGAACAAAATTATTAAAATAAGAAAAACAACAGACTCATTTATCTCCCTCATAAATGAATAATCAGAATGTAAAAACAAAGCCCTCTCATAGACAACTCAGGGATTTTAATCTTGGCCACAGCAGTAATCATAACCCCCAACTTCTCATGTGTTAACCAACATTAAACAGCAGATAAGTTATGCTTTTCTCAGGTTAAAAAAAAAAAGAGAGAGATATTAATATAGCATAAAAGCCATGAGATCTTCTTTAAAAAGACAATGCAGCTGGGCATGGTGGCTCAAGCCTGTAATCTCAGCACTCTGGGAGGCCGAGGTGGGCGAATCATGAGGTTAGGAGATTGAGACCACCCTGGCCAACATGGTGAAACCCCATCTCTACTAAAAATACAAAAATTAGCTGGGCGTGGTGGAACATGCCTGTAATCCAGCTACTCAAGAGGCTGAGGCAGAAGGATCGCTTGAACCAGGGAGTGAGAGGTTGCAGTGAGCCGAGATCGCGCCACTGCACTCCAGACTGGTGACAGAGTGAGACTCCGTCTCAAAAAAAAAAAAAAACACAAGGCAGAGGCCAAGCGTGGTGGCTCACGCCTGTAATCCCAGCACTTTGGGAGGCTGAGGCAGTAAGACTGCTTGAGCCTAGGAGTTCAAGACCAGCCTGGGCAATACAGCAAGATCCCATCTCCACAAAAAAATAAAAAAACAAAAATTAGCCAAATGTGGTGGCTCACACTGTGGTCCCAGCTACTGGGGGGCTGAAATGGGAGGACTGCTTCAGCCCAGGAGGCAGAGGTTGCAGTGAGCAGAGATCATGCCACTGCACTCCTTTCTTAAAAGGGTGAGAGAGCAAGAACTCTGTCTCCAAAAAAAAAAAAAAAAAAAAAGAGACAATGCAGAGATCCAGCAATCAGCATCATAATTTACAGTTAAAATGGCACATATAAGGCCGGGCACGGTGGCTCACGCCTGTAATCCCGATACTTTGGGAGGCTGAGACAGATGGATCACCAGAGATCAGGAGTTCGACACCAGCCTGGCCAACATGGCGAAACCCCGTCTCTACTAAAAATATAAAATTAGCTGAGTATGGTAGTGCATGCCTGTAGTTCCATCTACGCGGGAGGCTGAGACAAGAGAACTGCCTGAACCCATGAGGTGGTGGTTGCAGTGAGCACTCCAGCCTGGGCGACAAGAGTGAAACTCCATCAAAAAAAAAAAAAAACATGTAAAATATGGTACGAAGAAATCAGAAGCTCTGGTTACCTTTAGGGACAGAACTTGGGGAATAAAAAGAAGCACAAGAGACTTTTCTCTGTAAGACCTATTCCAAAAATAATAAAATTTTTTTAAAAAGCAGTACACACTATTGGTCTTCTTCTTTACCTAGTACGAATACGAAAAGTTCATTATAAATGATTCGTTATGGGTGATATGTCAATTAATAAACTGAACCAAAAATCAGCAGCTCATAGAGATTATGTGCACACATTTTAGTCCCTGAAATGTTGTCTTAGGATAAAAGCAGGACTGAAACACATGAAGTATAAAATTAGCAACTAGGAAATACTGCTGAAGCCCAGAACATTGTGTACACAGAGGGAATGCTTACCGGTTCGAATTTCTTCCTGATCGGTGCCATTGACATAGTCCTGACTCACCAGAGATGCAAAGCAAGCCTGTGTAATCAAAACATAGGAAAGAAAAAAATATCATTTATACATCAAAAATCTTACTCCAGAGGAAGAAATAACTTCTCCTGAAGTCATCTGATGAGGTGGCAGCATCTGTGTTTGCATATGAGATGGCAAGACACCATGCCAATGGAAACATCTGGTAAACTGAGTTTACCAATTAATTAGGCCCATGGAGGAAGCGCCAGGCAAACGAGCCGGCACCACATCTGGTCTCTGTCCTACTACATGCCCCTTCCCTGTATCTTATTCCACACCAGGCCCAGACACTCTTCCAGCCCCACTGTGGCCTCTTGCTGGTGCTTACACAACTCACATCACCACCCATTCAGGACTCAGGACAATCTTCTCCCCCTCAGAGACAGCAGCCGGTCTACCCTTTCTAAACTGTGCCCCTCCTGCTCATGCTCCACACCCAAGCACAGTTTTATTGTTTTTCACATAATTAACTGACATCATATCCATTATTTTCATCCATTATTATCTGTCCCCTACTAGTAGATGAGAATTTTGTCTGTCTTATTCACCACTGTCCTCCTAGTGCCTGGAACACTGCCTTGGCACAAGGGAAGTGTTTAATAACACATATTACTGACTGGATGGCCTAAGAGGACAAGGTTGGTATCACATGGATAATCAAGTCCCAGAGAGAGTTATCTCTAAAGGGCACCTATACAGATGCAAATGTGAATCAGCCAAGGAGCTCTGTGCACAAGCAACTCTAAGGAAATGTACCAAAGCAGGCCCACTGCAGGAAGTGGGCAGGGAGATTGGGGAGGCACAGAAAGAGAACAGCATGGCAGTTGGAAAAGGAGTTAGAAAAGAAGCCTCAAACACAGGAAAGTGGAGCTCTGTCAGCAATCAGCAAACTACACTTGGTGTGAGGCAGACAGATCTGAGCTCAAATTTAGAACATTACCTACATGTGAGGGCCCTTTAACGAGCAAAAATTCTGCCTGCCTGCAGCTCCCGCGCTTGATTTACAGAGAAAGTAAATCAGAAAAACAGATTGCCCATTCTCAGGATTACTTTGAACATTGACTCCTGGCTGGGCACGGTGGCTCACGCCTGTAATCCCAACACTTTTGGGAGGCCCACGCAGGCAGATCACGAAGTCAGGATCCTAACTAGGAAGGCAGATCCACGAAGTCACCATCCTAACTAACACGGTGAAGCCCCATCTCTAATAAAAATACAAAAAATTAGCTGGGCATGGTGGCACGTGCCTGTAGTCCCAGCTACTCGGGAGGCTGAGGCAGGAGAATTGCTTGAACCTGGGAGGCAGAGGTTGCAGTGAGCCAAGACTGCACCACTGCACTCCAGCCTGGGTGACAGGGCGAGAATCTGTCTCAAAAAAAACGAAAGTTGACTCTTGTTGGGTTTGGGATGTGGGTAGGATGTACTTCCTTTGTGAGACCTATGGCTACTGGAAAACATCCCATTAATAGGCCAACCAGTCACAAACTGGCCAAAAAAGTTGGGCCAGCTCCCCTGAGCCAGGAGGCCTACCAGACAGGGTGGCAGGAAATCTCATCTCAAGAATTTTACTGCCCTCCACCCACTCAAGAAAAAAATTTAGGGTCCGACATGGTGGCTGACGCCTGTAAGCAACAATTTTGGAGGCCAAGATGGGTGGATCACTTCAGTCCAGGAGTTCAAGACCAGCATGGGCAACGTGGTGAAACCCTGTCTCTACAAAAACAAAAATTAGTCAGGCGTAGTGGTGCGCACCTGTAGTCCCAGCCACTTGGAAGGCTGAGGCAAGAGGACCACTTGAGCCCAGGAAGTGGAGGTTGCAGTGACCCAACATCGTGCCATTGCACTCTGGCCTGGGTGACAGAGTGAGACTCTGTCTCAAAAAAAAAAAAAAAAGAAAAGAAAAGAAAAAAAAAAGATACACAGGCCTTTATAGACAGTTGGACAGCTGTATTAAGAAGAAAATGTGTGGTAGCTTAGAAAGAGAACATATATTTTTTTTTTGAGATGGAGTCTCACTCTATTGCCCAGGCTAGAGTCAGTGGCACGATCTTGGCTCAATGCAACCTCTGCCTCCCGGGTTTCAGCGATTCTCCTGCCTCAGCCTCCCAAGTAGCTGGGATTAAGGCGTGTGCCACCAGAGACCACTAATTTTTGTATTTTTAGTTAGAGATGGGGTTTCACCATGTTGCCCAGGATGGTCTCGAACTCGTGACCTCAAGTGATCCAGCCACCTTGGCCTCCCAAAGTGCTGGGATTACAGGCGTGAGCCACCGCATCTGCCTAGAAAGAGAACAGCTTTTTAAAAGCATGGCTAAAACAGAGCCTTTGCCTGGAAAGTAAGTGCTTGTCCTCATTTCCACAAACCCAACGGCTGGCTTTCAGCAAGTAACTTGCCCTCACTGAGCCTCAGTTTCTCTACCTATGAATGGAGGAAATGGAACTAGATGGTCTCCAACGTTCCCTCCAAAATCAAGAGTGCATGAGCTCAATAAATTCCTTCCATCAAAGAGCATGTGCTAAGCAGCTAGAATGAGCAGACAGAGACCTCAAGGAGTGGCACCCCAATAGGAATGAGAAGCAGGTAAGTAGGTGCTGCTATGTGCCACTGGAGGCTGTGAAAATTGAGGTCCACACAGAACACAAGGAAGGAAACAGGAAAAGTTCCAAAGAAAATGTGGCCTTTGAATTGAATCGTGAGACAAGACTAGACAGATCGTGATCACCCAGCAGCAGAGAGGATCCAGCTCGCACCACTCCCACTCCCCTTCACCTGGCTAAGTCAAAATGCTTCTTTGGCTTTCCTGCTCTCTGGGAAGCCTTCTTTGATGTCCACACCTATATGTGCTCCCACAGTACCCCAGGTTTCTTCTATCAGAGCAGTGATCCTACAACAAGGCAACTGCCTGCCGTTTATTACAAGCTTCCTGAAGGCAGGGACTGGTTTTCTCTGTATTCTCTGTATGGATAATCAAGTCCCAGAGGGAGTTCTCTCTCAAGGGCACCTACAGACATATATGTGAATCAGGCAAGGAGTTCTGTGCACAAGCCAACTACACTACAGGCTCCACACTACAGATTCCTTCAATGTCTGACAAATATTCATCTAGCACTTGCTATCTACTACCACTGTATTAGCACTACAGGTTACACAATGTGAGGGGTGGGGGTACAAAACAGGTAGTCTCTGACTTCATGGAGCCGAATTTAATGGTAAGTATTAAAAAGAAGGCCAGGGAAGGGTCCACTGAGGAAGTGATGCAGTGAGCTGAGGAGCGGCCTGGAAGCCCAAAGAGAAAACAAATGGTACACGTGGGAAAGTCTTGTGTGGCTGCAGTAAGGAAACGAGTCTGAAGGAGAGAACGCAACATGCAAAGCCTGGGAGACCACACTAAACATCTTGATCTTATCTCAAGGGCAACAAGCAGCCACTGTACGTTTTTAAGCAGCAGGGTGCTGGGAGTCAACTTTGGCTAAGACTTGTACAGGGCCAGTCTTTCAGCAAGTGCCCATGACTGAGAGCCAGCTCCCCTCAAGCACAATGCTAGATGCTGCTCTAAAGTTCACCAGCCCCTTCCTTTACCACTTAGCACCACCTCAAAGGTGTCTCCTCCTCCTCCTCCTAAACGGTCTGTCCTTTAAATCATTTATTTCTGGCTAGGCGCAGTGGCTCACGCCTGTAATCCCAGCACTTTGGGAGGCCGAGGCGGGTGGATCACGAGGTCAGGAGTTCGAGACCAGCCTGGCCAAGATAGTGAAGCCCTGTCTCTACTAAAAAATAAAAAAAATAGCATGGTGGCAGGTGCCTGTAATCCCAGCAACTCGGGAGGCTGAGGCAGGAAAATCGCTTGAACCCGGGAGGCGGAGGTTGCAGTAAGCCGAAATTGCGCCACTGTACTCCAGCCTGGGCGAGAGAGTGAGACTCCATCTCAAATCATTTATTTCTAAATCTTTGTACATCCGTGTGGTAAAAGCATTTTGTCCATGCAGTCTGAATAATCGCTTGCAAATTATATTCATTTACCACTGTGCTATTAGATACAATACAAAAGTCACAAAGTTGGGATTTTTATTTATTTATATTTTATTTTACTTTTTTGAGACGGAGTCGAGCTCTTGTCACCCACGCTGGAGTGCAATGGCGCGGTCTCCGCTCACTGCAACCTCCGCATCCCAGGTTCAAGCGATTCTCCTGCCTCAGCCTCTCGAGTACCTGGGATTACAGGCGCACGCCACCACGCCTGGCTAATTTTTGTATTTTTAGTAGAGTCAGGGTTTCACCATGTTGGTCAGGCTGGTCTCGAACTCCTGACCTCATGATCCGCCAGCCTCGGCCTCCCAAAGTGCTGGGATTACAGGCGTGAGCCACCGCGCCCGGCAAAACTGGGATTTAAAATGTGGAAAAGTTAACTCCAATTTGAACGTACATTACTTTATTACTACACAGGAATAGCTCATCTTCCACTTTAAAGACTACTGGAAATCACCAGAGCACTTATTTTCACCTCTCTATCTTCCCTCAATATACAGTTCACCTTTCTTGCTACAAGGTAAACTCCTTGGGCAAAACTGAGAGATTGGGTCACCTGTGCCTCCCTCCCTCCCTAACCTCCAGCATTCCTCCTTCCTCAGCTCTTAGTACCAAGCTGCGCCTGGTAACTTAAGTCAATTTCCGCTCTTAAGAGTCCCTTTAGGATCGTTTAAAGGTGAAGCCCAGCGGAAAGGATACAGGATACAGCAGTGAAACTCTCAGCTCCGAAAAGGCTTGAGCCTCTTACTAAACATGCAGGGATGCAAGAAACGGTGCTCGGGGATGAGACTAAGGACCGGCTGGGAATCTGGAAGGGTTCCAAGTTTGGGGTTTAGGCAAACTTCGGGTTCACGTTTCCACAAACGTCGAGTTTACGCGCCCCCGCCAGCAGACCTGAATTGAATACGGGCCACGGGGAAGCCTAAAGCAAGTGACTTACTTTAAGCCTCAGTTTCCCCATTTGTGAATTAGTTGCTCGGATCCCTGGAGGAGATACGCGTACGCGCAGTTCACGTTTCAGAAAAAAGGGAAGGCTAGGGACAAAGACGCCCATGTCTTATATTACCTCGAAAGATGACTCCAACTCGTCCACCAAAGTACTGCTGGAAGGTCTAGGAGCGCCTGGAGCTGCCTGAAGAAGCGAAGCTTGGCCCGGAAGGCCCGGCGGGGCCTGAGGGGGACCGGGTGGCTGCCCAGAAAACATACCCCCTAGTGGAGCCGCCATGTTTGGAATGGCGCAAGAGAGATCCACTGCGCCTGCGCGGAAGCCGGCTCAGAAGCTCACGTGGCTGGTGTAGTAGGCGTGGTCACGTGACAGGACCGAGCGATGGGAGGATTCTGGTGCACCCCGGAAGGAGGATTTTTAATTCTTCTGTTTTCTTGTCTATCGCAAAACAGAGTTTACATGTATTTTCCTTTTTTCTTAGCTTAAGAATTGAAGACTTTGGCCGGATTAGACCTGGTTGTGTGGAGAGGAGAATTAATAACTACAGTGGAGCGAGCCCTCCTGCGAGAGTCAGGATACTACTATGCTAGTCCCGACTCTGCCCCAAATGCCTGGAGAGACTTTGGCTAAGTCACTTTTTCTTTCCGCGGGCTGTTTACCGTTGGTAAAAGGAGAGGGTCACCCACTCACTCCACAAACATTTGTTGAGTCATTGGTTATAGCGGGAACAAGACAGGCAAAGTTCTTCCTGAATTCTGGTCGGAGATGGATAACGGAAACAACTTTGTTGAGGTTCCCAATGTGCCCGGCACTGATGTCTTTAAATATTTATGGTTACATCAAAGAGAAAGTCACTATGCTAATCTTTTTTTTTCTTTCTTTTCTTTTTTCTCAGGGTCTCGTTCTGTCGCCCTGGCCGGAGTGCAGTGTCATGATCAGGGCTCGACCTCCCGGGCTCAAACAATCCCCCTACTTCAGCCACCCAAGTAGCTAGGACCACAGGTGCGTGCAGTCGCGACGGGCTTTTTTTTTTTTTTTTTTTTTTTTTTTTAGTTGAGTCAGGTGTTTTACTGAGCTCAAGTGATTCTACCGCCGCGGCCTCCCAAAGTGTTGGGAATACAGTAATGAGCCAAGGCGCCAGGCTGCTAATTTTTTTTTTTTGAGACAGAGTCTCGCTTTGTCGCCCAGGCTGGAGTGCAGTGGCGCGATCTTGGCTCACTGCAAGCTCCGCCTCCCGGGTTCACGCCATTCTCCTGCCTCAGCATCCCGAGTAGCTGGGACTACAGGCGCCCGCCACCACGCCCAGCTAATTTTTTGTATATTTGGTAGAGATGGGGTTTCACCGTGTTAGCCAGGATGGTCTCGATCTCCTAACCTCGTGATCCGCCCGACTCGGCCTCCCAAAGTGCTGAGATTACAGGCGTGAGCCACCGCGCCCGGCACTAGGCTGCTAATCTTGTAGTAACCTGCTTTTAACATTTGCTTATCTCTCTCTTTTTTTTTGGTGACGGAGTCTCGCTCTGTCGCCCAGGCTGGAATGCAGTGGCGCGATCTCGGCTCACTGAAACCTCCGCCTCCTGGGTTCAAGCAATTCTCCTGCCTCAGCCTTCCGAGTAGCTGGGACTACAGGCGCCCGCCGCTCGGCTAGTTTTTCTGTATTTTAGTAGCGCCGGGGTTTCACCTTGTTGCCCAGGCTGGTCTCGAACTCCTGAGCTCAGACAATCCGCCCGCCTCGGTCTTCCAAAGTGCTAGGATTACAGGCGTGAGCCACCGTGCCCAACCTTCTTATTTATCTCTTTAAAACCAAATAACTTTTTTTCATTATATCTGATTTTACAGTTATTACCCAGCACACTTACTGAGCGCTCCACTTCCCAGGCACTATTTAATGATCTGGAGGTTATAGCAATCATCCCAAATCTCTGGAAGGAGACAGACAAGCACATAAATACATAGCAATATTGTGCAGAGAGAAGAGCTGGGAAGGAAAATGAAACCCAGTAAGGGGATGGCTAGTGAGAGGGGTGTTCTTTGAGATAGGTGATTGGAGGAGGCCTCTCCAAGGAGATCTGGACTGTAGTGACTGGCATGAAAATTTAACTAGGAGTGCTTTCTACACCGAAGGATCCCTGAAGAAGCAGCCTGCCTGGGATGTTTAAGGAACCACAGGAAGCTCATTGCCAGAGGAGTGAGCCAGGGCAGAAATGTTCAGAGAAAAAGCAGGAGCTTCCCTTTGCCAACCAGGCTCGGATCAAGTCATCTTCCCAGCCTCAGTTTCACTTAGATCCCCACTCCTAAGTACTTTCCCCTGTTTAATTTTCTTCACAACATTTATGTAATCTGAAATTATCTTGTTCATTTTTTCATAACTGAATCACCTGCCCTCCTCCTCCTTCTCTCTCTGTCATACACATGCCAACTAGAAAATAAGTTCCGTGCATCAGAGCCTGCCCATCTTATTCACCTGTATCCCCAGAATCTAGAATGGTGCCTGGCATAATAGATATAATAAATATGTGATGACTGAAAGAACCAGAAGAGACCGCCAGGAGGAAACAAGCCTACTCCAGCAGTTTTCAGACAGTTTTGGTCTCAAGACCCCTTTACACTCCTAAAAATTATTGAGGATCCCAAAGTTTTTGTTTATGTGGGTTAAGTCTGCTAATATTTATCTGATAAGTTAAAACTGAGAATTTTAGGCTGGAGGCAGTGGCTCATGCCTGTAATCCCAGCACTTTGGGAGGCCGAGGCAGCCGGATCACAAGGTCAGGAGATCAAGACCATCCTGGCTAACATGGTGAAACCCCATCTCTACTAAAAATACAAAAAATTAGCCAGGCGTTGTGGCGGGCGCCTGTAGTCCCAGTTACTTGGGAGGCTGAGGCCGGAGAATGGGGTGAACCCAGGAGGCAGAGCTTGCAGTGAGCCGAGATCATGCCACTACACTGCAGCCTGGTTGAGAGCAAGACTCCGTCTCAAAAAAAACAAAAACAGAATTTTAAAAATCAATTCATTAAAAAATAATTCATTAAATGTTAACAAAAACAATCTTTATTAAAACTAATACTCTATTTTCTAAAATAAGGAATAAGTAAAAAGTATGGCATCATTTTACTTTTTTGCAAATCTCTCTCTATATATATATATTTTTTTTGAGACAGGGTCTTACTCTGTTGCCCAGGCTGCAGTGCAGTTTCACAATTACAGCTCACCATAACTTCCGCCTCCCAGGCTCCAGCAATTCTCCCAATCAGCCTCCCAAGTAGCTGGAACTACAGGCATGTGCCAACACACCTGGCTAATTTTTTGTAGAGATGGGGTCTTGCCATGTTGCCCAGGCTGGTCTTGAACTCCTGGGCTCAAGCAGTCCACCTACCTCGGCCTCCCAAAGTGCTGGAATTATAGGAGTGAGCCACCGTGCCCAGCCTTTCAAGTCTCATTAATATCCAGTTTACCTAACCTCATTGTAAATTTCCTGCGAACATGGTCAGTGGTATTTCTCTTGCAGTCCTCCTAGAGTACTGCACAAAAAAGCACTAACATTTTTTGGATTTTGCTGAAAACCCATCACTTCATTTATAAGATGAGAGAACACTGCCTTAGAAAAATTACTAAGAACAAGATAATCTATGTAGAGGTTTAATACTGTGCCTTGCATAAACTAAGTTGCTAAGGAGTGACACGATGTAACTCCTATTTTTAATTTTTAGAGATAAGGTCTCACTATGTTGCCCAGGCTAATCTTGAGCTCCTGGCCTCAAGTGATCCTCCCACCTTGGCCTCCCAAAATTCTGAGAATACAGGCATGAGCCACTGGGCCCGGCCTGATTTATGTTTTAAAATAATCTTTCTAGTCATACAGATAACAGGAGAACAAGTGGAGAAGGCAGGGAGACCAGTGAAAGAGAGTAATCTAGGAGTGCAGAGAGGATGGTGACTTGTACCAGGGCAGTTGAGACAGCGGTGGTGAGACTTGGGTCAAATAAACATGATTTGTTTAACAACCAACTGGTTGGGAATGGAATGTTAGTATGATTTGAATGTACCTTTTTTTGTTTTGAGAGGGAATCACGCCCTGTCACCCAGGTTGGTTTTGGAGTGCAGTGGTGCAATGTTGGCTCACTACAACCTCTGCCTCCCGGGTTCAAGTGATTTCTCCTGCCTCAGCCTCCCAAGTAGCTGGGACTACAGGCACATGCCACCACACCCAGCTAGTTTTTGTATTTTTAGGAGACACAGGGTTCGTGAAGTTCCTGGCAGCTAGATGTACATTCAGTGACAACTATTAAATTTCATCTCAGCCAGGCACGGTGGCTCACATCTGTAATCCCAGCACTTTGGGAGGCCTATACAGGTGGATCACTTGAGGCCAGGAGTTCGAGACCAGCCTGGGCAACATGGCAAAACCCATCTCTACTAAAAATACAGAAACTAGCTGGGCGTGGTGGTGTGCACCTGTAGTCCTAGCTACCTGGGAGGCTGAGGCATGAGAATCGCTTGAACCTGGGAGGCAGAGGTTGCAGTCAGTTGAGATCGTGCTACTGCACTCCAGCCTGGGTGAGAGAATGAGATTGTCTCAAAAAAAAAAATTTCATCTCAACCAGATTAGGTAAGCCACATGAAACCAGGGCCTGTGCTATGCTTTTTGTATACCACACACTAGTAAACACAGGAGTTCCACTGTTCCTTTATCCATAAAAAGCCTTTGACAGAATCCTTCTATCAAAGCCCGACTGAGGCTCTGTATCACCCAGAATAAATCTGTTTTCAGTTTTCTTCATAAGCCTGTAATTCCAACCCTCTAATTCCATCTTTCCTGATGAAGTGACTTCTGAACATGAATAACCAGGGAAACCTGTGTTTGCTCACTACACTCACCGGGTTTTAATTCTAATAAATACCACAAACAAGCATGCCCATTTCCATTCCCTCTGTAAACCAGTTTAGATATACAATATTTTTGCATGTCAAATTTCTTAAATGTTAAAATTAACAGTAACAAAGAGCTTTTCCTGTTAAACATTTTCAAAGTTAAAAAAAGGGCACACATCCCATTGATGGATTAATTTGATTCATCGGATACAAAAGTAAAAACGAGGAGAGCTTTGTTCTAAGTCTGCACCAATGGAATTATGTTGATTGGTTATAGTTTCAGGAGGTGAGCAAACAGTTTTACCCGTTGACAGTCCCCGTTTTTTTTTTTTTTAGGAGATGGGGTCTTGGTTTGTTGCCCCAGCTAGAGTGCAGTGGCTCATAGCTCACTCATAGCTCACTGCAGCCTCAAACTCCTGGGCTCAAGCAATCCTGCCCCAGCCTTCTGAGTAGCTGGGACTACCGGTGCACCACCACAACACCCAGCTTATTTAAAATTTTATTTATTTATTTTTGAGACGGAGTCTCGCTGTTGCCAGGCTGGAGTGCCGTGGCATGATCTTCGCTCACTGCAACCTCCACCTCCAGTGATTCTCCTGCCTCAGCCTCTCAAGTAGCTGGGATTACAGGCATACACCACCATGCCCAGCTAATTTTTGTATTTTTAGTAGAGACGGGGTTTCACCATGTTGGCCAGGATGGTCTCGATCTCCTGACCTCAGGTGATCCACCTGCCTCGGCCTCCCAAAGTGCTGGGATTACAGGCGTGAGCCACTGCACCCAGCCTTAAAAAATTTTTTATAGAGACAGGGTCTCACTATGTTGCCCAGGCTAGTCTCAAACTCCTGGGCTCCAAGTTGTCCTCCCACAATGTCTCCCAAAGTGCTGAGATTACAGGCATGAGCCATTGCATCTGCTGTCCCCCCCGCCACCTGCTTTTTGTTTTTTTTGAGACTGAGTCTAGCTCTGTCGCCCAGGCTGGAGTGCAGTGGTACGATCTTGGCTCACTGCAACGTCCGCCTCCTGGGTTCAAGCAATTCTCCTGCCTCAGCCTCCCAAGTAGCTGGGATTACAGGCATGCGCCACCACGCCTGGCTAATTTTTTTTGTATTTTTAGTAGTGACGGGGTTTCACCATATTGGCCAGGCTGGTCTCAAACTCCTGACCTTGTGATCCGCCTGCCTTGGCTTCCCAAAGTGGTGGGATTACAGGTGTGAGCCACCGTGCCTGGCCTGAGACAGGTTCTTGCTCTTTCACCCAGGGTAGAGTGCTGTGGCATGATCAGGGGGCTCACTGCAGACTTGACCTCCAGACTCAAGCAATCTTCCCACGTCAGCCTCCCCAGTAGCTGGGCTCAGCTGACAGTCCCTTTTATGATCGTTTCTTTTTTCAGCACACTGTTGCTGGCTTGAATTCTTTTTAAAATTTAAGAAAATAGAGACAAGGGTCTAACTATGTTGCCCAAACTGGTCTCAAACTCCTGGCCTCAAGCAATCCTACTGCCTTGGCCTCTCGGAATGCTGGGATTACAGGCATGAGCCACTGTGCTTGGCCTGTGGTCATGTTTCTTACTTCAGTACTTCAAATAAATTCTACATCCATTCAAGTCACTGAACTGAAAAAGAGCACTGCAGTGTACCAGTGCAGCAGCCAGACCACCTGGCTTGAACTTTGAGCTACCAGTTACTTGCTCTGTGACATCAGTGGCATGTTACTAAACTTCTCTTGTGCCTCGTTTCCCTCATCCGTCATATGAGGGTAATAACAGTACCTGTCTCATTGGGTAGGACTCAATAATTTAACACCTGAAAACACTGAGGACAGTGCCTGGCAGATGGTAAGTCAACAATGGTTACTATTATTCTGACTGATTCATTTTGGAAATCATGGGCCAAGCCACTATTACCCAAACTGATGAGCTCAATCCCTGAGTACCTTTAAGTGATGAGGAACATTGAGAAAATACATAAGCCACTGTGCCCCAATTTAATTACATAGTTCATACAACATGGCTACAGAGACGAATGATATTCTAGTAATAAGTTACTGGGTTTGTAGCAATATGTAAGTAAATATCAGAGCCACACCAGAGAGCACAACAAGTTGCATTTATTGTTTCTGACAAGTGCATAGTAATTTTCAGTTTGCTCATGTTCCTAGCATCACAAATCTGAGTTACAATTTTGCTTCTCAATGAAAAACATATACTCTGAAAAGTGATTAGGAAGTTCTAAAAATTTTAATCATTTATAGAGTATCTTAAAAATCCTTATCAAGTAAGATATTAACTTTACCTTTATAAATCTTTGTGTGAAATGAAAAAAAAATCAAGGCATACAAATTTCATTGTGTTCTACATTTTTAAATACCATCCTTTGTCTCCGTTAAAAGATTTTCATCCATTTATTCAAAAACCTTTTAAGTTCAACTGTCCAATTTAAGACAGAGTGAAGACATTTTTGAGTATCTGAACTAAGCATTGTCTTGACTGAAACGAAGTAAGAACTCAATGAGAGTCCTTGTGGGCCTCCCAGTCATGCCTTTCCGTAGATAGGGAACTTCATCTTTGTTGGTCATCACGCCTGCTATGTCTAAATGTGCCCACTTAGGATGAGTTACGAATTCTTTCAGGAATGCTGCAGCTGTACATGCTCCTGCAGATCTGAAGAGAAAGACAAAAAGCACTTTACAACCCCATGTAAATGTGCACTGAGATCCCACATTTTTGCTAAGTACATTCTATAACCAAAGAACAAGAGTCAAGCTTGTAAGACCTATTAAGATGCTAACCCACATATCAGTTTCAGAATATTTATTTTCAGATATTGCTTTAAGCAGTAAAGGATAAATTCTATATTCCTTTTTGCTATGGTAATGAATTCCCATATTTTCCATCTCTTTCCCTTACCATTTATTGAAAATTACCATTAGATTAGAAATATGCAAATTTTGAAATCTGGTTGAAGAAATACTTGAAAATTCAAGACATTAAAAATCTTACAAGCACTACACCAAAAGGAAATTAAATAGTTAAACCTTTTATATAAGGGGATAAAATTGAAAATAGCTATTTTGGCAATCAAGGATGATTGTATAAATGTACATTTAGCTTAGCTTACATACCTGTATTTTCCAATGTTGTTAACATCAGCAAGCTGGCAATCTACAACCTGTCTTGTATAATGTTCGAAGAGAGGCATCCTCCAGACACGGTCCCCTGTTTCAATGCTGGCCTAGAGAACAGGTATGACAGGTGGAAGAGTGGATGAGGCAGGTTGTGGGAAATTCATGGCATTAACATGCTCAATGCATGAAGGAAGAGTTGTTCTAACCTGTTACTCTAAAACATGAAACTAGAAAATAGGTTTCAGAATTGTGTCCACTCATTAAAAGATTTATTTTAGAACTATAAAAGAAACCAGGAGGCTGGGGACAGTGGCTCACGCCTATAATCCCAGCACTTTGGGAGGCCGAGGCGGGTGGATCACGAGGTCAAGAAATCGAGACCATCCTGGCCAACATGGTGAAACGCTGTCTCTACTAAAAATGCAAAAAATTAGCTGGGCGTGGTGGTGCGCGCCTGTAGTCCCAGCTACTCCGGAGGCTGAGGCAGGAGAATTGCTTGAACCCAGGACGGGGAGGTTGCAGGGAGCCAACGGAGTGCCACGGCACTCCAGCCTGGCGACAGAGCGAGGCTCCGTCTCAAAAATAAATAAATAAATAAAAAATAAAAAGAAACCGGGAATGCTGTGAAGCAATTTCACAAATCTGTAGGGCATTTTGCTAAAATCATCAAACTACAATTACAGGCTTTGTGGGTTGATGAGGGTGAAAGAGTTCTTATGTGGCGGGTCACTTCTATGTGACAGAAACACACGACTGGACCTGTATCACTGAAATCCTGAGACAGGATGACCACATTCATTCATT
Source organism: Homo sapiens (assembly GCF_000001405.40). Classification (NCBI taxonomy): domain Eukaryota; kingdom Metazoa; phylum Chordata; class Mammalia; order Primates; family Hominidae; genus Homo; species Homo sapiens. The sequence continues at coordinate 17,606,131 of NC_000004.12, read as the reverse complement.
CATCACTTACCCACTCACTCATTCATCGTTTACTGAACTACTGAGCACCACCAGGTGTGCTGAAATACTACCATCTGAGCCACCCAAGGGCCTACAGGCTAGTAGGAGAAACAGATACATAAACAGATTATTTAACTCACTGGTAAAAAATCAAAGACCTAAAAGTGAAAAATCAAGAAGCAGCAATATAAGCTGTTATTTTAAGACATAAGTAAATACCAGATGAATCAGCCAAGGGTTGAAAGTGGCTGCCTTCTGGAAAACAGACTGTGGGCTGCTGATTGTTGATTTATGCACATATAACTGAGATTTTTTTTTTAAAGCTTAAATGTTTTTTAAAAGTCAAAACAACAATATTGTGGGTGCCATGAAAGAGAGGGATAACGGTTATGTGGGAGGCCAGAGGAGAGGTTCCTGGCCCGGCCTGGAAGAAGATGATGGGGCTGAGTATTGCAGAACTGGGAAAATTGGGCTTCGTGAATGATGACATATATGAAGGAGAAGCAGTTTAGAGTGAAAATAAGTTTAGACCTTAAACCACCCTCAGGATTATATTTGGGGACATTTTATGTTTGTCTCCCCTCCCACTGGCACAGAGTAAGCTCCCATTAATTACTAGTTGAATGAATGAGTAAGCAGCCAGCTGGAGCTGTCTAGCAGCCACATGGGTACACAGAGGCTGGGACTCGGGAGAGAGATGGGAGCCATCAGGCAACATGTGTTGGCTGGAGCTTCCATGTGAGGAATGTGTAGAGTAGGAAGAGCCTATGGCCTTGAATTGAACACCAGCCAAAGGGCGGCCAAAGGGAACAAACACGTCAGGAGACAGGAGCAGGAGAATCACAGGAGGCAGCCCAAGAAAGGATTATCACAGAAGCTGAACCAGGTGTCAGGAGGCCACAGAGTCACCTGCTGCCTCAAGACAGGCTGAGTTAGGCTAACAGTGGTGTGGACATTCGAAAACCAATGGCAGTAAGTGAGGGTGTGTGTGTGTGTGTGTGTGTGTGTGTGTGGAAGTGAGGGTGACTGCTGGGAAGAGGCTGGCTGTGAAGGGCATGGAGGGAGGCACAGAGCACAGCGGTCTGAAGACATCCTCATCGATGCAGGGTGAACTCCCTTATATGACTCACGACACGCAGTCACAAACGCTGCTCCACAAAGCCATCTTCAAAACCATTTCTACCTCAGGGATTCTAAAACTATGACCACAGTGTTCGTGAGATATTTTCACAGGACGCTGAGGCTACCGGAGGGGAGCAGGGGGCATCATCCCCTCCTTTAGGAGCATTTGTGGAAAACCCAATGCCACTGAACTCAATCTATTGCTGTGGTTCATTTTCAATTCAAAGGCAAACCTGCGGCATAAAAATCACTTTAACACAGGGTTGAAGAAGTCTATCCTTCTAAGGCTAGAATAATTTATTCACCATCTCTACAATTTAGATATACAAATATTATTCCTACCTCGAAGAGTTTGTTCCAGAGCCAGGATGAATTGGTAAAGACCCCAGTGGCACCTGATCCCAAAGCTACATCCATGGCACCTGTAAGACACAAGCCCTCAGGTCACGTGCAGTCTCTCCAGGCAAAATGGGCTCCTCCGCCACCCAGATGGAAACCTTAGCATGTACCCTATTTAATGGCTTCCTCATTTTCAAAAATAGATAAGCTTAGGAAATCTTTCCTGTACATACTTAACATATTTTTATGTTTTTCAGGCCAGAATTCACTTAAATTATTAGGAAATGCAAAAAAGGAACCTACTGAATTTGACCAATAATTTCATTTTAGGGATAACTGTTAACCTATTTTTGAAATTTCCTTCCAGACATCTAAACCTTTTTTTTTTTTTTTTTTTTTTGAGAAAGGTCTCACTCACCCAGGCTGCAGTGTAGTGGTATGATCAGAGCTCACTGTATGCAGCCTCAAACTCCTGGGCTCAAGTGATCCTTCCGCCTCAGCCTCCTGAGTAGCTGGAATTACAGGTACATGCTGCCACACCCAGCTAATTAAAAATTTCTTTTTGGGCCGGGCATGCTGGCTCACGCCTGTAATCCCATCACGGGTGGGATCACCTGAGGTCAGGAGTTCGAGACCAGCCTGGCCAACATGTAGAAACCCCGTCTCTACTAAAAATACAAAAATTAGCTGAGCGTGGTGCCTGTAATCCCAGCTACTCAGGAGGCTGAGATAGGGAGAATTGCTTGAACCCAGGAGGCGGAGGTTGCAGTGAGCTGAGATCATGCCATTGCACTCCAGCCTGGGTGATAGAGCGAGATTCTGTCTCAAAAAAAAAAGAAAGAAAGAAAAAAAAAAAAGGCCAGGCGCAATGCCTCACGCCTGTAATCCCAGCACTTTGGGAGGCTGAGGCGGGTGGATCACCTGAGGTTGGGAGTTTGAGACGAGCCTGACCAACATGGAGAAACCCTGTCTCTACTAAAAATACAAAATTAGTCGGGCGTGGGGTGCATGCCTGTAATCCCAGCTACTCAGGAGGCTGAGGCAGGAGAATCGCTTGAACCGCTTGAACCTGGGAGGCAGAGGCTGTGGTGAGAGCCGAGATTGCACCATTGCACTCCAGCCTGAGCAACAAGAGCGAAACTCTGTCTCAAAAAAAAAAAAAAAAGATTTCTTGCTGTAGAGATGGGGTCTCATTATGTTGCTCAGGCTGGTCTTGAACTCCTGGGCTCAAGCAATCTTCCCATGTCAGCCTCCCAAGGCACCAGGATTACAAGCATGAGCTATCATGCCCAGCCCAACTTCTAAATTTTCATAAAAAACAAGGCCATCCTGTATGTGCTCAAGCATGTGTTCCTCCTTTTTTGAGACAGAGTCTTGCTCTGTTGCCCAGGCTGGAGTGCAGTGGTGCGATCTCAGCTCACTGCAACCTCCACCTCCCGGGTTCATGCCATTCTCTCCCGCAGCATCCTGAGTAGCTGGGACTACAGGCACATGCCACCACACCTGGTTAATTTTTTTTGTATTTTTAGTGGAGAGGGGGTTTCACCGTGTTAGCCAGGATGGTCTTGATCTCCTGACCTCGTGATCCACCCACCTCGGCCTCCCAAAGTGCTGGGATTACAGGTGTGAGCCATCGCGCCTGGCTGTGTTCTTCCTTTTATGCTTTAAAAATTTATCCTATTCCTCTTTGGCTGGGCGCGGTGGCTCACACCTGTAATCCCAGCATTTTGGGAGGCTGAGACGGGTGGATCACTTGAGGTCAGGAGTTCGAGACCAGCCTGACCAACACTGTGAAACCCCGTCTCTACTAAAAATACAAAAATCCGAGTGTGGTGGCGCATGCCTGTAATCCCAGCTACTCAGGTGGCTGAGGCAGGAGAATGGCTTGAACCCAGGAGGCAGAGGCTGCAGTGAGCTGAGATCGTGCCACTGCAGCCTGGGCAACAGAGTGAGACTCCGTCTCAAAAAAAAGAGAAAAAATTATTCCTCTTTTATAAACAAATGTTGGAAAATATTTTTAATGATGTAAAAATAGTCCACTGGATGGAGATATCATAATTTAAGGAATCTAATTTTTCAGCAATTTTAATCACATCTAAGTACTGCTATAAGACTTTGATGGCTGTTATTACTGCATAATATTTACTTGTTTCATCTTTAGTTTTTTCTCCAACAAAGTTGTGTCCCATTGGCTGACTTCTATTTTTACATTAATTAGCATATTTTTAAAAAATCAACTTAAAAATCCAGATTTGCAGGTCCTCTTGAGAAGAGACAATCAGGTACAGCCACTTAGTGCTGCCTCCTTTAGTTGTGGTATGAGCTCCTAGTAATCTCATTTGTTATTTGCCTGGCCCATCTGTAAGCGCTGAGTCAAGGAACACGTCTGCTTCCTAGGCATATCCTTAGGGCCCAGAAAGCACACTGCCTGGCATAAAGGAGCTAAGTATTTATTGAAAGGAAAAGCAAACCTTACTATCCTTCAGTATCAGGACAAGCACTGAACCCACCACCATCAGTACCAGGACACACATATGGAATGTCAGAGGAGGCAGCACTGAAACTGGGGGCAATCTATAGTCTTCACAAGGTGGCATTTGCTCCCTGCAATGCAAAGTATGTCCAAGTTGCTCCTTAAATTCTTAACCATGTCTTTACATGAAACTGCTCATTAGCATCTCTCCCAAGGAAAACTGAAACTTGAAGATAGTACTAACTAGTCAGCCCTCCGTATCCGTGTGTTCTGCATCTATGGAGTCAACCAAATATTTTGGAGTCAACAGAAATATGACTATGTTCTGTTGACTATGGAGTCAACAGAAAATATTTTGAAGCGGGGGAGATGGCTGCATCAGTACTGAACATACACGGACTTTTTTTCTTGTCATTATTCCCTAAACAATACAGTGTAACGAATATTTACATAGCATTTACATTGTATTAGGCAGTATAACTAATCTAGAGATGACTTAAGTGTACTGGAGGATGTACATAGGTTATATATAAATACTATGCCATTTTACATAAGGGATGTGAGCATCGTGGGTTTGGTATCTGAGGGGGGATCCTAGAACCTATCCCCCACGCATACTGAGGGACAATATATACATACCTATTAATACTTTACAAGTTAGTGGTTTTTTATATAATTATTCACTTGTCCTCAAAATATTTCAGTCAACCCCCTAAGAGTCATCTATCAGTTTTAAAATTTGTCATAGAAAAGATGAACAATCCCCTCAAACAAGACCATGCTATCTTCCCTTAAAGTAATAAAAAATGGCAGACATAAGTATTTAAGGTGGTCCAGTTGGGACCACGGCTCTAAAGATGATTTTATTATATAGCTAAATAGTTTATTCTCTATAATTCCAGAATTATTTCCACAGCCCATTTCAGAACTACTAGTAGCAGAGGCATACTTCCCATTTTTATTTACAAGGCACGTTTGGAGCCCTGTGTTGTGATGCTCACTGATCAATGTTACCAGAATTGCTCATAGTCTGGAAGAAACATCAAAGCCCCAAGGAAAGTGAGGATAGCACCACACTCATTCAATCCTAAATTATGCCCAAGCATTAAGAAAATGAAAAGAAACACTGTGATTGGATATGGCCATCCCCGAATATGTCACTGTTCCTACAATCTGGGGTACGGCCTGCCTTTCAAAGGCAAAGGACAGTAACATCTGTTTCAGTGTCTATGATGTACTGGGCCATGGACATCAACCTGTATTGTCTCATTTAATCTTCACGGCATCCTTCCTGTGAACGAGGTGCTATTATACCCCTTTTATGGATGAGACAACTAAAGCCTAGTCCAACTTTTAACGTGCTATTAAAAGTTAGGACAAGTTTTAAAATCAGGTCTTCTATTTCTGAAGACTGTGTACTTCCTCCTATCAAGAGCCTGAGTTTAGAAACTGGTTCTTATTCTCCTCTTGGAACCCTAGCTTCTGGAACTCAGAAGGGGCTCAGTAGTATTTGGGGAACCATCACCTGGTGTGGTCTGAAAGCTCACCCAGAAGGTCACCCTTGCTTACGTAGGGCCAACTTTCCCACCTTCTCAACCCCTCAGACTGAGAAAAAAGTGGGGTAGAATGCTGCTATTAAGCATCTAGGAAAAGTATTCCCCAAGTGGTAATTATGAACGTTATGTTTAAATTGTAGAACTTGACGTATCTGATGTATCTATCCTCTGTGATTCCTCATTTACAGTAAGGGGGTACTCGCTTCACTGCCAGTGCCTCCCCCAACCCCCCACCCTAGAAGCTCTGCTTTTCAGGTAAAGTGTTTGCTAAACTGAATAGATAGACCAAAAACCATGAAAACACTATAATGCCAGCTTTGAAAAAAAACTCTTAGCAATAGACCTGTGGACTATTTTTAGACCTACATACAAAAGGGAACATGATTTCTGCCAAAGTAAAGGCTCAACATGACCAGGGCAAGAATAAAACCAAAGGATAAAAAATGATCTAAATTTTCATCTTAAAAGAGGTAGAGTCTGACTTTAAGATTCAGAAATTAATTTTTTTTAAAAAGGGGTAGAGTCAGGATGAATTACTAGGAAGAGAACATTTGGATGCAAGATTATGAACATTGGGATTTGGCAATAAGACAACACTTGTTTGTCATCCCTTTAGGAATCTATTCCCAGCCCTCCAGGGCTGGTGGTGTCACAGCCTGTATTAAAGAGGCTTTCAAGAAACTCCCTCCAGCCTTTACAGCTCTTCCAAGCAAATGGAATTGTCCCCAAGTACCAATGCTCAAAAGGGCCAAGAAACTTGCCCACGGCTAACTGACTAGTAAGTGGCACAGCTGGGAGTTCCACCTGAGCCTGGCCTTAAAGCGCTGGCTTCACACTGTGTCACTTGTTAAATGAGAATCCTGCTACTCTGGTAAAATGTTTTTATTTCCTTATGACATCAAGTATAAAAAGTTCCAGAAGAAAAAAAAAAAAAAAGTAAAGCTCTGAAAGCTCAGAGGGTATTAGATACATTACAATTAGTTTAAAAAAGTAAAAGAAAGCTATTGACTTGGGGATTTATCACTAATCTTTTCAGATCTGTATCAAATGGTAATTGTAACAGAAACAATCTCTTAACATCATTTATTTTATTTTATTTTATTTTTTAAGAGGGAGTCTCGCTCTGTCACCAAGCTGGAGTGCAGTGGCATGATCTCGGCTCACTACAACCTCCACCTCTGGGGTTTAAGCAATTCTCCTGCCTCAGCCTCCCGAGTAGCTGGAATTACAGGCACGTGCCACACACCCAACTAATTTTTGTATTTTTAGTAGAGACAAGGTTTCACCATGTTGGCCAGGATGGTCTCGATCTCCTGACCTCATAATCCATCTGCCTCGGACTCCCAAAGTGCTGGGATTACAGGTGTGAGCCACCGCTCCTGGCTCTTAACATCATTTTTAGATGTCACTCTAGATGAGCTGATCTGGCGCACTTGTTATTTCTGCTTAAAGGTACAGCCCAGGCTGGGCACAGTGGCTCACTTCTGTAATCTTGTAATCCCAGCACTTTGGGAGGCTGAGACAGGTGAATCACCTTGGTCAGGAGTTTGAGACCAGCCCGGCCAACATGGTTAAACCCCATCTCTACTAAAATATAAAAATTAGGCCAGGCACAGTGACTCATGCCTGTAACCCCAGCACTTTGGGAGGCTGAGGCGGGTGGATCACCTGAGTTCAGGAGTTCGAAACCAGCCTGGCTAACATGGCAAAAACCCCGTCTCTACTAAAAATACAAAAATTCGCCAGGACTGGTGGTGCGTACCTGTAACCCCAGCTACTTGGGAGGCTGAGGCAGGAGAATCACTTGAACTCAGGAGGCCAAGATCACGCCACTGCACTCCAGCCTGGATGACAGAGTGACACTCCGTCTCAAAAAAAAAGTACAGCTTGGAATGTTTTAAAACGACAAACCTAATATTCAAAACATTTTACAACTGCAGAACAATTCCTCTGGTGAAAGATCTTTGAATGCCAATGGACCAAGCCAAATTTTAGCAAAATAATGCCACAAGTATAGTGTGTGAAATCCATGCAACGAACAAGACTTCCTTCAAACAAAATCAAGGCAAGTGCGCGGTCTGACCTGTTAAGGTGGCGGCATTGAGGATGACCTTCGGGTTAAACGTGTGTGCGTAACAGAGCGCATCAGCCAGTATGAGCCTCCCCTCAGCATCAGTGTTATCAACCTGCAGAGGGTCAAAAACAGAAAGGGTGACAGCGCAAGTAAAGAATATGAAAACTAGACACTTGCAACAGTGTTCGACGGAAAAGTTGGAAAAAGCTACTGTGACGTGTGTCATTATCAAACCATTCATACTTCAATGAGAATAGGAACATATCTAATCTGGAGAGCAAATATGATTTAATAATCCCCCAGCACCTTGGGAGGTAGAGGTGGGCAGACAGCTTGAGCCCAGGAGCTCGACACCAGCCTAGGCAAGATGGTGAAACCCCATTTCTAATTAAAAATAAAAAAATAATAATATAATAATCACTGTACCAGAGCTGATGACCTAATGTTGATGACTTTGGAAGCCAAAATAAATAGAAAAATGTCTAGTCCATTTTACCCGTAACTTTGTAACAAGAAGGGGAAAAATGTAAAGATTTCCAAAAATGAGGTTAAAGAGCTTTAAGAAAGCTACAGCTACATGGCAGTCTCAATCCTAGAAATGAAAACTCTTGCAACTTCAGTAACACTTCCTAACTATATTCCTTTCTTTTAAATAGAGGTCCAGTCGTTTTCTGAGTGGCTTGTACACACCTGCATGCACGTGCCACCCAGAGGACCTGCTGCCACATCCCCTTCAGTGCAGGGCCCATGATGTAGGACAGTATGTTCTACCTCAACACCTACAATGGAAAAAAGTCACTCATAGCACAGGTATATCCAGAAGATAGCCCACAATTTTACTGCTTTGCCGCCCTCTGCAGGGCTGGCAGCAAATTCATGGAAACGTGTGTATACACATGTATAGCATACAGGAAATGGGAGGAACAATAAGTCTGGAAAAACATTCTTCAAAATCCCCCAAAAAAGATACTTCTGCCTTTGCAAGAAAAGCTACTCAGGGGCCGGGAATGGTGGCTCGCGCCTGTAATCCTAGCACTTTGGGAGAACAAGGTGGGCAGATCACTTGAGTCTAGGAGTTTGGGACCAGCCTGGGAAACATGGCAAAACCCTGTGTCTACAAAAAGCTAGCCAGGCATGGTGGCACGCACCTGTGGTCCCAGCTACTCAGGTCGCTAAGGTGTGAGGACCACCTGAGCCTGGGGAGGTCAAGGCTGCAGTGAGACATGATCACGCCACTGCACTACAGCCTGGGTGATGCAGCGAGACCCCATTTCAGGAAAGGGAAGGAAAAGAAAGGCTACCCAGCACTAAAGACAGCACCCTCCCCTAATATGGTTCTGGGGCTCTGCACGCATCCTAGCTGTGGTTATGTGGCCACCACGGGATTCCTGAGGAACGCTGGATGGGGAGTGCTGTGTCTCACATTTACAAACCTGGATGGTCTTCCCGTTTTTGGCTCTAACAACATCCCCCGGCTTGTTGGCCTTGCCGCTGGGCATATTTTCACAAAGAGGGGCCAGACCTATTGGAAATAATATATGAAGGCACACAGTATATACTGGGTCCAAACATGCCACCTATGGGACAAGAGGCCACCTGTGAGCCATGAGAAGCAAGACACAAAGGCCACCTTAACGAACTGATCAAATTTAACATCACCAATGACACAACTGACATGATGTGTCAGCAACAAGAAGTACACATCACCCATGTAGCATTCTTCCCAAAGAAGTCTAACTTGATTCTAATCAAGAAGAAGCAATTCAAATAAATACAAATTGCAGAATATCATGAAACAAGCCTAGACCCTTCAAAACTGCTAATGCCGTGGAAGAAAACAGGAATAGGGTCTAGAATCAAGAAATCTAAAGGGGCACCAACAGCAATGTGTGGTCCTTGATTAGTTTCTGGATTTAAAAGCTAAATATAGGCCAGGCGCGGTGGCTCATGCCTGTAATCCCAGCATTTTGAGAGGCCAAGGCGGGCAGATCACCTGAGGTCAGGAGTTCAAGACCAGCCTGATCAACATGGAGAAACCCCGTCTCTACTAAAAATACAAAATTAACCAGGCATGGTGGCGCATGCCTGTAATCCCAGCTACTCAAGAGGCTGAGGCAGAAGAATCACTTGAACCCGGGAGGTGGAGGTTGTGGTGAGCCAAGATCGCGCCATTGCACTCCAGCCTGGGCAACAAGAGCGAAACTCCATCTCAAAAAAAACCAAAAAACCAAAAAAACCTAAATATAAATAAATAAAATGGACATTTTTTACACAACTGGAAACTTGAATTAGGTTACTGAATTAATCCTCGGAAAAGATAATGGTTTTGTCATTACATAGAATGTCCTTTTTCTTAGAGGACGTGTCGTGATGTCTGCAACTGACTTTTAAATAGTTCAGGAAAAAAAAGGACTATGATAGTGAAGGAGGGGGGCATGTCTGAGACCTGGATTCCAATTCTACCTTCCTTGTGCAATGGACAAGAGTCAGGGCATTATTATTTAACCTAAGACTCTCTCCTCCTTCCCCGTCTCCTCTGAAATGAGTATGAGCAATGCTATTATACAAACTCCCAGTACTGTGCCTGGGAGTTTGTATCTTCCATTACTAAGAACTGCCACATAATGAGCACTTTTTCTGTTCTAGGCACTTTCTGTGTGTTGTGCCATTTCACCGGCCACAATCCTACGAAGCAATCAGTCAATGAGCCAGCAACGTCCTGCCACCCCAAGTACCCAGCAAGTTTCATAATGTCAACTACAAACTTGACATTATGTGCCCCTGACTGCTAGCCACTTTTTGCAGAAGTGAAACAAATCAATTCCAGTTACAGCCCACTGGTTGCAAGATACATTTAGCTCAATCAGCTCAGACAGTAAAACACTTATCTGGGCTAAATAGCTACTGCTTGATGACTATTTAAAAATCATTTCTTATCTTTTCAGATTAGGGGAAATCATATCTGTTGTCTCTCTTCTCCCACCTGGCTAGAATCCAGAAGCGTTATGAGATGTAATCCGTTACCCCACTTACCTATAATATTAATGGGCAAATTAAGCTTTGCAGCAGACACGATGGCTGAGCATATAGTTGCAGCTCCTCCCATGTCAGCCCTCATGAGGTCCATATTTGCAGAAGCCTTGATGGAGATACCACCACTATGGGGAAATGGACAACGTGCAATATTAAGAGCAAAGAAGATGGCCAAAATCACTTTATTTAAAAAGTACAGATGGGCACGGTGGCTCACGCCTGTAATCCCAGCACTTTGGGAGGCCGAGGTGGGCGGATCACGAGGTCAGGAGATCGAGACCATCCTGGCTAACACGGTGCAACCCATCTCTACTATAAATACAAAAAAATTAGCCGGGTGTGGTGGTGGGCGCCTGTAGTCCCAGCTGCCACCATGCCTGGCTAATTTTTTTGTGATTTTAGTAGAGATGGGGTTTCACCTTGTTAGCCAGGATGGTCTCGATCTCCTGACCTCGTGATCCGCCAGCCTCGGCCTCCCAAAGTGCTGGGATTACAGGCATTAGCCATCGCGCCCAGCCTTTAGCTCATTTTATTTCTACTTGAATGAAATTTAAACAGTGCCACTGGAAACATTACTATATCATAAAATCAAGACTGTGCAAATTCCATCTCTGTATTGTCTGATTAACTCCTGACACCCACATAGTCTATTCAGCAAATTTTATGAATTGATCAACTTATGGAACGTGAAGGTCATGAGCTGTTAAGAAAAGCTGATGAGCTCACAGAGATGACTGGAGGCATTTCTCTGAAACCGACAGGACAGAGGGCTAACATTTCCTTCCAACACTGCACAAGGTGTGCTATATCCTGCTGATGGCAAAATACAACCTAAATGAGGCACAGGCCCAATGGCTGAGAGACAGTACTTCAACATGAGAACTGAATAAGGCTGCAATTAGCAAGAAACCAAACTACCTGACCCCCAGAGGCTTCTAACTAGCTAGTGGTTTTTCTGCTTCCAGTCCGTAGGAGTCCAGAAGCAACATGCTTCACAGGCCAAGCACAGAGCCAGGGGCTTCGACTCTAAGTTCTAATTGAGATCTGCTGCTCATGTGCCCTGGTGGCTCACTGGAGAGAGGTCTGCCTGCTGCTCTGAAGTCTGCTTTCCTTCAAAATTAAATCCTAATTCTCACTTACCTCAGAAGCACTTGTTACTTAGATGGTTGGCATGTTCACCAAGAATTAAAGATGATCCCCTGGCTCAAAGAAGAAAAATAACATGGGTAAACCCCATGGACAAAGGGAACACGCTGTTGTATTTGAAGTTTTTCTTCTGTCCACCTGCCACATTTATCTGCAGGCCTCTTCTGGAAGTTCTGCTCTCTAATTCCTATGACTATGGTTCTAAGGTAGCCACCAGTTAAAGATCAGCAATCAGCTTTGGCTCACTTTTTCAATCTCTCTCAAATCCACCCACTTATTTTCTACTCAGCCGCCCTCATTGATGCTACTACCCTCTGTCATTTGGATGTTTGTCAGGTCTCCTTAACGGGTCTTTCTGTATCAGTCTCACCACTGTCATTTCATTAACCATAAAAACAGCACATTTTTACACACACACAAAATCTATCTCAATCAAAATCTCAGTAGGTTTTGTTGTGTGAAAAAACAAGCAGATTCACCGAGTGTGGTGGCTCACGCCTGTAATCCCAGCACTTAGGGAGGCTGAGGCAGGCAAATCACTTGAGCCCAGGAGTTCGAGACCAGCTTGGGCAACACGGCAAAACCCCATCTCTATAAAAAATACAAAAATTAGCTGGGCATAGTGGTTCGCATCTGTAGTCCCAGCTACTCGGGAGGTTGAGGTGAGAGGATCACCTGAGCCCAGGGAGGTCGAGGCTGCAGTGGGCCAAGATTGCACCACTGCACTCCAGCCTGGGCAACAGAGTGAGACACTGTCTCAAAAAAAAAAAAAAAAAAAACCCAAGCAGATTCTAAAATGTATATGAAGATGCAAAGGATGTAGCCAAAGTCATTCTGAAAAAGAAGAGCAAAGCTGGAGGACTCATGTGACTAGATTTCAAGCCTACTCAAAGCTGCAGTAATCAAGATATTTGGTCTTCAGGCACTGGTGAAAGGATACAGAGCCCAGAGGCAGACCTACAATTATATGGACAACTGATTTCCACCCGAGGTGCCAAGGTAGTCTAGTGGGGAAAGGACAGTCTTTTCAACAAACAGTGCAGAAGTAAATGAACAGCCACATAGGAAAAAAAAAAGACAAAAACAAACCAGGTCTTTTCACACCATACACAAAGATTCAAAGTGAAGCATAGCGTCAAAATCTAAAACTCACTTAAAATGAAATATATTTTTAAAAAACCTTACAATTCTGTAAAGCCAACACTCCTATAAAAAGGGGCAAAAGATTTGAATACCTTACTACAGAAGATATACCAATGTCCAATAAGCACATTAAAAAATGCCCAGCTTTGGCTGGGTGTGATGGCTCATGCCTGTATCCCAGCACTCTGGGAGGCTGGGGCAGGCAGATCACTTGAGATCAGGAGTTTGAGACCAGCCTGGCCAACATGGTGAAAACCCGTCTCTACTAAAGATGCAAAAATTAGCCAGGCATGGTGGTGTGTGCCTATAGTCCCGGCTACTCGGGAGGCTGAGGCAGGAGAATTGCTTGAACCCAGAAGGCGGAGGTGCAGTGAGCCGAGGTGCACTCCAGCCTGGGTGACAGAGCGAGACTCCGTCTCAAAAAATAAAAAATGACCGACTTCATTAGTCACTAGAGAAATGCAAATTAAACCACAAAGAGAGATCACTGTATACTCACTGGTACAGCTAGAATTATAAAGACTGACAATATCAAATACTGAGGAAGGTGTAGAACAATTAGAATCTTTGTACATTGATGGTAGAAGTGAAAATGTACCCGCTTTGGAAAAGTTTGGTAGTTTCTTAAAAGTTAAACACTCAGTTATTATACAACACAGTGGCTGTTTTCCTAGGTATTTACGCAAGAGTAAGGAAAACACGTCCACACAAAGGCTTACAGATGCTCTTAACTTTATTCCTAATAGCCTAAAACTGGAAACAACACAAATTTCCACCAATAGATGAATGGGTAAACAAAATTTGGCATTTCCATACAATTGAACACTACTCAACAATAGAAAAGAAGAATGGCTGACATGACCAACAACATAGATAAACCCCAGATACTACGCTGAAAGAAGCCAGACATCAAAGACTGCATTTATATGACTTTCCGGAATAGGCAAAACTAATCTGCAGTAATAGGAAGATGATCGGCTGTCTGGAGCAAGGGCAGGTGGGGAATGACTACAAAAAGGCAGAAGGGAACTTCTGGGGGATGATAAAAATGTTGTATTTTCCTGACAGTGGTGAACGGTGCATAGGTGTATACATTTGTTCTTTGGTTTTTAAAATCAATCTATCTACCTATCTAATCTATCTATTTATTTATTTAAAGATGGTGTTTTACTATGTTGCACAGGCTGCTCTTGAACTCCTGGGCTCATGTAATCCTCCTACCTCAGCTTCCCAAGTAGCTGAGATTACAGGTGTATGCCACTGCACCCCCCCAAGGTGCACACATTTGTTAAAACTCATTGAGCTGGCCACTTAGAGGGTGAATTTCACTGTATGTATAAATCTCACGTCATTCTGTTTGGTGGAAACCCTTCAGTTACGGCCAACTGTTCTCAGAGCAGAGTGCAAAAATCTAAGCAGGCCCGCAGCGACCAAGCTTCTGTGTACCTCTCTAGCCGTATCTTGCCCCTTCTCTCCATCACGCTCTTGTGTGCAGGCACACTGGTACTCTTGCCATACCAGGAATTTACCCTGCTCCTTCCCACCTTACAGCCTTCACCATGTTTCCCTGCACTAGAATGCCTGTCCCTAGTCTCTCCTGAGCTAATTCCTCCTGATTCTTCACATCTTCAGCTAAAACTGACACTCCTGCAAGGAAACCTTCTCTAAACCCAAAGAAGGCTTTGGGTTTAGGCCTCTTTGTTTTTATTCTCAGCAAAAATTACAAATGTGGACTTAAATTAACAATAAACTTCACCCTTAGCATAAAAATATTTGTGTCACAATTGGCAAGACATTTAGTCTAGGGCCAGGTGTGGTGGCTCACACCGGTAATCCCAGCACTTTGGGAGGCCAAGGTGGGGGGATCACGAGATCAGGAGTTTGAGACGAGCCTGGCCAACATGGTGAAACCCCATCCCTACCAAAAATAGAAAAAAATTAGCCAGGCGTGGTGGCAGACACCTGTAATCCCAGCTACTCGGGACTAAAAATACAAAAAAAATTAGCCAGGAGTGGTAGCAGGCACCTGTAATCCCAGCTACTCGGGAGGCTCAGGCAGGAGAATCACTTGAACCAAGGAGGCAGAGGTTGCAATGAGCCAAGACTGCGCCAATGCACTCCAGCCTGGGCAACAGAGCAAGATTCCGTCTCAAAAAACAAAACAAAACAAAAGTTTAGGCTGGGTGTGGTGGCTCACACCTGTAATCCTAGCACTTTGGGAGGCCAAGGCAGGCAGATTGCTTGAGCTCAGAAGTTCAAAACCAGCCTGGGCAACATAGCAAGACCACGTCTCTACTAAAAAAAAAAAAAAAAAAAAAAAAAGTTTAACTTTCTAAATTGTGTTTGCTGTATTGTTTTTATAATACACACTTTAGTGGCCAGGCGCAGTGGCTCACGCCTGTAATCCCAGCAGTTCAGGAGACCGAGGCGGGCAGATGACGAGGTCAGGAGATCGAGACCACCTGGCTAACAAGCTGAAACCCCATCTCTACTAAAACTACAAAAAATTAGCCGGGCATGGTGGCGGGGGCCTGTAGTCCCAGCTACTCGGGAGGCTGAGGCAGGAGAATGGTGTGAACCCGGGAGGCGGAGCTTGCAGTGAGCCGAGATTACGCCACTGCACTCCAGCCTGGGCAACAGAGCTAGACTCTGTCTCAAAAAAATAAATAAATAAAATAATAGACACTTTAGTACAATAGTATAATGCATATAACTTATAAAAAAGCATGCATATTTTCAAAGGGATGCACTCAAGATCTTTTACTGATGGGCTATACCAGGAAAACCATTTGGAGATCAATGCTTTAAAGGAGAAAATGTGAACTAGTGGGTGGGAGACACAAGGAGGCACTTTGACCTGCTAACACAAGGAGACCACACTGACAGCAAGCTATGCCAATGACAGGGGCTTCCTACGTCTAGAAGCATTCCAGAAAGGGCACAAAAATGTACAAGGGGACATCAACATCGTATGGTTCTCTAGCAGCATTTTCCAAAGTAGTTTCCAGGTAACATGATTCCCAGGAATCAGGGTTCCTTCAAAAGGAAATACAGAAAATGCTATATTCTGTACCCTGAGAAGTCCTGTAGTTAAGCAAATAAAACAAAAATGAAACCCCTCATGGGTTTCTCTAACCTAGTTTTTTTGCTAAGTAGCCCTTTTTACGTCTCATACTCGCTGGCATCCCTGAAACTTGTGTTTGGTGGCAAATGCTTCCCATGGGAAATACCAAACTCCACTATCTTTCTCAGTTCAGCCTCTCCTTGGCTGAAATAACCAGATACAGTTTCCAACTCTAAGAAATACTTATGGTTGAATAAGATTAATGGGAGCTAGACTGGTCAGCTAAAAGAAGTAATCATCTGAAGCAAGCAAAGGGAAGACAGCATAATACAAACAGGGGCATCACCACTAACCTCGTGGAGAATCTTTAACAGCCACAGAGGACAAGCAAAGTGCATGGCAGAAAAATCTGAAGACACTTTAGGCAGAGCACAATGGCTCACACCTATAACCCCAGCACTTTGGGAGGCTGAGGTGGGAGGATTGCTTGAGACAGCAGTTTAAGACCAGTTTGGGCAACACAGTGAAAACTCATCTCTATATTTTTTTTAAAAAAAGGACACGACACACCTGAGTTTGACTTCGGACTCCACTTACTAGTTATAGGACTTTGAACAAATTATTTAAACTCTGAGTCATGGTTTCTTTACCTGGAGAATGTCTACAATACCTAGCCCACAGGGGTATGGTTAGGGCTAACACATGCAAAATACCTGATAGTCTCTGACATATTCTAAGCATTTTAGAGGTGGTAGCATAATAAATTTAAAGTAATGTATACCTTCAACCAAACACCATGCTTTTGTATCAAACTATAAACCGGCCAGGCACAGTGGCTCATGTCTGTAATCCCAGCATTTTGGGAGGCTGAGGTGGGCGGATCACTTGAGGCCAAGAGTTCAAAACCAGCCTGGCCAACACGGCAAAACCCCATCTCCACTAAAAATGCAAAAATTAGCTGGGTGTGGTGGTGCACGCCTGTAATCCCAGCTACTTGGGAGGCTGAGGCACAAGGATTGCTTGAGCCTGGGAGGCAGAGGCTGCAGTGAGCCGAGATCACGCCACTGCACTCTAGCCTGGGTGACAGGGTGAGACTCTGCCTCAAAAAAAAAAAAAAATCAAACCAAAAAACCCTATAACCAAGTAATTAAACTGCACACAAATAATTCACCAAAATACAAAGCACGGACACCATAAAAAATACCTGTCAAAGGTAATTCCTTTCCCAACAAACACCAGGGGTGGTTCGTTTGCATTGGGGCTGCCTTTGTAGTGAATTTCCAAGAAGACTGGGGGCTCGTCAGATCCTTTGGCCACACTGAGGAATGATCCCATTGCCTGTTCCTCAATCCAAGACTTGGGTCTATAGGGTAGAAAGAGGGAAAAAGTAAATATACTGTTACCTTTATTTCAAAATAACAGAAAAAGCTCATCACAGTGTGTGAAAAAGTATAATATACAAACTCTTAAAGTATACGCACATTAAGGTTTCAATTATCAGGTCCCATTATTTGCTTTCTGTATATTCTTGGGCAAGTCACTTGATTCTAAGCCTATTTCCTCATCTATAAAATGAGGTCTGTAATTCTTCCATCAAAAGATTATTGAATTACTAAGAGAAGTCATGTGTGGTACCTAATACAATGTCAACTAATAGTCTACAGTCTATATAATTAATTTCCTCTCTCCAATCTACTCAGATATTTCTACAATTTTAATTTAAAGATGAAGTTAGAAGGCCGGGTGCGGTGGCTCATGCCTGTAATCCCAGCACTTTGGAAGGCTGAGGTGAGAGAATTGCTTCAGCTCAGGAGTTTGAAACCAGCCTGGGCAAAAAAGTGAAACTGTCTCTAAAACAAATAAGGTAAGATATAATAAAGATGAAATTAGAGGCCAATGAAGGAGGATCACTTGAGGATAGAAATTTGAGACCAGCCTAGGCAACAAGTTGAGACTTGGTCTCTACAGAAAAAAAAAAAAGAAAAAATTAGCCAGGCATGTTGGTGCCTGCCTATTGTCCTAGCTACTGCAGAGGCTAAGACAAGAGGCTCGCTTGAGCCCTAGAGGTCAAGGCTGCAGTGAGCCACGATCTCGCCACAGCACCCAACCTGGGCAACATAGCAACACCCTGTCTCTTAAAAAAATAAAATTAGCAATAGGCTCTGAGACCACAAAGAGTGCTTAAAGATAGGTAAGGGGTCCATTGCTTTATTTCTAAAAATGAAAAAAAAAAAAAATCAACCAACAGACAGCAAACCAAAGCTATATCCCAATGACTGGAAAAAAAATATCCTATTTATTTGCTTTTTAAGAACTGTTGAATTCTATCTTTTTAATGTTGTCACACACTGTTTCTCACAGTTTCAACTGTTGCTTGAGGCATCTTTAAGTGAGAAAACTAGTTAGTTCTTACTTAATAAACATGGGATCGGTGGGGTAACAGAATGGAAACAGTCCTTAGTTCAAACTAGAAAACTGATGCCATATTGCTCTTCTTTCTAGGCTAGGAGCACAAAAGGGCTTTGTATTGATTTCTGGCCACGGTAACTAGGCCAAGAAAGAAATTCTATCCTCCTGCAGACCAGCAACAACCACAGCCAAGGAATGCTCCTCCGGCATTTGCCATCCACTTGTTAAAATGATTAAACTAGGACTGCATCATGGTGGGATGACCAGCACACTTCAAAGGGAAAAAAATTTTAAATCGGAAGATGAAACAGTTTTAAAAATCACTTCAAAAAAAAAAAAAAAACAACAACAACAAGGCTGTGCAATGTGGGCATTTTAAATCATTAACTCAGTACTTGATGTCTGATTAAAGTCCTGCCCTTGTGGAAGAACTGCCTGTGTTTCTCTGATATACACTGACCTACAATGGAGAGTGCTTAGCGCGGCTATGTCTCAGTTTAACGAGTCATACCCCACCCATGCGTCCTGCCTGGTCTCTGCTGAACTCTTTTCCCTTTGCTCGGCTACAAGTTTTGCAGCTTCCTCACCTGAACTGTCCTGCCCCACTCTCTTGTACTGTAACTTCTAAGCAACCTGCAGGACTCTCCTTAGGCTCCAGTCTTTTTTTGAGACACAGTGTCTCTCTGTCGCCCAGGCTGGAGTGCAGCGGTGCGATCTCAGCTCACTGCAACCTCCATCTCCCAGATTCAAGCAATTCTTGTGCCTCAGCTTCCCGAGTAGCTGGGATCACAGGCACGCACCACCACTCCCAGCTAAGTTTTGTACTTTTAGTAGAGATGGTGTTTCGCCATGTTGGCCAGGCTGGTCTTGAATTCCTGACCTCAAGTGATCCACCTGCCTCAGCCTCCCAAAGTGCTGGGATTACAGTCATGAGCCACCATGCCTGGCCTAGACTCCATATTCTTATTAAAATTTTTATTTTAGAGATGGGTCTTGCTATGTTCCCTAGGCTGGCCTTGAACTTCTGGACTTGACAGACCCTCCTGCCTGCCTCTTGAGTAGCTGCAAATAGAGGTGTGCACAATCGCACCAGCAGCTTCATATTCTTTGGCAGTCCCCCTCATCCCTCTGATCCTGCAGTACCCTCTGCAAATGCCATTTACCTCCCTATTCCTTCTTACAACATCCTCACTTTCTGCAAGGACAAGGACCACTTCATGCATCTTTGTATGATAAATTCCAGGCACACCAGAGGGGCTGTCATAACCACTATTTGGTGACCAAAAAGATACTTTTATAGAACCTAAACATTGCTATAGATTAAACATATACTAACCATTCCAGAAATTTTATCAAGCTCTAAGTACTGTGCTTTCTACAGACTATTAATTTTTCTTCACTCTGTCTAAACCATAGATGCTTTCCTGAAAAACACGAACTCTAATCACAATTAAGTACTAAAGAATTCTTTTAAATGGAAGTACCCTTGGGAAACAACTTTGACAATAAAGAATTCTTTAGGTCAAACAAATACCTGTTCATTTGTTTTAATTATAAATTCCCAAATGCTCAGAGTTGGTTTGCTTAAAGGGCTGGAGATCCCAAGAGAGCGACGGAACTGGACGAGCAGGCTTTCAGCTCCAACAGCCTCCCACTGACACAGCATTCAGGGACACCTGGGAGCACCAATGCTGGAGTCTAGGCTAAGGGAATCTATGAGGCAGAAATTCTCATCCCATGTCTAGTTAGGCATGCTGTGTTCTTCATTTGTGTCCAAAAGTGATGATAGGAATAATTCACCAAAATAAGCCATGTGAAGTTCCTCAAAAAGTTAAACAGAACTACGATTTGATTCAGCAATTCAACTCCTAGGCATATACCAAAAAGAAATAAAAGGTAAAAACAACCAAAGTGTCCATCCCCTGCTGGCTTTAGGGAATGGGAAACAGGGAGTAACTGCTAATGGGTATAGGGTTTCCTTTGGGGGTTATGAAAATGTTCTAAAATTGATTGTGGTCATGGTAGCACAACTCTGTGAATATTCTAAATACCAGGCCGCATGGCGGGGTCATGGCTGTAATCTCAGCACTTTAGGAGGAAAAGGTGAGATTGCTTCAGCCCAGGAGTGTAAGACCAGCCTGGGCAACACAGCGGGAGACCCATCTCTACAAAAAATTAAGAAATTAGCTGGGCATGGTGGCACACACCTGTAATCCCAGCTATTGAGGAGGCTAGGGTGGGAGGCCTGAGCCCAGGAAATTGAGCCCATGTTCATGCCTCTGCCCTCCAGCCTGGGCAACAGAGCAAAACCTTGTCTCAAAAAAAAAAAAAAAAAAATCACTGAATTGCACACTTTGCATTGGTGAATTCTATGGCATGTTAATTGTGTCTGAATAACACAGTTATGAAATATACACATACATAGTATATCATGGCACTCTCTCTCTCAAAGGCAAGGAAAGATAGAAAGAACCTCAAACTCAGCTCTATTCCAGCTCCCCATGTGGACCCAAGTGGGTCATCTCAAATCTCTGGTCTCAAGTTATTCCTCTAAAAAGTGAGGGAGCTGGATTTTAGGATCTCAAGGGCTCCTTCTGGCTGTAACATCTCGAGTCTGTGACACAATCCTGAATTACCTGATATGGACCTCGGTTTTACTACTAGCACTTTTGAGATTCTTCTCAATAATTTCAGCAAATCTGGTTGGCGTCATCTCATTGGCTGGCGTCTCCATCAATTGGCGTGCCAAGTTCTGCCCAGAAGCAAACAGGACTCCTTTCTGCCAGGCCTCCTGATCCCCACTGGCAGAAGAAAGATAAAGTGACTGTCAAACAACCTCTCAAGAACGCTGACTGCCTGCCAACTAAGAGACACTCTTACCTTACAGAAAACAAAAGAGGAAGACTACAAATCAAAAACAATTGGCACACAGGACCTGGATTCATTTTTTGTGATCTGACCCAGGGCAGCAGATGGTATGGTGCAGAAAGCTAGAAAACATGGCCACACAAAGCAGAACCAGAGGGTATCCGGTCAGGCACTTCCCTTCAGAATCCTCATCTACATGAAAAAGGGCCTGTGCTGTGGGGTCTTTGAAGCTCTAAATCTACCACATAAATGAAGAGAAGAGGCTTCCACAGAAAAGCCCGTTTTGTTCTCCTTCACTGTATCAGGAATGCTGCAGCCCCAAGTGCTAACTGCAAAGCAAGCGTATGGCAATGGCTCTAACGTGGCAACTGAAGACCTTTTTGCTTTCTTTTACCTAAGTCGGGGCTCCAAATTCCAACCCATTCGTAAGCAGGACCAGCTTTAGAAGAGAAAGGATACAGGCACGTGTTTCACAACCCTGGCTCTTCCTATGGCAGCACAGAGGTGGGTGAGTAACAGTAGATGGCCTAGAAGGCCTGCCACATGCCCCCTACTTGATGTGCTCTTTTGGATGATGATACAAACCCCATGAAATCGGTATTACAACTCTAGTAAACAAATGCAGAAAATGAAGCACAGAGATTTCAGCCACGTAACCAGCAAGGTCCCCCAACGAGTAAGTGGTGAAGCCAGGACTTAAGCCCATGCTGACTGGCTGCAGAGCCCGCACTCTCCCCCACTCCCCACAGCTGCCAACCCTTGGCCAGTGCCAGGGCCCCCACTGTGCTTGGCACCATCTGCTGAAGGTCTCATCTTATTTATTCCTGATGGCAGGGACCCCACTAGCCCACAAGGGCAAGGACCAAGCATCCAGAGGATCTCTTCATCTGTGTGGTGCTTGCATTTAGCACAAGGCCAGCAGGTGCCAGGTAAATGAATGAACATTATCTGGGTTGAAACCTGTGGGATATGTCTGTCATGTCATTCCTCCCTCTCAGGTAAGAGCTACCTGGTTATGGCTTCCTTGTAATCAGAGCAGGGAGGGGTCAGGGAGTCATGGGGGAATCAGACATATGCCGAGAGCCAGGAGCAGAGCTTGGGCTTAATTTTGACCACATTATTAAAATGGCTGAGGCAATGGGGAGGTCACAGCCAAGCCACGCAGCTGTGGGTGGCGCTGAAAAGCAGGCAGCTCATATCCCAAAAGCCAGGCTGTCAGAACGCCAGGGAGCACCACCCTCCTCCTAATTTGCTTCCATCACCTTCCATAGAGCTTTGCCGACACAGCCATCTTCTTTTTTTGCTTTAGGTCATCGTATTCATAGAGACCAAGCACCGCTCCCTCCGCAGCAGCCTGAGCGTCTCCACAGGGATCCACCTCCACAGACGAGAGCTCCAGGTCTTGAATCTGCCTGCACCCCGCTTGAAAAGACAGAGGAATCAGAAAACTGGAGTCAGTCCAAGACAACTCAAAGAGCAGACAGCAGAGGCATGATGTGATGTGCTGAGAAAACAGCCCTGGGGTTCAAATCCCAGCCCTGATACCCGAATGTTCTGAGCCTCATTTCCTCTTCTGTAAAATGAAGACGTGAGTGCATTTTACAGCAAGTACCTCACTCCCAGGTGGTGGTGAGGACAGGCTGATGGAGAGAATGAATAGCTCCTCCCAGAGCCGTACAGGCTCTCAGGAAGTGGCAATTATTCCTAGGATTATTTCTGAAACACTATGATTTCCTGATGAAGCTTCCCAATTGCCAAGAGCTTCTCTGATTAAAAATGACAGGGAAATGATGACGCTGAAATTATATCCAAAGAACTGAGCAAAGTCCATTATTAACACAGCATTTTATTAAGATCAGGTCAGCAAAAACTCTCAAAAGTTATTAAATAACCACTTCAATGATATTTGAAGTAAAGTTAATGAGCATTTATAATATACACAGGCCTAAATAGTAATCAAGCCAATTATCACTGTTTCAGAAATGTTTTACAAAGCATCTTTAATCATGGCTCTTGACGGTATTAGGCCCGTCCTGCTGCTTAATGCTAAGTGACTCAATGGCCCCTGCCTGGGACATACTGGGACAGGCACACACCTTTGGCTAGTGATAAACAAGCACGCCACGCTTTGCTTCCTTAGTCTCTTTATTTGTAAAATCTGATGACTCTGTGTTATTTAAAAGTCGGGAGGCATCAGGGTGGCATTACAAAAAATCTATACACTACAGGTTCTGGGAAAACACAGCTCTAATATGACAAGAGCGAACAAATGGTAGTAAAACACCCAAATGAGATATAGATATATTAAAAATAAAATTCCATTAGCTAACCTTCTGTATTTATCATAAGGCCAACCATATTCAGCAAGAGGAACTGAATTTTTGTTAAGATGAATTATTTCTGTGTGAACGTGGTAAGGGGTGGCAACTGGTAAAAGGACAAAAAGGGGAAAGAGAGGTCATCAAAAAGAGTGGATCCTCAGGATTCTTTAAACTTAAAAAGTGAAATAACCTGCAACAGCAGCTCTGATGTTTTCTTTGCCTTCATGCCAGTTTTCCTGTTCGTCGATTCCAGCTGCCTTTTTGCCGAGGCCAACTAGCACCACGCTGGGGAAGTCCTGTCCCACAGATACACCAAATCAACCACTTTATTTCTTTCAAGCATTCATTTCCAGCAAGGAATTCTACATGTGGAGACTCACTGAGCTCCCACACAATTACTTTAACTGCAGCAACAGGGCTAAACGCACGGTGAAATTTGGTTGTGGCTTTTTTTTCTTAAAACCTTTGTGTCCTGGCAAAATTGTATAACTTATAGGTTTGAGAGGCAGAGTAAGTGAGGATACTCTTGCAAATAATTCTGTGTAAGCCAGAGCCACAACCGGATAAAGAAAGCCTTCAGATTGAGGAATATAAGATAGGCAGTAGTTTTTGACAGCAAATCGCCTCTTAATCTTAAATGTTCTGCTTAATAGTGGAATAAAATCATACAATCCAACACATAATGTTTAGTATGACTAGACAGCCCCAATACTTGGTGTACAGTAGATGCTCATTGAGGGTTTACCAAATGATCACGTTCTTCTCATACCTGATGCAGACCATAAAAGGTTCGAGTCTTCCCTGCCTTCAGAGGTGGTCCAGATCTAAAACAAGAGGAAATAGTCGTTTTAAAACAAGTATTTTGCTCGGTTCACTTGGGAAGGCACACTTACATACTCGGCATTATCACACTATTCTGCTAACTGCTTCCATGGTCTTTTTCACTTATGTTTTTATCCAAATACAGAATGCTCTCAAGCCAGATTTCTTTCTTTTTTTTTTTTTTAAATAGAGACAGGGTCTCACTCTGTTGCCTAGGCTGGTCTCAAACTCCTATGCTCAAGCAATCCTCCCACCTCAGCCTCCCGAGGTGCTAGGATTACAGGTGTAATACAGATTACACTGCTGATCTACCGTGCCCAGCCCAGATTTCTTAGGTGTAGCCTTTCTAATTCTAGCTCAAAAACTATTTAACAAACTTTCAGATTAGATCTAACACAAACATATTTAAAAACAATGGAAAGCAATGCTACAGCTGCACAAGGCATCTGAGCACGGATTGACGCTGAACCGAATGAATCTCAAACCTTTTTCAATAAAAGCCACAAGACACCAAAAACACTGCAGTAATCTAAGTGGTGGTTGGCTTGGAGGTTGTATATCTATGTGGTTTCTCCACAGACTGGATACCCGAACCGGATACTGACTATCCTGGGCAATTTCCAAACAAAACAGATCCATGACTATAAGAGGCCCGTAGCACAGATGCTCTGGAATGCAGCTGACAGCCATCCATTAGCAAGGCAGGCGTTCTGTACTCACAGGTTAGCTTTTGGATTAATGAATTAATCAATGCACTTGAGAATGCTCTGTGTACTACAAGAACTGATAAAAAATTGAGAGGAGATACAAATTCTCTTAACCGATTATTAGTTACTATAATTATTAGACTGCATCTATTAGGTTCCAATAGGCTATCTATAATCCGAATAATACATAGTTGCAGTGGTTTACATGGATACTTCCATGTCTGCCAAATACAGCATGCAGTTACAATGTTTCCCTACCATCAGGATCTCCAGCCCCATGGAGACTTTTTGTATTTTAACTATATCCTCAGGTGATTCACAGATATTTTAAATTTTGAGAAGCCCTTGAAACTTCAGGCAGGCAATAAAAGAGCAAAACCCTTAGGCTGCTATTAACTATCCTAGGGATCCTGCTCTCACAAGAAAAGGGGAGTTAAAAGAAGTAGAGAGGCTGGTGGGAAGGCAGCTGGGAGGAAGAGGGTGGGGAAAGTGAATTTGAGCCAGGAGGGTGGGCTGAGGAAATCTGGTACTTTCCAGATTATTCTGGATCAGTCTTTCACAATAGATTTCTGATTGGGCTGGAAATGGCCTGACTTCCCAGAACTGCAGACCCATCCATACTGAAACAGAAAGTACCAAAGTGCATTCCAAAGACACAGGCTTTCACTTCTGCTTCTGGCCAGAGCACTTCCCGGCATTGTCTCTTCTGACAAAAAGGCATAGAAAAATATTCTTGGCCTGGCACAGTGGCTCACACCTGTAATCCCAGCACTTTGGGAGGCCAAGGCAGGCAGATCACTTGAGGCCAGGGATTCAACACCAGCCTGGCCAACAACAGTGAAACCCAACTCTACTGAAAAAAAAAAAAAATACATATATATATATATATGAAAGCCGGGAGTGGTGAGGCATGCCTGTGATCCCAGATACTTGGGTGTCTGAGGCACGAGAACCACCTGAACCCAGGAGGCAGAGGTTGAAGTGAGTCAAGATCGTGCCACTGCACTCCAGCCTGGGCAACAGAGCAAGACTCTGTTTCAAAAAAGAAAAGAAAGAAAAAATACTGTTTCGATTTGGGGGCACTTTAAGAACTAGAGCCCACAAGCAACACTTACATGTTCAAAGTCTCTCTCAGCTTTCCAGCTAACAATTTATCAAAATTCTCTCCTGCACTTGTGAACTGTGGCACATCATCTTCTTTTTCTTTGGAATAGATTCCTAAAACAAGGCCCTGGGAATAAGCAAAAAACGTAAATATAATAGAATTAGAGTAGATCCCTTAGAGAGGCTCAGGAGTCCCCAAATTCCAGAAGGAACAAATAATTCCACCCAAACCGTGTCCTCCCCATGGACAGAAGAAAGCAAAAAAAGAAGCAGGTGCTGGGGTCAGCTACATGTGCACCTGCCCAAGTGTTTCAGATTCCTGCCAAAGCAAGACCCATCACTGCCCGTCCTGGACATTGCCCTGGGTTTCTGTGCTCACTCCTAGGAGACGGCTTCACTTTCAAATAAAGCAGAAAGATGTTTTGTTTAAGAAAAATCTATTTGTCACCAAGATAGACCCTGAAAGGATTCAGAACATGCCACTCCAAAATATACCGCTTTGGCACATTAGTTATTTTCAGCCAAAGGCGCTTGAGAAACAGCAGGTGCAGAGGTACTCTCTGACCTCCCTTTCTCCCTAAAAGCAGGTCACACAAATTCCCATGAGAAAGGTGATCTCCCTGTACCAGGAAAAGGAGAACATTCTTATCACCAGAAACTGGAAGTCAACACCAAAATGGACCTGTACAAATAAACCTACTGAACTCACCCTTATCTTCTGTTAGTTACCCCCATATGATTTCCTAGTCATTATTCCACAATTTACTAACCCAAGCCCCTTTGTCTTGTCACACCCCCACAATGCATTGTTCTTTGTTTAAAAAGGTATACAAGCTTTTGGGCCCAACGCTTCTTCAGGTCTTCATTTTCCTCTTGCAGACTCCTGTGTACACGTAAAAATAGTAAATAAAATCTGTATCCTTTTCTCTTGTTAATACATCTTATGTCAGTTTTCTTAGGCCCAGCCACAGAACCTAGGAGGATAGAGGGAAGATTTTCCTCCCCTACAATCCTCAAGTGCAAATCCCAGATATTCTAGGATGCCGTTCCAGTCAAGCCAATGGCTGTGCCTCCCATCGTAAGGACTGTTGCCACGTAAGGACTGTGGTCAACACAGAGGCTGTAAGAGAAGTACCAACTTCCTAGGGAGGGTAGAAGCACTCTGCTAAGCACTTAGCGGCTCACTCCCTTCATCTCCTTCACAAGTCTCAGGTCTCAAATACCAGAAATGAGGAAGCAAACCTAGTAATACTTAGTATTTACTTTTGCACGGCAATTTATGACTTTAAAAATGTTTTGTCTGCCTCATGGCAACTCTGTGAGGTGGAAAGAACAAGTAGCCTTATCCCCCTTGACCGATAAGGAAACTGAAACCTAGTTTGAGACAGGAGCTCCTGTGTGGTGTGGTAGGACTGAGTGAGAATCCAGATGTCTTCCCGCCCAGCAGTTGATCTTTCCACAAAACCACACAGACACTTAGAATAGTGCCCTCTCGGTCTTTTCCACCAAAGAAAACGGCCTTCCTTGGCATTGGTAACTCTGCCAGGTTCTAACTTCCCTAAGATTGTTCACTCCCCGGGAATCAATGGAGCCAACTGAGCAACTGTTATCTGGGTAGGCTGTGGCACAGTACTGGAGATAGCACTGGTCAGGCGACTGGTCCCTCCACCACTGAGATACCTGCAGGAGACTGGAGCTCAAGCTCCCCCTAGAACGTTCTTCTGCAGGGACAGTCATCTCTTTCTGGTGCTTAGGCATGACTCCCAAGCTTGTGCTGGTTCCGAGAGCCATTCCCTTTGCAGATCCTTCACATCTGAAGAGCGACCTTCGTAATTTTTTGGAGTTCACTTTTCTTCTGGAAGATGCTCTTAATTCTGGGAAACGTGGGTCTCTCCCCAAAGCCCTTTTCTCTAGAGAGGCATGCTTTTCCTCTAGAAACCCTTCCAAGCTACTTAACTCCCTGACCTTTCACTTCCGCGGGGGAAGGAGCCCTGTGACTCTGGGACCTCAGAAACCCTTTCACCTTGGCAAACTCGGGCTTCCTCCAAGCTCGGATGGGAGCCCCACCGCCGCGTCTTTCCCCGGGTTACTGCCAGGACCGCGGGTGACGACTGGAGCAAGTGCGCGGCCGAGTGGAGCCGGGTAAAGGGCGGCTACAACCATCACCCCCTAGCCCCGAGCAGGGGAATCGCGCCCTCAATACGACCGCTGGGGTCCTCAGCGGCCTAGGCCGATCCCCGCAAGGAGAGAATTTTTCTTTTAAACTGATTTTTGCAACTTGGCTTGGGCGCCCAGGACACCGCGGCTTCGACCAGCCCCGCAGCCCCAGTAGCCCACGGGCAGGGCCCCAGCGGCGGACCATGAGCGAGCCGCCGCCTCTCACCTTCGTCATGTCTGCGGTGGAGAGACTCCGGCTCCCGAAACGTCTCACGGCCAGACGTCGGACGACTACTCGCCCCGCAGCCGGAAGAGGCAGCAAGAACATCTTGTCGGCTCGGCCCCTCGCACCGCCCTCCAGCGAGCACGTGGAGAGCGGTGGGCGGGCGCGCCTTGGGGCGGGGCTTTCGGGGCGCAGACGGCGTGCGCGCGGACTGGCTCGGGCGCCGGGCGAGCGGACGTGCGTCTAGGGGGCGGGACGGATGGGCAGCACCGGCCGACTGGACCGCTGGGATCAAACCGCGGTTGTGGAGGGGACTCAAGGGTGCGCCCGCATTCGTGTGCGCCCGCATTCGTGTGCGCCCGCATTCGTGTGCGCCCGCGCATGCGGGCGGGGGCGAAAAGGCGGGGCTTCCGGACGCGGTTGACAGTCCCGGGAGCAACGCGAAGTAGAGGGGCGGGACCGATATGGTGACGTCACACGATGGGTGGGGCGGAGGCGGGGCGAGTTCTGCAAGCGGGCGTGGGCGGAGCGCTGGGCAACTCCCGGGAAATAGAAACTGAGTGCCAGAGCTTGTTGTCAAGGTTGCTGAATAGACGACTGCATAGTGAAGACACTCCCACTGAGTTTTCGTTTGTTTGTTTGGTTTTTTTGAGTCGGAGTCTCGCTCTGTCACCCAGGTTGGAGTGCAATGGAGCGATCTCGGCTCACTGCAACCTCCCGCTGCTTAGTTGAAACGATTCTCCTGCCTCGTCCTCCCGAGTAGCTGGGATTAGGGGCGCCCGCCACCACGCCCAGCTAATCTTTGTGTTTTTTTGTTGTTTTTTTGGATTTTTTTTTTGAGGCGGAGTCTCGCTCTTGTAGCCCTGGCTGGAGTGCAGTGGCGCAATCTCGGCTCACTGCAACCTCCGCCTTTCGGGTTCAACAGATTCTCCTGCCTCAGCCTCCCGAGTAGTTGGGACTACAGGCGCCCACCACCACACCTGGCTAATCTTTGTATTTTTAGTAGAGACAGTGTTTGGCCATGTTAGCCAGGCTGGCTTTGAACTCCTGACCTCTGGTGATACACCCGCCTCAGCCTGCCAAAGTGCTGGGATTACTTACAGGCGTGAGCCACCGTGCCCGGCAACTCTTTGTATTTTTAGTAGAGACGAGGTTTCACCATGTTGTCCAGGCTGGTCTCGAAGTCCTGACCTCGTGATCCACTTGCCTCGGCCTCGCTAAGTGCTGGGATTACAGGCGTGAGCCACCGCACCTGGCCTGAGTTATTTTTATTCGTGTCCTTTCATCTGTTCCACAGGTGCAACGGTGTAAATACTGTTTTTGAAAATGATGTAACACTATTAGGTTCGTTGACTCGTGCACATAGCAAGTCAATACGCCCAGACACCAGGGTTGCAGCAGAGAAAGAGGTGTAATCGTGGAGTCGCCAAAGGAGGAGATGGGAGGAAACCTCAAATCCATCTCCCTGAGGAATTTGGGGTCAAGGTTTTTAAGGGTTTTGGAGAGGGCTATAGTGTGGAGATCGTTGATTGAAGAGTGCAGGGTGAAGTCATGGGACAGGGCGTTGAAGAACCTGTATTCTTAAGCTGACCCCATTCCTCTCTGGGGATCTTCAAACTGGTAGCTGGAATTCAAGGTCTGAAAAATATCTTAAGCGATCCTTAAACAGAAAGCTTATGATTCTAATGTCAGAGATCCTGTCTATAGGAACAATGGGAATGCAAATGGTCAGTATGTAGTGCTAGGTGACTTTTAGCAACAAGGAAGTGGGCCAAAGTACAGCCTGATTAATGCTTAATTATAACTATATTTCTGCCTAGAACTTGGCATGAAATTTTTGTCAACACAGTGGGGATGGTTTCAATAGAAAGTTTTCAAGTAGTGCTCAATATTTTTATATATTTTTATTTTCTGTAAAGCGTTTTGTTTTTTTTAATTCCTTATTTTTTACTTTTTTTTTTTTAACGGAGTCTTGCTCTGTCACCCAGGCTGGAGTGCACTGGTGTGATCTCAGCTTATTGCAACCTCCACCCCTGGGTTCCAGCGATTCTCCTGCCTCAGCCTCCCAAGTAGTTGGGATTACAGGCGCCCGCCAACACGCCTGGCTAATTTTTGTATTTTCAGTAGAGATGGAGTTTCACCATGTTGGCCAGGTGGGTCTTGAAGTACTGACCTCAAGTGATCCACCCGCCCTGGCCTCCCAAATTGCTGGGATTACGGGCGTGAACCACCGCGCCCGGCTGGTTTTAAATTTCTCATTGTAAAAAAGTACACAGCTGAATGCAACTCGGAGAATATGGGTAAGCACGAGGAGGGATACAAAAATTGTTCTTAATAATGACACCAGCCAGCTGGGTGCAGTGACTCATGCTTATAATCCCAGGACTTTGGGAGGCCGAGGTGGGAGGATCGACTCAGCCCAGGAGTTCAAGACCACCCTGGGCAAGGTAGTGAGATACCCATCTCTACAAAAAGTTAAAAAATTAGCCAGATGTGTGCCTGTAGTCCCGCTAATGGGGAGACTGAGGTAGGAGGTTTGCTTGAGCCTGGGAGGTTGAGTCTGCAGTGAGCCATAATTGTACTACTACACTCCAGCTTAGGTCACAGAGCAAGACCCCATCTCTTTTTAAAAAAATTACACCACTGTTGATCTGATTGCAATTTTAGCTGAGGTGCAGGGGTGTGGGGAGGCTTACACCAGCTGCAGTGAGCAAAGTCTTCACCTTGAGCTCAGTTGCAGGAAAGAAAGAATGTCTATTTCACTCTCCAAGAGCTAGACACTCCAGAGGAGAGATTTGATCTTCCTCTCTTGAAGGCTGAGTGGGTTGGACTGGTAGGTCCACTCTGGCTTCCACCTTCTCTAGATAGTTAAAATGGAGTTGCATCATAAACTCAATAAACTCACCAAATTTTATCTATATTTGCTCCAAAGACAGCGAAATCTTTACATTCACTTTACAGCTCTTCCCTCCTTCCAACGTGATAGATCAGGCCGCAGTTTCTGAAACTAAAAAATGGAATGCGAAAACCTGTCCCCTCCTTGGTATGTGAGTAGAGGGTCTCTGAGCTTCAGAGGCATCCAAGCCTCAGAGCTGTAGGTTACCCTTGTCTGTATCTGCTCAGCTGAATTTATTACCTGTTTTATTGACTTGCGGGTCCAGCCTGAGACTCTGGTGTATCATTTACTTTTCTCTTTGCTTCAAGGACCACACCATTTACATTTTCACATGCCTAATGGTACAAAAGAAAAGTACATTTCACAGTCTACAAATAATCAGGATTGTGGATCACTTTGGGATGAAAGATTTAGTCATCCTTCAAACCCTAAGTTTACAAGGTGCTTAAGATGTTTTTCTGTTAGAAATCATGGGATAAAAAAGAATCTAAAACAGTGTCCCTGTCTTCAAGGATTTTATTATTGTAGAGGGGGCAAAACTTAACCTCTACCATCTTAGGGTCTCCAGCTGGGCCTGAGAATTAAGTTGACATAAGACAGATTAACGAGAAAAACATATTAATTGGCTGGGCACAGTGGCTCACACCTGTAATCCCAGCTCTTTGGGAGGCCAAGGCAGGTGGATCGCTTGAGCCCAGGAGTTCGAGACCAGCCTGGGCAACATGGCAAAACCCTGTCTGTACAAAAAATACAAAAAAAACAGCCATATGTGGTGGTGCATGCTTGTAGTGCCAGCTGCTCGGGAGACTGAGGTAGGAGGATCACTTGAACCTGGGAGATTGAGGCTTCAGTGAGGCATGATTGTGCCAGTGCACTCCAGCCTGGGTAACAGAATGAGACCCTGTCTCAAAAAATAATAATAATCATATATATATATATATATACACACACACACACACACACACACACACATATAAATTTTATTTAATAGTTTTGCACGTACTTGGAAGCCCTTACAGGAAAATCGAGACCCCCCAAAATGGTTAGGCCTAAGTGCTCATATACTAGGTTGAACAAAAATAGTAATTTTGAAAAAGTATATTTATATGGGAAAACTAAAGGAAATAAAGGTTAGTCTAACAAGAGTTGTTTGTACAGATTTCTCTCGGCCTTGACTCTCCCTCTTTGGTGATAATGTTCCTTTCTTTCTGGTGCAGGGAGGGCAGCATTCACATGAGAGCTGATCTCCTGCTTTCAGGAAGTAAAGAGAGGCCAGAGTACCCTTCTTGCATCTGCTGTATTTTAAGTGCCTTTAGCTCAAAAAAATCTTTATGTCAAAGTTTTATATTCTGCTGTCCTCTATTATCTAGTAGAGGCAAGAGATATGGTGATTGTAAAAATATTGTTATAAAAAAAGAAAAGGCAGTGTTTCACAGAGTTATATGTGCATATGCTCCTGTTCCTTCTGCTCCCTTCTTTGCTTGACCAATGCCACTTCTTCCAAGAAATACTTGCTGACCTTCCCTGTCTGGGTTATGTGCCCTCCCTCTGCTCCCAAAGCGACCTGTCTCAAAGTGCCAATCACCTGTATTCTTGCAACTGTTCAATGGGTTCTCCTTGCCCGCTGCCTAAACAGAGCCAATTTATCAAGACAAGGAATTTGCAACAGAAAAAGAGTTTAATTCACACAGAGCTGGCTGTATGGAAAACCACAGTTTTATTATTACTCAAGTCAATCTCCATGAAAATTTGGGGTTCAGAGTTTTTAAGGATAATTTGGTGGGTAGTGGGTCAGAAAGTGAGAAGCGCTGAGCTGGGTGCCGTGGCTGATGCCTGTAATCCTAGCACTTTGGGAGGCCAAGGCGGGCGGATCACCTGAGGTCAGGAGTTCAAGACCAGCCTGGTTCAATATGGTGAAACCCTGTCTGTACTAAAAATACAAAAATTGCCAGGCGCAGTGGCTCACGCCTGTAATCCCGGCACTTTGGGAGGCCGAGGCAGGTGGATCACGAGGTCAGAAGATCAAGACTATCCTGGCTAACACGGTGAAACCCCGTCTCTACTAAAAGTACAAAAAAAAAATTAGCTGGGCGTGGTGGCAGGCGCCTGTAGTCCCAGCTACTCGGGGAGGCTGAGGCAGGACAATGACATGAACCCAGGAGGCGGAGCTTGCAGTAAGCCGAGATTGCGCCACTGCACTCCAGCCTGGGCAACAGAGCGAGACTCCATCTCAAAACAAACAAAAAAAATAAAAAAATTAGTGGGCTGTGGTGGTGCACGCCTGTAATCCCAGCTACTGGGGGAGCTGAGGCAGGAGAATTCGCCTGAACCCGGGAGGCGGAGATTGCAGTGAGCCGAGATTGCACCGCTGCACTCCAGCCTGGGCAACAGAGTGAGACTCTATCTCAAAAAAAAAAAAAAAAAGAAAGAAAGAAAGCAGCAGCAGCAGCAGCAGCAAGATGGAATCAGCTAGGGCAGCAAGATGGAATCAGTTATGTCAGATCTCTTTTGCTGTTATAATTTTATTTTTCTTTATTTTTTTTCTTTTTTTTTGAGATAGAGTGTCACTCTTGTCGCCCAGGCTGCAGTGCAGTGGCGCGATCTTGGCTCACTGCAGCCTCCACCTCCCAGATTCAAGTGCTTCTCCTGCCTCAGCCTCCCCCAGGTAGCTGGACTACAGGCATGTGCCACCACGCCCGGCTAATTTTCTGTATTTTTAGTAGAGACAGGGTTTCACCATGTTAGCCAGGATGATCTCGATCTCCTGACTTCGTGATCCGCCTGCCTTGGCCTCCCAACGTGCTGGGATTACAGGCGTCAGCCACCGCTCCCGGCCTGCTGTCATAATATTCTTAGTTATAGTATTTGCAAAGGTGGTTTCATTCTCATTGTCTTTTTCCCCCCACTCATCTAGGGAGCCATGCCTTTTTCATCTCTGCATAGCCAGTGCCTAGATCTAGCATTTAGACTGTCCCTGGAACGAATGCAAGGTGCTCATAATATGTTTGAATGAATTCATGATCAAGGTCTAGTGCAGGTAGCATCTATAATTAAAGAACAGAATAGGTGCTATGTGTGGCTTTCAGATAGTAGAAGCAAAAACAAAAAGAAAGCTTGAAAGGAGCCAGCAGAATGAGAATGCTATAGATGATTGAGGGGACGTCTGGGTCAGGAGAATGTGTGGGAGGGCGTTGGCTTGGCTTGGGGTGGAGAGATCAGGCCTGCCTGGAATAAGAGGTGGTTATACAAAGACAGTGATGCTGGATTAAAGGGAATCTTGAAAGGCAGGAAGAGATGTTTATTGTGGTTGTGGGAGTCAATAGACACTCTTTGCAGAAGCTGGTGGGGTGGTGAAAGCTATATTTTACTATGATTGGTAGACGCTGGAGTCAAGGGTGGAGAAAGACTGAGCAGTGTTGGGAAGAGTGGTGCCTTAGTGAAAACCAATGCATCATCCAGAGAAACCCTTTTTTTAGAGACAGGATCTGGCTCTATTGCCCAGGCTGGAGTGCAGTGGCACAATCATAGCTCACTGTAAACTTGAACTCTTGGGCTCAAGTGATCCTCCCACCTGAGCCTCCCGAGTAGCTGAGACTACAGGCTTCTGCCACTAGGCCTGGCTTTTGTTTGTTTGTTTGTTTGCTTGCTTTTAGTAGAGATGGGGCCTCTCTATGTTGCCCAGGCTGGTCTCGAATTCCTGGGCTGAAGTGATCCTCACACCACAGCCTTCCAAAGCACTGGGATTACAAGTGCACACCACCATGCCCGGCCCAGAGAAACTGTTGAGGGAATTCCTTTGGGTTATCTTATTAAGATTCTATGGAAGCTTTTTCACAACTCTGTAAATTGCAGACAGTTATGAGATGCAGTCAACTCTTGTCTATAGATATGTAAGTGCTATGTGCTATCCTGTCCGATTGATGGGCATTCAGTTGGCAGCCCATCATCCCATGTGGCAAAACCAGTTTTATCTCCATTTGCACATTCATTTCAATATTCCTGATCTATAAATATATCCTTTTTTTTTTCTTTTTTGAGACAGGGTCTTGCTCTTTGCCCAGGCTGGAGTACAGTGGCATGATCTCAGCTCACTGCATCCTTGACCTCCCCAGCTCAAGCAGTCTTCTCACCTCAGCCTCCTGAGTAGCTGGGACTACAGGCGCATGCTGCCACGCCCAGCTAATTTCTGTATTTTTTTGTAGAAATGGGGTTCCACCATGTTATAGGAGTTATTAAGAAATTATTTTCTGCAGATAGAGAGGAAAAGGGGTCCTTGGGAAGTTTTTGGTTCTTTTAAAGCAGCTCCAGAAATATTTCTTTTCTAGCAGGAAAGCCCTGGCTCTTAGAGCCAGCTGGCAAGCTTTGATATGCACAGGAAGGCCATGAGAAACTGGGTCCACCCAAACTTGGCGATTCCCGCCATCTTTTTCTTGCCCTTGTGCTCACATGTGCCTGACAACAGGGCCACCCCCACATATCCCCAAGTGTGTAGAACATCATGGCACTCTACATTTGCATATTAAAAGGCTAGGATAGGAGGGCCAGTTTTTCCACGAACTATGTGATGACACACCTGGTCAAACCAATCTCCTGGGCCCAGTGGAAACCAGACACTGCCTCCTCCAGCATCCCAATATAAGCAGCCACTTTTCCGCAGCACACGGGGTTTTCTCTTTGTTTGAATCCCCCCTCCCTCTGTCTCTGTTCAGGGGAGCTGTTTTCTTCTTCCTTCCTTCCTTCGTTCTTGCCTTTTTGCTCCTTAAAACCACTCCACGTGTGTCCCTGTTGTTAATCCTATAGGCGTGAGACCAAGAACCGTGGTGTCCCTCTAGTCATCGGAGTCATATCAACCACATTGCCCAGGCTGGTCTCAAATTCCTGAGCTCAAGCAATCCTCCTACCTCTGCCTCCCAAAGTATTGGGATTACAGGCATGAGCCACCACACCCGGCACACATATCCAATCTTAAAATTCTGTTTTGAGCCAGATATAACGATTTTCTGGTTTCTTCATGAGTTACATAAAATCTTTAATATGTGTTCATATTTATATCTCTCCTTCTTTTTTTTTTTTTTTGTGTGTGTGTGTGTGTGTGTGGTGGAGTCTCACTCTGTCACCCAGGCTGGAGTGCAGTGGTGCGATCTCGGCTCACTGCAAACTTCACCTCCTGGGTTCAAGTGGTTCTCCTGCCTTCGCATCCTGAGTAGCTGGGATTACAGGTGTCTGCCACCATTCCTGGCTAATACTTGTATTTTCAGTAGAGACGTGGTTTCACCATGTTGGCCAGGCTGGTCTCGAACTCCTGGGCTCAATTGATCCTCCCGCCTTGGCCTGGCAAAGTACTGGGATTTAAGGTGTGAGCCACCATGCCCAGACCCATTTTTATATCTCTTTGAGAGTCATGGTTTTACCTTTTTTTGAAACTTATCTTGGAACAGCAGATAAGCTAGCTGAAGGCATGAATTTCTGATGGAACTTGCTAGATGACCCCATTTGGGAAATGAAATGCAGAATCAGGGGATACAGGTTTATGAGTGTGACAGAACATAAACCAGTGCCTTGTTCAGGGCCCTAAATGCTCCCTTCCTGCTTAGGAAGAGAGAAGCTGTGAAGGCAAGTTATTTGGGCGATGATGGGGAATTTAATGATAAATGTTGACTTGGAAGTAACGGGACAAGCAGATTAAAAAAAAAAAAAAGTCCAGCAGGAGCTTGAGATGAAGATACCAACATTCACTGGGAGAGTTCAACAGTCAGGAGACGGGCCAGGTGTGGTGGCTCATGCCTGTAATCCCAGCACTTTGGGAGGCCGAGGCGGGTGGATAACCTGAGGTCAGGAGTTTGAGGCCAGCCTGACCAAAATGGAGAAACCCCGTCTCTACTAAAAATACAAAAAATTAGCTGGGTGTGGTGGTGTGTGCCTGTAATCCCAGTTACTCGCTGCCCAGTCACTTAGGCTGGAGTGCAGTGGCATGATCATGCTTCTACTGCAGCATTGACCTCCCAGGCTCAAGCAATCTTCCTGCCTCAGCCTCCCAAGTAGCTGGGACTACCAGCGTGCACCACCACACCTGGCTAATTTTTGCATTTTTTTTTTGAGAGACGGGGTCTCAGCATGTTGCCCAGTGTGGTCTTGGGACTCCTGAGTTCAAGCAATTCACCCACCTCAGCCTCCCAAAGTGCTGAGATTGCAGGCATGAGCCACCATGCCCAGCTAGAAGTTCTTAATTTTAATATGGTCCAATGCATTAATTTTTTACTGTTATGTAGCTTTTTGTACACCGTTTAAGAATTTCTTAAACAAGGCCAGGTGAGGTGGCTCAAGCATGCAATCCCAACACGTTGGGAGGCCGAGTTGGGTGGATCACCTGAGGTCAGGAGTTCGAGACCAGCCTGGCCAACATGGTGAAACTCCGTCTCTACTAAAAATACAAAAAATTAGCCAGGCATAGTGGCAGGTGCCTGAATCGCAGCTACTCAGGAGGCTGAAGCAGGAGAATCACTTGAACTCGGGAGGTGGAGGTTACAGTGAGCTGAGATCACGCCACTGCACTCCAGCCTGGGTGACAGGGAGTCTCTGTCTCAAAAAAGAAAAGAAAAAAAAAAGGCCAGGCACAGTGGCTCACGCCTGTAATCCCAGCACTTTGGGAGGCCAAGGAGGGCGGATCACGAGGTCAGGAGATCGAGACCATCCTGGCTAACACAGTGAAACCCCGTCTCTACTAAAATACAAAAAATTAGCCGGGCGTGGTGGCGGGCGCCTGTAGTCTCAGCTACTCGGGAGGCTGAGGCGGGAGAATGGTGTGAACCTGGGAGGCAGAGCTTGCAGTGAGCTGAGATGGCGCCACTGCACTCCAGCCTGGGTGACAGAGCGAGACTCCGTCTCAAAAAAAAAAGAAAAAAGAAAAGAAAAAGAAAAAGAAATTCTTAAACAGAGGCTTAAGCTTATTGGCTGGAAGAGACAGCCAAAGATGATACCGTGGCTCCACAAAGTTATCAGAGGCTCGGGCTTCTTTCTCTCTGCTCTACCATATTTAGTGTTGAGCAAGTGGCACTATTGCCTATGTGAAAGTAGATAATTCAAACTTAAAGCTGTTTGAATTTTAAATTATTCTGAGCCTTGAGAGGAATGTGGCTATGTGGCCTTAGTCACATGGCATTTAGCTGCATCTTCTGCATTTTTTTCCCTGTAAGTAATTAGGAAGAACAAGCGGGACCAGAGAGAAGACACCCTCAGATCATTATCATTCCTAAGGGGTTAACACAGTAATCTTTCTTGCCATGTAGCAATCTGTAACCAAATCACTGTAACAAATCATTGTAGCAAATCATTATAACATATGTGCTGGTCTTGTATCAAAAATGTAATCCTGCTGAAACTTCTCTGTCTGCCTATGTAAGTGAAACCTTAACTTCTCCACTTTGGAATGCTGACCCTATTCGTTTGGAGTCTGTGTTTCCCAGGTGGCTATCCTCAAGATTTGCATTCAAATAAGCTCTATATTCAGTCATATTTTCTGAATCTCATTATCTACGGTTGACACCTATTATCAGGAGCAGAAGTTCAAGTGCAGTCAAGAATGGGACGGAACAATGATTTACTCACATACAGAAGAGACAGAGCAGAAGCAGTTTCAATAGTCAGAGTTGGTCTCCCATGGCCAATGGGTCCCCCTGCAGCAGACACAGGGCAATTGGCCTCCTTGCACCTCTCTTGTGCTGTAGCAGCATGACCCTTTGACACACACCCCTGCCCCGACTACCTACACCCACCCCCACCACCACAGAGTCTGAAACACTGAGAGCTGGGGAGCGTGTCTGAAGGTCGTTGATGCACACACTGAACACCTTGAGCCTGAAACAGGGAAAGGTTTTCCCGCACAAAGCAACAAGCCTGGCCCAGGCTGTGTGGGCTCTTAGTAAAGACATGTTCCGGGCCCATGGCCAATTCTTATGTGGCCATGTCCACGGAGGAGGGGGTATAAAAAGACTTCATACCTGAGTCTTCCTTTCCCAACGGTCCACCCCTGACCCTCACTTAGCCACTGAAACAGCAGATAAAGCACATCAAATCCAGTAGGATCATTGCCCACCCTAAATCTAGAGGGAGAAATGGGTTTAGTGGTGTGAACCACTGATATGGATGCAGTCTGTTTGTAGAGACTCCTTGTCATTTCGAGGCAGCCCTTCATCAGGGTGACTAGGAGAACCAGACCCATAGGACGATCAGTCCTTGGAGGATGGTCCTCAACCAGGAGCCCCCAAGGGCCAGGATTGAGTGTGCTAAAGAGGTGAAAGAATGAGTCTTGGTGGCACTGCGTGTGCATAGCTGACCAGCACCCCGCTTCAGCAGGAATCTTCTCTAGCTCACTTTCTACCTTGCCTAAATTATTGATTTATACCCAGCAAGAGGTGTTGGCAGTCATGCAAATGCCATCCCATTTTGCCAGCAGATAATTGAGAACTTTCGTTGTCCATCACCACCTTGGCTAGTGAGTTTAATGCATCCCGCTGGTCCTTAATAGCACAGGCAGTAGCATTCGCTATCTCCACACAGTCAATGACAAGATGTGTATCATCTTTATCCAGGACCTGTGTGCCTATACTGTGTATGAGGACATGGGCAGCAGAGTGGAACCAGGCATGTTTGTTTTCCTGGCAAATTGACTCAGGCAACCCTGTGATGTGCCAGAAGTATGTGGCCCTTCCAATTTGGAGTGTCATCTTGCACAAACACTGAAGGACCCCAAATTCTCAAACAACATTCCCCATCTAAGGAGGACAGGCACTCTGCAAGCTACTACACCCCACAGAGGAATATGTAACCCAAGAGAGCACATATTTAACTCTGGCCAAGAAGCAGTTTTTCTAAGAGTCTCTAGTCCAATTGTACAAAATGTGTGTCTGGTTTAACCATGGTTCAGGTGGCAGGATACCACTGGATTGTGGCCAGGCTGGCAGACAGGTTCACCCTAAGGGTGTGGATGGTGCAGCGATGCTGAGTGAGGTTTCCTGGGTTCATGCTACCAGGAGCTAGCCAAGAACTGGATTCCCATGGTAGGCATGTAGGGGTGCCGTGGGCATGGTGGGGCTGCTGTAGGTCTGACTGGCAACTGATTCTGGACTGGGTGCATTATGTTAATGACAAGTTTAAGGAGGGTGATTAATTAAAGCAACCCTCCACAAACCCGTCTGATGTCTGGTGGTGTGGCTCCCACTGATGGCCACTGGGACCCCTGTCACATTTGCAATAGGCCACATGTGAACTATTAATCTGGAGGGATAGGCTCACAATACTCAAGCAGAAGACCTGGCAACGCTTCCAGTCTTTCACTGCTGCTACTGCTGGGATGATCTTCGCTGATACGTTCTCAATCCATGTACTGTGAAGAAACAAGAGGAGGAAAGATCTGGAACAGACTAAGCCCTCAGGATGGACACCAAGAAAAGTCACACTGCAACTTAGGACTTTTCATGTTTCTGAAAACAGCTGGGATGTTTTAGTGAGCATAGAATTAAACCTAACTCTGAAATCTATTTTTAAAAAAGAAAGTCAGGTAGGGTGTGGTGGCTCATGCCTGTAATTCCAGCACTTTGGGAGGCCGAGGCAGGCAGATCACTTGAGGTCAGGAGTTCAAGACCAGCCTGGCAAACATGGTGAAACCCCTGTCTCTACTAAAAATACAAAAATTAGCTGGGCAATGTGGTGTGTGCCTGTAATCCCAGCTCCTTGGGAGGCTGAGGCACGAGAACCGCTTGAACCCGGGAGGCAGAGGTGGCAGCGAGCTGAGATTGTGCCACTGCACTCCAGCTTGGGCGACAGAGTGAAACTGTGTTTCAAAAAATAAAAAAATAAAAATAAAGTCCACCTCTTATTTTATACCTATGGTTAAGGTAAGCTTCGTTCATGGGGTATATTATGTATTCTGTGTATCTGAACCCAGACTGAGGGTGGCACTGTCTGATCAGAACCCACTGATGGCCACTGGGACCCCTGTCACATTTGCAATAGGCCACATGTGAACTATTAATCTGGAGGAATAGGCTCACAATACTCAAGTGGAAGACCTGGCAACGCTTCCGGTCTTTCACTGCTGCTACTGCTGGGATGATCTTCGCTGATATGTTCTCAATCCATGTACTGTGAAGAAACAAGAGGAGGAAAGATTAGGCACCCACTTCTCACGCTTCCTGTGGTCGGAGGTGCTCTTTTCTATTACTTGGAGTATCAGCTGCCCAGATATGACAACCCAGGCTGTCTGTTCCAGTACTGAGGCTACTACCTCTCAGGGCACCCATTGCCCTTGTTGCTTGAGCCAGACCTTTTGGCCTTATTCATCCAGTCCAGGAGGGAAGGTCATGTCCTGTACAAACTTGACATGTTCAGCAGCATCACCCACATGAATGGAAGAATTAGATTCCCCTAGAGCCACTAGAGGTACCCTAGCACCTTTGTACTCCTTGGTCCCATCCTGTAGCCCTGTGGGATTCCCATAAAAGGAAGGCATCCAGGGAAACATCAGCTCCAGATTAGAGTCAGGAGGCCCTGTGTGAGTACTATGGTGGCCCAGACTGCAAACCATCCCCAAGATGTGTGCTCTAAAAAAAAAACAAAACAAAACAAAACAAAACAAAAAAACCCCACAACTGTTGGATATACTGAGATTGAGATATCACAGGCACAGCCTAAGCAGGTAAGCAGGCAGTTCCCTGGTCCACCTCGACTCCCACCAAACTCAGTATTTTCCAATACGTGCTGCAGTGTCATGTTTCTGTTGTGCTAGAATGGAGTGTTCACTGTCTACATTGCCCTAGTGAGACAGGGGTGCCACACCATTCGCAGGCCATGTGTCCTTTCATCAGTGACGGTGTGAGTGGGATGTTCCACTGTTCAATGGCTCCATGTTCCTGTGGATGATAGGGTGCATGGAAAGTCCATCATATTCCATGGAAGTCAGTGGCACACACCTGTAATCCCAGCTACTTGGGAGGCTGAGGCAGGAGAATCGCTTTAACCCAGGAGGTGGAGGTCGCAGTGAGCCAAGATTGTGCCATTGCACTCCAGCCTGGGTGACAAGAGCGAAACTCCATTTCAAAATAAGAAAGGGTCCACCAATTGTTGTGTTGCTTGGACAGTGAAAGAGGTTCCTTGGTCAAGTGAAGTCTTTTGGGGTATCCAAAAACGTAAGTTCTTTTCAAGGGCACCTATGGTAGCTATAGCATCCATAGGACAGACTAGAATGGCAACACCATAGCCTGAGTAGGTGTCAATGGCAGTGAGGCACCAATGAGGCCCATGGCTAGGGGTCAAGGGTCCAGTGAGGTCAACCTATCAGACCTAGGTGTATCCTAGTCCTCAGTTTATGTGCCCTAATTTTCCTCTTGAAACAATTTAGGCCCATTGGCAAGAATCACAAGATTGTACTGCATCCTTAGTCTCATCTTTCAGGATCGTCCCTCAGGCCTTGGCCCATTCTTGTATCTGTGGTGGACTTCCATGTCTAGTGGGTTGATGTATCAAGCAGGCGGTTGTCACTCTTAGGGCATAAGCTTGATAGGCATGAGTTTCATTCGTGATCCATCTCAAAAGGCCCTTTTCCATGAGCATCCACGAGTGACATATATTCATCCTTCCCAGTCAGCAAGCTGCTTCCATAGTTCTTGTCCCCACATGGGGGATCTCTCAATAGTCCAGTCATTCAGCTGCCATTCCCGAGTCACATGGCTAGACTCTTGGCAACAGCCCATGAGTCAGTGAAAAGTAGCAAGGTATAGCAGTAGGTGTGGCCTGCATGGTCGTCACCACTGCACAGTTTGGCCCATTGGGGAGAACATTCATATCCAGTCTAAGTCAAAAGATGACCATCTGCTGGCCACATGGTAGCCACAAGCCAGGGGACCCCACTTGCTTTGTTTCGAAGACTTATCAGTAAACCATGTCATACCATTGGCAGGTACATCTTTGAATCTTGGACCCCAGGTCGCCACTGGAGGGGCAAAGCATACACAGTGGGTCTCTTCTTCCCTTTTGCTAAGCTGACTGTTTATGGAGGCTTTTAGTTCCCGTGGTCCGGACTGGACCTAATCTTGGATGTTCTGTTTCCATTTGCTGATTAAGCTCTATTGATCCTGTCCAATTTTATTGATAGGATTCATAAACACACAAGTGAGAATGGGTAGTTTAGGTCATAGCATCACATGCAGCACTCCAGCCATAAGATGCTCAGTCTCCACCAGTGCCCAATAGCAAGCAAGGAGCTGCTGTTTGAAAAGGGTGTATCTGGCGGCTGCCTCAGGCAACTTATGTGTCCAAGATTGGAGAGGCTGGTGTCCTCTAGTGGCAGTTTCCTGCTGCCACAGACTCCAATTGGCATGTATGGATTTTTGGGTTACTAGCAGTTCCATGGGGCCAGCAGGCTCCAAAGGTTGCAAAGGCAGTATTTGGTCCATGTCTTATTGAACAACTTCCAAGGCTACTGCTGCAAAGGGCCCTGTTTCAACTGGCCTCATCCTTAACTGCGCCATTTGGCCAGAGACATTTGGGTCTATATTGTCCCTTTATCGAACAGATGTGCCAGCCAGGCTGCGTGAGACTTCCCTGGCATTCGTCCATATTTGTCCTTCAATTTTTATGTTTCATTCTCAGAGAAGGACCTCATTTCCACAGTTCTGTTTTCAGCAATGCCATTGGTGGTTCTGTGTTGAGTGCAACCAGATCTTATTTGAGGTCTGCAAGTGACTGGGATAGGTAAAACTCTCTGCACTAGGGGCTCCTCCAACTTCCCT
Organism: Homo sapiens; assembly: GCF_000001405.40. Classification (NCBI taxonomy): domain Eukaryota; kingdom Metazoa; phylum Chordata; class Mammalia; order Primates; family Hominidae; genus Homo; species Homo sapiens. Next base: position 17,561,889 of record NC_000004.12, on the reverse strand, counting down.
CTGACATTGTCTGTGGCCCCTGGGATACCATGGGAATATCACTCTGTGATCAGAGGGAGGCCAGCCTCCCCGCCCCTCTACACCCCAGAGAGTCAGCAACACCCTGGGGCAATGTGGCTGACAAGCCCTTGCATTTCTACCCCATCATGATGCGTCTCATAGAGACTTGCTCACTGAGCCAAACTGTCAAGCAAGTGGCATCTGTTGCCTATTATCAGGAACAGAAGTCCTAGCCCTTCCGCCCACTGCATCCTGGTGTCTGAGTCACCAAGGAGAGCACAACACAGTTGAGTCCTGGATGGAACAGTGCTTTACTCACACAGAGAAGAGACAGAAAAATCAGCTTCAATAGTGAATGTCGGTCTCCCATGACCAGTGAGTCCCCTCACAGCAGACACACCCCCCTGCACCTGTTTCATGCTGCAGCAGAAGGACCCTGTCTCCTCCCTGCCCCTATGGGGTCTAAAACACTGATAGCCAGGGGCATACCTGAGGGCCATTAACACACCTGCTTAAACAGAACAAAGGAGCACACATTGAGCCTGAAACAGGGAAAGGCATTCCCACACAAGGTGACAAGCCGGGCCCAGGCTGTGTGGGCTCTTTATCTCTTTTTTTTCTTGAGGCGAGTTTCGCTCTTGTTGCACAGGCTGGAGTGAAATGGTGCAATCTTGGCTCACCGCAACCTCCACCTCCCGGGTTCGAGCAATTCTCCTGCCTCAGTCTCCCGAGTTCCTGGGATTACAGGCATGCACCACCACGCCGGACTTATTTTGTATTTTTAGTAGAGATGGCGTTTCTCCATGTTGGTCAGGCTGGTCTCAGACTCCTGACCTCAGATGATACACCTGCCGTGGCCTCCCAAATTGCTGGGATTACAGGCGTGAGCCACTGCACCTGGCCAGGCTCTGTATCTTTTCTTTTATCTCTTAGGAAATGCTCCAGGCAATTTTTTTTTTTTTTTTTGAGACACGGAGTCTTGCTCTGTTGCCCAGGCTGGATTACAGTGGCACGATCTTGGCTCACTGAAACCTCCACCTCCTGGGTTCAAGTGATTCTCCGGCCTCAGCCTCCCAAGTAGCTGCAATTACAGGCATGCGCCATCATGCCTGGCTAATTTTTGTATTTTTAGTAGAGATGGGGCTTTGCCATGTTGGCCAAGCTTGTTCCGAACCCCTGACCTCAGGTGATCCACCTGCCTTGACTTCCCAAAGTGCTAGGATTACAGGCGTGAGCCATGGTGCTGGCCCCAGGCTCATTCTTATGTGGCTAAGGAGGGGGTCAAAGGGCTGTGTGAATGAGGCTGCCTTTCCCAACATTCGGTGTATAGTTTCCATCCTCAAGGTCTGTGGTTGCTGCAGTGTCAGCTAGGCAGGAGGAAGGGGAAAGACCAATGGCACCCACCTAGTTGAGTCACTCCCTTTCAAGGACACTTTTCAACAACTTCCACCTACATTCCACTGGCCAGCCCTGTCTGGAAGGAGGGCTGCTATCCTGAATGAAATCTGGGTTCTAAAACTGGCAAAGAAAGAAAGTCTCGGCTAGGTGCAGTGGCTCATGCCCGTAATCCCAGCACTTTGGGAGGCCGAGGTGGGAGGATCACCTGAGCCCAGGAGTTCAAGGATGCAGTGAGCTATGATTGCATCACTGAACTCCAGCATGGGCAACGAGAGCAAGGCTTTGTCTAGGATGTGGGGGACAGTGGTAGGAGGACAGAGAGAGAGAGAGTGTGTGTGGATATTGTCTAGGCAACAAGCAATTTCTGCCTATGTAGTAATTACTACTCATCTCACAGGTCCAAGCACAAATTTAGTTCCCCAAAGAAACATTTTCTTGACGTCTGCACCTAGATCAGGTCCTCTGCGTCTATGATTTTTAACCTCTCAATTTTTTTTTCCACAGGGCTTATTGCCATGCCAATTAAATCATTCTTATGGCTCTTCCAATACCCTGTGGCCCATGAGGACAGGAACGCTGTCTATCTTATTCACCATTGTATTTCTAGTGCCTCCTATTGCCACTGGCACATAGTAGGTGCTCAACAAATATTTGTTGAATGAATGACCAAAAGGGTTTGCATTTAGTACCTGGCATTTTGCTATAAGGAAGGGGTCAGAAACCAATGTTTCAGGCCTTTCCATCATCCTGCCGCCTGTAGAATGCAGATGTAGTAGAATGCAGATGTAGTAGAATGTAGATGCAGTGGATGGAGCTTCCGGAGCCATCTTGGGCTGTGAAGACAAAGCCACACCCTAGGGATGGTGGAGTAGACAGGGGAGGGAGCCTGGGTCCATAGTGGCTTCATGGACATTCTATACAAGTCCAGGACAGCAAGTCCACACTTCTTTAATGGGAATGTGTTAAGTCCTGGTGCATTTCAGTCACTGTTGATTTCAGCTGGCTGTCACATGTTGCCAAATCTAACCTTCATAAATTAGTGAGGTTCAGAGGTACAAAGTATCTTCCCCAAGGCCAAGCTACAGTTCTCAGAGCAGGGATTTGGACCCTGGCCTGTTGAACCCTAGGGTCTCTACCTTTAACCCTTAAGTTGCAGAACTTCCAGAAATCTCAGAAAAAAACTGTGTTGACATTAAAGCAGCAAATAGAACTTTGCACTTGTCATGAGCAGTAGGGATTACTCACTGGACTTTTCCACACCACTTCATAGCAAGGCTCAGAAAGAACCATTGTTCACATTCTTTTTTATTTAAATAAAGCTTTGAACAACATGAGGTTCTGCCTATGCCTACATTAAAGCGGCTTGACCATCAACTACTTGATGGTCTTTCTTTCCATCATGTTACTATTAGAGCCAAATACGATTGCTTCTCGGCCTTTTAACTAAGATCAAGTGTAGAGCAAAGTACAGTGTCTGGCTCAATGCATGTTTAATCAGTGAATGATAGATTTCATTGAAACAAATGGAGGGCTTCTTCAGCTCTAACCCATTAGTCAATGGAAAAGCAACATAAGCAAATACAATTACCTAACCATGTTTGTTTTCTAATAACTGTCTGTATTTTGAATTTCAGTCTTGCACTAGAATATTAGTTCTTTTCCCCAGGGGGAGAAATTCTAAACTCTATCCAAAGCAAGTTGAGTGTTAGAATTTGGATCAATGTGGGGGCCTATGCAGGCAACTGATTTTTCCTCCAGCAGAGCAGTGATCAGGTAATAGGACCATCTATGGAGGAAGTAGAGGACACTTCAATTCCTGGACAATTAAACTATCTGTAAAGCACGTGTGCCTGATTTCTTGTTTAATAAATTCAGTTAGTTTTGTGAATTTTTTAATTTAAATATGAGGATTAATTTTATTATTTTACTATGGTAGAACGGACTTAGAAGTGAAAAGAAACCCAAGAATTATTTAACTTTGCAATTTTTCCTATTCCATATGAGGAAAATCAGTTTTTTAAAAATTTGAATTTCATCTTTGGTTTAGCGTATTTGGTCTTTTTAGATAAGTATAAAGCTGGAAAGAAATAGTTTTTTAGACTTTTTAGAAACTTAACTCCTAAATATAACCTGTGCCTGGTACAATATTTAGATGTTAAAACTAGCTTATTATTATTTTTTAAGCTTTTAGCTTCAGGGGCACATGTGCAGGTTTGTTATATAGGTAAACTGTGTGACACATGGGTTTGGTGTACAGATAATTTTTGTCACCTGGGGAATAAGCATATGTAGTTTTTCCGATCCTCTCCCTCCTCCCATCCTTCATCCTCAAGCAGGCCCCAGTGTCTGTTGTTGGCCTTCTACTACCCATGTGTTCTTGTTTACACTAGCTTATCTTAATATCCCTTTAAGACTTTTCGGGAGGGGTTGAAATCTGAGCCAATGCTGAGTCAACGCGTATTTTGAATTTTAGTAATGGACCTTCTTACTTATATGAATCGGAGGCCAACCTGTTGAACATGCCTTCATCATCACTGGCCAAGGAGCATCTATTACATATTTTCCCCTCATCCTTGTTTTAATGCCACTTCCTGGTCTAATTTGTTGCCAGTAACAAATACCAGCATTTGTTAATGCTGTTTAAATCAATACGATTGCACTGTATATTACAAATGCTGAATAAATTCATGGCTATGTACAAATCTAAGTTTAATGTTCTAAAATAATATCTGTGAAACTTTGAAATTTGTTTTAATAAACTAGTCCTAGAAGATGTATTTCAATTAGAAGGAATCTCAGGCTGGGTGTGGTGGCCCATGCCTGTAATTCCAACACTTCAGGAGGCCTAGGAAGGAAGGTTGCTTGAGTCCAGGAGTTTGAGACCAGCCTGGGCAACATAGTAAGGCCCCCATCTCTACAAAAATAAAAATAAAAAAATTAGCCAGGTATGGTGGTGTGTGCCTATAGATCCAGCTACTCAGGAGGTTGAGATGGGAGGATACCTTGAGCCCAGGATATCTAGGCTGCAATGAACCATGACCATACTACTGCACTTCAGCTTGGGTGACAGAGTGAGACTTTGTCTCTCAAAAGAAAAAAAAAAGAAGGAATCTCATGTGCAAAGATCATTGGCAAATTTATCTTCTGAGTGAGATGATAACAGCTACTACTGTATATTAGGCATCTACTAAGCACAAATAAAGACTGAACATCTTTTTTTTTTATTATTTGTATTTTTTTTTTTTTTTTTAGAGGGAGTCTCGCTCTGTTGCCCAGGGTGGAGTGCAGTGGTGCAATCTTGGCTCACTGCAACCTCTACCTCCTGGGTTCAAGTGATTCTCCTGCCTCAGTCTCCTGAGTAGCTGAGATTACAGGCACCCGCCACCATGCCCAGCTAAGTTTTGTATTTTAGTAGAAATGTTGTTTCACCGTGTTGGTCAGGCTGGTCTAGAACTCCAGACCTTAAGTGATCCACCTGCTTTGGTCTCCCAAAGTGCTGGGATTACAGGTGTGAGCCATGAACATCTGTTTAACATATGTTTTTAAAAAAACATTGATCTATTTCTCATCTCTTTGTCTTTTTGTTTATGAATTTCTTATTTCTGGTACCAAAAAATTTAATTTCCCAGAGCTTTCTTTTCTCATTGATGCAATAGTTACTATTGTCTTTTTGTGGATATTAATTACACTTTCTCTGAAGTTTTTTTTTTTCTGCTCTCTGAATTGGCCCTGTTTGTTCTGAGTTCTGATTTCTTATTTGTTTTTTTGGTCTCTCACTTTGATGTTGGCAGGATTTCTTCCAATGCCTGGTGATCTTTGGCTGTTGAATAAGTGAGGGACTGGGGGTGGGGAGGGGGTGAAGGTTGAAAAAGTAACTATGTTAGTACTATGTTCACTTAGTGGTTTTCCAGGTGGTGAGATCAATTGCACCCCAAACCTCAGCATCATTCAATATACCCATGTAAAAACCTGCACCTGTACCCCCAAATCTAAAATAAAAGTTGAAAGTATTAAAAAACAAAAACAAAAGAGCAAACAAACACAAAGTGAGGACTGAAAGGCCAAATGAAACCTCTTCGTGCTCATGGGAAAGACCTGATAATTGGTAGGTATTACTTTCGCGTGATTAGGTGGGACTCCACCATTTCATGGGGACATCACCAAATGTCAAACTCTGCAAGCTTTTTTCTTGGGCTTCCTCTTTCCCCTAAAGGGGATCCTTCAATTGCCCGTCTGTCTTAATAGCCTGACTGCTAGTTTTTTTGGGAGCAAATCAGGAGAAATATATCTGGGGTCATATAATCCAGTCTGCAGCTTTTCACTTAATTTCCCTATTTTCTGTTAGGTGTCTCCCCCTCCCTGACCTGGGTCTGGGGCCCCCAAATCTGGAGTATCTCTGATTCAACCCCTTTAGAAAGAAAATCTAGTCTTCTAATAAGTTGTGAAAAATGGATTTACTTGGGGGAAGGTAAATAAAACATGGGTAAGGACCTGAGATATTATTTCGTGTTTCTGTTTATATTTTCTTCCTTCCTGTGTATTCTGATCTCAGGATTGCTTTGTCAATTAAGAATTAAGAGGATGTTCTCAGTGTAACTGTATCACAGACTGCGTAATGTATTCCTCCTCAGATTACTGGGATGGAAATTCGGCATGTGCAGCCATTCATTTATTCAGCAAATATTTATTGAACGGCTGCTTTGTTTCAAGCAGTACCATAGACACTTGGGGATACAGCAGGTGAGCAAGATGAGCAAGACTGTCCTGAGGTACAAGGGCCCCAGCATTGATCTATTCACTTCATTCCTTCACTTACTCCTGAGCCCAGCATTTTATCTATTTGCTTAATTCCTTTACTTACTCATGAGCCCCAGCATTGATCTATTTGCTTCATTCCTTCACAATAAATACGTTGAGGACCCACTATATGGCAGGTAATGAGATAGGCACACAGGGTTATAAGATAAACTAGAGACATAACCTCTGCCTTTATTCAGAACATCGTGCAGAAAGGAAGAAAGACAATTCACCAGTGTGAGCTGAGCAAAGCTTGTGAGAGGGGAGTACGCGGTGCTCCAAGAGCATGGAACAGAAGGCTCTTACCTAATTCATGAGTCAGGAAAGTTCTCCCATAAAAATTAACAGTAAAGCTGCAACCTGAACGAAAAGCAAGACTGATACAGGTGAGGAGAGAAGGTGAGTGAAAGGCTTGAGGAAAGGCAGAAGAATGTGGCTGGTCTTTCGCGGAACTGGAAGAAGGGGGATGTGGCTGCAGTATAGATAGTGAAGAGAAGATGGAGCTGGACAGGTAAGCAGGGTCCAGTGGTTGAACGCTTTTGTAGGCCACAGGATAAAGCTGATGGTGGCTTGTCCTATATGGAGCTGAAGCAGAGGAGAGAGGTGGAAAATTGCCATGCTGCTTGGAGGGTAGGATCAAGATGACTTCGTGATGGACTGGATCTGAAGCGAGGGGAAGGGGAAATTTAAAGATGACTCCTAAACTTCTAGCTTAAGCAACACAGTGGATATCCTGCTTTCAACTGAGATTGAAGACCCAGGAGCAGAAGCAATTGTGGTGAGGGTAATGAAGGAGGCAGCAAGGAAGACAGCTCCATTTTGCACAAATTGAGTTTGAGGAACCTGGGGATATCCAAGTGGAAAGATGCAATAGGCAGCTGGGTATATGGGTCTGGAGAGCAGGCGAGTCATGCTGGCTAGTGATGCCAATTGGAAGTATTAGCATATAGCTAGAGTAAAATGTGGAGTCTAGGGAAGGTGATGTGTTTTTGTTTCTGTTTCGCTTTGGTTTTTGTTTTGAGACAGGGTCTCACTCTATCACCCAGGCTGCAGTGCAGTGGTGCGATCTCAGCTCACTGCAACCTCCATCTCCTGGGTTCAAGCGATTCTCCTCAGCCTCCTGAGTAGCTGGTATTACAGGCATGAGCCATCATGCCCAGCTAATTTTTGTATTTTCAGTAGAGACAAGGTTTCACCATGTTGGCCCGGCTGGTCTTGAACTCCTGACCTCAAGTAATCCACTCGTCTCGACTTCCCAAAGTGCTGGGATTTCAGGCATGAGCCTCTGTGCCTGACCAGCTGATGTGTTTTTGTTTGGTGAACAGCGATATGCTTACTTAAAAAAAATTTTTTTTTATTTACAAAAAATTATTGGTGACCGGGTGCGGTGGCTCATGCCTGTAATCCCAGCACTTTGGGAGGCCGAGGCAGGAGGATCACGAGGTCAGGAGTTCAAGACCAGCCTAACCAACATGGTGAAACCCCGTCTCTACTAAAAATACAAAACTTAGCTGGGCGTAGTGGCATGTGCCTGTAATCCCAGCTACTCAGGAGGCTGAGGCAGGAGAATCTCTTGAACCCAGGAGGCAGAGGTTGCAGGGAGGTGGAGGTTGCAGTGAGCCGAGATCACGCCACTGCACTCCAGCCTGGGCAACAGAACAAGACTCTGCCTCAAAAAAAAAAAAAAAAAAAATATATATATATATATATGTATGTATATGTAGATTCACAGGAGGTTGGAAAGAAAGTACGGAGAGATTCCACTTACCCTTCACTGGTTTTCCTCAGTGGTTACTTCTACATCTAGATAATTAGTGTAATATCAAAACCAGGAAGGTGCATTGGTCTAAGGTGTTCATACAGTTCAATGTTCTTTTATCATTTGTGTAGATTTTTGTAACCACCACTGGCATCAAGATACCAACCTATTCCATCACCACAAAGATCCTTCTTGAGCTACCCCTTTGTGGTCACAATTACCGCCTCACATCCCTAACCCTTGGCAACCTCGAATTTGTTCTCTAGCTCTATAATTGTATTATCTCTAGAATGCTATATAAGTGGAATCATAACGTATGTGAACTTGTTGGAGTCTTGCACTGTTGCCCAGGCTGGAGTGCAGTGGCATGGTCTCGACTCACTGCAACCTCCGTCTCCCAGGTTCAATTGATTCTCCTGCCTCAGCCTCCCAAGTAGCTGGGATGTATGTGAACTTTTGAGATTGACTTTTTCACCCAGTATTTGCTCTTGAGATCCATTCAAGCTCTCATGTATACCAGTAATTCACTCCTTTTTGTTGCAGAGTATTATTCCACGGAATGGATGTATCACAGTTTTGTTTTGTTTTATTTTTCTGTCATTCACCTATTGAAGGACATTTTGGTTGCTTCCAGTTTTTGGTAATTCCCAATGAAGCTGCTATGAACATTTGTGTACAAGCTTTCATCTGGAAATAAGTTTTCATTTTTCTGGGATAAATGCCCAGGAGCATAAATGCTGGGTCATATGATGTACATTTAGTTTTTTTTGTTTTTTTTTTCTTTTCTTTTTTCTTTTATTTTTTATTTTTATTTTTTTGAGAGGGAGTCTTGCTCTGTCACCCGGGCTAGAGTGCAGTGGCTCAATCTCGGCTCACTGCAACATCCGCCTCCTGGCCTCAAGCAATTCTCCTGCCTCAGCCCCCTAAGTAACTGGGATTACAGGTGCACACCACCACACCTGGCTAATTTTTGTATTTTTAGGAGAGATGAGATTTCACCATGTTGGCCAGGCTGGTCTTGAACTCCTGACCTGAAGTGATCTGCCTGCCTGGGCCTCCCAAAGTGCTGAGATTACAGGTGTGAGCCATCGCGCCCAGCCCCATTTAGTTTTTAAAAAACAAACTGTTGCCTTCTTGCTGGCTGTCTTTCTGCCACCATCCTGGTCTCAAGTTCCCTGCACTAAATGCCTGGTGAAGCCACAGAAACCATTCTTGCTACAGAGCAGGAGTTGCCACAGCCCCAGGTGGAGACCGGGTCTGGAACAGAAGCTGACAGTGATAAATCAGTACCAGAGCTCGAGGAACAGGATTCCACAGAGATACCACACAAGCAGCCCAGCTGGCAGCAGCAGCTGAAATCAATGAGTGTCAATCAGTAAAGCAAAACAGAGTTAGAGTGAAAAGAAGGCACGTAAGGCTATGTCCAAACTCGGTCTTCCGTAGATAACAGGGGTTACTACAGTCACTACTGGAAATCTAAGAATATCTTCTTTGTCATCACAAAACCAGATGTCTACAAGAATCCTGCTTCGGATACCTATGTGTGTGTTTTTGGGGAAGCCAAGATCAAGGATTTATCTTAACAAGCATGGGTAGCACCTGCTAAGACACAGAGTGAGCTGTCTCAAACATTCAAGAAAACACACAGACTCCAACTATACAAGACGAGACTGGAGAGGAAAAGGTTGATGATACAGGTGTGGAAGTTAAGGACGTAGAATTGGTCATGTCACAAGCAAATGTATTGAGAGCAAAGGAAGTCCGAGCCTTGAAGAACAAGAGTAATCATATTGTAACTGCTATTACAGAATTAACAATGTGACCACCTGAAAATGACTGTTTTTGTGTGTTTCAAAAGAATAACTGCAACTTGGTTTGAAATTTGTACCTGTTTCTATCATAAATAAAATTATGGCTTCTTCTTGGAAAAATATTAGAATAAAATAAACATTCAAATTATGCAAAGTCCCACAGTCACTGCACTCCCAGCCCAGGCGATTATTAATGGCCAACCACTTGCCTTTTAAAGAATTTCTTGGCATTCTTCTGCTTCCACAATAAAGGAGACTAATCATCTTTTCTCTTATTTTCACCTCTGTCAGGTCTGGGATCTTCCTTTAATACTACCCTGGGCCAAGAGCAGTGGCTCACACCTGTAATCCCAGCATTTTGGGAAATAGAGGCAGTAGTATCACTTGAGCCCAGGACTTGGAGACCAGCCTGGATAACATAGTGAGACTCCTGTCTCTACAAAAACTACAAAAATTAGCCGAGTGTGGTGGCACAAGCCCATAGTTGAGGCTGCAGTGAGCGGCGGTGGCACCACTGTACTCCAGCCTGGGTGACAGAGTGAGATTCTGTCTCAAAATTAAAAAGAGAATAATCTGGTGTCCCTGAAATGTAAGTGACTGTCCTGAGAAATCCTGATGCCTTTTTTTATTTTTAAACTGCAGAGGTCCTTTGTGAATGAGAACTCTTGTTTTCTTTTCTTTTCTTTCTTTCTCTCTTTTTTTTTTTTTTTTTTTTTTTTTTGAGATGGAGTCTTGCCCTGTCACCATGGTGGAGTGCAGTGGTGTGATCTTGGCTCACTGCAACCTCCAACTCTCTGGTTCAAGCAATTCTCCTGCCTCAGCCTCCCGAGTAGCTGTGATTACAGGCATGTGCCACCACGCCCGGCTAATTTTTGTGTTTTTAGTAGAGACGGGGTTTCACTATGTTGGCCAGGATAGTTTCCATCTCCTGACCTCGTGATCTGCCCACCTTGGCCTCCCAAAGTGCTGGGATTATAGGTGTGAGCCACTGCGCCTGGACTGTTTTCTTGTTTAGCAGTTTGCTCATCTACATATACTTTCAGAGACAAACTGTTCTCAGTATTGAGGATTACAATAAACTCCTTTCTCTAATAAAAGAACACTGACTGAAAAAAAACCCAAACGTATCATTACAGTTATCAATACGTCAAATGTATGCTTGCCACGATTTTTCATATGACAAAGTAATTTTTCTTTTTTGGTAAAATAATTTAATTCTAATTTGGTCTTCACTATTGGGGTTGAATTTAAGTTCTTAACCATTCTGGTCCTTATATTTTCTTTTTTTTTGTTTTTACATCCCCATGAACACCAAGGAAGCTCTGTATATTTTCTGTGGCAACACCTGCAAACTTGTTTACCTCAGCAGTTTGCAAATGCCAACTCTAAACCATCAACTGGGTAACTCCAAACACACACACCACACACACACTCCTCTCTCGCTCGCTCTCTCTCTCTTTCTGGAGTCTAGCTTCCTTCTTTCCTCTCCTCCCTCTCCAAAGAGATTCTGATTTAGTTTTAAAACGCTCACCAGGTAATTCTGACCATCAGCCAGGTTTGGAAACTATTGAGATAATTCCTCACATCTGTGTCGGTCTATCTACCCATCCTGCTTTCCTTATTCCAGAAGAGATTTAAGGTGTTGACTTAATTAAATACAGTAATTTGGGAAACCATTTAAGAAAATAAAATATAAACAGTGGTTTCATCTTTATCTTCTTTCTCATAATTTTGTATTTTTTTAAGTTTTCTGATATATATTATTACAGTGATAATCTTTAAAAAGAATGAAACTTTATAGATATAAAATTGAGTTTGGGCAGGGTGTGGTGGCTCCCGCTTCTAATCCCAGCATTTTGAGAGGCCAAAGAAGGCGGATCACTTTAGCTCAGGAGCTCAAGACCAGCCTGTACAACATGGCAAAACCCCATCTCTACAAAAAATACAAAAATTAGTCAGGTGTGGTGGCGCACGCCTGCAGTCCCAGAGACTCGAGAGGCTAAGGTGGGAGGATTGCTTGAGCCCGGGAAGTGGAGGTTGCAGTGAACTGAGATCGCACCACTGCATTCCACCCTGGGTGAGAAGTGAGACCCTGTCTCACAAAAAAAAAAAAAAAAAAAAAAAAAAAAAAAGGCCAGTCACTTGTTAGAGTTGCTGGGCCTATGTATTATACTATTTTATCCTTGATGAGTTATTAATCAAGTATAGTAATTTGATTTTTACAACCCTGCGCTGACACAGAGGACCAGAGAGAAAACCTTTATGGCTGTGACGTTACAGGTTACTGGTAGGATGTAAGACCTCTAAAATTCTTTTTTTTTTGACAGAGTCTCGCTCTGTCGCCCAGGCTGGAGTGTAGTGGCGAGATCTCGGCGCACTGCAAGCTCCGCCTCCCGGGTTCACGCCATTCTCCTGCCTCAGCCTCCCGAGTAGCTGGGACTACAGGCGCCCGCCATCACGCCCGGCTAATTTTTTGTATTTTTGATACAGACGGGGTTTCACCGTGTTAGCCAGGATGGTCTCGATCTCCTGACCTCGTGATCCGCCCGCCTCGGCCTCCCAAAGTGCTGGGATTACAGGCGTGAGCCACTGCGCCCAGTCAAGACCTCTAAAGTTCTAACAGTTTTTGTTTCCTAGGGTCCTGCAACACCCCGCTGAGAAATAACCCTCGTTATACTTAGCAACGTTATCTAAAATATTAAAAGGTATTTCCTTACTCAATTGGAACTTGAAACTGGAAGCATAGTGGAATCACAGAGTGACTCTGAGCTGAAAGAATCATTCAAGATTCCTTGATCCAACCGGCAGCCCCACGCCCGCTGAGACATGATGAGTTTATGGTCAATCGATTGCTTCCCCCTAGTGGCAAACGGTGGTCATACCACTTTCATTTTTAGACATGTTTAACCTTAGAATCATAGTTTAGAAATTATTTTGCACCATGGATTGCTTTGATATGATTATTAAAACATATACGGTGTGATAGTATTATATAGTATCCATGGTAAAACTATTAGCTAATGCATTTAACAATCACAGCAACAATACCTAAGGCAGTCAAAGCTCATTACTTCTCTAGTTTCTTTCTGATTCACTTATGAAACAATTTATCCCTGATTTATAATATTCCTCCTAAGTCTTAAAGAAAATGCACATAGTTGTGTAGTTATAAATAAGCTCTGTTCAGAGCAGACCACATTATAAGCCAGTATGATTAAGATTCCAGAAATGGCAAATTGCCACCAAATAATTATAGCCTTTGGTAACAAACAGAACAAAACAAAAAAGAAAACAATGACACTTTTAACTACCAGATCCAGGATTTGATAAAATGATCATGCCCAGAACGAGCTTTGTCATTTTGTGGCAAATTGTTCTTAAAGCCTCAACTGAACTCAACAAAGCTTTAAAATCATCTTTTGATTTTAAAAGTGGCGTCCCAGAAAAGCTTATATATAATTATATATATATATATATTTTTTTTTTTTTAATGCTGCCTTATTCAGTTTTCAGGAAATTTTTACATGTATGGTATTATTATCATTTGCCCCTTCAACTACTCTCCTTGGTAGACAGGAAAGGTATTAGTATACCTTTTTTTTTTTGAGATGGAGTGCAGTCACACAATCTCGGCTCACTGCAACCTCCGCCTCCTGGGTTCACATGACTCTCCTGCCTCAGCTTCCCCACTAGCTGGGATTATAGGCATGCACCACCACCCCTGGCTAGTTTTTATATTTTTACTGGAGATGGGGTTTCCCCATGTTGACCAGGCTGGCCTCAAACTCCTGCCCTCAAGTGATCCACCCATCTCGGCCTCCCAAAGTGTTGGTATTACAAGCGTGAGCCACCACGCCCCGCCAATATACCTTTTTTACAGTTGAAGAAACTGAGGCTCAGAGATATCACAGAGCAATAGGGTCCCAGAAATGGGACAAAAATCATGGTTGTTTCACTCTTCTTGAAACGCTTCAGACTTTTACATCCAACTGTCTGCTACGCATTTTTACTGGGATGTCTCATCCACAGGCCCTGAGATCCACCTCATCCCTGGATCCCGTTACAGGTAGTGACACTGCCTTCTACTCAGTCGTCAAACAAGAGGTCTGGGAGACCTCCCCGATCCTTTCTTCTCTATCCTCTCTTGCAACTGATGTCTTGCTGATTTTCCTGACCCTCCTCCACTTCGTATTGTACCCTTGTATTAGAGTGCTAGGGCTGCCACAGACTGGGTGGCTTCAACAACAGAAATTTATTTTCTCATAATTTTGGAGCTAGAAGTCCAAGATCAAAATGTTAGAAAGGTTGGTTTCTTCTGAGGACTCTCTCCTTGGCTTGTAGATGGCTGTTGTGTCAGTCTATTTTACGTTGCTATTAAAGAATACCTGAGGCTGGGTAATTTATAAATAAAAGAGGTTTATTTTCGCTCACAATTCTGCAGACAGAATGCTGCAGAATCTTATACTATGCTTCTGTATAAGAAGCATAGTAGGACAGGGGTGGTGGCTCACACCTGTAATCCCAGCACTTTGGGAGGCCAAGATGGGTGGATCACTTGAGGTCCAGAATTCCAGACCAGCCTGGTCAATGTGGGGAAACTACATCTCTACTAAAAATACAAAAATTAGCTGAGTGTGGTGGCACACACCTGTGATCCCAGCTACTTGGGAGGCTGAGGCAGGAGAATCACTTGAACCTTGGAGGCAGAGGCTGCAGTTAGCTGAGATTGTGCCACTGCATTCCAGCCTGGGCAACAGCACCAGATTCCATCTCAAAAAAAAAAGAAAAAGAAAAAGAAAAAAAAAGCATAGTGCTTGCCTCTGCTTCTGGTGAGGCCTCAGAAAGCTTGTTTTTTGTTTGTTTGTTTGTTTGTTTATGTGAGACAGAGTCTTGCTCTGTCGCTAGGCTGGAGTGCAGTGGCGTGATCTCAGCTCACTGCAACCTCTGCCTCCCGGGTTCAAGCGATTCCCCTGCCTCAGCCTCCCGGGTAGCTGGGATTACAGGCATGCATCACTACACCTGGCTAATTTTTTGTATTTTAGTAAAGACAGGGTTTCACCATGTTAGCCAAGATGGTCTCGATCTCCTGATCTCGTGATCCTCCCACCTTGGCCTCCCAAAGTGCTGGGATTACAGGCTTGAGTCAACGCGCCCGACCTGGAAGTTTTTACTCGTGGTGGAAGGCAGAGTGGGAGCAGGCCTGTCACATGGTGAGAGAGAAAGCAAGGGGGGAGGAGGAGCTGCCAGGCTCTCTTAAACAACTAGCTCTCCTGTGAACTAATAGAGCGAGAATTCACTTGTTACCACGGGGATGGCCCAAGCTATTCTTGAGAGATCTACTCTCATGAGGGATCTGCCCTGTGGTAGCGAGCCTGTAATCCCAGCTGCTGGGGAGGCTGAGGCATGGGAATCTCTTGAACCCGGGAGGCGGAGCTTGCAGTGAGCCGAGAACACGCCACCGCACTCCAGCCTGGGCAACAGAGCGAGACTCCGTCTCACAAAATAAATAAAAGCCCTGTCTCCAAATATGTCACATTGTGAGGTACCCGGGGTCAAGACTTCAACATAAGTTGGGGGGGCGGTGCAGGGCATAACCCTGCCCATGACAGCCCTGGTTCATTTCTGAACTGGTTGAAGGCTGCCTCCCTCTGCCCTTGACGCCGCACCACCTTCCTGCCTGGATCCTCTGCTCCCATGTGCTGTCCACATGCTGCTCGAGGACTCCTTCTAATGCGCCACCTATCCTGCTTCTCAGCCCTCAGTGAAGCCCAGTTCCTTCACAGGACGCAGGAATCCTTCTCGAACCTGGCCCTACCTTTCTCGCCTGCCTGTGTTCCTTCCATACTTCTTGTCTTGCGCTTGTCCCAGTGGGTGCTGAACTGCTGTGACCTGGCTGTGCTGTTTCCTGCCTCGATACCTCTGCTTCTATTTATGCCCTCACCCTGAGTTTTTTGCCTTTGCCTGCCTACCCCTTATTCATTCTTCAAAATTGACAGTGAGAGGGAGACTTTTGTGGTTCCTTGAATTCCATCCCAGCTCTGGCTTCTGGACCAGAGAGACTTGCGTGCACGCACAGAACCCAGCGCAGGCAGACGGCATGTGGACAGATCACAGGTGAGCAGATCGCAGTAGGCATTACCTCGGGAACAGTCTGTTAAGGACATGCTGATCACTGCACCAAAGAACTGTCCCCGTACCCCAGGGGGTGTCAGCTGTCTAGGCCAGGTGGCCTGTAGGAGCCACCTCCCTTCATCAGGCAGGCAAAGCTACTGTCTGGTTTTATTATGTCTCTCTTAATACAGAGGCAATTCAATTTCTTCCCACTTTTGGCTGGCTATATAGAGATACATATATATTTTATATGTTTATATACATTTAACAGATTCATACCTGTGAGGCTGATACAAATTTATGAAGATATTAATTTATACCTACCCCCTGACTTTCCCCATTCAAGCTAGCTGCAGGCCTCACCTTAGGGGAAATTTGCGGCAATGTGGAAAACAGAAGAGCTATCGCTGACTTTGCAGTAAGTACTCTGGGTTATCTAGATTGTGATTCATACCCAGTACAGTGGACCCAGGGTTCCATCGAACTTGCTTTCACAGTTTAGCCAACTCCAACCTCATTGCTGTAGCTACTTTAACCCCAGCTAAACTTTAAAATAATAGCACATAAGCACTTCCATACTAGCAAATTTACTGTAAACTTACCCTCGCCCCAGCATGTAATTACCTTTTTTTTTTTGGGACAGAGTTTTGTTCTTGTTGCCTAGGCTGGAATGTAATGGCGTCATCTCGGCTCACCGCAACCTCCTCCCAGGTTCAAGCTATTCTCCTGCCTCAGCCTACCGAGTAGCTGGGATTACAGGCATGTGCCACCATGCCCGACTAATTTTGTATTTTTAGTTTCTCCATGTTGGTCAGGCAGGTCTCTAACTCCCGACCTCAGGTGATCCACCCACCTTGGCCTCCCAAAGTGCTGGGATCACAGGTGTGAGCCACCCCGCCGGGCCATGTAATTACTATTAATGGTTTTGTTTGTAAACCCCACTGCTTCCTGATCCAGGCTGTGTCAGGATCAGCTCTGGCCATCCTCCAACCTCATGTTATCATAAAATACAATGTTTGTGTTTCTAGTTCCTGGTCTGTAAACTTCCCAAACAATGTCATCTTCATCTTTGTATCCCCAGGACCTGGCATTGTGCCAAACACATAGTAATGTTCCCAAAATAATCTGTTGAAAACAAAATGAAAATAATTGGATCTATGGGATGACAGGGCAGGGACAATGAAGTAACTATTTGGAATAATTTTCAGTAAGAAGCTTTTGTTAATGGAGGTGGAGAGTGGAGGTAAATGTCCAGAGGAAACAAAATTAGCCATGGGCTGATAATTATTGAAGCTGGATAATAGTTACCTAGAACTGCAATACTGTAGTTTCTATGCATATATATATATATATAAATTAGGCATATTAAATACATATTCACCAATAAAAAGTAAAAAGTGAAAACAAACCCACGTCTGTTTACTAAGAAATGAGTGTGAGAAGGAAGTGCTAGTTCTATAATGAAGCAGGCTGTCATTTCTGCTTGTTTACTTTGCATTTCAGCACAGCGGCCCTTTGTGAGGAACAATGACAATGACTTCCACCTCTTCCGGGGAGAAGCCCAGATGAGGAGGTCAGTTGCTGTGGCCTGTCAGCCCTAGAGGTGATGTCACCGTCTCCCGAGGACAAAACCTTCATTTAGCTGCAAGAGGGAACAGTTGAGTAGTAAAGTGCTTATTGTTGTGGGTCATCCTTTGGCTCAGATTTTGTAAACAGATTCATCTTGAATGACTGCATGCATAGGGATTACAGGAACGACTGCATTGTCTGAAATGACAAGCCTGGAAATTTCCACTGTAGGGGGATGTCATGGGATTCACTACTGGTATAGACATTAAAACTTACAAAGAAGAAAATTCTGTAGAAATAAAGACATGCTTAATATATTTATTTGAAGAAAGCAGAAGGAAAATAAGTCTGATGTGTATCGCATGGGAAGAGGGACATTATGACGGCATAAAAAAGTTAAAATGGGCCAGGCGCAGTGGTTCATGCCTGTAATCCCAGCACTTTGGGAGTCCGAGGCGGGCGGATCACGAGGGCAGGAGATCGAGACCATCCTGGCTAACACAGTGAAACTCCATCTCTACTAAAAATACAAAAAAAAAAAAAAATTAGCCAGGCGTGGTGGCAGGTGCCTGTAGTCCCAGCTACTTGGGAGGCTGAGGCAGGAGAATGGCGTGAACCCAGGAGGCAGAGCTTGCAGTGAGCCGAGATAGCACCACTGCACTCCAGCCTGGGCAACATAGCAAGACTCCATCTCAAAAAAAACAAAAGTTAAAATGTTGAGATATTATGCCACAACATGGATGAACCTTGAAAACACTAGGCTAAGTAAAAGAAACCAGTCATTGGTTATACAATAACCATATCTGGTATAATTTCACTTCTATGAAATATCTAGCACAGGCAAATTCATAGAGACAAAAAGTAGATTAGTGGTTGCCTAGGGCTGCATGGGGAAGAGAATGAAGAGTGATTACCAATGGGCAGAAGGTTTCTTTTTTGGGTAATAAAAATGTTCTAAAAACGTGGTGACATTGCACAATTCTGTAAATATACTGAAAACTACTTGAGTTGTACATTTTAAATAGCTGAAATTTATGCTGTAAAAATTCTAGCTCAATAAAGCTGTCAAAAATGCTGGGGGTATTGGGAAAAGAGGATTCTTTTTTAAAAATTGTCTTATTGCATCAATTTATTACATTTTCAATAAACAATACAAAATGTATTTTCACATAGTAAAAATCCAGCAAGGATACATCACATTCACCAATGATAATAAATATTTATTTTTGAAAACCCAGACAGTGTATTTCTGATAAATCTTAAAATTGAAGATATTCAAAATTCAGTGCAATCAAATTTCCATTGTCTGTTTGACAATTAAACACCAGTGTGGAGTGCATTTGGTTTTCTAGCAGGTACTGCAGCAGCTGCTGATGGCCTCTTCTCTTTTTTCTCTGTTTCTTTGTCAAGGATGAAGTTGGCAAGAGTTCGCATGCTAGCCAGTGCTCCAGGGTGAGGGAGCAGTGGTCCCTAATCTCAAATGGGAGTTAAATTGGTCTTCCCAAATCACTACCATGGCCCAGTTGTTATTTTAATGGTGTTTTCCTCATGGTTTTGTGTGGCATGGTAGCAAAATGTTATTGAGTTGCCTTCATTCTTCTGTTATCTCTAACCACATATCCAGCTTCCTGAGTTTCTCTTTTTCATTTATAAAATAGGAACGATGACAGTACCTGACTTAAAACTCTACCATGTTAAAAAACAACAACAACAAAACGGTAGCTCTCTCAGGTTGATTCCAAGGCTGGGATGGGGAAAGTACTAAATGAGCCTAGACTCTTGCCATGCCATAGGCGAGGAAGTGCTCAGATAATGTTGTGGGCATGTCAAAAGAACAGGAGCTGGCTGGAAAGAGCCCTCACCAGCCAAATTTGGGATAATTTGAGTATCAAAATAAATGATGATGGTAATGGAGAGTAAACAATGGAACAAAATAGGAATTCATGAGTCTATAGTGATATAAATGTACGAATCAGTGGGAGAGAAGGGAAAGCTCTTCCCTACAGTAGAATGCCAACCAATAAACTTAGAAGAAATAATGGGATTAGAAAAGGAACCATTTGGCAATCACCACAGTAACAACTGATTCGGGCAGAAAATCATCAATGGATGCTAAAATCATGGTTTGAATGGTGAGAATTTGATGAGAAATATCTCTCAACAAGATACTAACTAATTAAAATGGGAAAAGTAGAAACTACAGTGGAGAAATCTGCCAGTACTACTTCGTAGATGATTAAAGTGAACACCATCCGCAATGGGAGAGAAAAAAATCACACGCTTTCTGTTGAGATGCGCTGAGATGGGCAAAATGTCATCTTGCAGGTATTCTTGCCTAGAAAGCACGTGCCTGAATCTAATCATAAAGAAGCATCAGGGCCAGGTGCAGTGGCTCACGCCTGTAATCCCAGCACTTTGGGAGGCCGAGACGGGCGGATCACGAGGTCAGGAGATCGAGACCATCCTGGCTAACACGGTGAAACCCCGTCTCTACTAAAAATACAAAAATTAGCCGGGCATGGTGGCGCGCGCCTGTAGTCCCAGCTACACGGGAGGCTGAGGCAGGAGAATGGCGTGAACCCGGGAGGCGGAGCTTGCAGTGAGTCGACATCGCGCCACTGCACTCCAGCCTGGGCGACAGAGCGAAACTCCGTCTCAAAAAAAATAAATAAATAAAAGCATCAGGCAAACTCAAATTAAGGGAGATCCAAAAAAGAATGTCCCATGTCATTCAAAAATGTCAGTGTCATAAATGACAAGCACTGAGGGATTGTACTGATATAGAGGAGGCTAAAGAGAAATGAAGACCAAGTGCAACCTGGACCTTGCAGCAGTAGAAAATATTAAAACAACAACAACTATAAAGGACATAAAGGGAACCACTGACAAAACTGGAATAAAATCTGTAGATTAGATAACAGAACTATGCCAGTGTTGATTTCTCAGTTTTCATCATCGTACAGTGGTTGCTGTACATTGTGTTTTAGAAAATATACATGGACATATTTAGGGGTAAAGTGGTAAGATGTCCTTGGCTACTTACTTGCAAATGGTTCAGCAAAAATTTATGCACACAGATGTTTGCACAACACACATAGAGAAAGAAAAAGGAGGGAGACTATGATAAAGCATATGTGATAAAAATTTTAATTAAAAAAAATTTTTTTTTAATTTCTCCATTTTTTGCGGAGACAGGGTCTCACTTTGTTGCCCAGGCTGGCCTCGAGCTCCTGGACTCAAGTGATCCTCCTGCCTCAGCCTCCCAAAGTGCTGGGATTATAGGCATAAGCCACTGAACCTGGCCCAAATGTGATAAAATTTTAACATTTGGAGAATCTAGCTAAAGAATATTTAGGAAATTTTTGTACTCTCTTTGCAACTTCCTCTAAGTTTAAGGTTATGTAAAAGTAAAAAGTTAAAAAAATGCCATGGGAATTAAATGTGATTATACAGGTAAAGCAGATAAAGTGTTTAGCACAGTAGCTGGCACGTGGGAAATACTTTCTGCAAGATAGCTGGTATTACAAAATTTATCGGCCAATATACAACCTTCTACTCTTTTCGGTACATCTGTCCATTGTCTATAGCAGGCGTGCCCAAACCCCAGGCCACACAGACTGGGACTGGTCCGTGGCCTGTTAGGAACCAAATAGACTGCACCGCAGGAGATGAGCTGTGGGCCAGCAAGCATTACTGCCTGAACTCCACCTCCTGTCAGATTAGCGGCCACATTAGATTCTCGCAGGAGCGCCAACCCTATTGTGAGTTGTGCATGTGAGGGACCTAGGTTGCACACTCTTTTTAAGAATCTAATGCCTGATCTGAGGTGGAACAGTTTCATCCTGAAACCATCTAACCCCCAACCCCAACACACAATTTTTCCAATTGTGCATCCTTTTACCATATCATCTAGCAATCACACTTCTTGACATTTATCCAAAGAAGTTGAAAACTTATGACCGCAAAAAAAACTTATGACCACTGCAACCTCCCTGGTGCCAAAAAGGCAGGGGACCGCTGGTCTAAAGAACACATGGGCTTCATCTCTCCTTCCACACTCTGCTTGTCTCCATTTCTGCCTTTGCCTGGCATGCACCCTGTAACCCTCCTGGCCAGCATGAAACATTTTTAGTTGAGCTCTAGTTCCTTTCCCAAGAAACTTTATTCACTAATCCCTATACCAACCTCTTCTTTCCTGAACTTCTGTAAATCCAATTACTAATATAAAAAGTAAGCATTGGCTTATTATCTGTCATAGGTGATTTTTTTTCTTTGTAAGAAGAAAATGGTGAAATACCATACACACCCATTAGAATGGCCAAAATCCAGAAGAGAGATGACACCAAATACTGGTGAGGATGTGGAGCAACAGGAACTCTCATTCATTGCTGGTGGGAATGCAAAATGGTACAGCCACTTTGAAAGACAGTTTGGCAGTTTCTTAAAAAACTAAGATCCTTTTACCATATCATCTAGCAATCACACTTCTTGACATTTATCCAAAGAAGTTGAAAACTTATGACCACAAAAAAACCTGCACAAGGATGTTTATAGCAGCTTTATTCATAATTACTAAAGCTTGGAGGAAAGCAATATGTTCTTCAGTAGATAAATAGATAAATAAACTTTGGTACACACAGACAATGGAATATTATTCAGTGCTAAAAAGAAATGAGCTATCAAGGTACTAAGACATGGAAGAAACATAAATACATTTTACTAAATGAAGGAAGCCAGTCTGAAAAGGCTACACACTGTATAGATACATATATAGGTACATACACACATACTGTACCTACATATGTATAGATATTGCAAAATTCCAACTGGCACATTACAGGCATTAGCCACCACACCTGGCCTATTTTCTAAATAATTTAGGAACAGTTTCTGGGTGCTTAACATCTGTCAAAGAGCAAAAGCCCTAGAAAGATTCCTGTCCTGGCTGGGCGCAGTGGCTCATGCCTGTAATCCCAGCACTTTGGGAGGTTGAGGTGGGCGGATCACCTGAGGTTTGGAGTTTGAGACCAGCCTGACCAAAATAGAGAAACCCCATCTCTACTAAAAATACAAAATTAGCCAGGCGTGGTGGCTCATGCCTGTAATCCCAGCT
The DNA here is from genome assembly GCF_000001405.40 of Homo sapiens. Taxonomy (NCBI): domain Eukaryota; kingdom Metazoa; phylum Chordata; class Mammalia; order Primates; family Hominidae; genus Homo; species Homo sapiens. The sequence goes on along the minus strand of NC_000004.12, from coordinate 17,539,331 downwards.
ACTCAGGAGGCTGAGGCAGAAGAATCACTTGAACCCAGGGGGTGGAGGTTGCAGTGAGCCGAGATCGTGCCATTGCACTCCAGCCTGGGCAACAAGAGCGAAACTCTGTAAAAAAAAAAAAAAAAAATCCTGTCCTCATAGAGATGACATTCTCATGGAGAAAGACAGGCAGTATACAGTAAGTATAACACAAATATCAATTATCTAGCATGTTAAAGATAAGCAAAAAGAAAACGTCGAGCAGGGTAGTAAAGATGAACAATAGTGGTAAGGTATAAGGCAGGCTTCACTATTAAACTGGGTTTAATTTGAGGCGAGACTCAAGTTCACAACGCAACCTCAAACCTCCTGAGAAGTCAATTCCCAAAATAGATGGGAAGGCAATTCCTAAAGTTGTGAGAGATGATGTAATCATTTACTTTGTGAGTAAGTGTCTTTTTGCCCTGACAAAGCTTAGAATTAAGTACAAAAATACTTAAAAGAAGCAAAATCAAGGTATTGATATTTTTGATTTTAAAATTTGTACTTCCTTATTATTTTATGTATTGGTGATGAAAGAGAAGCTGGTCTGCTGGTGAAACAGGACAGCCGTATATTTCTAATGATTTGGAATCATGTTTTGCTTATTTATATACAGGGCTGGAATTTTTTTTTTTTTTTTTTTGAGACAGAGTCTCGCCCTGTCGCCCAGGCTAGAGTGCAGTGGTGTGATCTCGGCTGACTGCAACCTCCGCCTCCCAGGTTCAAACAATTCTCCTGCCTCAGCCTCCCGAGTAGCCGGGATTACAGGCGCCTGCCACCACACTCAGCCTTTTTTTTTTTTTTTTTTTTTTTTGTATTTTTAGTAGAGACATGGTTTCACCATGTTGGCTAGGCTGGTCTCAAACTCCTGACCTCGTGATCCGCCCTCCTTGGCCTCCCGAAGTGCTGGGATTACACGCTTGAGCCACTGCACCCAGCCAGAATTTTTAAGATAACTTAAGGTTCACAGCATTTTAACTTTAATTCATTAGACTTAGAAGAATTATTAAATTTTGTCAGTTAATTGAAGTGCATGGAAAATAAATTAAGTTACATAGGCTGTTTCAAGATGTTTATTTAGTACATTCATAAAGGGGACCAAATGGTAAACCAAAGCTTTTAAAAAGAGATCACTAAAATTTGCTAACCTAAAAAACAGAACAATAATATTTATAAGCTTAACTTCAATTTAAGGAGAAACAAATTTTGTGAATGTATAACTTTAATAAATGGAATATTACCTATTTCAATGTATTATTATTATTATTTTCATTTTTGCTGAAAGGCATACAACGTGCTATGTAAAGGGAACTTGAAAAAGTCATGCATTCCCATTCTTTACTTTCTGAAGTAACTAACAGTGTTTTTGCCACAGTTTTGTAAATTCTAACTAACTTGTTAAAGTTTGCCATAGTGATGACTGAGAAAAGAGACGAGGCCTTCATGATGAGGGCTTTAAAGAAACAAAGGCATACTTACAAAACAAGATTTAAAACATCACGATTAATTAATTTTCAAGAAAATTGTTTTCATTACAAGGAATAACCTACTACAGCAAAACCCTGAAGGGTGGGCCTTTAAAATGGTTCAGCTGACTACTCACCATAGGAACACTACTTTTCAAAACTAAAGTAAAATTTTGAGTAGTTTGTTTTGGAGTCAGAAATCACCATTACTGACATAGTTAATAAACAGCTGGTATATCAGGAGCCACCTCTCAGGTGGGCCACTTAAGCTGTGGTACCCAGGGAAGCTTCAACAAGAGTAGACAGAATGACTCGAGGATGGCTCATTTCTCTCTTCAACAGTGCTGAGAACTTTTTTCCTTTCTTTTTTTTTTTAAATATATTTTTATAGAGATGGGGTCTCCCTATGTTGCCCAGGCTGGTCTCAAACTCCTGGGCTCAACTGATCCTCTTGCCTCGGCCTCCCAAAGTGCTGGGATTATATTAATAGACAAACATCTCCTTTTCAATAGAAAGAATCCTTTTGTCCTATTCACTCCCTCCTGCCTCCTACCGCACGGTGGCATAAGCCACCACACCTGGTCTGGTGCTGAGAACTTCTGTGGGCCTCTTACAAACATCTCTCTCTCTCTCTTTTTTTTTTTTTTTTTGATAGAGTCTCACTCTGTTGCCCAAGCTGGAGTACAGTGGTGTGATCTCGACTCACTGAAACCTCTGTCTCCCAGGTTCCAGTGATTCTCCTGCCTCAGCCTCCCGGGTAGCTGGGATTACAGGCACGAACTACCACGCCTGGCTAATTTTTGTATTTTTAGTAGAGACGGGCTTTCACCATGTTAGCCAGGCTGGTCTCGAACTCCTGAGCCTCAGCCTCCCAAAGTACTAGGATTACAAGTGTGTGCGCCTGGCCACATCCCCTTTTCAATAGAAAGAATTCTTTTTGTCCTCTTCACTCCCTCCTTCCTCCTACTCCCTTGAAATCTGTAAGGTTGAGAGAATTGTTATGTTAGAAGAAAAAAATGTATTATATACAATTTATTGTTCCGCAAGAGGTCAATGACAAAAGAAAAATCACTGTGGTTCCAAAGTCATTTGTTAGTGTTGCTTATTATTTTTTCCAAAACAGAAAGCAATAAAGCAAACAATTACATGCCATGTTTTTACATTTGTTTTATTTAACCAAGAACTCAGCCGCGAACATCAGAGAAATGCATATACAATATATTCAGAATATAGTTGAATTGGTGGTTGAAATCCTCACAATATTAAATTGTCAGTGCATGTAACAGCATCTCCAATCACACTGGTAGTCAACTATTACCAAATAGCATTCATGAAAATGCCTAGCTTAGTGCCCGGCATATAGTTAGGTGCTTTATTCACTATAAATCTGGATATATTATATAGCATTAAAAGTCATAACATTTTAGAGAGGGAAAGAAAATTAGAGATTATCTTACGCGACTTGGTTATATTATAAATGAGAAAGCTGTGTTTCTAATTCTTTAACTTGTGAATAAATGTAATGAATAAATGTGAATCTGAAAGAGTCAATCCTTCAACATGGATCCTGAGTGGCTAACTGGGCCTAAGTTTTGAATACAGCCAAGGAGCCATTTGCTTATTAGAGGTCAAACATACACTCTGAGTTCCCCGCAAACCCACACCCTTTTAACTTGGAGACTTTCAGGTCTCACCTGAACCAACCAATCAGAGCTCACCGGCCTTGGCCAATCAGGACTCAGCTATATAAACCAATCAGGGTGCAGCTCTACCAACCAATCAGAACTCAGCTGTGTTGGTCAATCAGAGCTAAGAAAGTTTGAATCCTTTATTTTCATAAGCAGACCTGATTGGGAAGCTGGGGTGGACGTTTTGCTATAAACCTGAACCCTCTCTTTGTTCTCTGGAATGCACTTTTGTTTTACACTGAAGCTGTTTCCTCAGTTTGCAAACTGTTCACTGGAATAAAGTCTCTTTCCTCCAAATTCCTTTTCAGAGAACTTGTGTTCACAAACTGAAGGCTGCATCTCCTCAGTTTACAAACTGTGTCTCCTTGGTTTGCAAGGCTGGGAATAGGGTAGGCACCTACTTCAAATCCTTATACGTTAGGCTAGGTACATCCTTGAAAATCACACGGGTAGAAGGAGGCTGCATCTCTCTGGTTTTCAAACTGTTCATTGGAATAAAGTCTCTTTCCTCCATATTTCTTTTCAGAGAACTTTTGTTCAAAAACCCAAAAACTGGTAATAAGAGCAACTACGTCTCAGAATTTTTATGAGAATGAAAATGAAACAATGCATGTGGGGAAATTAGTAGAAAGCCTAGCATATGGCAAACGCTCTGTTATTGATTGGCCTTATTTTTGTCAAGCTGTGACTATTGCTGACTCATGATTGACACTGCCGTAGAAAAGAAAGTAAGAAACAGAGAGCAGACAACCTAATTTATCTGGCAAGGATTTCATGTGTGTCCTAGTTGCATAGGTTTGTTAAGAAGCTCTACTCTTGGTTTCACAACCCAAACTACCAAAACAAAAGGAAACGAAGAATCATGAGGAAATGAATAGGAGAAATCTTTCACCTGTAGAAATTCATCTAAAATGGGCTCAGGAAGCCGGGCATGGTAGCTCATGCCTGTAATACCAGCAATTTGGGATGCTGAGGTGGGCGGATCATTTGAGGTCAGGAGTTCAAGACCAGCCTGGCCAACATGGTGAAATCCCGTCTCTACAAAGAAATACAGAAAAAAAAAAATTAGCTGGGCATGGTGGTACATGTCTGTGGTCCCAGCTACTTGGGAGGCTGAGGCAAGAGGATTGCTTGAATTCGGGAGATGGAGGTTGCAGTGAGCCAAGATCACACCACTGCACTCCAGCGTGGGTGGCAGAGTGAGACTCCATCTCAAAAAGAAATTAAAATAAAATAAAATAATAAAATAAAATAAAATAAAAACAAAATAAATAAATAAAATGGGCTCAGTAACTTCTCTGAGTTGCTGTGTCCCTCTCCAGTATCACATCAGGAAATCACATTTCACATTTCACCTTTGAGATTCCCTGTGTCTTGCGTAGCCTCCTTCCCCTCTATGACTTCCAGCGATGAACCTGGCTTAATATTTAAGTACTGGAAGTAGGTTAGCACTTCATTCCCAGCAAGTATTTTCTTTTTTCTTTTTTTTTGAGATGGAGTCTTTCTCTGTCACCAGGCTGGAGTGCAGAGGGCGTGATCTCGGCTCACTGCAACCTCAGTCCCCGGGTTCAAACTATTATCCTATCTCAGCCTCCTGAGTAGCTGGGACTACAGGCATGCGCCACCATGCCCAGTTAATTTTTGTATTTTTAGTAGAGATGGGGTTTCACCATCTTGGCCAGGATGGTCTTGATCTCTTGACCTCGTGATCCACCCACCTTGGCTTCCCAAAGTCCTGGATTACAGGCGTGAGCCACAGCGCCCAGCCCCAGCAAGTATTTTCTAAATTGTGATGCTAATCTATTAATAATGATTAATAATTAATACTTTTGTTCATGAGTTTTATATCTAAACATTATGTTCTTTTCATGAATATTGTTAGAACAAGAAATACTGGCATTGAGTAACATTGTTGTGGTGGGTGGAAATCTGTTCCCCAAAGTTGTCTTGGATTATCTGGGTGGACCAAGTATAATCACAAGGGTTCTTTTAAGAGAGAGGCAGAAGGGTCAGAGCCATCATCACCTGTATGATGGAAGCAGAGTCTGGGAATATATAATTGTTGGAAGGAACCATGACTTAGCAAATGCAGGTGGCCTCGGGAAGCTAAAAAAGGCAAAGAAACAAACTTTGTCATAGAGCTTCCAGAAGAAACACAATTCTGCCAATACCTTTTCTCTTCTTTTTCTTTCTTTCTTTTTTTTTTTTTTTTTTTTGAGAGGGGGTCTCATTTTGTTACCCAGACTGGGGTGGAGTGGCATGATCATAACTCACTGTAACCTGGAACTCCTAGGCTCAAGTGATCCTCCTGCTTTAGCCTCCTGAGCAGCTAGGACTATAGAGGCATGCCACCATGACTGGCTAATTTTTAAATTTTTAGTAGATATGGGGGTCACTACTATGTTGCCCAGGCTTGCCTCCATCAATCCTCTTACCTTGGCTTCCCAAAGCGCTGGGATTTCAGGCATGAGACATTGTGCTTGACCTCTGCCATCACCTTGACTTACCCCAGTGTCTTAGTCCATTTTGTGTTGAATACCAAAAACTGGGTAATTTGTAAGGAAAAGAAATTTATTTCTCATAGATCTGAAGGCAGGGGAGTCCAATATCAAGATGCTGGCATCTGATGGGGCCCTTCTTGCTGCATCATAACACAGTGGGAAGCATTACACGATGAGAGAGTGTGAATTAATCCATTCACCAGGGCAGAGCCCTCATGACCTAATCACCTTTTGAAGGTCTTACTTCTCAACAATTTTGAATTAGGGGCCATGTCTAACATATGAACTTTGGGTGACACATCAAAACCATAGCACCCAGTAAGACCCATTTTGGTTTTCTGACCTCTGAAATTCTTAAGATAATAAATGTGTGTTGTTCTGAACCACCAAGTGTGTGGTTATTTGTTTCAGGAACCCTAGGAAAACAATGCAATTGTCTTTTTGGATTATGTTGCACATTTTTGCTAAAGCATGGGTTAGTTCTCATTAACCATCAACCTCTTTGCAGTGACCTTATTTATGATATAGAAAACAGGATTTTTTAAATTGAAGGAGTTAGCATTTTTACTATATGCTTTTGGAAGTGTGAGGAGTTGTTTAATTTACTCTTCATAGTTTCACATTTTTCTTGAAAGAGAGAGAAGTATATTTGTAACATATAACTCTGCTCTGATTTGACATGGAAAGATCCTTGCTATCCAAAAGTCTTGATAAATTGTATATGTTATTAGTTGTATTTTCATTAATGAAAACCACGTATTACTCATTTTTTTTTTGGATGGAGCTTCGCTCTTTTTGCCCAGGCTGAAGGGCAATGGCATGATCTCGGCTCACTGCAACCTCTGCCTCCCAGGTTCAAGCGATTCTCCTGACTCAGCCTCTCAAGTAGCTGGGACTACAGGCGCACTCCACCACGCCTGGCTAATTTTTTGTATTTTTAGTAGAGACAGAGTTTCACCATGTTGGCCAGGCTGGTCTTGAACTCCTGACCTCAGGTGATCCACCCGACTCGGCCTCCCAAAGTGCTGGGATTACAGGCTTGAGCCACCGGCCCTGGCAATTACTCATTTTTTATATTGTGAACATAGAGTAGAACTTCTTTTCACCAGTAACAAATTACTTTTCTTAATTGCAGCTAAAGTTTATTGGCTTTGGCCCCTGCAGTTAGTATTAGTAATATCATATCATTAGCAAGCATACAAATGTATGCATAGGATAATTATTTTTAAAGGGCATATGCAAATTAATCATCATCACATTCTAATTAATGTCATAAAATAATGTTATGACTAACATTTTGACTTTGCATGGACTGGTCGGCTGGAAGGGATAGTGCACTGCAGGCCACTGGACACCTTTGTGAGCCTTAGGAAAAGGCATCCCCTTTAGGAGAAAGCACCTTTGTGGATGAGGCCAGGACAAGCCAGGGGCGCATGGGCTAGTCCCTCACCCCCTATACTTGCACCTCCCTTGGGCGGGGTGCAACCTGCACAGCCACTTGCAGAAATCCTGAGAAGAAGCCTCAAGAGTGATTCAAGGCAATAATCTTGGTGTATTGCAAAAGTGGTGGCCTTGACGTCATATAAATGAGGGCTGAAGTCTTTCTCCATTACTTATTAGCAATGGGGCTGAGCAAGTTCCTTAAATTCTCCAAACCTAAAATTACCCATCTGTTAAAAAAAGATAATGTTATTTATCTTGAATAATTGTCAGAATTAAGGAGAAAGTGTACAGTGCCTGGCCCACACAAGATGGTGACCTCTGAGAGGAAAGAACTCAGTGTTTTTCTGAGCTCTCAAACTACTCTCAACAACAATTAATACAGAAGACTTCTATGACCAAATGTGGGGAATTTCCCTCCATCAACAAATAAGCAATCCGTTTTGCAGCAGACACCAGGTGGGTGTGCTGTAAGTCAGTTCTGACACTATCCATGTGGAGATAGCATCACGTCCCACAGGCTGAGGGCTCAGTCCCCAAAGCTGTCCCTCCTCCCTCAGACACTAGTCGCAAGTCTGGGTTTCTGGAACTTCTGACTGATTGGCCTCAAATTAGCCAAATCCACAACTTCGTCTTTGGGTTTGGCTAATTCGCTGGGGCAGCTCACAGAACTCAGGGAAACACTTCTATTTACTGGTTTATTACAAAGGATATCACAAAGGATACAGATAAAGAGATGCATGGAGCAAGGTATGGGAGAAGGAGCGCGGAGCTTGCATGCTCTCCCTGGGTGCACCTCCCTCCAGGAACCTCCACATACTCAGCCATCTGGAAGCTCTCCAAACCCAGTTCTTTTGGTTTTCTGCCGAGGCTTCATTATGTAGGCATGATTGATTAAGCATTGGCCATTGGTGATCAACTTAACCTTGAGCCCCTCTTTCGTCCCAGAAGTCATGGGTGTGGGTGAGGCTGGAAGTCCCAACCCTCTAATCCTGCCTTGGTCTTTTCCTGTGACCAGCCCCCTTCCTGAAGCTACTATTTATTTACTCATAGAGTGACCAAATTAATTATAGTCAAGATAAAGGAGCTACATTTTCCTCTGTGCATTTGAAAAATAATGCAAGTGAATTTTGTGACCCAGATATTTAATCTCCCTTCTTCCCACCCCCACTCTCAACCTGCTAAATGCCACATAGGAATCTCATTTACAGTATTCCTGAAAGATAGTCTTTCAGACTAAGATTATTACCAGTAACACTATGGTTGCCACCTGCTGGATCATGGTTTAAAGACGTCATAGATACTTCTGAAACACTTTCAAAAGCTATGGACTCTGCCACAGAAAAAATGCACATGCGTACAAAAGCCTGCACTTTGACTTCTTGAAACACATCCGGCTGGGTGCAGTGGCTCATGCCTGTAATCTCAGCACTTTGGGAGGCCGAGGTGGGTGGATTGCCTGAGGTCAAGAGTTCAAGACCAGCCTGGCCAACATAGTGAAACCCCGTCTCTACTAAAAATACAAAAAATTAGCTGGGCATGATGGCGAGCACCTGTAATCCCAGCTACTCGGGAGGCTGAAGCAGCAGAATCGCTTGAACCCGGAAGGCAGAGGTTGCAGTGAGCCAAAATCCTACCATTGCACTCCAGCCTGGGCGACAGAGCAAGACTCTGCCTCAAAAAAAAAAAAAAAGAAACACAACTGTCTTGATTAAAGTCAATCCTAATCTACACTTAGAAGCAAAACTGAATTCACCCTGCCCCCCCTCTTTTTTTTTTTTTGAGACAGAGTTTCACTCTTGGCGTCCAGGCTAGAGTTCAATGGCGTGATCTCAGCTCACTGCAATGTTAGCCTGGGTTCAAGCGATTCTCCTGCCTCAGCCTCCCAAGTAGCTGGGATTACAGGCACCCACCACCACACCCGGCTAATTTTTGTATTTTTAGTAGAGACAGGGTTTCACCATGTTGGCTAGGCTGGTCTTGATCTCCTGACCTCAGGTGATCCGCCCGCCTCAGCCTCCCAAAGTGCTGGGATTACCGGCGTAAGCCACTGCACCCAGCCCACTCTGCTCCCTTCTTGGCATGATGGTCTGCATATGACTGAAGGCAGTGATCAGTTCAAAGGCTATGGTCCTGATGACTTTTTATTTTTATTTTTATTTTTGGAAATAGAGAGAGAGGGTCTCACCATGTTGTCCAGGCTGAACTCCTAGACTCAAGCAGCCCTCCCTCCTTGGCCTCCCAAAGTGCTGGGATTACAGGCATGAGCCACCACACCTGTCCACCGTGCTAACTCTTTGCATAGCTCCATCACAAGCCTTCTCAGTATGAATCATCCCCAGCTGCTGGGAGAATGAAATGTCTGGAGGGCAGAGATTTTTGTCAGTTCACTGCTTTAGTCCCAGCACCTAGATCAGTATCAATACTGTTGAATGAATAAATGTACCAAGATCCTCAGACACTTGTCATATAAACTGTTGTCAGATTTTCTGTATTTATGTTGATTTTAAAAAAACCTGTCAGCAGGACTTTGTGTTCAAACTTGATACGATATTGACATTTCCTCTGGTTTTCAAGACAGCTTGGCAGTCTGTCACTATCTTTTGGATCCGTCTCCTATCACATAACTGTCTCTTCTAGCCATGTGCCATCTGCATCTTTGGTGAGTGACATCAGTCCACTAAATAGTGCTGAAGCTATGCCTGGGATGTGGAAAGAGGGCTGAAAGGGGCAGGTGAGCCCAGCAAGGAATTATAAAGAAGAGAGAGATGACATGAGCACTTCCTGAAGTCACCAAATCAGGTGTCATTTTAGATGGAGCTAATCTGGGGAATTAGATCACTTAAAAAAAAAAATTCCTAGGTTGGGCGTGGTGGCTCATGCCTGTAATCCCGGCCCTTTGGGAGGCTGAGGTGGGTGGATCACTCGAAGTCAGGAGTTTGAGACCAGCCTGACCAACATGGTGAAAACCCATCTCTACTAAAAATACAAAATTATCTGGGCGTGGTGGCACACACCTGTAATTCCAGCTACTTGGGAGGCTGAGGCAGAATTGCTTGAACCCGAGAGGCGGAGGTTGCAGTGAGCTGAGATTGCGCCATTGCACTCCAGCCTGAACAACAGGAGCGAAGCTCTGTTTAAAAAAAAAAAATTCCTTTTCCTTTTTTTTTCTTCAGGTCAGATGGGTAATGTGCAGATGTCATAACAAGGTTCCAGGGTAGCATATCTCACACACGTGCACGAAAACCCAATCGTCATCCTCATGAACTACAAAAGGATCGCATTAGATAACTTTTGCATGACATGAAGATAGGGGACCTGGGAAAAGATTCATCCAAGCTAGCACCATGGGAAAATGAGTTCATAGAGTTGTGTACCTCTGTTAGTCAGGGTTCTCCAGAGGAACAGAGCCAACAGGCTGTGTGTGTGTGTGTGTGTGTGTGTGTGTGTCTGTGTGTGTGTGTAGTGACAGAGAGAAAGAGGGGGATATTTTAAGGAATTGTCTCACGTGACTCAGGAGGCCAGCAATTCCAGGATCTTGAGGCTTGGTGGGCAGGCTGGAGATACAGTGACAGTTGCAGTGTGAGTCCAAAAAGTCTACTGGCAGAATTCTCTCTCCCTCAGGGGAGCGAGGCCTTTTTTCTATTAGGGCCTTCAACTGATTGGATGAGGGAATTCCATCCAGTTACAGATGGTAATCTGTTTTACTCAAAATACACAAATTTAAATGTTAATCTCATCAAAAAATACCTTTGAAAAAACATCTAGAAGTGTTTGACCAAATATCTGGGTACTGTGGTCCATCCAAAGTGACACATAAAATTAATCATTCCAGTGGCACTTAGGAAAACCCAACACAAAACAGCCGAATTTCTCCAACAGGTGATTAAAGCGACATTCTAATCCCATTGAGTACTCACATGCTTCTAAGCCCTCCTTGAAATTTCTTTTTTTTTTTTTTTGAGACAGAGTGTCACTCTGTCACCCAGGCTGGAGTGCAGTGGTGTGATGTTGGCTCACTGCAACCTCCACCTCCCGGGTTCAAGCGATTCTTCTGCCTCAGCCTCCCGAGTAGCTGGGACTACAGGTGCACACCGCCACGGCAGGCTAATTTTTGTATTTTTAGTAGAGACAGGGTTTCACCATATTGGTCAGGCTGGTCTCGAACTCCTGACCTCATGATCTGCCCACCTCAGCCTCCCAAAGTGCTGGGATTACAGGTGTGAGCCACTGTGCCCAGTCCCTCCTTGTAATTTCATGCCCTGTGCCCAGCCTTTTTACTGACGCATCCTGGAATGCCCTTCTTTAACCTTGCTTCCTTCACCACTGGAAAAAGTCTACTCATCTTTCAAAGCTCAGATCAAATGTTCACGCTGTGATACTTTCTTTAATACCACATCCCATCCTCAAGATTTAATTCCCTCCTCGGTCCCTTATGGCTGTTCTATTATTAGGTTGGTGCAAAAGTAATTGCTGTTTTTGCCATTAGGACCTAATGAGTTAATAAATGAGTTAGAACAGTGTCTAGCACATAGTAACCACTCAAAAAATGGCAGTTACTTACATTCTTAGTGTTACCGTTGCTAAGTCCTGTGTCATGTAGAAAGATAGGTGTTTCTGGAGGGCAGGAACGGGAACAGTATCATATTCCTCTTAGAATTCTTCCCCACTCACCAGCCCAATATTGTATGGAATCGACCAGGGATCTACAGACACTTATTGGAGTATGTAGTATCTTATATTTGTCAAGTGCTCTACAGAATGCAGAATCTGGCAATATCATCACCCATTTAAATTTCACAATAGCCTTGCGAAGTTGTTACTGTGCTTAGTTTACAGATGAAGAAACAGAGACGTAGACATTAAGTGAATTGTCTAATGTCACACACAGCCGGCAAGTGGCAGAGTCTCCAGCTGCAACTTGAACTCCAAGGTCATGAGAGAGGAATGCAAGGACGCTGGGGATTCCGGGCAAGTTTTTCTTTTCTGGCCCAGGCAACAGCCTTGGTCCTTCACATCCTTTTTCTTACTGCTGAGAACATAGCCATGATGGAGTGGGAAGGCTGCAAAAACATGAGGACTCCATTCGCACACAGAACTGACTTAGGACAGGTTGTGAACAGGGGAAGGCTATTAATACAAGATATCCTCAGCTGTGACCGTGGCCTCTTCGATTTTGGTCTTAATCTCAGGGAGGGGAATTTGACTGATCGCCACCACGACCAAGTTTGCAGCATGGGCCGAAGCGCTGGCCACGCAGATCCAAAACGACTCTTCATACTGTTCTTCCACCACCACAAACTGGAAGAGCTTCTCCTGAAAGTTGGCGATTCGTTCCGTCAGGTCGTGAAATTTCACCGCAGCCACGAAGCTGGCGATGGCTAACGCCACGACGCCGCCTGAAACTCAAAAAGGTCACCCTCATTCACGGCTCCTTTTTGCAACTCTGTAAGAGGTGGCATTTCTGTGCCACGTGTGACAAACTTGCTTTGGGTTAACAAAATTATGAGGAAGACATAAGTTTTAATTTGCTTTTAAAAGTAGGAGATAACCCACACAGTATGAAGGAGAAAGGCAGGATTGTGCGGGGAAAGAGAGGATCTGCTTTATCAGCTTTGAATTTCCACCCCTCCAATTATTTTTGTTTGTTTGTTTTGAGATGGAGTCTTGCTCTATTGCCCAGGCTGGAGTGCAGTGGCACCATCTCAGCTCACTGCAACCTCTGCCTCTCGGGTTCAAGCCATTCTCCTGCCTCAGCCTCCTGAGTAGCTGGGACTACAGGTGCCTGTCACCACAGCCGGCTAATTTTTGTATTTTTAGTAGAGATGGGGTTTCATCATGTTGCCCAGGCTGGTCTCGAACTCCTCACCTCAAGTGATCCATTCACCTTGGCCTCCCAAAGTGCTGGAAGTACAGGTGTGAGCCACCGCACCCGGCCCACTCTTCCAATTTTTCCCCTTACCCAGTACCATGCTTCCTAAGGATCCACGTTTGGAGAAGTTCATTGTCTAAAATATCCTAGGATTTCTATGAAGACCGTGAAGGCTATGTGGCAAGATGTAAGAAAAACTGTTGCTCTCCTGTTTAATTATCCTCCTTCCATGCTTAAGGATAAGGATGACCATTCATAGAAAAAGGAAAGGAGGGAGGGGAAAACTGGAAGAATTCCAAACTACTTCCCTATGTTTTGCTTGAAACTTTGACTTTCTGGGAGGAATCTGTCTCTCTCTCTCTCTCCCCCTCTCTTCCTCTGGTTTCAATTTTAATTAATATTTTTAATAACACATTTATGATGCTTCTTAAAAGATTAGTATATCTTCATCGAAGAAAAATTTGGACACCAGAGAAAATCATAAGCAAATTTACTTTTATCCTAAAAGCCAGCTTGAACCCTTTGAACATTTTAGTGTTTTTCTTTATGTTTCTTTCTCTTTAAGAAAATTAGTATTATGGTGTTCTTACTTTGATTTTAAATTTGATTTTTTTCCCCTCACTTGGACATTTTTACGTGTTGTTACATATTCTGTTACAGAATGACTTTATTGTCTGTTTTTATTTTTGTTTTTGAGACAGGGTCTTGCTCTGTCACCCAGGCTGGAGTGCAGTGGCATGATCACGGCTCACTGCAGCCTCGACCTCCTGGGTTCAAGCGATCCTCTTGCCTCAGCCTCCTGAGTAGCTGGGATCATGGGTGCATGCCACCATGCTTGGCTAATTTTTGATTTTTGTTGGTTTGTTTGTTTGTGGAGATGAGGTCTCACTATGTTGCCCAGGCTGGTCTTGAACTCCTGAGCTCAAGCAATCCTGCTGCCTCAGCATCCCCAAGTGCTGGGATTACAGGCGTGAGCCACCGTGCCAGGCTTACAGCATGACTATAAATGAGTGCATAGTATTTTATGCACTACACACTATAATTTATGTAAGTATTTTTAGTAGAGACTAAACAGTCTCTACTAAATTATAGAAATAAGGTCACACACTATAATTTATGTAAGTATGACCTTATTTCTGGATGTCTAGATTACTTCTAATTTTTTGATATTATAAAGTGCTACAGCAAATACCATTTTATGTACATCCTTGTTCTCTTGTCCAGTATTTCCTTAGCATAAATTCAAACATGGAATTGTTTAGTCAAAAGATATTCAAAGGCTATTCACCTTTTTCTGCCTTCTGACACTACAGTGTTGTTGTTTTTTTAAGCTCAGTGGCAAGAAATAAAGTTTTGTCAAAAGACATAAAGCTTTGCCTGTTTTTATTTTTTATTTTTTGAGACAAGGTTTCGCTCTGTTGGCTGAGGCTGGAGTGCAGTGGCATGATCACGGTTCACTGCAGCCTGGACCTCCCAGGCTCAAGCAATCCTCCCACCTCAGCCTCCCTAAGTGTTGGGATTATAGCTCTCAAGCAGCTGAGACTACAGGCACCGGACACCATGGACAGCTAATTTTTTTTTTTTTTTAGAAATGGGGTCTTGCTGTGTTGCCCAGGCTTTTTTGCCTGTTGCTAATACTCTCATCAGTAGAGTCTGAGAGTGCTATCTCTCTAAGGAAAGGAATGGACAGAGATAAATATTTATTTAATAAGCAGCGTTGAGCACTTTTTACATGACAGCCTCTGTGAGGATTCATGCAGATGAGGAAGACACCTGTAGTCTTGATGAGGGTAAGCCATGTATGTAAACAATTCTACAGGGTGGCTACCATCTGCAAACAAAGGCAAATACATAATAATTGATTGATTGATATACATTATAATACATAATAAAATAACATTACCTGTTTTTATATTATTCTTGTATAAGGTAATCATAGCGAGGGATTATTGTTCTAATGGTACCTTGAATATTTGACCTGAGTTTTCTGTGACAGCCCTCATTTCACAAGATTCTGTTATTTTCATTACAGATGATTTGTTAAGTGCATAATTAAATGTGAATTAATTTCTGTGCATCAATATACTCCCAAATCAACATGCGCGCGCACACACACACACACACACACACACACACACATCTTGTAGTTTTTGGCTTGGAAAACAGGTCATGATGGTCATAAATGAGAGCATGGATCTGTGGAAAAATAAAGAGCTTAGAATCAGTTACACCTAGGTTGGAATACCACCTCTGCCACTCATTGTGGTGCGACTGTTTAACTTCTCTGAGCCTCAGGCTCTTCATCTGTAATTGTGGGTCTAATAATACCTCCCATAGGGATGTGGTGAGATTTAAATGAAGCAATGCATGCAAAATCTCCAGGTCCCTGCCCAGCCCTTAGTGGTTGCTCAGTAAGTTGCATCTAGTTTAAGGGCATGGTGCAGTGAAGGTGTTGGGGAGGTGAGAGGAGGGAGAGTTGAGACAGCCAGTGAGCCACGTCTGCATTAATATGCCCAAGTGTGTGTGTGGGGGGAACACCAAAGACCTTGGCAACTAGATGGCACTCACTTCCCCTTCTCAACCCAGAGCCTGAATGGAGGAGCCTTTCACGAATGGCCTCTTGCTCACACTACCCTTCTCTTCTGTCATTTGTGGAGTTCCTCCCAGCCTTAGCTGCAGCACCAGCTCCATCTCTTTCCCATCTCAGGGCCCCCACCTCTCCCTACTTCCAGCTCTCTGTCTTCTGGCTTCTTCTTTCACCTCGATCTCTCTTCACTGCTCTAAGCCCTCAGCCATTCACGTACTCTAATAAGATGCTTCTTTGTTGTGACAGACTCTGCAACTTAAAGAGGAAATTCTTGAGCACTTTGGGAGGCTAAGACAGGTGGATCCCTTGAGCTTAGGAGTTTGAGACTAGCCTGGGCAACATGGTGAAACCTGTCTCTATAAAAAATACAAAAAATTAGCTGGGCATGGTGGTGCACGCCTGTACTCCCAGCTACTTGGGGGCCTGAGGTGGGAAGATCACTTGAGCCCAGGAGGTCAAGGCTGCAGTGAACTGAGATCGCACCACTGCACTTCAGTCTGGGTGACAAAGTGAGACCCTGTCTCAAAGAAAAAAAAAAAAAAAGAAAAAGAAAAAGAGGACATTCATTCCATGCCCATCAAGAAGGTCTTAGACCCAGGAAGGTCAAGGCTCCAGTGGGGCATTTTAGTTCCTTCACACCTTCTGCCCAACTACTTGGAGCCCAGCCCTATGATGGTGTGGACATAATTTTCTCTCCCTAAGGGACTTCTTACCTGCCAGGACATTCCATAGGCAGATGCCCCCAGGACCGCTGACTGCCCGGTACGGGACCTGGATCATGTTAAGAATGGCAAAGCCCATGCTGACCAGAGCCAGGGCCAAGGCCAGGAAGAGGAGCAGCAGAATCATCACATGAAGGCCTGCGTTGAGCTCCTTCACCAGGTGTGGGAAGACTGGGGAGACAAGACACAGCCACTATTTCAATGTCAGAGTTAGACTCACTTTCATGAAGTCCAAGCTTGCTTACCACGAAGGCTTCGACAGACAGGGGTGAGGGCAAGACAGCAAGCGTGGGGATTTCAAACAGCGGGAGACTTTCTGAGATGAACTCATGGCCCCCAGATTCATGCTTGTCAGTTGACCAACAAGCCTCTGTTCCTTAGAGTGGACACAAAATCAAAATATGCCCTGGCTGTCAATTTAAGTTGCATTGAGCTTGAAGCTCTGGGATCTGATGTGAACTGATGCACACAGGCCCCAGTGACTTAGCAAGGTAGACCCTGGCTTATCCCCATGTATGAAGGACACATAATTCTCACGTTGCACAACGTTTTATTAAAATATTAATTTGCCTTATGAGTATGGCAAAATAAGTTAGTGAAATCTTAATTCATATTTGTTTTCTCTATGTTTGCCAGCAGTACCAGCTGTGAAGATGAAATGACATAACATAATAGAGTAGCTCAAATAGTGCCTGGGAAAGTCAGTTCTCAAAAATGGCAGCTGTGGTTATTGCTGTTATATTTTGACAGTCTTGGGAAAGTCATGTGACTTCTCAAGCCTCAATTTCTTCATCAGTACAATGGGGATAGTAATCCCTGCATATGAATTGAGGATAATCAACATTTACTAAGTGCAGTCATGGGCCAAACATTTTACATCGTCATCTTGTTCAATGTGCATGACAAAGACATGAGGTAGATTTTATAAACTCCTTATACCCACAGGCTTGGAGACATTAATTGCTTGTGTTTGGGGAAGGCAACTCTTAATTCTATATAAGATTATAGTTCAATATACTATGAGAACAAATGTGACCCTGAAAGAGCCCGTCCTTCAAGATGGGTCCTGAGTGGTTAACTGGCTCTAAATTTAAAGTAGGGCCAAGTGGCCATTTACTGACTAGGGGGTCACACGCATCTTCTGAGTTCCTTGAAAACCCACACCTTTTTATCTTTGAGATCTGCCTCAGCCAATCAGGGCTCAGCTGTAATGACCAATCGGGGCTCAGCTGTACCAGCTAATCAGGGTTCAGCTGTATCCACCAATCAGAACTAAGTGAATTTGAATCCTTTATTTACCCAAACAGACCTGACTGGAAACCTGGGTGGGAACTTTTGCTATAAAATCTGAGCCTTCCCTTTCTTCTCTGGAATACACCTTCCTTTTACACCGGAGGCTGTGTTTCCCTGGTTTGCAAACCGTTAACTGGAATAAATTCTTTACTCCAAATTCCTTTTCTGAGAACTGTTGTTCACAACTGTATGGTATCAACAGTGTCAAGTCATGATCTTTAGTAGTTTTACATGAAGAATTGAACATTATGAAAGCTACAGAACTTCTGAGCATACTCATTCCTCTGCAATTGCTCCAAGGTTCCTGCTGAATACCCACCCTGATGGAACTAGTTCCTTTGCTGGTTCACCTGCCTCTCTTAGTCACTGAAGGTTGGCGTCTCCCAGTCCTGAGAACTAGAGTTTTTGTTTTTCCCGTTAGGTGTCCCGTTAGGTGACACATTTTCAGGCACTCCACGTTTACATTGTGCGTTCTGATGTTTCTTTCCAGTTCTGAATTTCCATTTATTTTTATCTCCCTATGGTTATCTAATCAGCATTGGAAACTTTACCCTGGAAGATGAGCTCCTTTCCAGTGAGTTTGTCTTTGTAAAGCGTCTTTCTTCCCTGTGCTTCTATCCCATCTTAATGTCCCTTAGATTTTTTTTTTCTCTTTTCAAACTCTCAGCCCCTTTTTGTTTCAGACACAGTAGCTTGTGCTGATATTTATTTATTTTTATTTTTAAAGACAGAATCTTGTTCTGTCACCCAGGCTGGAGTGCAGTGGCACCATCTCGGCTTGGTGCAACCTCCTTCTCTCTGATTCAAGCAATTCTCATGCCTCAGCCTTTCCAATAGCTGGGATTACAGGCACCCGCCTCCATGCCTGGCTAATTTTTGCATTTTTAGCAGGGACGGGGGTTTCACCATGTTGACCAGGCTGGTCTCAAACTCCTGGCCTCAAGTGATCTGCCCGTGCTGGGATTACAGGCATGAGCCACCAGACCCTGCCGCTTGTGCCTGATTTTTAAATTGTTTCATTATCCCCTTTCTTAACCAGGCAATCCTTAGGACACACGACTAACATAGTAATGCTTACCAAAACTCTTACAATAGAAAACAGTCACCTATGTGAATGGTAAAGATCAAAATGTTTGCTAAAACACCGTGTTGACAATGGTGTAAGGAAGAGGCACTCTCAAGTCTCATAGAAATATTAATTCATGTAACCTTGTTAGAGGGCAATTTGGCAACATCTACTAAAGCAAATTCACTTCTAGGAATTTATTTTCCAGAAGCACTCCCACATGTGCTCAAAGCGTGGATCAAATATTGGATATTCATTACAATAGCAAAAGATTGGAGAAAAAACAGTATGTGAATAGACTGATTTAATAAAGTATCCATAATGTCCATAATGTATATAATTCATCTTTTAAAAAGAAAGAATTATATCCACATAATGATTGAAACCATATCCAGATTTGATTTTTAAAAATTGAGAAATAATCATATTAGGATGACGGGGGAGAGGGAATTTGGGGAATGTGGAGTGATGTGGAGAGGGTGGTAAAGAGTGCCCAGTCCTCGGCCTTCATAGTAGGAAGTGCATTAACTATAATTAAAAAATACTTATTGGCAAAGGGCAAATCTCACTCAACCCCCACATTCTTGGGCCATAACACAGGGCTCAGGACCTCATGTTTAATAGAGATTTTATTATTTTTTAATATATGTCATTATTTAGAAATTCGAGGCTGGGGCAGTGGCTCATGCCTGTAATCCCAGCACTTCTGGGAGCCATTATGGGGGGATTGCTTGAGGCTAGGAGTTGGAGATAAGTCTGGGCAACATAGCAAGGCTCTGTCTCTAAATTAAATTATTTTTTAAAAAAGAAGAAAAAAGTAGAAATTCAAATCATTTCTCAGGAGTGTTAATGCACCAGTTCTTTCTACTTTCTCACTGAGAGGTGACTCTGCCTTAGCCTGACACCCAGTGCTGCCCTAGGAAAGCTGTTGCTCACTTGCCTTTCACATTTGAAATCCAGGTTCCAAGAGTTTTAGATGTCTCCCACTAGGAATTAAATTTAAGTTTCTAGCTTGAAATCCATGACCCTACACACGACTCATGGTGATAAATGACAACACGATTCATGGTGATAAATGACAACAGCCACCTATATGGGGTGCAGACTATGTGCCGGTGGCTTTATACATATTCTTTGTTCTGTTGCTCATGGACACCCTCTCTCATGCTTACAAATGAGGAAACTGAGGCTCGGAGAAGTGAAATAGCTTAGCTACGCTCCCACAGCAAGAAAAGTGTCAGCTTAACTACTCTATTACAGGGCTAGAGCAGAAAAATCAGAAAGCACAGATAAGTAGAGGTTTAAAATTCTAAACATAGAGTCTTTTGAATCCTGGAGGTCTCATTTTGAATTTGAATAGATATAGTTGTTTCCTACACATTAGAGGCAACTCACTTGAAAGCAGAATTGATTAATCATTCTATCAGCATCATTCTATCAGCATATGATGCATCTATCAGCATCTATCAGCATATGATGCATCTATCAGCATCTATCAGCATCTAAGATAATTTGTTTGCTCCGAATCCCAGAGAGGTCTGGCAGTCCTTTTCGCCCCAGCAGGGCAAATAAGAAAAGCAGGACATCTGAAGTCAAACCCAGGTCCTGGCCACTAGTGGAATACCTGTGAGGCAGGAAGTAGAGAGGAACCAGAGAACTAAAAGCTGCAAAGCAATCTATTACATTAGGTGCTTTTAAAGAAATTATTTTATGTATCGATTTCTCTGGTCTCTAATTTCCTCATCAGTAAAATGGGCGTAATAAAATCTCTTCTCTAGCATAGTAAAAATGGAAGGAAATGAACTACAAGGCAATGGCTTCAGATACTGTGTTCTGTGCCTAGTATATATTTATCTGCCTCTCCTTTATCAGATGGTAAATTTTTCTTTCTTTTTCCTTTCTCTTTTTTTTTTTTAGATGGATTTTCACTCTTTTCACCCAGGCTGGAGTGCAATGGCACAATCTTGGCTCACTGCAACCTCCACCTCCCAAGTTCAAGTGATTCTCCTGCCTCAGCCTCCTGAGTAGCTGGGATTACAGGCACCTGCCACCACGCCCGGCTAATTTTTGTATTTTTAGTAGAGACGTGGTTTCACCATGTTGGCCAGGCTGGTCTCAAACTCCTGATCTCAGGTGATCCACCTGCCTTGGCCTCCCAAAGTGCTGGGATTACAGGCGTGAGCCACTGTACCCGGCCAGATGTTAAGCTTTTCTAGGGCAAGTACTTGTCTGGTTTGTTCATCCCTGTTTTCTTAAGAGCCTGGTCTGTAAATACTCCATAGTACAATTGAATGTGTGGACAATGCTAAAGTAATGTTTGTCTTTTTCTTTCTCTAGCCACCCAAACAGCCATGTTGACTTGTTTTTATTTCATAGGGCCTGGGTATAAAAAAAGGACCTTAATCTTTGCGATGGATAGTTCTTTGGTTTTCTCCATGATTGGCGTGGGAATTTATTCCCCTGGGTGATTTTTTGGGGAGGCCTCTGTGATGAGAAAAGTGGCTGTTTGTGAACGAGACCCAATAAACCTCCCCATCCCAGAGTTTGCAAAGCATTTTCACTTACGTCCCCATCTACACTGATCTGCGACTGTGGGGATTATTTTTTTTTTTTTCTACAGATGGATAGTGAATGGCAGAAAGAGACCCCAGGAGAAACAGACTCCTGGTTGTGGGAGGCTCTGATATACCCCGTAGCTGCCTCGAGGTTACACTGTGCTAGAATTAAAAGCTGTAAATCTAAAGGAGACTAGACTGGCACTATCAGTGTCCCTGAGCTGTACTGGGGTAAAGCCAGCCAAGCACAGGAGGAACCTGGCCCCAGGCTCCTCGTGAATGCTTTGAAAGAGAATCACATCCAAGGTACTGCGAATGGATGTTTACAGACCCTCCTCTGAGACAACCCCAGGGCAGCAGGAAACAAAACCTTCTCAAATACGCTCCTACTCAGGGACAAGAATAAAATGTCCTTTATGCTTCTCACAGGGTTCTGATGCTTTCCAGACCAGACCACGTTAGATGAACCCAGGGGAATGTTTCCCATTGGTGTCCTTCTAAGAAGGAAGAAGGAGGAAGGCAAGAAGTACTTACTGAGTTCCTCCAAGGCTCAAACAAAATATGCATTTGTTTGCAGCTTCCTACTCGAAGCAGTTTACATTTCTGTGAGCTGGGAATGGCAGGGGTCTGGTCATTAGGTTAATGCTGGCATGTGACTGCTGTTTAATCTTCTCACCCCATTCAAGTTTCAACGATTTACCTGTTGGGGTTCAGAAACCAACACCCCTAAAATATGAAGCTTTGTGAAGAAGTCTCAAGGTCTCTCTGGCCTCCCCTCTCCCTCGTGTCTCTCCATTCTTTGTCTGTCTCATAAGCACAGGATGAGGTTGTTCTCTGACATTCCCTTACCTGCCTACATCCAGACCTACCAAAGAAAAAGACCTCTGGTCCCTTCCCTGAGTGTTCATTAATTGTACCCATATCACAGGAAGAAAGACTAAAGTCTGTTAACACAGCTGGACAGACTTTTGTCACAAACCAATGTCTGCTCTGTGGGCTCAACAGACTTTGTCCCAGCTCACTGTATGTTCTTTAAGCCCATTGAATTTCCCTAAAAATAATTTACTAGTCCCCTAAAATCATCCACACTTCCCCATCTCTCTTTCCCCTAAGATGAAGAGGATACAACCACCTGTACCCCATTGAGATAGCGGACAATCACTCTGTGATTTTTCCCCTATGCATGCTAATAAATGTGTAAGCCATTTTCCCTATTAATCTGCCTTTTGTCAGTAGATTGTTTAGAGAACCTTCAGAGTGCAAAGGGGAAGTTTTCTTGACCCCTAAAGTCCCGAAGACATCCTTTATAGCAAAGCATCTAGTTCAGAATCGAGTAGTCCATGTAGTTGTCATGGTTAGCTTTTAGCATTTCTTTTTTTTATTTGTTTATGTGTGTGTGTTTTCAAGTTTTATGTTATAATTTTGATGGAGCTATTTGTTCAATATCCAGGGTCTAATCTAATTGCTAGGTAAATATAAATATGCCCAGACATATTGATCTTGAATATACATAACAAATGTAAATTTTTGTGTGTTTAAATGATGACAATTTGTATTATATTTGTCAACGGTTCCAGCTTTTTGTCCTTATAAATTTAATACGACATTTACCTTGGCCAGATTTCTATAAACTACTACAATACTGAAATATAGAAATCAAGGAATGAATACAATTCTGTATCACCCTACATTGGCATGGTATTGATTAATTACGGTTTTGTGCAGACACTTTTCACCAGTGATCTCATCGATTCAAAAGGCTTGCAGAATATTGCCTGTTTTGTTTTTTCCTTTCCAGAAGCCCGTTCCTAAGTCCAGCTTGGATTCCTGTTTGTGCAGACTGCTCTGCTTACATCCTGGGCAGCTCTGATGCTACACTGAATGCCAGCCAAAGTCGGTGCCCGCTCACGTTCACAGAGAACAGGCAAGTGCCTTGCTTGAGGTCTCCCCACCAGTAAACTTTCCAGTAGGGGTTTCAGCCAGGGTAGTCTGATTCCAGAACCCAAGCACAGTGCCCCTTTGCATTTTCTCAGACTATGAAGCTTTTACAAAAGTAGATGTGGAAAGGGTCATCATGCTTCCCAAAGGTTCAGTTCTGCAGGCAGCCTCCACCCACTTGTTGTGGTCATGTGGCATGGGTCTGGAGTCCGGCTCTACTGTTTCCTGGCTGGGTGACCTCAGGTAAGTTATGTAACCTCTCCAAGCCTCAGTGTACTCCTCTGGAAAATGGGAACATTAACAATTCCTTCTGTATAACTTTGTTGTAAGGCTTTAAGGAGACAAGTGGCGTGAGGTGCTTACAATGTCTGACACGTGTAAACTCTCAATATTTTAATAGTCATAATTAATAGAGGTAAACTGCAAAAATGCACAAATCCTTATTTCTAATGTTTCTATACATCTCTACAGAAAAAGAAAAGGAAGCAAGGAAGGAAGGAAAGATCTTTTTGATGTGGATCCAGAACCCTTGGCTCACTGTGGACTTTGACATTATGCCTGACGTTGAGGCAGCAGCCAAATTCCACAATGAGACATAAGCACTCTTACACATTAACAAAAATGAGTGCCTAGAATCAGCTTTCATGCTCCCAATATACTCACTCGTGAATTGGGATTGGCGGCCCCCAAGCCCACACTGCCGCACTTTACACCCTCGGAAGAGCCCGTAGTAAATGTCCCCAATGAACTTGACCAGCTCTCTGTCTGTGGCGTTGACCAGATCCACTCCAGTCTGACAAAGGATTTTCCCACTCAGCCAGTGGGGCACTACCAGGGCAACGATGATCAGGATGAAGGAGGAGAAGCTGAGTAAAGACGCCAGCCCATACCACGCCTTTTTGAACCATCCAGGCATGCTAGTGGGTGCAGGTCATCCCCAAGGTCTCCGAGCAGCAGCGAGGGTCATTGACATCTTTCAGATACTCGGCAATGCTCTGCTCCAAGGTCAGCTCTTCCAAACACTCTGTTTCAAGGTTGTAGGTCCATCCTCTCGTCCTCCTTCAGCGCAAGCTTGCACAGTCCATGCTTCCTACAACCACATCCAGAAGCCTCTACAGAGACAATCTTCACCTGACTATGTAGCGGAGTGTGTTACTGAAGGAAGTAACCTTATATCTCCTCCTAGACTAATGTTTCAGCAGACTGTTTAACTGTTCCTCGTTTCAAGTATTTAAATAGCCCTGGTGTGGACCTCGTAATGATAAAGGAGTTAGTAATAAGCAAAATCAGGTAGCTCTGAAGATTAAGAGACGCAAACCAATCTCAAAAAATGCATGTGTTAGAAGGAAAACAAAAACAGAATGATTAGCACTTGAATATTGCCAACAATGCGCAGTATCAAATGTCGATCTCGCTGATGCATGGGTGCCCTGGCATTTCTTTCTCTGAAATGTCACTGCTGTCAGAATCTTTAGGACTGTTATTAATACCATCAAATGACCCCGGTTCTTGGGGCTTTAATATTGAAATGTGTAAATAGGGCCTTATGAATTTCTCACTGTGTGAATCTGCTGGGGGTAAACTGTGACTAGAATTACTTTGTGGCTGTTGGGGTAGCCTGGAATCCAACACTTAACATTGCTCTCACCCGTCCCTCCTTCTACGTTATCTGAAATGGGAGAGAAAAGTGTTTTTCTAGTGTATTAGCAAATAGTAGCCACACTGCTGGGGTATTCATCTCTTCTAATAGTGGAAGATCTAGGCTTTCCTTTTAATCTGTAGATACTAGGAATGAAATATTCTTTCCTTTCTATCTTATACTGTGGACTTTGACATTTTGACTTTTACCTTATTCCTGAATATCAACTTAACATCATGTGAGACTGGCAACAGTCACTCTATCCATATCTCTGGGGAGCAAAGTTGGGCAAAAGTGGAGCAGTAAAATTTCTTAGTTGGTCACAGAAGCCTGAAGGGGGGTTCAGGAAGTTGCACTGTTAACCAATAGGGGTCCCAGGAATCTCACTTGGAGAGTGTCAAGGAAGCAGAGGGACACATTAATGGAAATGTCAGTTTCCTTCCTCGCAACTGGGGCTCACTTCAGTGGCCACTCCACAATGAAAATAAAAATGAGAATTTCTGAGCCTGGGCAATGTAGTGAGACCTTATCTCTACAAAAAATAAAAAAAAAAAATAGTTGGGCCTGATGGCGTGTATTTGTAGTCCCAGCTACTGGAGGCTGAGGCTGGAAGACTGCTCCAGCCCAGGAGCTCAAGGCTGTAGTGAGCTATGATCATGCCACTCTGAGTAACAGAGTGAGATCCTGTCTCTTACTATATATACAGATGAGTGGCACTTTACCATGTACAAAATGCAAAATGCTTTGACCATATGCTTGCTCACCTCTGATGCTCCAGCAACCCTTTAAGGTAAACAGGAGATGCACGATTTCAGCCATTTCTCTCATGAAAAACTGGATGTCAGTGCTGGGGCTGAAATTCAGGTCTTTGAATTACAACAGCTCATCTTCATCCCAGTGACTTTGAAACAGCAAATGTTTTTCTGGTAAAAAATAACAGAATACATATAAAAGGCTCAGAAGACTGCTTGGCACATTAAGTGATCAATAATGTTAGTTCACGTTCTTATTTTAACATTAAGCATGCTTTGACAAGTCAGGACTTGCGTAAATATCATTGAGTCATATTTCTGCCGTCAGTGAGGGACCTGTGTCAACTTTTGGTGTTTTGAGGGTTAAGCAATTGTTTTCAGAAAAACTCTAAGGGAAACACTTGATTCCCAACAAGCCTTTGTCTTGCTGAACAAAGGTGTGGTTAAGTGGAACTCTAGCTATTGAAGACCTGTGTTCAAATTCCCACTCTTCCAGACAAGTGTCTGTGACTCTCATGCCTCAGCTTTCTAATCTGCATAGGATTATCGTGTGGAGTAAAGTGAAATAGCACAGGCAGATCACTTAGCGCAGTGCCTTGGATATAAGGAGCACTAAATAGATGGTGCTCTCCTCTCCATCCAGCCTCCTAGCAGTTCTATTTCTGATAATGAAGCTTCTGACAACAAAATGTGCTGCTGGCTGCATCCTCTTCTCTAGTGACATATTTCTGCATGCTTTACCTGGCACAAGTTTACTGAACAAACATCTGTGTCTGCTGTGTACAAGGTTATATGTGGATGGGAAGTGACACAAAGATGTATGTAATACAGGGTTCTGCTATCAAGAAGGTTATGAGAGTGTTAGAGCTCTGGTTCTCTATCAGTGATGAATTTGCCCCTAGGAGACAACTGTTAAATCTGGAGATATTTTTGATTCTTATGAGTGAGGGGTAGGGGTTTGCTATTGATTTCTAGTATATGCAGGCCAGGGATGCTGTAAATATCCTACAGTACCCAGGGCAGCACCTGTCACAAATAATTATCTGGCCCAAAATGTCAGTAGTGCTGTAGATGAGAGGCTCTGTGTTAAAGATACAGGCCATGGGCAGAAATAACTAATATACAAGGGAGAAAATGCCAGGATCTGTGTCTGGCGATGGGTGGCATATAGTAAAAGGGCCATTTGGATTAATGGGTATAAATTTACGGTTAGATAGAAGAAATAAGACCTAGTGTGGTTTGTCTCGTCTCGGCGGTGGACTTTCAGCTCCTTGAGCGGAGCGACCTCTTCTGTTTTTTTGGCAGGTGGGAATACTTAAATCTCTATTTTGATGCACAATTAAAAATAAAAAATTGCCAAAACAGTGGTCGAAAATTGTACTATACTATATTTTACATGCTTACACTTCACAAATTAATGCTCGTAAAACACCCGCTCTCCACCCTCCTCGCCCTTAGCCCGGCTCGCTGCACGCCCCGAGGCCCAGCACTTGCTGGCGGGTGGGAGGAGGGGCTTCGCCGATGTCCCCGTCCCAGGGGCAGGGCCTGGCCGAAGTTACAGTCCCTCCGGGTGGCGGGGCGCCCCGAGCGTGGCAGCGCGCTAGGCGGCAGCAGCGGGCGCGGAGCGGGGCGCGGCCGCCGCGCGTTCCCTCTTGGCGGGGTTGGCCGGCCGGGGCGGGGCGCGGCGCTCCGGCTCGAGGCATTCGGAGCTGCGGGAGCCGGGCTGGCAGGAGCAGGATGGCGGCGGCGGCGGCTGCAGGCGAGGCGCGCCGGGTGCTGGTGTACGGCGGCAGGGGCGCTCTGGGTTCTCGATGCGTGCAGGCTTTTCGGGCCCGCAACTGGGTAATGCTGCGGGCTGGGGCTGCTGGGTCTCCGCGGGGGTGGCCGGGGGCTTTCGTGTGGAACCCGGCGGGGGGCAGTCTAGAGGAAGGTGGGGGCCCCTGTGCACCCCCTGACTCGTGTTGCTTGCACGTGCGCGCACAGGTCTACGCGTCTATTCCTGTTTCCGAGTGCGTGCGCACGCCAGTCCCAGGGCGCTGGGCCTTTGCTGTGCAAGGAGGTGCTCCGTGGGCCTCCGCCAGACCCAAAAAGTCCGGCGTGACTCGGGAGAGAATTCCAAAGGGGAGGAACGGGAGCAGGGGTGAGAGGACGGAGAGAGAGTGTAGAAGGAAGGCTCTAGAATGAGACAGCCCAGTCCCGGTTACTAGTCATGAGACCGCGTATTGATTACCTAACGCCGTAGGACCTCGGTTTCCCCATTTGTACAACGGAGATTCTGACAGTGAGAGTTGGGACGATTAGATGAGATAATTGGTGTCGTTGCACATAAATTACCTGACGCCTGGTAAAAACTGTTTAAATGCTGTCTATTAATGTTACTATTACTACCCACCCCTGTTCTTTTAGCCCCATTGGATCTGACAGTTTGAAGGCTCAGCACGGAAAAACGCTGACGGCTTCTTTGCTCTGCAAAGACTATTTCAACTACTTTGCATAGTCAGGTGTCAATTTCCAGGAGGCGGCAAGTCGGAGCAGAGCTGATACATGGCCAAAGACCCTTGACCTCAGCCGCTCAGCAGGCCTCAGCAATTTCCCGGTGGAGACACTGCCAGCGGCAGCGTTCTGGGAGCTTAGTTAGCAGCAGCAGCACAGCAGCCTGGGCAAGAGTTCCCCTGGGACCAGAAAAAGGCTTTCAGGATTTTCTTTAAAAAAAAACTATCTAATTTTTATAGATGAAGGGGGCAAAAGTACAGTTTAGTTACATGGATATGTTGTGTAGTGGTGAAGTCTGGGCTTTTAGTGTAACCATCACCCAAATAGTGTACATTTACCAAGGTTTTCTTGTTGCTCAGAATCTGGTACAGGAATATGCTTCTGAAGAATTCAGTCACACCACTCCCTTCCTGCCACCCATCTGCTCAGTGCTTGGGGACACTGATGAGGGCGCTTTCCCAGGTCTTCAGAGATGCATGGTGGTGACAGAGGCAGCACTTCTGCCAAGGGCCAGGCACTGTGTTCCCAGTACCAGAGTTCCCATAGACTCTTAATGCCCCCAATATCTTTAAGGCAGTAGATCCTGTTAGCGTCATGTGTTAGAGGGTGAAGGCTGTGCTTTCTCCTGGTGGTGGCACTTTGGTTTACCTTGGTCTTGGCAGAATCTGGAGAGCTGATTTACCTCTGGCTCTTGGTCTTTCCCCTCCGAGCTTCTTCCTGCCATCTTAGGGAGGGCTAGGATGATGGAGACTTTTCATTGTTTCAGTATCCCCCATGGGATAACAAGTTAATTAATAATATAACAAATGTTGATGAATAGATGCTGTGTTTACAGCTTAAGGTAGAGATAATTATCTCTGGGGACTTCAGACCAAGAGACCCTGAGTAAGGACTGAACATCCCCTGTGCCAGGAGCTTTAGCATCTTCCATTTCATTTAATTCTTACACTGACCCTGTTAATCATCAACAAACAACCTCTTTTGTTGGGAACCTCTGCCCGGCATCGGAGTGAGAAAGCCACTCTGGCAGAGCTGGGATTCAAACCTGATCTGTCTGATTTCCAATCCTAAAGTCCATCCCTCTCTGCTGCAGGACAGGGATCCTTTGTGAGCTGAATCTGGTCTGCCACCTGTTTTTGTACAGCCCAAGAGTTAAGAATAGTTTTACATTTTCAGGTGGTTGAAAAGAAAATCAAATGAAGAATTATATTTTGTTGTATATGAAAATTAATGAAATTCACATTTCAGCTCTGAAGATTTATTGGAACACAGCTGCACTTATTTTTTCCCCCTATTTATTGCTGTGTTCTGTTACAATTGCAGATTTGAGTAACAACAGATACCATATGGCCAGCAAAGCCTAAGGTAATTGTGATCTGGCCCTTTACAGAAAATTTGCTGGCCCTTGATGTCTCTAGAAGTGCAGGGTTTGTGTTTTAGAGGTGAATGTGGAGGCGGAGTAGAGTGTTTGGAGGTAGGAGGGCCTGGGATGGAGCCCAATATAGGGTGTGTTTTCATTGAAGCCTCTTACCTGTCTCCACTCTGCTCCTTTATTTTTCTTTCTTTTTCTTTTTCTTTTATTTAAATGGAGATAAGGCCTCCTTCTGTTGCCTAGCCCGGAGTACAGTGGTGCGATCATAGCTCACTGAGCTCAAGTGATCCTCTCGCCTCAACCTCCCGGGTAGCTGGGGCTACAGGCATGTGCCACCACACCTGACTAATTTTAAAATTTTTTTGTAGGGACTGGGTCTTGCTATGTTGCCCAGGCTGGTCTCAAACTCTTGGCCTCAAGAGATCCTCCCACATTGGCTCCCAAAGTGCTGGCATTACAGACGTGAACCACTACACCTGGCCAACTCCCCTCATTTCTATGTGTGACTCTTTCATGGAATAACAACTCACTGCCTCTTAACCAAAGCTGTTTTCTCCTTCCAGTGGGTTGCCAGCGTTGATGTGGTGGAGAATGAAGAGGCCAGCGCTAGCATCATTGTTAAAATGACAGACTCGTTCACTGAGCAGGCTGACCAGGTAGTTTCAAAAAGGCCCCCAAACATTGTGAGGGGAACCCTGGGGAGAGGTGACCACTGGCTGTATGTTCTTCCTTTGGCTGTATGTTCTTCCTTTTATTTCTTTTTTTCCCCGAGACGGAGTCTTGCTCTGTCGCCCAGGCTGGAGTGCAGTGGCATGATCTCCGTTCACTGCAACCTTTGCCTCCTGGGTTGAAGCAATTCTCCTGCCTCAGCCTCCTGAGTAGCTGGGATTACAGGTGCCTGCCACCACCCCCAGCTAATTTTTTGTATTTTCAGTAGAGACGGGGTTTCACCATGTTGGCCAGGCTGATCTTGAACTCCTGACCTTGTGATCCGCCCGCCTTAGCCTCCCAAAGTGCTCGGATTACAGGCATGAGCCACCGCGCCTGGCCTGTTCTTCCTTTTTTTTAAAGCTGTTGTTTCTCTAACTAGGAAAGCCATTTGTGTTCATTGAGGAAAATTTGGAAAAAGTGAAAAATGATACAAAGATAAATTATATAA
Organism: Homo sapiens; assembly: GCF_000001405.40. Classification (NCBI taxonomy): domain Eukaryota; kingdom Metazoa; phylum Chordata; class Mammalia; order Primates; family Hominidae; genus Homo; species Homo sapiens. The sequence goes on along the minus strand of NC_000004.12, from coordinate 17,508,767 downwards.
TCATTTTGAGTTAGTTCACTGTTAACATTTTGGCCTATTGTCTTTTTCTATGCATATTGTATGTTACTCCTTTTACAAGTTTAGGTAATTTTGTATTTTATAGTTTATGGTAAGCTTTGTTTTTTTTTTTTTTTATACTTAAATAATTCTCCAGATTACTGAAAAAACCTCTTTGTAGATGTGTGATATTCCATTTTATGGAATGGCCACAATTTATTTAGTTTGTTTATTGTACATTTGAGTTTTTTGCAGGATTTTTGTTTTACTATTGTCAAGAATGTTGTGATGAACGTCTTTGTCTACATATCTGATTATTATTGTTTTTTGTTTTAAGAGAGTCTTGCTCTACTGTTGACACTGGAGTGCAGTGGCACAATCTCAGCTCACTGCCACCTCTGCCTCCCGGATTCAAACAATTCTTGTGCCTCAGTCTCCTGAGTAGCTGGGATTACAGGCATGCACCCCAATGCCCAGCTAACTTTTTTGTATTTTTAGTAGAGACAGGTTTTTGCCATGTTGGCCAGGCTGGTCTCGAACTTCTGACCTCAAGTTATCCACCCACCTTGGCCTCCCAAAGTAATGGGATTATAGGAATGAGCCACTGCACCTGGCCCACATATCTGATTATTTAGGATACATTCTAAAAAGTGGAGTTACCCAGTTCACAGCAGGAACACTAACAAAACAGGTTATTTTTAATTATAAAATGATATGCATATTATAAAACAAAAGTCCAACAAAACTACGTAAATATAGAAATAAACTGTGAAACTGTCCCTTTTCTCCCCATCATAGTATCATTTCCCAGAAGGATGCACTATTAACAGTTTGATGGATATCCTGGTATAAATATCTTAGATGCTCTAGGCTGGGTGCAGTGGCTGACACCTGTAATCCCAGCACTTTGGAAGGCTGAGATGGGCGGATCACGAGGTCAGGAGATCAAGACCATCCTGGCCAACATGGTGAAACCCCGTCTCTACTAAAAATACAAAAATTAGCTGAGCGTGGTGGTGCACGCCTGTAGTCCCAGCTACTCGGGAGGCTGAGGCAGGAGAATCACTTGAACCTGGGAGGCAGAGGTTGCAGTGAGCCAAGATTGTGCCACTGCACTCCATCCTGGGTGACAGAGTGAGACTCTGTCTCAAAACAAAAAAAAAAAAAAGAAAGAAAAATCTTTGATGCTCTTAAGCAGTGCTTAACTTTCTTGAGAAGCCCTTCTGGTGAGCTGCCTGGATGACTTTTGAGTCAGGTTCTCACTGTGTTGCCCAGGCTGGACTGGAACTCCTGGGCTCAAAGGATCCTTCTGCTTCATTCTCCCGAATAGCTGGGACTTCCTGAGTAGCCACTGTGCGCAGCTGACTCTGTGTTTAATGGTTTTTAGTGCTGTAGCCCACATTCCCAAGGATAACTTCACATCACTATGTGAAGCGCCTTATTTTCCCAACCACTCAGTGTGGCAGGCAGGCAGGCCATTTTACAGCTGTGAAGACAAGTTTGCGCGACTAAGTGACAAGGCCAACAAGCTACTCAGTGGTGGAGTCAGGATCATAGGTCTCCAGATACGAACTTTAATAAGTTCAGGTGCCACTTGGTCTGTACGTGGGTCTGCTTTTCATTTAGTTGCACTTTCCTTGGTAATCTCAATACTGATGTTTTATGATCCTTATCTGGTTTTTATAACAAATTTTTAAAATTTTAGAAGTGATGCATGTATGATATAGAAAATACAAATAAGCAAAAAGAAAAGGGAAATCATTTATAGTTCTACCATATAGTTAATCATTTATTTATATTTCCTTCCAGTCTGTCTCTCCAAAATATACATGTATAAATCTATACATTTTGAACATAAAACTGTGAGCACAACTCTGCTACTCATTTGCTCTTTCTAAAGTGTCAGTTTGACATAGATTGGAATGTAAAAGCCAGATGACTTATTTTAGCACTTCATTTTTGTTGTTCTTATTTTTCTCACTGTGGTCTCAATGTTCCCATACCTAAGTCATACAGATTGACCTTAGTGAATTTAATAGTGAAAGTTGACATGGCATCATTGTTAGTTGCCAGGCACCATTCTCAGTGCTTTATTTTCATTAACACGTGTAGTCTTCATTACATCCCCAAACAAAGCTTCTAATTTTATCCTCCTTTTAAATGGGGGTAACTGAGGCACAGAAAGGCCCTGGTATTTGTCCAAGGTCAAACAGATAAAAGGTTGCATAGCCACTATTTGGACATGGGCAGTGGGGGTCTGACGGCTGTTCTCTTAACTGCTATGCTAAGCTGCCTTAAAGCAAAATAGTTTCATGTGAATAAAGTAATAAAGGCCAAAATGGCTGGGTGCAGTGGCTCATGCCAGTAGTCCCAGCACTTCAGGAGGCTGAGGCAGGAGGATCACTTGAGCCCAGGAGTTTAAGACCAGCCTGTGCAACATGGCGAAACCCCATCTCTACAAAAAAATACAAAAATTAGCTGAATGTGGTGGCACACAACTGTAGTCCCAGCTACTCGGGAGGCTGAGGTGGGAGGGTGGCTTGAGGCTGGAAGGCAGAGGTTGCAATGAGCCGAGATCATGCCACTGCACTCCAATCTGGGCAACAGAGCCCAACCTTCTCTAAAAAACAAACAAAAAATAAAGTAATAAAAGCCAAAACTAAATGGAAGGGCGGTTCCTGGGCTTGGAGAGCAGCAGCCCTGCCAGGTGCGGGTCTCTGTAATTGGTGTCTCTTCAGTGTCTCTTCTGCTCTGATTAATTATAGGTTTCTAATGTCCCTGTAGATTGAATGTGGAGGTTGTCCCCACCCAAGGCTTGGCAGTAGAGTGCATCTCTAAGACAGAGATTGAGAGATGCGTTTGTGCTTATAAACTTTTCTTTGAAAATCTCTTCCTTCTTCTACTACTCCACCAAAGGAAGAGGAGTACCTTCTCCACCATACCCCCAACCTTAAGAATTTCTGAACAAACAGCATAACATTCAGTTTTGTCATGAAACTGGGGAAAGAGGTAATCAACTGAAATGTTCCTACTGGGAGAGACACAGGGTGTTGATTTAAGTCTTTTTTAAAAAAAACTAAATGTAGAGATGAGGTCTTGTTATGTTGCCCGGGCTGGTCTTGAACTCCTGGGCTCAAGTGATCCTTCTGCCTCTGCCTCCCAAAGTGCTGGGACTACTGGCATGAGCCACTGTGCCCAGCCTGATTTAAATCTTAAGAAGATTGGGCCAGGCGTGGTAGCTCAGTCCTGTTGTCCCAGCACTCTGAGAGGCCGAGGCAGGCGAATCACCTGAGGTCAGGAGTTCGAGACAAGCCTGGCCAACATGGCGAAACCCCATCTCTACTAAAAATACAAAAATTAGCTAGGTGTGGTGGCAGGCGCCTGTAATCCCGGCTACTCAGGAAGCTGAGGCAGGAGATTCGCTTGAACCGGGGAGGTGGAGGTTGCAGTGAGCCGAGATGGCGCCATCGCACTCCAGCCTGGGAGACAAGCGAAACTCCATCTCAAAAAAAAAAAAAAAAAAAAAAGAAATCTTAAGAAGATTGATCTTAATGAAGCAATTGGGATTTGTCATCTCAGCCATTCCAGAGAAATACGGAAGAGTCGTGGTGGATGGCCAGAATTGCCTGTCCTGACAGACTGTTCTTTTCATAAATTATAACAAGAGGGCATACATATATTTTCAATGCTTTAAAATCTCAAACAAACAGAAGCAGAGAGATCATTAAAGTGAACCCCCATGTACTTAATATTACCAACATATTGCTATTGACTGTATTTTTTCTTGGCTCATGATTTTTCTTACAATTTTTCGTTGGCATTTTTTTCAGAGTTGCAGTTAAAGGGATTTTTGGATTGGGGTGGGGAAAACAGGGTTGATCTTCTTTTTGGATTATAATTCTGTGATTTGTGAAGAGAGTCTGGAAAGAAATACACCAGGATGTTAACTATGTGCAGGCAGTGAAGCTCTAGGTGCTTTTTTCTTTTTTTTTTAACCTTTCCCTACTTTTATTTATTAATTGTTGTATTTCAAGGGATGCTCATGTCTCTACCTTTCAGAATGTATACACAGAGACTCTAGATTGTTTTTTAAAAATCACACTGAAGTGTACTTGGGCTTCAATGTCTAAAATGCTCATCAGAGCTTAGTCTTCCGTCTAATTCTCAAAGCATTAATTGCCAGGTACTGTAAACTGGCTTAAAAAGAAGAGAAAAAGAAACTGAGTATCCGTAAAGATGCTAGCCTGTGTTGGCTTACCTTACAGTTTATACATTTTTTTGTTCTTGTGTTGAAGGTGACTGCTGAGGTTGGAAAGCTCTTGGGTGAAGAGAAGGTGGATGCAATTCTTTGCGTTGCTGGAGGATGGGCCGGGGGCAATGCCAAATCCAAGTGTGAGTCCTTTCCTGAGTCACTCATTTGTTCTGCTCTGCTCTTTTTCCAGCTGACAAGGATTGGGTTTGCACTAGGTGACAGGCCAGCTGTTTTTTTGTGTATATCCCGGAATCTTTACAGTTGCTCGGGGAGAGAGTGATTAATGCTCTTAATCCATTTTACGGATAAAGAAGAAGCTTCCCCTGGAGGACGTGAGGGGACGGGGGGCATTGAGTTTGAGTTTAAAGTAGAGGCAGAATGAAATCAGCATGGCCTGTGCCCCAGGCCATGTGCTATTCAGGCATTGGAGGATGTGTAGGAAGTGCAGAGATCATTTAGAAAGTCAGAAGAAGTCAAACTTGAGATTTTACTAAAGCTGATTCCTTTTTTCATCTTTTCTTTTCCCTTCCCTTCCCTCCCCTCCCCTCTACTCCCCTACCCTTTTTCTTAAGACAGAGTCTTGCTCTGTCACCAGGCTGGAGTGCAATGGTGTAATCTCGGCTCACTGCAACCTCTGCCTCCCAGGTTCAAGCGATTCTCCTGCCTCAGCCTCCCGAGTAGCTGATATTACAGGTGCCCACCACCAAGCCCAGCTAATTTTTTGTATTTTTAGTAGAGACGGGGTTTCACCATGTTGCCCAGGCTGGTCTTGAACTCCTGACCTCAGGTGATCCACCCCCTTCAGCCTCCCAAAGTGCTGGGGTTACGGGCGTGAGCCAGTGCGCCTGGCCCATTTTTCAACTTTTCATTATGAACATTTCTAAGCATACCAGAAAAGTTGAAAGAACAGTTCAATGAACACCCTTATATGCTCCATCTAGATTCAGTAACTGTTAACATTTGCTGTACTTGAGTTGAGCTTGTTTTCTTGTGCCTGTGTACTTTGTGCATTGTTTTTTGTTAACTGTTTGAAAATAAGTTTACACCTCACTATATTTCCGCGTGTTTCTCCAAAGAATAAGCCCGTCCTACATTATTATGGTACCATTGTACCTAAGAAAGTTAACAGTGATTATCTAAGATTAATGATATTGAGCCCATATTCAAATTTCCCCAGTTTATTCCATGTCTATTATAGTTCTTTTTCCCTAAACATATTCCACTCAAGGTTTATGTACTGCATTATGTTGTTTTTAGTCTCTTAATCTAGAAAATCTAGAATTTTTAAAAAAATCCCCTGTGATAAGACTTTTTGTCAAGTCCTTGGGAGTTTTCATATAGCATGTCTCACATTCTGAACTTGTCTGAACTTTTCTTTAAGGGGTTGTTTGACTTGTTCCTCTATCCTTGGTATTCCCCGTGAACTGGAATTTGGGTCTAGAGACTCAGTTAGATTTAGCATAAACATTCTTGTGGTGCGAATTCTTCCTGAGTGATGGTGTGTACCTTATATGACATCACCTGGGAAGCTCAGCATGGCAGCTTGCCCTACCCTTAGGGATGCCAAATTTGATGCTTGGTTGAGATGGCAACTGCCAGACTTCCATTATAAAGGTACTTTTTTTCTGTTTGCAGTAAGTCAGTCATCTGTGGGATGTGTGGTATTGTGGTATTGTGTGTGAATGTCCTGTTTCCCAAGTATTATACTTTTCACCCAGTGGTTTTAGTCCTTCGTTGATAATCTCTGCCTGAAGCACTTATTCAGGGGTTGGAAAATGGTAGTTTTCTAATTCTGTCATCCCTTCTACATTTATTAGCCAAAGCCATTTAAAAAGACGTTGACATTCTGTGACCCACATGTCAATGTGAGAGTGGTGCTTTGTGAGGTGATCAGGTTAGCAAAACAGCTTGATAACCTTTTTGTATGTTTTGGGAGCAAGAAATGATAAATGTGGATCCATCAGGTTTTTTTCCTAGTCTTTTTTAGTGGGGAAATGCAATTTCTTGTTTATCACCTACCAACCCCTCCTATATCAGGAGGACATCCTTTTTTGATCACCAGGTACCACATGCCCTTCGAGTTGCCCAGTTGGTGGTGTGACATATGTTACCATTTGTTCTTCCTTATGTCTCTGGCAAGGCCGGGGAGTTAAAACAAGTGTAAAATGGTTGTTATTTTAGCTTTCTTTTGAAGAGTCTTTAAAGCTAACATTAAACTTTCAGACATAAAATATGTAGCTCAGTAAAAGCTCTCTTTATAGCTGTACAGTAATAGGCCCTTGGATTTTTATCACAGAGAAAACCTGACGTAGACATATAGGTTCTTATTACAAATCTGATACCATTCATAAAATAAAACAATCTTTGAATTAAAGCCAGTCCAGCAAATCAGTAAACTCCAGGTTTATTTTGTAAAATTTATTGGCCAACATTTTGCCAGTGTATAGGTAAGGAAGCTGAACCTCAGGCAATCCCATGGCCTGGATTTGAACCTGTGTCTCTGACCACTGAGCCCTGTGCTGTTTGTGTTAGACCTTGCTGTAGATAGGGACCTGGGGACCAGGAGGGAGGGCCTCCCTGAGTGTGGGGCTGCATGAGTTGAGCTCACCTTTTGGTTTCTTTCCTGGGAATGCTGAGCCCACATGTTTTTTTCACTCAGCTCTCTTTAAGAACTGTGACCTGATGTGGAAGCAGAGCATATGGACATCGACCATCTCCAGCCATCTGGCTACCAAGCATCTCAAGGAAGGAGGCCTCCTGACCTTGGCTGGCGCAAAGGCTGCCCTGGATGGGACTCCTGGTAAGCCTTTATTTCCCTATCTGTGGAGTGGGGTTGCTTACCTTGCTTGCTGGGGCTGCTGGGCACTTTCATGGGATGAGGACTGTTAAAGCCTTTACCCTCTAAGCTGCTTAACAGATAGATGGATTTTGTCTTCTTTTGGGCCTGAATCATTTTAGGGAGAAGAGTTCTGATCTTTTGTTTGCCTGTCCTTATGTTTATGGTGGTGGTAAGGAACGCTATGATCTGGTAACCCCCATTTAGTTTATTTATCTGTGATCTACACTGGAATGAATGGTTTAGTGGATATTAATTAATTAATAAACATGGATTATTATTATCACATTGAATCCATGTGTTCCAGGGAAGCAGCTTAGCAGCTGGAAATAGCATAAGTTTAAAATGAGAGAGGTTCATTTGGCCAGCACAGTGGCTCACACGTGTAATCCCAGCACTTTTGGGAGGCTGAAGCAGGAGGATTGCTTGAGCCCAGGAGTTCAAGACCAGCCTGGGCAACATAGTGAGACCCTATCTCTACATTAGAAAACAAAAAGAGAGTGAGAGGGTTGGGGGTGGATTCTTTATCCTAGATGTGTGACCCTGAACCAGTTCTTCAGTCTCTGACCAGATGTCTACTGTAGTTTCCTTAATTGTAAAATAGTGACAGTGACATCTAACTTGAAGAGTACTGTAAAACTGTAGAGGTGTAGCTATGTAGAAAGTGCACATGGTAGGCACCCATAAATGGCAAGTCTTACTGTTATTCACAATAAATGGTAGGTCTTATAGTCACTCTTTTCATTTCACATATATTCTCACTTTAATCTCATCAATATTATCTTTTTCAGTTTACAGGTTAGGAAACTAAAACTTGGAGAGTTAAGTAACTTGTCTGGGTTTGTGCAGGAAGTAAGTTGCAGACTTACTTGAACCAAAACCCTAATCATCTACCAACTGTGTATTTTTTCCATTATGTCATTTCTTTTGCATTTTTTATGACCTGTATTAGTTTGTTTGGGTAGCCACAGACTGGGTGGCCTAAACAACAGAGATTTATTTTCTCATAACTCTGGAGGCTAAAAGTCTGGAGATCAAGGTATCTGCAGGGCTGGCTCCTTCTGAATCCTCTTTTTTTATAGATGGCTGCCTTCTCCTTTTGTCTGCATGTGGTCTTCCCTCTGTGTGTCTGTCCTCGTTTCCTCCTCTTCTAAGGAAACCAGGCATATTGGACTAGGGCCCATCTCAATGGGCTCATTTTAACTTTGTTGCCTCTTTAAAGATCTTCGAATACAGTCCCATTCTGAGGTACTGGGAATTAGGACTTCAATATACGAATGTTGGGGGGATCTATTTCAGCCCATAACACTCCCTGTGGGATAGGGCTAAAGGAATTTAAGCAGGGGTAGAAAGGGGCAGCATAGGGAGGCAGAAAGTGTCTACCTCAACTACCTAAGTTGAACTCTTCTTTTAAAAAAATGGGAGCTTTTGGCCGGGTGCAGTGGCTCACACCTGTAATCCCAGAACTTTGGGAGGCCAAGGCGGGTGGATCATGAGGTGGAGATTGAGACCACCCTGGCTAACACGATGAAACCCTGTCCCTACTAAAAATACAAAAAATTAGCCAGGCGTGATGGTGGCTGAAGCAGGAGAATGGCGTGAACCCAGGAGGTGGAGCTTGCAGTGAGCCGAGATCGCGCCACTGCACTCCAGCCTGGGCAACAGAGCAAGACTCCCTCTCAAAAGAAAAAAAAAAAAGGTGGGGGGAGCTCTTTTTGACTCTCTTGTAAGTGGTAGAGACCTTGGGACCCTTCTCAGTTGTTTATTTTTTTAGAGACAGGGTCTCACCCAGGCTGGAATGTAGTGGTATGATCTAGCTCACTGTAGCTTGGAACTCCTGGGCTCAAGCAATCCTTTGCCTCGGCCTCCTGAGTAGCTGGGACTGCAGACACACACTGCCATGCCTGGCTAATTTTTGTATTTTTTGTAGAAGCAGGGTCTCGCTATGATGCCCAGGCTGGTCTCAAATTCCTGGCTTCAGGTGATGCTCCTGCCTTGGCCTCCCGGAGCACTGAGACTACTGGCATGAGCCACTACGCCAGGCCCCTTCTCAATTTTAATGTAACTCACTGAACTGTGAGGCTGTGACTACTAGCAATACCTTCCCTCTCATTTTCTTCTTCCATTTCTTAGAGCATGTGATGTTACAAGTCCATGGCTATAGCAATCATTAAAGCTGTGTAAATGTTAGCTGTCTGGTTGGTTGAGATCTGATTTTTATTTAAGATGACACGGAACAGAGGCAGTAGAAAGTAAACAGAGAAATGAGTCTTAGCTTGACATTTTAAAAAACAAAACCCTAGGACCAAAAGACTGATTTTTCTAAATGACAGAAGAGTCTCCTACTTTCCTTTGGTTTGCAGGTATCCTTTGATTACATTTTGGGTAGTGGTTAAGACTGCAGGCTCTGGAACTGTGCACGTTGGACTTCTCTTAAGGCTCTGCCACTTACTGTGACACGTTCGGCAAGTTACTTCGCCTTTCTGAGTCTGCGTTTTGTCATCTGTAAAATAAGATAAAATAGTGTCTCCTTTATATATATGGTGGTTGTACCTTGTAAATGTCTCAATGGATCTAAATGGATGAGAAAGGTATTACAGAGAGTCAATAGTAAGTGTGAGCCATTATTATTATTTACTCCAGGCTTATTTCTGCCCAGCTGTTCTGCCTCAGATGTTAATGAATTTGTTCATCTTTAACCTCTTAAGTTAGATTTTGTTAAGCTATTAATAATTTGAGTCATGAGATCTTTTAAGTATGCTGCAGACCTCAGAAAAATCTGGGGAAATAGATCTACAATTTGAAAGTAAATGATGAATCAGGCTTAGTAGTCCCTCAAACTCAAGAAGATTTGTTTGCACATCAGAAGTTTTTCACTTGGAAGGATACTGAGAAAACCTCACCCTCCTATTTCCAAGTTTGTATTTCTAGACTGTCTTCTGTAGGACAAACAGTATTAAAATGGTGTTCACTTTTGTTTACCATTAAAGGATCTGTGCTGTGATTGGAAATCAGTTTTGGGGGACCACACTGATCATTCAGTAATTTGGAAGTGTTGACCTTCTTAGTGAAATGTCTTTTTTTTCATATCTTGCAAATAACCCCTTTTGTGTCCCCAAGGAAAGGTCATTCTTTAGAATTAAGCCATTACGGTTGCTATTTGCTTGTTTCTTTCCTTTGTCAGAGTCCCTGCTCTTGTGTTGTGTTGTTCGAATGGAGTCAAGAGAGAGCTCTGGGATTTTGAGGACCAGGGCTGGGTTAATGAGCACTTATGCCCTGGTTTATTTTAATCACTGAAGAGTTTGTTATGCCCCCTGATTAAACAGAGAAGCTAAGGATGGCGAAATATTCTTCTTGTGCTTCCAAATAGCTCTTTGAGACCTTGACCCTCTTTTGCAATTTGAGGTAGTTGTTGAAGCAGTTTTGTGATTGGTCCCTTGGCTGGGCTGTCATCCCCCCACCTCCCGCTGGACTTGCGATGCCTCCACAGCAATTACATCTTAAACAGTGTGTGTGCCGAGGATTTTAGGGAGCCTGATGACCTCTAGAAGAAATAGTGGTTTTCAGAAGGTGGAGAAGTTTACAGTGACTCATCATTCCTTCTTGCTATCATTATTCTGTGATAGCAGCATTTAGTGAGCAGCTACAGTTGGGCACAGTGGGGGAACATAAAGAGGAAAGACTCCATTCCTGCCACATGCCTGCGGGGCAGAGGGAAACCTACCTTAATAAAAGACATCCCTTGCTTCTGTCAGCAAATATCCATCGAATAGTGGGAGGAAAGGAAGACCAATAGGTAGCAGGTATACACAATGTCAAAATTTGCTCAAATGGTACACCCTAAATGTGTTTAAGTTTATTGTGTTTCAGTTATACCTCAACAGACTTGGCGAAAAAGAAAGAAATATTTTTAGGCATCTGTCTTCTGGGTGCTTGGCTTGTTGGGCTAAGCTTGATCTTATTTCATCACCAGAGGTATCTGTAAAGTAGGTCCTATTATTTTCCCTTGATTATGGAGGAAAAAAAGTTCAGTGATTTTAGGTGCCTTGTCTAAGACAACCTAGCTAGTTAGTAGCAGATTGGTCTGAGTAATACATTGATCAGTAATTAATATATAATTATAATCAGTAATTATAGCAATTACTGATAATATAATTATATAGAGATAATATAATTATATTCAGAGCCTCCTCCGGCAGCAAGGGTGCGGGTGGTGTGAGTGTGAGACCGGGCTACATTACGGTCTAAGCGGAGTGCTCTTGGTGGGGGTGAGTCCACCTCTGAAAAGGTTTTGTTGAGGGAGCTGATTCAAACAGGGTCTTGGAAAAGGACTTGCTTTGACAAATAGAGCTTATGGGAAAAGACAAGGCACTGTATTAGTTTTTATTTAAATAATTTAATCAGTTTTTAAATTGGAAAACTAACCAATGCATGTAGTAAAAATTCACATGGCACTAAAAGAAACACAATGAATAGGAAGACTCTCTCCTACTCACACCGCTGATCTCTATGGCACTCCCTCCCAGGCCCAACTACAGTGATGGCTTCTCAGGTGTCCTTTGGGAAGCATTCTGTGCCCATTCTAGTGTGTGCCCATGTCACATTCACATACTTTTTAAAAAGCACCATAATTTGGCAGGGCGCGATGGCTCATGCCTGTAATCCCAGCACTTTGGGAGGCCACAGCGGGTGGTTCACCTGAGTTCGAGACCAGCCTGGCCAACATGGTCAAACCCCATCTCTACTAAAAAATACAAAAATAACCAGCTGTTGTGGCAGTCACCTGTAATCCCAGCTACTCAGGAGGCTGAGGCAGGAGAATCGCTTGAACCTGGGAGGCGGTGGTTGCAGTGAGCCGAGATTGCGCCACTGCACTCCAGTCTGGGTGACAGAGTGAGACTCTGTCTCCAAACAAACAAAAAAAGAGGCTGAGGTGGGAGGATTGCTTGAGCCCTGGAGGTGAAGGATGCAGTGAGCTGAGATTGCACCATTGCACTCTAGCCTGGGCAACAGAGTAAGCTTGTCTCAAAAAAAAAAAAAGAAAAGCACCATAATTTGATGACTCGATAGAGGCTTTTCCATGCCTTATTCTTTTCACTTCATCATAGATTAAATAATTTAAAAGTTAGTTTGTCTGGAATATTGAGAAACTCACGAGTTACTGAGAATCACCTACCATAGTTTTAATGAACAGAGCTACCAGTTTGTTCTTTTTTTTTTTTTTTTTTTTTTTTTTTTTTGAGACAGTTTTGCCCTTATTGCCCAGGCTGGAGTGCAATGGCGCAATCTTGGCTCACCGCAACGTCTGACTCCTGGTTCAAGCAATTCTGCTGCCTCAGCCTCTGGAGCAGCTGGGATTACAGGCATGCATCACCACCCCCAGCTAACTTTGTATTTTTAGTAGAGACGGAGTTTCCCCACGTTGGTCAGGCTGGTCTTGAACTTCTGACCTCAGGTGATCCACCTGCCTTGGCCTCCCAAAGTGCTGGGATTACAGGCGTGAGCCACCGCACCTGGCCCCAGTTTGTTTTTTCATTCCCACAGTTTTTGAGTGGCCACCATTTGATTAAGCCCCATTATCCTCCTTTGAGAAACCCACCTATTGCTCTTTTCTGAAAGCAGTGAATAAAGTATTTATTTATTTATTTATTTATTTATTTTCCTTTTTTTTGGAGATATGGTCTGGCTCTGTCACCCAGGCTGGAGTGCAGTGGCGTGATCTTGGCTCACTGCAGCCTCGACCTCCCGGGGGCTCCAGCCGTCTTTCCACCTCAGCCTACCGGGTAGCTGAGACTACAGGCGCTCGCCATCACACCTGGCTAATTTCTGTATTTTTTGTGGAGACAGGGTTTCACCATGTTGCCCAGGCTGGTTTCAAACTCCTGGGCTCAAGAGATCCACTTGCCGCAGCCTCCCAAAGTGCTAGGATTACAAGCCTGAACTACCTCACCTGGCCAAATAAAGTATTTATTGATTGCCACCTTTTGGTTTGGGATACATTGGTGAACAAAACAATAAAAATCCCTGCCTCTGTGGAACTTACATTCTTCTGGGAATGAAAGAGCCCTTTCGAGTTTATGAGATGTGTCACGTTTCATGTCGTTTTCAGGAAAGCCTATTTAGCTTAGCATTGGATCCCATTTAGCAGGGAAGAACCAGAGGCTGAAAGAGCTGCTCGCCCAAGTCACAGTGGTGAGGAATCACCTGGGTTCCAACCCCTGGCCTCGAAGTCCAGATTCTGGGTTCTTTCTGGTGTGCTGTGCCGTTCCTGGGAGCCAGGGAGCTGCCTTGTGCTTCTTCGTCTTTCTAACACTGAGCCTAGGGATTCCCACATAGAAGAGGCTCCATGACATGGGGTGGGGTAAGTGGGTTTTGATGCCCGGGAGCAGGCAGACCCTGGCAGCCCCTTTCCAGGCTCTGGCTTTACAGGCAGCAGAGTGATGGCAGGTTGGTTTGATGGTGTTAAGGCCAGAGTTGTCACCATCCCCGTCATGCCACAGTCCTTCCACTGCTGATAAGGAAGGAAATGCCCCGGATGGGCCGCAGATGACTGCTTGATCTGGAGAGGAATCATCTATGATAATATGAATAATGATGAGCTGGGAGAGTGGGAGAAGCATCACCCCCTCCCTGCCGCAGTCACTGGGAGAACATCTCCCTGGCAAGGTGCTGAGCAAAGCCCCTCCTACACCAGGCTGGGCTCCCTCCGCCCTGATCGGGTTCTGTGCGTGCCCTCCATGGTTTCCAAGGCCCTTGTTGGATGCAGTCTCCTTCCATCCTCAGCAGAGCCTTGTGAATAAATTGTGATCTGAGTTACCACTCCCACTGACAGATGGAAAAGCAGGCCCACAGAACCTGTGATTTTTTTTGGTGGCTGGAAAAACAGGAGTTAGGGCTGCACTTTTTGAATTCCAAGTTGATGACCCTTTTTGCAATTCCTTATTGCTGTCCGAGGAAAAAGAGTTGCCAGTGACCTGCTGAGAGTCATGAATGACAATAATGGCCAGGATTGAGTGTTCCTCTGTGCTCAGTACTGTACAAAGGGGATTTGTTAACCTGGAAAAAAAACAATCAATGGAGTTTTATTACTTGACATAATTAAGGAGGATGCTGGAAGTATTCTCCAAAGCAGCGTCTCTCCCAGGAGGGTTTCATGGGGTGATGGAGAGGGGAAAGGGTGTGTCATTGCATGTGGAGGAGGGGTCCCAGTGGCACAGATGCAGTGAGTCATCACGCCAGCACATAGTCACATGTTCTGGTGATGAAGCTGTAGCTCCTCCCGGGTGGAGACTGTAGCATGGTAATGAGGAAAGTCCACTTGGGATCATCTCTATAAGTTGCTGGTTTCACCTGACTTGGTGACTGCATTCCATGCAAGTTGTGGGAAAAACCAGGCTGAAGGGCAGGAGCCTGTGAAACAGGCTGATTGTTCAAGCTGATGAAACTCCTATAGTCCTTGGAGACCCTCCCTGTCTGCTACACTTGTACATGGTATTTTATTTGATTGTTGTATTATCCTTAGGATTTGGGATTGTCATTCCCATTTCACGAAATGGGAAACTGAGGATTCCAAGGTTTAGTAGCCTCTCCCAGTGTCAGTCACTAGCAAGCAGCAGAGCCTGGACACGAAGCCAGGTAGTCGGGTTCCAGGGCACATTACTTCTATTGATTTGATGGGAAACCTTCATTGAGTGCCTGTCCTGTGCTAAGGGTATGCTCACAATTAAGTACTCTATTCCTGTGTGTCGTTATGAGCCCCTCTGGATCACACCTGAGTTTATACTGATAAGGTGATTAGTAGGTTGGGGCCCCTAGACAGCCTCAGGATGGAGCTACTTCTTAGAATGACCAAGCAATTAGGAGGTTAGAACTTTCAGCTCCACCTACCGACCTCCTGGAAGGAAGCAGGGGCTGGAGATTAAGCTCTATAAAAACTTACAGATGTGATAAGCATCTGGGTTGAACACATGGAGGGCACTGGGAGGGTGGCGTGGCTGGAGCAGGCGTGGAAGTTCCATGCCCACCCCCTCTCCTACCCTGCCTCTGTGTCATTCCACCTGGCTGTTCCTGAGTTGTATCCTTTATAATAAACCAGTAACTATAAAAAAAGCGTTTGCCTGAGTTCTTCGAGCCATTCTAGCAAATTATTGCACCTGAAGAGGGGGTTGTGCAAACCCCTGATTAAGCTTGTTGGTCAGAAGTCTAAGTGGCCCAGGACTTGTGACTGCCATCTGAAGTAGGGTAGGTCTTGTGAGACTGAGCCCTTAAATCAGACGGGAGTACAGTGACGTGATCATAGCTAATTGCAGCCTTGACCTCCCCCAGGCTCAAGTGAACCTCCCACCTCAGCCTCCCGAGTAGCCGGGACCACAGGCATGTACCAGCAGGCATGGCTAATTTTTGTAGAGATGGGGTCCCACTACGTTGCCCAGGATGGTCTTGGAACTCTTGGGCTCAAGGGATTCTCCTGCCTCAGCCTCCCAAAGTGCTGGGATTAAAGGCACGAGGCACCACACCTAGCTGGGAGTTCTAATTGAATTGTCAGACACCCAGTTGGTGTCTGGAGACTTAGAGAATTGACTGTGTTAGAAAACACCTCAAACCCATTTTACAGATGCAGCAACTGAGGATTAGAGAGGTTTTGGGAACTTTCCCAGAATTTATTTAGTGGTAAGTGGAGGAACTGGGATTTGAATGTGTGTAATTTGACTTTAAGTCCTATACTCCAAGTGACTGCTTGATTTTGCTGTCCCATTGAGTACCTCTGTGTGCCAGGTGCTCACAAGCATTTAGTGATCAAAAGGTTCAGAACCCATTTCTTGCCTGGGCTTTAACCTCTCCATCAGCTTTGGCACAAGTCTGTGTGTGAGCCTGGCATGTACTCAACCTGTCTTGAGTCTTGGTTTCCTAAGAATAAAAATAAGATCAACCTTCTGGCTTTTGTAATAAATGTTAAGTGTTAGATGAATAGTAAGTACACCTGAAATGTCATGTCTCCTCCACTTTTCTCTCCATAAATGTTCATTTATCTTTTCTTCCTGGCCTCTTCTGGACCCTGGAATGCTGCAGCTTGGATGCACCGGTGGCCTGTGTGAAGCCTGTGTGTTCTTGGAAACTGGCCAGAGGCCATAATTCCCAACCCACGTGTTCCCATCCCCTCTTTCTCGTGGCTCTCTGCCATTTTTTGATGGGGGTTGGTGAGGGCGTCTGACCTGAAGGAGGAGGCCAGATGCAGCTATTTATAAAGTTTTTAGGGAATAGAGATCTCAAGAGAAGATTGCATGTCCTTGCTGTCCCCCTGGCCGCCAGTGGTCACTGAGCCATCTTCTCCCCATTTCCCAGGTATGATCGGGTACGGCATGGCCAAGGGTGCTGTTCACCAGCTCTGCCAGAGCCTGGCTGGGAAGAACAGCGGCATGCCGCCCGGGGCAGCCGCCATCGCTGTGCTCCCGTAAGTGCTTGGGGTTCCCTGGCTGCTGCCCACCTCTGCCCCACTGCTGCAGGTGACCGTTTGTCTGACTGTAGCTTTCCACAGGCGACCTGGGTGTGCTCTCACCTCTGGTTCTGAAACACACCAAAGTCTCTTAAGATACTTATTATCTTAATCTGTTTGAATTGCTCTAACAAAATACCTTAGACTGGGTGATTTATAAACAGCAGAAATGTATTGCTCACAGTTCTGGAGGCTGGGAAGTCCAAGATGAAGGCACCAGCAGATTTGGTGCCTGGCGAGGGCTCATTCCTCATAGATGGCGCCTTCTATATGTGCTCACACGGTGGAAGGGGCAAATGGGCTCCCTCCAGCTTCCTTTATAAGCATGCTAATCCCCTCCTAAAGGCCCCCACTTGTCTCCTGCAGACCCCACCTCTTAATACTATTATGTTGCAGTTTGTGTTTTGTATGTGAGTTTGAGGGGGATACATTCAGACCATAGCAATACTTCCAGTTTTGGGTTCTCCTGGGCTGTCCAGAATGTTTGATTGGCTGGTTGGATGGGTCTGTCTTTTTTGCCTCTTTTTTTCCTCTCCCTTTCTTTTCTCCCTTCATTTCTTCCTTTAAAATTAGACTACACATTTTACTTTTTTATATGTAGTTCTGTCTTTCAAGTCATTATATGGGGTATGTATGTGTGAGAGAGAGAGAATATGGGAAACTGTTGGAGGTGTTTCTGTTGGTCATCGGGGGACTGTCCCCCATCAGCTGTCCCAGGCAGAGGCAGCTGCTTTGGAGGGAGGCTACTCCTTCTCGCTGGAAGGCTTCCAGCACCAGCAGGCTTGCCTCTTGCCTGTGGTCCTATAAAGGGATGCTGAGACTGTAGGGACTGCACTGATTGACTTTCTGGTTCCCTTTTAGTTGTGAGGTTCTGTGATTCTGTGACATGATTCCCACAGCTGTTTTGAATGATTCGAATGATTCCTGAGGCCTTGATGTTCTTGGGAGATTCATGCATATCTGAATTCTATATTATTCTGCCAAAAATCTTAAGGTTTTGTGGAAAATAGCCACATATTTAAAATTTTAGTATTTTAGTATTCTCATATTTAAAGGCATATAACTATCTTAAATCCTTAGAAATGAGTGTGCTGCATGTTAGGGAGTGAATAAAGACACAGCAACAAAGCAGTTTAATTCAGTGAAGACTCTTTTTTAAAAAGGCAAAATGTGGCTCCTTCTGTTTTGTTCTTATCTGCCTAAGTGGTGAGCCACAGCGCACCTTATTGAATTATGCTCAGATCTGGCCTTTGCTAGCGGGGACAGCTTCCTGCTCTCTCTCTGCTTATCTTTCTGTCTGATCTTTCCATGTAAATAGCACCCTCAGTGCCAGAGGCTCTAGGTTGTCCTGCTGTATGTTTGCGTTTTCCTGGCCAAGGGGGACTGGGCACCTGTTGTTAGAAAGGAGCGACATGAATGACGTGCTTATCTGTGTCCATTGCAGGGTTACCCTGGATACCCCGATGAACAGGAAATCAATGCCTGAGGCTGACTTCAGCTCCTGGACACCCTTAGAATTCCTAGTTGAGTGAGTATTACAGACATGTCCATGACTGAGCAGCTTCCAGCCCCTATTCTCTGCCTGCTGTGGTCCAGAGGACAAGTCTGTGTTCCCTGAGATCGTCAATCCGGGTGGTCTTGGGAGGTCTCTGGGACTCTGAGGATGCATTGCACATCAGACGGAATCTCAGAGTAGCTGGACTTGGAGACAGGCAGCACAGTGGCAGAATGGGTAGTGCCGACATGAATCCTGGCTCGCTCCCTCACCACCGGCCATGCTGAGCACATTATTGACCTGCTGAGGCCTCAGTTTCCCCACCTGTATCATGAGGTCCATCATGCTTGTTAGGATTAAACGTGATAGTGTGCGGCAAGCACTCAACACAGTGTCTGGCCATAACAAGTGCTCAGTGATCCCCAGCTGCAGTTTGTGTCCTTACTGCTGTGATGAGGAGACTCCATGGGGGAGGGGGACACCACGTAGATGGCCTGGGGGCACATATCTGAATCTGTGTCAAGCCACAGACCCACAGAAAGTGCCCTTTAATTTCCGAAATCCTTTTTGCCCATTTGTGAATATGGGTGGCATTTGAACGCTCATGGGACAGAGAGCTGAATTCCTCTTTTGTGTTTGTTTAGGTATCAGTTCCTCAAGCCCCTCTAGTTAGTAAGCATGTGTTCATCGAGCACCCACTATGGGCCAGGTGCTGCCCTCGGCTCTGGGGTCACGGTGAGGACAAAGATGGGATCCCTGCCCACAGGGAGCAGGGGTGCCGAGAGGGTCAAGGTGACAGCCTGACCCAGTAGTGCCTCTGTGTAAACTGCTTTGACGACTGTTTATAAGAGATGTTTGTGAAGTTAGCAGTGTGCTTCTGGCCTGATGTCACAATCTCATTTAAATTAAATCGGGAGAAATTTGGGACTTGCGTTTTATGTTTGAAATGTGTACTTACAGAACACTTTTTATGTCCCAGTCACCATTCTAAGCACTTCATAACTCTTATTTAATGCTCATAGCAAACTCTGAGGGAGGAGCTGTCATTTTTATTTAAGGCTTAGAGACTTGGAGGGATGGCAGGGGCTAAGTCACTCGCCTAAGGTCACACAGCACAGCCGGGATCTGACACAAGTGGTGTGGCTGCAGAACCTATGGTCTTAACTGGTGTGCTGACAGTTATTTCTGTCTATGCCAGGAATCATGCTTCATGCTTGATTTGCAGGAAAAAAATTGAAGTTGTAGAGGAAATCAAGCTTTGAATTGTGTTTGTGTTTGAATTTCTTTTTAAAGGCCGACACTCCCACCACACTTGAGATACTGATCTAAGACCTACTCTAGATGGAACATCTGGGATCTTGTGTCTGAACTCGTGCTGAGCCACAGACCCACAGAGGACGGGCTGTCACAGGCCCCCTTTTGTTCTAGAGATCACATCCACCCATTTGTGGTATTTGAAAACTCTCAGAAAAGCTGGCATAAAGTTTGCTTTGAGATGTCTGTGAGCACATCCTTCCTCTACCATCCCTGGTTAGAATGGCGTTCTCACTCACCTATCCACGCTGCAGATGAGGGTGAAGAAGTAAAACCATTTAAAACATGCATCGCAGCAAACCAACATGGCACATGCATACCTGTGTAGCAAACCTGCACGCTGTGCACATGTAGCCTAGATCTTAAAGTATAAAAAAACAAAACAACAAAAAAACATGTGTAACCAACACACAAAACCCTACACAACCAAACGGCACTGGTCTCTTTCAGAGCCTTCCCTCACCAAGCCCTACCCTGTCCCCAGAGATGAGGCCATGACATGACAGTACTTTAGAGAGTTTTAGCAACGCTTTGTTTTTTGAGCCCATGTGCTCATATGAGCTTGTTCAAACCCCAGAGTAGGGGCCTGAATGACTGGACCTTTACACATCAGCGCTGGCCCAGAAGGTTACAGATTGGCACTGGGAGTCTCCCAGGAAGGAAATGCTGAGCACTTTTTAGTTAATGAAGGTCCGAAGTCTCAGCTGGTGAATTGTCAAAATGGATGATGTACTCAAATGTAAATGTTTTGTGTTAAAGAATTATCATCTACTTCTTGTTTCTTGTGAATTTCTTTTGCCCTTTTTCATTCCTGTCTTCTTAGAGGGTCTTTTTGACTGCTGCAAGTGGGGTCAGTTGCTCCTCTCCTCAGATTTGTGAAAGGCCCTGTTACTGTATTTAACATTTTATTGTAATAGTCTGTTTTTTTCTATCTCTTTTTCCATTGTTTGGTGCAGCTGTGGGTACTCTATAAATGTTTGATTAAAAAAATGCCAAATAAATGAATTGCATCTGTTTCTCTCATAAATTTATGAGAAGGTAATATAGCAAAGTATTGTGCATGTGTCTCTCTCTTTGAATGAACTAATTAAAATCTTTAAAAACAATTTTTTTTTTTTTTGAGACAGGGTCTCACTGGGTCACCCAGGCTGGAGTGCAGTGTCACGATCATGGCTTACCCTAGCCTTGATCTCCGGGGCTCAAGCAATCATCCCACCACAGCCTCCTGAGTAGCTGGGACTACAGGCATGTGCCATGCCCAGCTATTTTTTGTATTTTTTTAGAGGTAGGGTTTCACCCAGTTGCCCAGGCTGGTCTCAAAAACTCCTGGGCTCAAGTGATCCACCTGCCTCAGCCTCCCAAATTGCTGAGATTACAGGTGTGAGCCACCACGCCTGGCCAAATTAGAATCTTTTAAAATCACAAAAGAATTCCAACAATGTAGAAAAATACCAAAATGAAAGTTAAACTTATGCCAAATCCTGCCACTCAGAGATTAGAATGAGTACACCACTGAACTCACTGGGGGCCTGGGTATGTGTCCATCATGCCTACTGGCTTTTATTAATTTTTTATTATTTTTTGGAGATGGAATCTTGCCATTGTGTCCAGGCTGGCCTCAAACACCTGGGCTCAAGCGATCCGCCCGCCTTGGCATCTCAAAGTGCTGGGATCATAGGGGTGAGCCATAATGCCTGACCTTTAGTGGCTTTTATTTATTTATTTATTTATTATTTTTTGTGAGACGGAGTCTCATTGTGATGCCCAGGCTGGAGTGCAATGGTGCAACCTCGGCTTACCTCTGCTTCCCGGGTGCAAGTGATTCTACTTCCTCAGCCTCCTGAGTAGCTAGGATTACAGGCACGTGCTACCACGGCCAATTTTTGTATTTTTAGTAGAGATGGGGTTTCATCATATTGGCCAGGCTGGTCTCGAACTCCTGACCTCAAGCGATCTGCCCGCCTCGGCCTCCCAAAGTGCTGGGATCACAGGTGTGAGCCATGGCGCCCAGCCCTTAGTGGCTTTTAAACAGTCGCTGCTGTGCCACCCCTTCCCCCCACCCCACAAGCCGTCACTGTGAAGGTCAGCATGTGCCCAGATTTTTGCTTTGAGAATATAAAAAAAACTTTTATTTTCTGTTCCAGAACTTTCCATGACTGGATCACAGGGAAAAACCGACCGAGCTCAGGAAGCCTAATCCAGGTGGTAACCACAGAAGGAAGGACGGAACTCACCCCAGCATATTTTTAGGCCTCATCTCAGTGCCTATGAGGGGCCTGCCAGAAAAGTCACTAACCTGTCTCAGTGTGGCCTTGTCCAGCCTTGTGTTTTCTGTAACCCCTGTTTGTGGTACGAGATAATGAGTCCTATTTTTCTCTCACATAATATGCATTTGCTCTCCTAGGACAGTGTAATACATTTATGTGAAGTAAAGACATGCGAGACTGGTGGCCTGCAAATAGCATCCGTTGATCTGTGTTAACTGCATAGGGAGGGCTCTGCATAGCACCTGCTATAGCGGTGTCATGTTGGATCGCTTTTGTGACTGTTCATCTGTCCTTGACAGTGGCTGTCATCTTGACTACTTTGTTGATTTGTTGGTATTGGGGACATTTTAAAGGCTGAGTTATTTTTGAATGTCATGTTTATGTCATAGACGTAGTTTTCGCATCCTTGAATTAAACTGCCTTAACTCCTTTTGTGGTATAAGCAAAACTACATGGACTCTGTCCTGGTATCCTTTTCCTGTGTGGTTGCCCCGTGTCCTCTGGCCTAGGGTTAAGTGTGCAAGATAACTACTCGTGAGTATTCAGAATGTTGTTCCTAATAAATGCACTTGTTGTCTGTCTTCTTTAATCAAATCACATCTTATATACAGCAGTCAGAGATGAGTATACTAGAATCATGGATTGCTGGAGGTCTTTTAATCTGATGTTCTCAGAAGGGGGTGGATTTAAATCCTGAAATAAATATTTCAACACAAGAACACAGGCCTGATTCTGCCTTGGACATGTCAAAATCTGGGGGTGATGGGATGGCCCTGTGCATTTAGAAGCAGCTCTCCACATATGGCCAATGTAGGCTGTCCTGGTTGAGAACTAGTAGTGGTTTAATCCAACCCGATCATTTTACAGATGAGGAAACTGAGGCCCAGAGAGACATTACCTTGTTGCCAGTAACTGGCAGAGCTAAGCCCAGATCTCTAGTCACCAGACAGTTGCTGTTTTTAAAGGCCTTTACCACGTATTTTCTTTCTTTTTTTAGTGAGGTGAAATTCACATAATTTTTTTTTTTTTTTTTTGAGACAGAGTCTTACCCTGTCGCCCAGGCTGGAGTGCAGTGGCGCCATCTCGGTTCACTGCAAGCTCCGCCTCCTGGGTTCACACCATTCTCCTGCCTCAGCCTCCCGAGTAGCTGGGACTACAGGCGCCCACCACCACACCCGGCTAAGTTTTTTTGTATTTTTAGTAGAGACGGGGTTTCACCGTGTTAGCCAGGATGGTCTTGATCTCCTGACCTTGTGATCTGCCCACCTCGGCCTCCCAAAGTGCTGGGATTACAGGTGTGAACCACTGCACCCGGCCAAAATTAGCCATTTTAAGGCTAATTTTAAGTATTAAAAGTTAAGTAGGTGAGCAGTTCAGTGGCATTTAGCACATTTACAGTAGTGCATAATCACCACCTCTGTCTAGTTCCCAAACATTTCCATCACCCCAAAAGAAAAACCAGAGCTCTTTAAGCAGTTCCTCCCCATTCCTGCTCCCTAACCCCTGCAACCACCAATCTTCATTTTGTTTCTGTGAATTAATTCTGGGTATTACTATTTTTTTGAGACAGTCTTGCTCTTACCCAGGCTGAAGTACAGTGGCATGAACATGGCTCACTGCAGCCTCGATTTCCTGGGCTCAAGCAATCTTCCCACCTTGGCCTCTCGAGGAGCTGAGACTACAGGCACGTGCTGCCACACCCAGATATTTTTTAAAGTTTTTTGTAGAGACAGGTCTTGCTATGTTGCCCGGGCTGGTCTCAAACTCCTGGACTCAAGCAGTCCTCCTGCCTTGTCTTCCCAAAGTGCTGGTATTACAGGCGTGAGCCATTGCACCTGGCCTGTTCTGGGTATTTTGTATAAATGGAATCAGTATGTGACCTTTTGTATCTGGCTGCTTCTACCTAGCTTTATGTTTTCCATGTTCTTCCCCATTGCATCATGTATCAGTACTTTCTTTCTTTTTGTGGCATAATATTCCATTATATGTATCCACTGCAATTTTGTTTACTGATCTGTTGATAGACATTTGGGCTGTTTCCACCTTTTGGCTGTTGTGAGCATTGCCGCTGTGAACATTCATGTATAAGTGTTTGTGTATCTGTTTTCAATGATTTTGGATATATACCTAGGAGCAGGATTGTTCGACCATATGGTAATTTTTGTGTTTATCTTTTTTTTTTTTTTGAGATGGAGTCTTGCTCTGTTGCCCAGGCTGGAGTGCAGTGGTGCGATCTCAGCACACTGTAACCTCTACCTCCCAGGTTCATGTGATTCTCCTGCCTCAGCCTCCCGAGTAGCTAGGACTACAGGTGTCCACCACCACACCTGGCTATTTTTTTTTTTTTTTTTTGTATTTTTAGTAGAGATGGAAGAGACAGAGTTTCACCATGTTGGCCAGGCAGGTTTCAAACTCCAGACCTCAAGTGATCCACCTGCCTCGGCCTCCCAAAGTGCTTAGAATTACAGCTGTGAGCCACTGCGCCTGGCCTCTATGTTTAACTTTTGAGAAGTCTCTTGATTCTTGCCACTACGAGGTGATTTTATCCAACTATTACAGGAAAGAAAATGGGAGCTCAGAAGGTTGGACTGCTTGTTCAAAGTCACCTAGCTAGAGAGCTGCGCAGCTGGAACTAGTATACAAGTCTAGCTGTTGAAAGCACCCTGAGCACATTACCTCATGCTGTACCTTGCATGTCTTGTTGTTTTCAATTTTCAGATGAAGAAACAGTTCCACACACTAAGAGACTTAACGAGGGTACAGTTAGTTTCAGGAGAGCTGGTAGTTTTCATTCCGTTTAGAACCGGACCTGGTAACTGTTGATTATCCTAATAAATGCACTTCATTTATCGTGTTGCCTTTTTATTTTGAGACAGAGTCTCGCTCTGTCACCCAGGCTGGAGTGCGGTGGCATGACGTCGGCTCACTGCAACCTCCGCCTGCCTGGTTCAAGCGATTCTTCTGCCTCAGCCTCCCGAGTAGCTGGGACTACAGGCGTGCACCACTACACCCAGCTAATTTTTATATTTTTAGTAGAGACGGGGTTTCACCACTTTGGCCAGGATGGTCTCAATCTCTTGACCTCGTGATCCGCCTGCCTCGGCCTCCCAAAGTGCTGGGATTCACAGGCGTGAGTCACCGTGCCTGGCCTGTCTCTTTAATCAAATCACATCTCATATCCAGCAGTCATAGATGAGTATGCTAGAATCATGGACTGCTTGGAAGTCTTTTAATCTGGTGTTTACCTACTCATCCGTTGGTGGAAATTTGGGCTGCTTATTAATTATTAATTATTTTTAATTATTGAATACCAGATCTGGTTTCTAAATGGAATGAAGACTACCAGCTCTCCTCAAACTAATTGATTATTGAGGTGTGTTTCTTTTCCTTCCCTGGTGATGTGCAAAGAGAATGAAAAGGGAAAAGGGGCCAGGAAGGAGATGTTTTTTCTCCTTCATTCATTCAACAGCTAATCTTGAGTACCAACTGTGTACAAGGCACTAACCTAGATGCCTGGGACACATAAAGAACAAGTAGACAAAGACTCCTACCCTTAATCATTGAGTTTTATTCTAGATGGGGGAGAGGGTGACAGATAATAAACAATAGAATTCATAATATGAATTCATTGGAGAGTACGAGAAAGGTGAACTGTGGGGGGAAGAGAGCAAGGTAAGGGGGTGAAGGAGTGTTGGGGAGATTGGGATTGCAATTTCAGAAATGGTAGTGTTATGAACTGAATGTGGGTGTCTCCCCCAAATTTGTATGTTCAAGACCTCACTCTAATGTGGCTGTATTTGGAGATGGGGCCTCTAAGGAAGTAACTAAGATGAAATGGGTTCGTGAGGATGGGCACTGATTCAACAGGATTAGTGTTCTTATGAGGACAGACACCAGAGTTCTCCCTCTCACTTTCTTCCCACACGCATGCACTGAGGAAAGTCTGTGTGAGGACACAGCAAGGAGGCTGCCGTCCACAAGCTGAGAAGAGAGCCCTCACAAGAGATGGAATTGACTG
The DNA here is from genome assembly GCF_000001405.40 of Homo sapiens. NCBI lineage: Eukaryota > Metazoa > Chordata > Mammalia > Primates > Hominidae > Homo > Homo sapiens. Next base: position 17,483,095 of record NC_000004.12, on the reverse strand, counting down.
GAGCCTCAGTCTTGGACTTTCAGCCTCCAGAACAGAGAAAATAAATGTGTGATGTTAAGCCACCCACTCTGTGGTGTTTTGTTATGGCAGCCCACACTAATACAGGCAGTGATGGAATATCTCGTGAGGAAGTGACGTTTGAACACATCTGAAAGAAAGTGTAGAAGGCAGCCAAGGGCATCTGAGGTAAGGACATTTTAAGACAGAGGAACCAGTCATTGCAAAGAGCCTGAGGCAGTAGTGTACCAGGTGGGGTGAGGAACACAGGGAGGCTGGGTTGGCTGGGGCAGAGAATGGAGCAAACAGAGGGGCAGTTTCAGGAGATAAGATCAGACAGATGATTGTGTAGGGTAGGGGTCCCCCAATTTTCTAGGCCCACAGTGCCCTTAGTGTCTCAGTAATTTTTTACAATGCCCCTACATCAAAGAAACTAACTAATGATTTGGATTTACAAGTGGTTGGGTTCTAACAATTTTATAGTAGTAATATGACTGATATTGCTCTATGACCTAGAACATGGAAAGTACCCTGTAGAGTCCCTGTGAATGCTGCCTTGGAGTGCCTTGGTGCACAGTTTGGGAATAGCAAATGTAAGGGGGTGTTGGGCATTTTAAGGATTTGGTTTTGGATTTTGGGAACTACCGCAAGGATTTTGAGCGAAAGAGTGGCATGATATATTTTAAAAGATTGCTCTGGCTGTTGTGTTGAGGATAGTACTGAGGTTTTTGCAAGAATCCAGGCAAGAAATGACAGTGGTTAGGGTGGTAGCAGTGGAGGTCGTGAGAGGAGAATTGGGAAATGGTGGATATTTTGAAGACAGATTCAAGAGGATTTCCTGGTGGATTTAATGTGACGGTAAGAGAGAAAAGAGTCAGTGATGTCTCCCAAAGTTTTTCACGTGAGCAAATGGATTAAGTTAGCAAGTGTGATAGAGAAGGCTGTGGATAGAGCAAGTATTGGGAGTATCTGGAGTGTTGTTTTGGACATAGAGGTTTACTCTATTAATACCCCAGTGGAGATGTTAAGTGGGCAGTTGTATTAAGTCTGGTGTTTGAGAGAGAGAGAGATCTAGGGGTCCTGAGAGATCTGGGGGTCCTAAGCAGTTAAAGTTATGAGACTAGGTGAGATCACTAAGGGAATGTGTTGGCCAGGGTCCAGAAGACAGAAGCCATGCAGTATTGTGAATGAGGTCAGTGTAATATAAAGAATTATCGAGTAGCAAAGATTAATTCTAAAAGGCTAATGAGAACTCTGAAGAATATTCTTGTGCCGAGGGACAGCACTTGAGGAACAAATTTGGAAGACAAGTCCCTCCCCAAGGCTGGGACCTGAGCTTCATTGGAGAAGGTATGGCGGTGGACATAGAGTAGGACATAGAGAGGTGGACATGGAGAAGTTATGGCACTGGACAGCAGAGTTTGTTGGGTTCCCTGGGCCTGTGTTGGTCTACAGCCACTGGGGAAGCAGGAAGCACCCTGCCAGGGTGCATGAAGTGCTGCTGGATGTCCCTCACATGTACATGGTAACCATGTGGCAGGAACCATATGGAAGCACACCAGAACCAGGAAAGGAAGCCCCCTCCTCCAACACTCTGTGTTGGCAAAACTGAACATTGTATCAGCTATGCAGGAGAAATGTTTACAGAGTCCAGTTCCATTATTGCAGAACAGTCAATGAAGGGTGGCTTTGGAGCAGAGAGGAAATAAATTGGAAACTGGCAATACACTAAATATGTGAGAAGAGAAGAGAAGAAGATAATTTCTCTGATAATAGGGAGAAAAAAAATCAACAAAAGGGCACTGAAAGAGAACAACCAATAAAGTAGGAGAAAAAGTAAGAATGTGGTGTCCCAGGAATAAAGTGAAGAAAGTATCAAGAAGGGAGGGAATGAGCAGCAGTGTTGAATGCTGTGAGAAGTCAAGTAAGATAAGGGCTATAAAAACTGACCATTGGACCCAGCTGTGGGGAGGTCCTTGCGATCTTGACAAACAGTTCAGTAGAGTAATGGGGAGTAGGGAATATTCGAGTGGGGTTATGAAAGCATGAGAGGAGAGGAAATGGTGTACAGACAACTTTAACTTAGGTTAGGTACTTTGTTGGAATCTTCTAAACTTTATCCTTGAACAGAATCTGGAAAACTCTACCAGGTTTTTGAATCTGTTTGTTCTCACAGGTATGCTTTATAGCTGAAATCATTTCTTAGGGAATTGATCAGATACATGTAATTTGAAGCCTGGCTTATTGAATTTTAGCTTCCCTCAGCCCGAACTTGCCTGAAGACAGCTTGCCTCTAGGTGCTAATTTCCTGCTACATTCCAGATTGTGGCTTCTGCCCCCTTCCAAATGGGCTGTCACCAGCTTGGAGGTCAGCCTGCATGTTCCTGGAAGCTGAGAGCGTACACAGCTTCTAGGAATAGAACAGCATGCCATGGGGCTCCTCCAGAGTACTGGGGAGGAACCCGCTGTGGTCTGTTCCATTAAACAATTGTGACTTTTTCTTTGGAACTTTCAGTGTGAGTATAACCTACACCTAGAAGCAATATAGAGTTATAGAAGGGCCCTGAGTCAGGTCACATGAATTTGGACATAGTTCTTCCATTTACTTGCTGTAGAACCTTGAGAATATTTCTTACATCTCCATATCTCAGTCATATGAGAAACGGGAACATTATCATGATCTCCAGGGATTAAACAAATGAATGCATGCAAAAGGACTGGCATATAGAAGTGCTCAGAAAGTATTGGTTGTTATTCTTATTATCTGTTTCTAATTTTATATGGAAGTATGACGGGAAAGTAAAGTTCATGTCACACAGCACGTGGCAATACTTCGGTTCTTATTGCCAAATAATATTCCATTGTATGGTTATGCCACATTTTATTTGTCCACTCATCAGTTGTTAGACATGTGAATTGTTTCTGCTTTTTGGCCATAGTCAGTTATGATGCTGTGAACATTTGCAAAACTCACCTTTTGTGTGAACATATATTTTCATTTCTTTTGGTACATGCCTACAAGTAGAGTTATTGAATATCAGTTGGTGACTCTATATTCAACCATTTTAGCAATTACTAGACTGTTTTCCAAAGCAGCTGCACCATTTTACATTTCCACTGGTAGTGTATGATGGTTTTAGTTTTTCCACATGTCCAGTCCAGTCAGTCTTGATTTACATGTCTCCAGTCAGATAAGTCCATCCTCTTCCTCCTATGGTGAGGAGCAAGTAAGGACCTCAAGGTCTCATTTGTCAGAGTGCCACAAGTATTACATAATTTTTAATTCAGTTGGTATCTTAATTTTGGTTTTCTTAAAAATCGGCACTGATTGCTTGATTATAGGTTGTCTCTTTTTGATTATAGCCATCCTAGTGGGTGTGGAGTGGCATCTCATTGTGATTTTGATTTGTATTTCCCTCATAGCTGATGATGTTGAGCATCTTTTCATGTACTTGTTGGCTATTTGCATATGGTGAAATGTCTGTTCAGATCCTTTGCTCAATTTTTAATAATATCCTTTTATTACTGAATTCTTAGATTCTCTATATACTCTAGATACAATTCCCTTATCAGATAAGTGATTTGCCACACCTTTCTTTCATTCAGTGGGTTGTCTTTTCACTTTATTGATGGTGCCCTTTGAAGAACATAATTTTTAACTTTGATGATTTCCATTTGCACATAAGCTTTCGTTTCTCGCTGTTTTCTAGGGAACCTGGACTAAGCACCTGAGTGAGGTAGATATTAGTTCCATATCTGGTGAGGGAACTAAGGATCATAGAGTTTAAGTTATTTTCCCAAACCACATAGCCGGTGTAGAAAGAAGCCAGAATTTGCACTGAAGTCTGTGAGATCCCTTATGGACAGGGTGCAGGACATACTAAGTGTGAGTTGAGCTTGCACATTGGAAGGCTGGGCATGGTGGCTCCCAGCCACTATGGGAGGCCTAGGTGGGTGGATCACTTGAGCCCAGGAGTTAGAGACCAGCCTGAGCAACATAGTAACACCCCCTCTCCACAAAAAAATACAAAAATTAGCCCAGCATGGTGGCACATGCCTGTAGCCCCAGCTACTCGGGAGGCTGAGGTGGGAGAATCACTTGAGCCTGGGAGGTTGAGGCTGCAGTGAGCTGTGATCATGCCATTGTACTCCAGCCATCATGGAGTGAGACCCTGATTTGGTTTGGCTGTGTCCCCACCCAGATGTCAACTTGAATTGTGGCTCCCAGAATTACCATGTGTTGTGGGAATGGAAGGGAACCAGGGGGAAGTAATTGAATCATGGGGCCGGTCTTTCCCATGCTATTCTCGTGGTAGTGAATAAGTCTCACGAGATCTGATGGGTTTATCAGGGGTTTCTGCTTTTGTTTCTTTCTCATTTTTCTCTTGCCGTCACCACGTAAGAAGTGCCTTTTGCCTCCCGCCATGATTCTGAGGCCTCCCCAGCCATGTGAAACTGTAAGTCCAATGAAGCCTCTTTTTCTTCCCAGTCTTGGGTATATCTTAATCAGCAGCGTGAAAACGGACTAATACAGACCCTATCTCAAAAACAAACAAAAAGAGATTGCACATTGGCACTTGGTCCCTGAATGTGCTAATGATATGTGGCATTCATGGGCCATCTGCTGTGTGTGTGGGGTTTTACATACATCCTTCCTTGTATATCCTTAAGGCATTCACCTCTTCAGCCTCCAGGATGGGAAGGTTTTTGCAGGAATGTATCTTTTCCTCTCTTGAGGTCCTCACTTGCTCCTCACCATAGGAGGAAGGACGGATTTATCTGATTGGAGAGACTGTAAATAAAGACTGACTGGAACATATGGACCAGGGGCGGGTCTGCTGCATGGACTTTGGGCTGTGTGGGTTGCTCACTCTCCTGCCCTCTTCTTGCCTATGCAGAACTGATTTCTCACCTCTACCTTCCTGTCTGTTCCTGGTGGGTTAGGAACGTAGAGGAGAGAAGGGATGAAGATTAGTTTCTCTTACCCCCTGAAGCATTATTTTTCACAGTGCCTCTCCACCTGTTCAGTGTTGAGTAAGTGCTGAATGAGTGGACAGGGAAACAGCCTTGGAGAAGCTTACTATCCCGCACATCCCTACTAAGTGATGCAAATGAGTCAGGGAGCCGGGGTCCACACCCAAGCGCCACCCTTGGTGGTTTGTATGATTCTCTGGTTAGGGAGGCATGACGGTAACATCTCCTCCTGTTTATTCCTGCCATCTGCTGCTTTGTCCGCCTCTCATCTCCTTGGTGGCTTCCTCCATGCAGCAGGTTGGTGGACACAGGTGCACTTTGTTCACTACCTGGCCCTGCCACACCGTAGTTATGGGACCACGAGCAATGGGCCAGCCTTTGGCCTCTTTTCTCACATTTATTGCTTGCCCTTCTCAGTCCCAGTCTGCATGTCAGGCACCACATTTTCCAGGCTCCCCTGTCCCTGGCTTCCTGTAGGGTCAGGCAGTTGGGGGCCTGGTAGAGAAAGGGAGGATGGGGAGAGGGGAGAAGCACAGTATCCCCATTACCCCTCCTGCCTCAGTGGCATCTCAGGGGCAGTGGTGACGTCTTCAGCTGTGGTGCGTCTCCTCTGTTTTCCCCGCTCCCACTGACTGGCTCCTTCCTCGGTGGAAGCAGCTCCCCAGGGCCTGCCCACGGCTCTTCCTTTGATTCTCAGCCCTTGAGTTGCAGTGGCTTCTCACTGTTGCTCATCTCTGGGTCGCTTCATTGTCCCCTGTTTGGATTCTGGATTTTTCCGTCTCTGATATGACCCATCCTCTTTATTAAATTTCCTCTGTTGGAGTGGTTCTGTTTTCTGGCTGGTCCCTGACCGATGTAGTGTCCTATCAGTAAAATGGGAGTGCTACCATCTCCCTTATGGTGTGGCTGTGGGTATTCAGTGAGATGGCAGCTGGTTAGTATTTACCGTTTTTTTCTGTACTTCAGAGGGAAGAGTGGGCCTCTCTGGGAAACAGTGCCTCTGACTTCTGCATTTTTAATTTGCCCCAAAGCCATTAGTTCTTAATTTCAGTTTCTACTTGTTGCAATGATAGGGTGGTAGCAATATCACCACTCACCCTTCTGGAATAGCCTGGGGCCTGGGGAGAGGTGTTCCCGGTGTGGTCACATTCTGTGGCAGATTGTGTCTAGCTGGGGACTTGGGCAATATGCTGCTGTCACCTATGAGTGTTTTTAAGTCACAGCTGCTTAAAATCTCAGGAAATAGAAAGCGTCTAAGTGAAGTGAATGGTGTGGCTGCATGCTGCCTTTCAAAGTGCGACGGACAGCCTCTCCTGGGGGCTTGGCAAAAGAATTGGGAAGGGTCAGTTTCGGAGGCTCTGTCCATGGGAGGAAACTGGTGCTGAGTCCAAGTTTTTTCCCCTTCAGGTCAATTTCTATTGTAATACCATCACTTAGATGTAAAATAAAGGCCACTGGGGGGCATTTTAGAGACAGAGACGGTGGGGAGCAAAGCTCCGTGGGGGATAAAGAAAGCACATTAGACAGAAAATCCTACTGTGCCGGGGGTTTCTGCTGTCCTAGAGCTCTGTGCAGGGGATTATTGGAAGAAACTTAATGTTTTTCTTTTCTCTTCTCTTCTTTTCTCTTCTCCTTCCTTCTTTTCTTTCTTTCCTTCCTTCCTTCTTTCTTTCTTTCTTTCCTTCTTTTTTTTTTTTTTGACAGTCTTGCTCTGTCGCCCAGGCTGGAGTGCTGTGGTGCGATCTTGGCCCAATGCAACCTCCACCTCCCGGGTTCAAGCGATTCTCCTGCCTCAGCCTCCCAAGTAGCTGGGATTACAGGCACCTGCCACCACGCCTGGCTAATTTTTATATTTTTAGTAGAGACGGGGTTTCTCCATGTTGGCCAGGCTGGTCTTGAACTCCTGACCTCAGGTGATCCACCTGCCTTGGCCTCCCAAAGTGCTGGGATTACAGGCGTGAGCCACCATGCCAGGTCTGAAACTTAATGTTTTTCTAGAATGTTCTTAGCATTGAGCGAGCCTCTATATAGTCTGGAGATACTCCTGGACTAAGCAAGTCCCTTTCTGGCCTCTGCCTCAGTTTTCCGTTTCTGGCAGAATTTCCTACTGCATTTTTGCAAATTATTTTTTTAGCTCTGGATAAAGTAATTTGGACTGAAAATCTGAGTAAGAGAAGAATTAAGATATCCCATCTCAATGGTTATCTAAGAACTGCAAATGGAAACAGTGAGATAGCATTAATAGTAGTTACCAAACTAGCAATGATTTTTAAAATGCAGGTGGTAATTGGTAAAGTGTAATTTCAAACCCTGCTGGTGGCCAGCCAAGTAGCAGAACTTTTCTGGCAAGTAATTTGAGGGTCTTACAACCCTCAAATATACCATTTGATCTAGTAATTCCATATCTTAAGTGTTATGTAATAATCAGCAACAAGGACAAAAAAAATAACAAATGAAATTCCTGCATCATTACTGAAATCTTGGAAACAATCCAAAAGACTAGCAGCACAGAATTGTTAAATAATCACCATACATTATGATATAATATGATTTGTGCCATAGAATAACTGCTGAATGGGAGGAGTGCCCTGGGCAGGGAAGGAGGTCCAGATCCTTTCTGGGGTGTATGGGCTGCTGTGAACCCAGTAGGGGTCTGCTTGACATTGAACTGCATCTGCTGTAATGGCCTAGGGGGTTTAGTCCCCTGCGCAGCTCCTCTTGCCATCTCTCTTCCTTAACATTGACCAAATGAATCCTTACTATGCTGTAGGCCTTGCTTTACAAGCATTGACCCATCTTCATGACTTTAACGAGGACACTTCTATTATTATGTCCATTTCACAGTTGAGAAGATTGTGGCATAGAGAGAAGTTACTTGCCCAACGTCACACAGTTAGGAAGCAGCAAATGTCAGGATTTGAGCAGGTATTCAGACCGCTCTTAGCTACTACATTATACCAGACTGCAAATAAGCCGTACAGTTAATTAGCACAATCTAGTTGTGCTAAGAATTATTAAAAATCACATCTTCAAATAATTGTTAGTGATATGAGAAAATTCTCACGGTACAGCGTCAAGTGAAAGACAGCATGCATGATATATGTTATGATATAGTAAGATGTGAGCCAGATGCGGCAGCTCACGCCTGTAATTCTAGCACCTTGGGAGGCCAAAGTGGGAGAATTGCTTGAGGCCAGGAGTTCGAGAGCAGTCTAGGCATCATGGCGAAACCCCATCTCTACCCAAAATACAAAAATTAGCTGGGCATGGTGGTGTGTGCCTTTAGTCCCAGCTACTTGGGAGGCTGAGGTGGGAGGATCCCTTGAGCTGTGATTATGCCACTGCACTCCAGCCTGGGTCCCAGAGCAAGACCCTATCTCTAAAATAAAATAAAATAAAATAAAATAAATGCAAGTTTTGCTGTATGACTTAATGAAACAGGAAAAAGAAATAAATTCCATGAGACAGGAGCAGTGCCATTTACTTGTCTGTTATTTATTTATTTTTTGGAGACAGCGTCTAGCTCTGTCCACCCAGGGTGGAATGCAGTAGCATGATCTCAGCTCAGTGCAACCTCTGCCTCCTGGACTCAAGCGATTCTTTGCCTCAGTCTCCCGAGTAGCTGGGACTACAGGTGTGTGCCACCACACCTGGCTAATTTTTTGTATTTTAGTGGAGATGGGGTTTCACCATGTTGCCCAGGATGGTCTCGAACTCCTGAGCTTAGGCAATTCACCCGCCTTGGCCTCCCAAAGTGCTAGGATTACAGGCGTGAGCCACCACGCCTGACCAACTTGTCTGTTTTTTAAACTCATCCTTGCAACTCCCAGTATGTAGCTCAGTGCCAGGCACACAGTAAGGCCACAGAGTAACTGCTGAACTGGCAGACTTCTCTCTATGTGTCACTCTTCTCAATTGTGAAATGAACATAATAATAGAAGTTTCCTCGTTAAAGTTGTGAAGATGAATCAATGCTTGTAAAGCAAGGCCTACAGCATAGTAAGTGTTCAGTCAATGTTAAGGAGCCCTGGGGAGGGAAGGAGGTCACGGTCTTCCCTGGGCAGTATGGGCTGCTGTGAACCTGTGTGGGGTTGGCTTGAACTGAATCCATTGTAACGGCCTGGGGGATTCAGTCCCCTGCCCAGCTCCTCTTGCCATCTCTCTTTTTTTGTGTTGTGCCAGAGCCATGTAAGGGACTGAAACTGGCGTGGCACAGGAACACAGGCACTCAGGCCAAGCAAAGATGGCCTTGCTGTTGAGTGAGTGAATTGCAGCTCATCTCTCTGTTGTGACCTTGTCCATTTCATGCGAAGCAACACTTATGGGTGGGCCCAGTGCCTGTTTGCTTTCAGGGAAACAGCACAGAAATCAGGATCAGTAAATTTGATGTTGAAGTCTTTTTATCCCTTGGACTCTCCCATATCCCACTCAGGTCCCCATCAGCACATTGTCACCTCATCCCTGCAATGGTCTGGCAGCTCTGCTGTGCCTCAAAGAGGCTCTGACAAGCCTCGCTGGGATGTGCAAGCCACTGCGCAAGGCTAATAATTTGGTGATTCTTTGAATAAATATTAAAAATATCTACTGTGCAGAAGTGAATTTTTGGTTAATAAAAATTTCATGCAGAATTCTTTTCTTTCTCTCTTTCTTTCTTTTTCTTTTTTCTTTTGGCAGGCCCTCGTTCTGTCACACAGGCTGGAGTGCAGTGGTGCAATCACAGCTCACTGCAGCCTTGACTTCCAGGCTCAAGTGATCCTCCCACCTCAGTCTCCCAAGTAGCTGGGACTATGGGCACGTGCCACCACACCTGGCTAATTTTTGTATTTTTTGTAGAGACAGAGTCTTATTATGTTGCTCAGGCTGGTCTTGAACCCCTGAGCTCAAGTGATCCTTTTGCCTCAGCCTCCCAAAGGGCTGGGACTATAGGCAGGAGTCACTGCACCCTTCCTTTTTCTTTCTTTTTAAAAATCTGATTTATTTCCATGGGTAGAAGCAGACCCAACATTTTGAAAATATATTTGTACCACGCCCTTTTTTTTATTTTTTTCTTTTTTGAGACAGAGTCTCGCTCTGTCGCCCAGGCTGGAGTGCAGTGGTGCGATCTCGGCTCACTGCAAGCTCCACCTCCCAGGTTCACTCCATTCTCCTGCCTCAGCCTCCTGAGTAGCTGGGACTACAGGCGCCCACCACCACGCCTGGCTAATTTTTTTTGTATTTTTAGTAGAGACGGGGTTTCACCGTGTTAGCCAGGATGGTCTCGATCTCCTGACCTCGTGATCCGCCCACCTCGGCCTCCCAAAGTGCTGGGATTACAGGCGTGAGTCACCGCGCCCTGCCTGTACCACGACTTTTTTTGGTAGTGTTTGTTCCTTAGCTACTTTCGCTCTCTGATCTTCTAAACCAGACTCCTTCGGAGGTGCATGAAAGGGCTTGCAATTTAGGTAGTTAACAGCTGGTAAGCAGCAAAGATGCAAACATGATCTGAATCAGCATCTTAGCTGATGGTGATAGTGGGCTTTCAGCTGCCAGTGAATCCAAGTGTATAAAAGAAAAAAAAAAACTCAGATGAGAGAAGTTTTCAAAATGTCCACTGGGTGGAGCTGTCAGTTTAGCTGGAAGCATGTTTGGCTTACTTAGCTACAAGTTACACCAGTGATGTTTCAGTGACTCTTAAAATTGGTGCCCAAACCCTTTCCTACTTCCTTCAAACCCAGATCATAATTACAACTAAATAACATTGGTGGGATTATTGTCAGTTTCACTCACAAGACTGTAAAGTTCATGGAAACCCTGAAGGTCAGGATTCCCAGAGATGCCGCTTTGGTCTTCTTCCTCTAAATTTAGTTGGTTATCAAAGGAATAATTTAGGGAGGTTATTAAAAATGGATTCCTGGAAACTTTCCCAATCCTGATTTAGTAGTAGTGGGGTGGAGCCATGTGTTAGTTATCTATTGGTGTGTAAACAAATCACCCCAAAACTTAGAAGCTTAAAAGAATAGTACTTATTATCTTTCACAGTTTCTGTGGGTCAGGAATTTAGGAGTGACTTATTTTGGGGTTATGGCTCAGGGTCTCCTGTGAGGCTGCTGTCAGATGTCAGCTGGGGCTGCCTTCATCTGAAGGCTCGACTGGAGCTGAGGGATCCACTTCTGAGGGTGCTGGCAAGCTGGATCCAGGAACAGTATAGGACAGGGAGGATGTGCTGGACTGGCTCAGATATATCCAGATGTAGGTGCTGTCTGGGCATGGCAGATTATTAAATGTTGGTTCTTTGGCTGGGTGCACCCTGTTGCATCCTCTGACCACAGCAACCCTGAAGCATACAGTCTTCTTCCCCAGCAGGTCTCCTCAGCCTCTAGGCTTCCATGGTCCCCTCAGCCTCTAGGCTTCCATGGTCCCCCATCCCTGCAGGGTCACTTTGTCTTTCCAGGCTAACTCCTGGGAAGTGTTCCTTTCAACATGGCTTGAGGTTGGCTCCTTCCCATATGGCCCACATCTAGCCTTGGGAAAACATGAGCATTTGCCCTCCTTCTTCACTCCCCAGAGAGGGGCAGGGAGAGGAGAAATGGTGCAAGATTCCAACAGCTCTCTGGAGACATTGTCTCTCTACCTCTTCCACCTCTCCAGCATCAAAGGCTGGTGGTGGGTATGCGTGGGATCTGACAATGGCTTCCTAGTCTCTTGATGGGTCCTGCACCAGTGACCTAACACTTTGCCTAGGAATGTGGGGACTTGGTACCTGTTGTGTTCTTGGCCTTTGCACATTAATGAAAACCTGATACAGCAAGTCCTTTTCAAGATCCTGTTCCATTTCTCCATACGCCAACTTTAAAGCCTTCCTAAGCATCCGACTCCAGCACCCGGGAGCTTCTTGACCTTCTCCACTTGAGTATCGCAGAGTTAAGTTGAACATGGTGCATCAGAGCTCAGTATCCATCCTGGGAGCCACATTCTCCTCCTCCCTTTCTGTCTTGAGTGGAGACACGGGGGTCAGAAACCACGTTATCCACAACCACTCTTACTCCCCACTCATCATCCCGTCCCTCGCCTCGCCCTGACAATTGTACCCCCTAATTATTCCTTGAACCTGCCCTCCTCCTGCCTCTGCACTCCACCTTCCTCCATTGCTTTAGCCCAGCCATTTCTCTCCTCTTCTCCACCTTGATTCAGCTAACTCCTCCTAGACCTGGCATAGTCATCCGTTCCAGGAACCCTTATCTGATAAAATCCCATCCCTTTGCCCAAAGGCTGGGCTGGGTCAGGTGCCCCTCCTACCGACAGTTTCCTGTGTCGTCATTGGCCACCTCTTGTGCCTCGCCTTGCATCCTCCCTGCCCACATTTTATTCCAGTCATGGCTGGGGCCACCAGCTTTGAGCAAGTGCAAGCTGACCGCATGTCCCTGGCTGTCCTGCCTACCTCGCTTTCTGCCTCTGGGCTTGCCTGACATTGAGGAATGGGATGTCTGCAGAAATGTGCCAGGCACTCACACATGCGCAAACCTGGGAGGGTGGAGAGTTAATGCTCCAAGGGGCAACACACTTGACCACTGGGAGACGGGCTGGTGGACGAATGTTCCCCTCCTGTCCTTCTGACGATGTGTCAGAATGAGGCACATCACTCTTCACCACTCCTTAGACAGCCTCTAGTGGCATCATTCCCAGTTACTTAGAACGTGATGCAGCTTGGTATGAGGTTGCTGCAAAAGTCATTGCGGTTTTTACCATTGAAAGTAATACCAGAAACCGCAATCACTTTTGCACCAACATAATAAAATGTGTGTTGGCTTTCCCTCCTGCCCTGTTTCACTCTTCCTATGCCCCTAGTCCCCAACTCTGCTTCCGAGGACCACTTCCTTAAATAAATTAGTTCATACAATCCCTTATCTTAGGTTTTGCTTGACTTGAGAGGGACACAAGCTATATTTAACTCAAACACTGCCTTTGTCAAATTAAGAGTATAATAGTTACTTGTTTATATTTCTGTCTCTTCACTCAACTACAAGTTCTTTAAAGCAGGGACTATGCCTCCTTTGTCATCCAAGTAATGCATAATAAGCGCTTGTTAAGTGAATGGCTCAGGGGTAGAAAGAACAGGCTGCTGGATGAAGCTGGAAACCATCATTCTCAGCAAACTATCGCAAGGACAAAAAACCAAACACCGCATGTTCTCACTCATAGGTGGGAATTGAACAATGAGAACACATGGACACAGGAAGGGGAACATCACACACTGGGGCCTGTTGTGGTGTGGGGGGAGCGGGGAGGGATAGCATTAGGAGATATACCTAATGTTAAATGACGAGTTGATGGGTGCAACACACCAACATGGCACATGTATACATATGTAACAAACCTGCATGTTGTGCACATGTACCCTAAAACTTAAAGTATAATTAAAAAAAAAAAAAAAGAAAAGAAAGAACAGGCTGCATTTACCCTTGGCAGCTAAAGTGCATGGGGCATAAAGCACCCTTAGAAGATGCTTTTCATGCGTTACCTCATTTAATTCTAATTTAATTCTAGAGCAACCCTAGGAGGTAAGTGCTGTTATTATTCCCATTTTAAAGATGAGGAACAAGTTGAGAGAGTTAGATATCTTTTCTTTCTTTTATTTTATTTTTTTGAGATGGAGTCTCACTCTGTCTTGCCCAGGCTGGAGTGCAGTGACATGATCTCGGCTCACTGCAGACTCTGCCTCCCAGGTTCAAGTGATTCTCCTGTCTCAGCCTCCCGAGTAGCTGGGACTACAGGCGTGTGCCACCACACCTGGCTAATTTTGTATTTTTAGTAGAGACAAGGTTTCACCATGTTGACCAGGCTGGTCTCAAACTACTGACCTCAGGTGATCTACCTGCCTCAGCCTCCCAAAGTGCTGAGATTACAGGCGTGAGCCACGGTGCCCAGCCGTGAGTTAGATAACTTACCCAGAGCCACACAGCTAGAGGAAAAAGCATCAGAATTTTGAACTCTGGTCTATCTCATTCCCAAGTTGGCCTCTTATCAACTCAATTAATTATTGGGGAACTATGGAGCTTGTTATCATTACAGGATAAAGTGCTGGCGGGGAGTGCATGGAGGAGAGGTGTCTTCGTGGGCAGGGGCTGCATCATGAAGGATCTCTGTCAGGTGGTTTTTATCTTTAGGCAACGGGGAACCTCTGGAAGCTTAAAACATTTTCTCATTGTGAGCCTTTCCAAGTGTCCTGGCATTAAAAATAAATAAATAAATAAATAAATAAATAAATAAAAATACAAGCAGTTTGAAGAACTTCTGCAAGGGGGCAGGCATTGGCAGCCGATGAGACAATTCGTCTTGGAAAACTAGCGTGGGAAACTTGGTTCAGTTTTCTTTGCCTAGTGGGGCCTCTGCTCAGCCCTGTGAGTGGATCTGAGATCGATAAGTCACCCCAAGCACTGGAGACCTGCTGCTGTTCACTTTGCCTTTCGCTCCTTTCCTGCCTTCCTGTCTTCTTCCCCTCACCCTTTCTCCCCTCATTTCTCTGGCTTACTTCACAGAAGTGGAAATAGGTTCAAAAATGTGTAAGTTGGTGCAAAAGTAATCGCGGTTTTTGCCACTAAAAGCAATAGCAAAAACCGCTATTACTTTTGCACCAATGTAATAGTAGCAGCTTCCTAAACATCGCCAAGTTTGCAACATCGTGAAAGCCCAATCCACCTTCAAACAACAGCACACAAACAGCAACAGTCATCGCAACAGCAGTGTAGACCTCAGTATGTCCGCCAGCCATGGGAAAAGGTCTGTGCCCTGCCGTCACGTATCAGGAGTCCCTGTACAGTGTCCGTCCCCTCTGCACACTTTGGAAATGGTTATTGATTCCAATTTAGGCTCAGGTGACATTTGCTGAATACCTACCATGTATCAGGCTTGGTGCTGTGAGATTGAGCCTATGTTATTTCATTGAATCTTCATACTCATAGTTTGAGCTAAGTCAGATTTTCCCTGTTTACAAAGGAGGAAACTGAGTATCAGAGAGGCTAAGGTCACCGGATTGGCAGGTCATGAAGCCATATTTAAACCAGATTTTTGAACTTCTACTGTAGTGTTCCTGCCTTTAAACCACACTGGAGTGGTTGGCTGATCCTCTCTCTATGTGAGTGTGATTCAGAGTGACCGACGGAGGGTGGAGGGAGACGTGAAGCAGCTTTTTTTCTTTGATGTCATCCAGGCTTGATGCGTAGATGCTCCGGAGGGAAAAAGAGGAGTGGAGAGAGGTTGTCATTGCTCTAAACTTCAGCTTTCTGACTCCATGTACAGGGTGGGGTGGCGTGGGGGGTTCAAGCTGGAGAACTCAGGTAAGAGGAATGGGTTTAAGGGCCCAGGGAATGGAAACCCTTGGCTGACTCTCTGCTCAGCCACCGACTGTCCTGGGTAATCCTGGTGGACAGCAGAGGGCTGCGGTCCAACAAGAAATTCTATGGAACCCCTGTACAGAGGAGAGTGCTAGGGAGCAGGAGTTTCAGAGTGACCCGCTCAAGGCCATCAGTGGAAGAGCCAGGCGTGGAACTCTGGTTTCCCATCTTGAGGGCCTTGAGCGTCCCTTTGCACCAGAATTTTCCAAAGTGGGATCCACACTGTGCCCTCGGGGCAGGTGTACCGGGGGTATGGGGAGGGACACAGGTGAACGCTTCTTATTTAATAATCATAAACAACAGAGTCTCGCTCTGTTGTTTATTTTGATGTGTATTAGGAAAATACATAGCAACCACATCAAAACCATGAATACATGGATATTATTGTGAGGATGAGGATAAGTAGACAGTGCATAAAAAATAAACATTACCTGAGGAATACACTACATAATGTAATGTATATAGTGTATTAGCTTCCTATTGCTGCTGTAACAAATTACCACCAACTTATTGGTTTAAAACAATACAAATTGATCATCTTATAGTTACAGAGGCCAGAAGTCTTAAAATCATGGTGGCCGGGCACAGTGGCTCACACCTGTAATTCCAGCACTTTGGGAGGCCAAGGCAGGCGGATCACTTGAGCTCAGGAGTTCGAGACCAGCCTGGCCAACGTGGTGAAATCCTGTCTCTACTGAAAGTACAAAAAATTAGCCAGGCATGGTGGCTCATGCCTATAGTCCCAGCTACTTGGGAGGCTGAGGTAGGAGAATTGCACGGACCTGGGAGGTGGAGGTTGCAGTGAGCCAAGATCGTGTCACTGCATTCCAGCCTGGGCAACAGAGCGAGACTCCATCTCAAAAAACTAAACCCCAAAAAACAAAAACAGAAGTCTTAAAATCAAGGTGTTGCCAGGGCTGCATTTCTTCTGAGGGCTCTAGGGAAGAACTTGAGTCCTTGCTTTCTCTAGCTTTTAGAAGCTGCCTGCCTTCCTTAGCTTAGGGCCCCATCCTCACAACACACCTGGTTTTTCTGAGTTTGACCCTTCTGCCTCCCTTTTATAAGGAGCCTTATAATTACATTGGGCCCTCCTAGGAAATCCAGAATAATCTCTCCTTTTCGAGATCCTTTTAATCACATCTGCAAAGTCCCTTTTGCCATGTAAGGTGCCATATTCACAGGTTCCGGGAATTAGGACACAAGCATCTTTCGGCAGTTATCATTCTAGTAGACATGGTATGAATATGTGGTGTATGGGGAAACTCAGGCAGCTCATGTTTGAGTGATTGGAGATTGGGGAGTTCTGCTTTACACTCCAGCTGCCTCCTTATGGGCCATTTTTGGACTTGAAGTTGGCTTTCTTGGGATCTGTGTAGGTGCAGGCTTAGGCAGAGGAAAACTTTGCTATTTGAGAGCATACTTGCCTGTTCATGAGGGCTTCTATGGGAATGTCTTTCGGAGAGCTGGTAGACCTGGAATCAAATTCGGGGGTTGAGGCCACAAAGAGCGGACTGGCTCTGCATAAAAGTGTGAGGAGAGAGCAAAGGAGAATGCATAGCTTTGCTGAGGTGGTGGGAGGCAGAGGAACTCTTAAAGAACAGGGTGTCTGATATTTAATCTGGAGTTATTTTCATTCTTGCCATGGAACTGCTCCTTTGTTTCATCTCATGCTTGGAAAAAATCTATAAAAATGCTGTGTGTGTGTGTGTGTGTGTGTGTGTGCCTGTGCATGCATGGGTTGAAAAAATTACTGGCCTCCACTGGTTAATTTTTTTTTTTTCTGAGTCGCAGCCCAGGCTGGAGTACAGTGACATGATCTTGGCTCACTGCAACCTCTGCCTCCCGGGTTCAAACAATTCTCATGCCTCAGCCTCCTGAGTAACTGGGATTACACATCCAGCTAATTTTTGTGTTTTTAGTAGAGACGAGGTTTCACCATGTTGGCCAGGCTGGTCTTGAACTCCTGAGTTCAAGTGATCTGCACGCCTCAACCTCCTAAAGTGCTGGGATTACATGTGTGAGCCACTGTGCCCGGCCTGGTTAAATTTTTTTTTTTTTTTTTTTGAGATAGAGTCTCACTCTGTTGCCCAGACTGGAGTGCAGCGGGGCAAACTGCAGTCTCGAACTCCTGGTCTCAAGTGATCCTCCTGCCTCATACGCCCAAGTAGCTGGGACCACAGTTACGCATCACCACACCCAGCTAATTTTCTTGATTTTTAGTAGAGAGGAAGTCTCACTATGTTGTCTAGGCTGGTCTTGAACTCCTGAACTCAAGTGATCCTCCTGCCTCAGTCTCCCAAAGTGCTGAGATTATAGGTGTGAGCCACCGTGCCTGGCCCACTGGTTAAAATTTTTATCCCTGCCTCCTTGCTCCCTCCTATTAAAGGAAAGGCTGATTTCCTTATCTGTATCTTGAGGGACAGACTGTGATGCATAGGCTGAGTAGCTAGGCATAGGCAAAGGCAACTGTGAGAGTAAAGCATCGCAAATATCTCAGGGGAGGCTTTGGTCTTCCTCAGCATTATCTCAGTTAATCCTCACTGGGACCTCTGAGACCCAGATAAGTTGGTTTCACAATGGACCAATTGGGATTTTAGTTACATCTGTGGGACTCTAAGGCCAGTTCTGGAATTTGTTGTCTTGGACAAACATACCTGTTTCCTGCTTTTTGGAAACAGGATAGTCTCAATTCTCACCTAGACCTCATTGCATTAACTAGATCCTCCTGTATCAATTTTAATGAGTCTTCCCTTAGGGCTTTTCATGTGTGGAGAACTAGGTGGAGTGGCAAAGATAAACAAAGTCAGACACCAGTTAATGTGGTATGGACAGATATTAATCAGTAATACAGTGGTCTTCTCTTATCTGAGGGGTTATCTTCCAAGACCTCCAGTGGATGCCTGAAACCACAGATAGTACCAAACCCTATCGTATTAGTTTTCATGCTGCTGGTAATGACATACCAGAGGCTGGGCAATTTACAAAGGAAAGAGGTTTAATGGACTTACAGTTCCACGTGGCTGGGGAGGCCTCACAATCATGGCGGAAGGTAAGGAGGAGCAAGTCACATCTTAAATGGATGGTGGCGGGCGAAGAGAGAAGAGAGTTTGTGCAGGGAAACTCTCCTTTTTAAAACCATCAGATCTCATGAGACTTATTCACTATCATGAGAACAGTACGGGAAAGACCTGCCCCCAGGATTCAATTACCTCCCACTGGGTTCCTCCCACAACATGTGGGAATTCAAGATGAGATTTGGGTGGGGACACAGCCAAACCATATCACCTATATACTGTTTTTTTGATCTGATAACCCAGATTGCTACTGAGTGACTAGTGGGTGGGTGGCACAGGCAACGTGAGTACCCTGGACAAAGACATGATTTACGTCCAGGTCAGGAAAGAGTGGGATGGTGTGAGATTTCATCATGATAGCCAGAACAGACATGGAATTTACAACTTGTGAATTGTTTATTTCTGGAATTTTTCTTTTTATATTTTCAGATCACAGTTGCTGGTAACTGAAACCAGAAAGCATAAAACCTCAGAAAGGGGTTAACTACTATATACTATTGAAATAGGGAAGAAGGTCAGGTGTAAACTCAACTTTGATTTGTACGGAGGTGACCGGGCATTTTAAAGGGAGACTGGAGTAGGGTGGGGGCAACTGGGGGCTCATTTGAGTCAGAGAAAAGACAAATTACAAAAAGTAGGAAGAAAAGATTGGTCCATGTGAAACCCATCTGGGTTTGTTGCCTGGCTCTTATTGAATGTAGGTGGGCTCCTACCCTCCCACAGAGACTGGGAGACAGGCTCTGTCCTCAGGTTGCTGGAACAAACAGTACATTCTTTTGGCAACCTGGAGTTTTCTCAGGCAGGCACTTTAAGGAAGCTGGAGTTGTCCTAGGGATATGGCTGAGCTGTTAGAAACTATGTTAGTGTTTGCTCAAGTCTTTCTAGGCCATGCCTTGAGGTCTAGTAGAGAAAGGGCTCAGAGGGCCCTGGCTAGAGTTTGGTCGAGGACAGAATCTTGGTCAGGAGTGTGCTACAGTGTGTCAGGTGTGGTCCTGCACTGTTCCCAAAGTGTGTTTCTTAGAACACCATTGTGCTGGGATGGTAATAGGTGTCCATGGAAAAAGAGGTCCATAAGTAAGGAAAATATTGAAAGTTAATCCATTATCTATCTATCTATCTATCTATCTATCTATCTATCTATCTATCATCTATCTATCCATCCTCTATTTGATAGATAGATAAAACTTCTCAGAGCCTCTAATATATGCATTGGGGGTCTCCAAGAGGGAGATTTCATTAGGAATCAGTATCTAGAGAAAATGTATGCCTGGCACAGAACAAGTGCTCTGTGACTGTGTGTGTGGCATGAATGAATGAAGCAGTGAGTGGATATTAGAGACGATGGACTGCAGGAGTCTAAGAGAGGAAAGAAGGAAAGAAAACTTACTGCATCAGTGAGTAGCTCGGGACTCTGGTAATGAATGATCAAGTAAAAAAGTATGAATATTTACTTTTTTTTTTTCTTTTTTTTAGACAGAGTTTTGCTTTTGTTGCCCAACCTGGAGTACAATAGTACGATCTAAGCTCATTGCAACCTCCACCTCCTGGGTTCAAGCAATTCTCCTGCCTCAGCCTCCCGAGTAGCTGGGATTACAGGCGCCTGCCACCATGCCTGGCTAATTTTTGTATTTTTAGTAGAGACGGGGTTTCACCATGTTGGCCAGGCTGGTCTCAAACTCTTGACCTCAGATGATCCGCCCACCTTGGCCTCCCAAAGTGCTGGGATTATAGGCATGAGCCACTGCACCCAGCCGATTATTTACTATGTTAATAGCTACTATTTATTAAGCAACTACTATGTGCTGGGCATGATGGTAGATGCTTTCTTCTATTATCTTTTTTAGTTAAAACAGATCAAGAAATATAATTAAACATTTAGGAGGGTTTTTGTAGGCTTGGTTTATAGAAGTAATCACTAAAAGCAATTGTGATAATCTGACAAAGACTTAAGCTTACCTGTGGTCATAATAGGAAGGGCTAAAGACCAGCTAACCCTCCAAGCCACTTGAAATATTAGTAATTAATGGCAGAGTGTTATGCATAATTAGACACTAGTAGTGTGCAGCTTTTTTTGAAATGCAGCATTTACATTGGACGTCAATCTTTGCTTTCGTCAGGAAACCACCAGCGTACTGTACGTTGTTAAATGAAAGCAAGCAGCCAGGTTAAATTCTAATTAAACATTACCATTGTTATTTGAAAAATAACAGCTTAGTGTTGGTGTCAAATTGACTTTTATCCACGAATGGAATTAGAACATTTTGTCATTTTAGGCTGTCTAATACATGTGAATAACACTTCCTGAGAAGCTGTCTTTGACTTTAGTTAAGTTGAAACAAAGAGAATTAATATGGTGAGGATGTAAATGAGGATGTCATTTAGCAAAAGAAAAGGATTATGTTGTATCTGTTTTCCTTTGAGCCTCTACCGGTGCTTTGTAAGCAGGCTGGACATTTTTCTGGACTGTGAATTCCAAATGTAGCTCCTGTTACTGCATGGTGGTTCAGTGGGTAAGCTGTTCCCGTTTGCTGCGTGCAACTTTCCCAAACCAGCTGTCTGAGCAGGGAAATGAGTGGGCTTTCCCAAGGGGCAGAAGGATAAAAGAAGAAAGAAAACTTTGAGTTTTAAGAAAATGTGTACTGAGAATGAATGTATCAAGAACTTGTTAGGATAGAAAGTAAATTTAAGGCAGAATTGCACATATATAAAGCTGGTAGGGAGGTGGCACGGTGGTGGGCATTGAGAACCAGACAGACTGATTGACTAGTTATTGATTAAGTTCTCCTATGTGCCAGACCCTGGCAGTCACTGCCTTTGAGAATCTTAGATTTCAGAACTATGAGGAAGACCTACAATTGCAATGGGATTGTGGAGTGGACAGCACAGTGCAAATCTCAAATCTTTTAGTTTCTACCTATGTGATCTTGGACAAATTATTTCACCTGTCTGATTCTCATGTTTTTCATTTGTAAAATGGGGGCACTAGCCTCAACCTCACAGATTTATTGTGAGGATGAAGCGAAATACTACATTAAGAGATCTAGTATAGTGTCCTGAATACACATAGCCCTCAGTAACCTGCTAGTGTCCTTTGTCTTAATACCGAAACCACCTTTGTCTTAATACTGAAAAAACAGACAGAGAAAGAGATTTGACCTAACCAACTCCATCTTGCTTCTAACCTCCAAGCTGTCCTTGTTCATTCCGGGGTGTAGGCTGAACTAACTTTGAGAGGAAATTAGTTTATGGTTTAAAACAAAGACAATAACAGCCCTTTCCCAAAACAAACCTCCTTCTTGCCTGGGGACTAGACTGCCTTTGCAGGACTAACAAGTTAGCCACAAGATTAGAAATTATAGTTTAGGGCCGGGCATGGTGGCTCACGCCTGTAATCCTAGCATTTTGGGAGGCTGAGGTGGGCGGATCACTTGAATTCAGAAGTTTGAGACTAGCATGGCCAACATAGGGAAATCTCGTCTCTACTAAAAAAAAAAAAAAAAAAAAAAAAAAAAAAAAAAATTAGACAGGCATGGTTGTGTGCCTATAATCCCAGCTACTCTGGAGGCTGAGGCAGGACAATCGCTTGAACCTGGGAGGCCGAGATTGCAGTCAGCTGAGATTGCGCCACCGTACTCCAGCCTGGGAAACGGAGACTCTCTCAAAAAAAAAAAAAAAAAAAGAAATAGTTCAGAAGTCAGGCAGCTGGAGGCTACAAGATTCTGACCCTCCCTAAACTGCTCCTAAGATCAGGGCTTGAGACATTTTGCAGACCCTGCACTTGACGGATCAGCTGGCACCACCCAGATTGATAAACTGGCTCATCTGGTCTTGTGGTCCCCATCCAGGAACTGACTCAGCTGCAGGAGGACAGCTTCAATTCCCTATGAGTTCATCTCGGACCCAACCAATCAGAGCTCTTGACTCACTGGCTTCCCCCTACCCACCAAGTTGTCCTTAAAAACTTTGATCCCCGAATGCTTGGGGAAACCAATCTGAGTAATAATAAAACTCAAGTCACCTGCACAGCTGGCTCTGTGTGAATTACTCTCTCTATTGCAATTCCCCTGTCTTGATAAAATGGCTCTATCTAGGCAGCTGGCAAGGTGAATCCATTGGGTGGTTACAATACCTCCCTTAGTAGACTAAAGAACAACTTGGATAAAACCAGCAAGAAATGGATTATATCGAGGGAAATTGTCATGCCCATCCAAGACCATGATAAGGAATGAGGAAGTAACATAATGGAAGGATTCTGTCTCTTCTCATTGGGACTGACTCTAAGCACCTCTGATTAGATGTCATTCTATGTCTGGGATGATCTCAGGACTATGGTATTGTCCTCTTGTGCTATCAATTTTAACTCACAAATGGATGTCGATGTCATTTATTCTCTTATTCTACAGACCTTCATTGGCTACATGGGTAGTATGGGCAAGAGATAGGTGGTCCTGACGGAGGAGTGGGAAGAGCCAGTGCTCTGGAGTGGGATTACTTTCTGGCTGCCTGCTCAGGAAAGTTGTTTCACCATTCTCAACCTCAGTTTCCACATCTGTAATATATGGAAATTAATTTCTACCTCATAGGATTGTTGTAAGTATTAAATGAGATATTATTGTAATGCTTAATTAAATGAGATAATATATTTAAAAATATAATTCCCCTAGATATAATACATATGTATACATAATATATACATATAATACATATGTATACATAACATATACGTATAATACGTATGTATACATAATCTATGCATATAATACATATGTATACATAATCTGTGCGTATATAATACATATGTATACATAATCTGTGCGTATATAATACATATGTATACATAAGCTGTGCATATATAATACATATGTATACATAAGCTGTGCGTATATAATACATATGTATACATAAGCTGTGCGTATAGAATACATATGTATACATAAGCTGTGCGTATAGAATACATATGTATACATAATCTGTGCGTATAGAATACATATGTATACATAATCTGTGCGTATAGAATACATATGTATACATAATCTGTGCGTATATAATACATATGTATACATAAGCTGTGCGTATAGAATACATATGTATACATAAGCTGTGCGTATATAATACATATGTATACATAAGCTGTGCGTATAGAATACATATGTATACATAATCTGTGCGTATAGAATACATATGTATACATAATCTGTGCGTATATAATACATATGTATACATAAGCTGTGCGTATAGAATACATATGTATACATAAGCTGTGCGTATATAATACATATGTATACATAAGCTGTGCGTATATAATACATATGTATACATAAGCTGTGCGTATATAATACATATGTATACATAAGCTGTGCGTATATAATACATATGTATACATAAGCTGTGCGTATAGAATACATATGTATACATAAGCTGTGCGTATATAATACATATGTATACATAACCTGTGCATATATAATACATATGTATACATAATCTGTACATATATAATACATATGTATATATAAAGGGATTGGTAACCAAATCTCTATATAATATTATATCTCTGTTACGGGAGTGGGGCAGGGAAGTGCTGGATAGAGAAGGGCAGGGTCCTTGGCAAAAGCTCCAACTTCAGGCCTGTGCCCACAGACCTAAGTGAGAAGATGCGCTCCTGTTTTCAAGCCTGAATGTTGCATTTTCCAAGACCACTGTGGCCTGCCACACTCCCCATCCTGTGTCCATACAAACCTGAGACCTTAGAGGGCACACCCACAAGTGGCTGCACATTGAGACCAGCAGACCAGCAGACCAGCAGACTAGAAGACCAGCAGACCAGCAGACCAGCAGACTAGCAGACCAGCAGACCAGTGATGGTGGAACAATGCAGCAGAAAAAGAGAGAAAAGGAGAGACGTCTGGACACCGAGGGGAGTTCAGCCTGAGGTGGTTGGAGAAGAGTCCGCTCACTGGGCCCAACTCCAGAGGAAACCACATTCCCACTCCATCCCCCTTTCTGGCTCCCCATCCATCTTGCTGAGAGCCACCTCCATCACTCAATAAAACCTTGCTCTCATCCTTCAAGCCCGCGTGTGATCCAATTCTTTTGGGACACTGGGCAAGAGCTTGGGATACAGAAGGTTGTCACAATGCCCCCTGCCCTTGCTATAAGGCAGAGAGTCCATTGAGCTGATTAATACACAAGCTGTCTGCAGACGGCAAAGCTAAAGGAGTACAGTGTAACACATGCCCGCTTGGGCTTTGGGAGTCTCAGACACGCACCCCTAGATGCTGCCGTGGGGCCAGAGCCCAAAAGTGCTTACTCCAGTTCTTGCACCTGCCCATCTGCATGCCCTCCCTTCTGTAAAGGGTTTGAGCTGTGGGGGGACCAAACAGCATGACCACATCCCTGTTGCACGACCATGCCCCTGTTGCAAGGGGAATCAGGGAACTCTCCCATTTCATTAGTTTGTTCATGCTGGTCTAAAAAAAAAAATACCTGAGATTGGGTAATTTATAAACAATAGAAATTTATTCCTTACAGTTCTGGAGGCTGGGAAGTCCAAGATCAAGGTGCCAGCAGACTCAATGTCTGGTGAGGCCTGCTCTTTGTTTCCAAGATGGCACCTTCTAGCTGTGTCCTCAGACAGCAGAGGGCAGAAGGCAAAAAGGGCCTTGCTATTTCCTTCCAGCCCTTTTATAAGTGTGCTAATCCAATTCATGAGGGTGAAGCTCATGGCCTGATCACCTCATAAAGGCCCCACCTATTAATACTGTAGCATTGGGGAATAATTTTCAACATGAATTTTGGAGAGAACACAAACATTCAAATTATAGCAATATCTTAAAACCTGTAAACTCCTTATGCACAAGACTGTGTCTTATTTGGAAAGCAATATGGCATCATGGTTAAGTGGGAGCTCTGGAGTCAAGTCTGGAGTTTAAACCTTAGCTCCAGGTTACCAACCTTACCAGCTGGTGTTCTTGAGCAAAGGATGTATCTCTGGAACTCAATTTCTGAAATGTGAACATTAGGATAATAGTACTACCCCACAAGGTTTTGTGAGAATTCAATAGTGTATAATGAACTTTTGCTTGAGGATGAGGGAGCAGTTCGTGATGGATTAACCCTTGACAGAAGTATACAAGCTAGAAAAATTATGAAAAACAGGCACTTGAAGGCCTCAGAAAACAGCCAAAGCAGCAATGAATTTTGATAATATTTTATTTCTTGATCTGACTAGTGATTACATAGATTTTTTTCACCTTGTTGAGATTGATTGAGCTGTACTCTCATAAACTTTTCCGTGTATATTACTTCAGTAAGAAAATATACTAAAAAAAGAGAATTGGACATTATAATCACTGATTGTAGCACTAGAATGGAGTACGTGCATCCAGACATTATCTGGCCTTTTTTTTTTTTTTTTTAAATGCTCTGGCCTAGTTCTGTTCCCTATACATAGGAGATACTTAACAGATATATGTAGAATCTAATTGAATGTGAAGTTCTGCTTTTTCATGGTGCTTCTTGAAAATATATTTTCTCTTCTTTTATTCCCTCTCAGAGACCCATTGCCTTATGAATTCTTTCCTCTATTGTTTATACCAAGTTGATTATTTAAAAAGAAACCTTAATTGCACACCTTTTCCTTTAGAGGTATCAATATAATGTTTGCTTTTAAAGAGATGTCATTTCTCCAGTATTGTGATTAAACTCTCTGCCGAACTTGGGGTTGAGTTTCCAAACACTCCTTGAACACAATGTCAAATCCATGGATGATGTCGTAACGCTCACTCACTGCCACTTTAGTGGCTTCTCCAAGCAACATGCTCTTTGCACCGAAATCAATGGCAGCAGATTTCTATAAAGTGGAGAGAATCCTAAGCAGGTAATAATTTTCTGTATGTATATGATCTAATGAAGAAAAGAAAATTTTAATAAAGTTTAAGTGTTTCCTTAAAATGAAGGCACTGCTCTACTTTGTAATCCTTGAACTAAAGCAATAAATCAGGAAGAGCCTTATTTGAACTGAGAATTTTAAGGTGCTCTGGATAAGTCTGAAAGTGAGGAGGCTTTGTTGTCCAGTGGAAAGAGGGGTCAGAGAGCTTGGCTTCCCTCCACTCATCTTTTCCTCCCCTCTTTCAGACACTTTACTTCTGAACAACAAATTGGTGTCTAGTCCCCCTTTACAAATGAGTTATAGTTCTTTGAGAGTACCAGCTTTAAATCTAGGTAAAACTAATTTAGGCATAGCTCAGATATATTGTGGGTTTGGTTCTAGACCATTGCAATAAAGCCAATTCACAATAAAGTGAGCCAACAATGTTTTGGTTTCCCATTACATATAAAAGTTATTTTTATACTATACTGTAGTGTATTAAGTATACAACAGCATTACATCTCACAAACAAGGTACATGCATTACATACAAATACTTTATTGCTAAAAAAGCTAATGATTATCTGAGCTTTCAGAGAGTCATAATATTTTTGCTGGCAGAGAGTCTTGTCTTGATGTTGATGGCTGGTGACTGATCAGGGTGGTGGTTGCCGAAGGTTGGGGTTGCTCTGGCAATTTCTTAGAATAAGACAACAATGAAGTTTGCTGCATCAATTGACTCCTTTTTACAAAATATTTCTTTATAGCATGTGATGCCGCCTGATAGCATTTTACCCACAGTTGAACTTCTTTCAGAATTGGAGTCAATCCTCTTAAACTCTGCCACTGCTTTATCAATTAAGTTGATGTAATATTCTAAATCCTTTCTTGTCATTTCAACAATATTCACAGCATCTTCACTAGGAGTAGATTCCATCTCAAGAAACCACATTCTTTGCTCATCTATAAGAAGTACCTCCTCATATATTCAAGTTTGATCATGAGATTGCAGCATTTCAGTTACATCCACAGGTTCCATTTCGAATTGTAGTCTCTTGTTATTTCCACCACTTTTGCAGTTACTTCCTGCACTGAAGTCTTGAATCCATCAAAGTCATCCATAAGGGTTGGAATCAACTTCTTTCAAATTCCTGTTATTGTTGATATTTTGACCTCCTTCCATGTATTGTGCATGTCTTTAATGCCATCTAGATAGATGAATCCTTTCCAGAAGGTTTTCAGTTTACTTTGCCCAGATCCATCAGTGGAATCACTATCGATGGCAGCTAGAGCCTTATGAAATGAATTCTTGACCCATGTGCTACAGAATGGATGTTGTTTCAGCAGGCATAAAAAGAGCATTAATCACTTTGTACATCTCTATCAGAGCTCTTGGATGACCAGGTGCATCGTCAATGAGCAGTAATATTTTGAAAGGAATATTTTGTTCTGAGCAGTAGATCTCAACAGTGGGCTTAAAATATTCAGTAAATTATGTGTAAACAGACATGCTGTCATCCAGGCTTTTTCCCCCTTCTTATAGAGCACAGACAAAGTAGATTTAGCATAATTCTTAAGGACCCCAGGATTTTTGGAATGGTAAATGAGCACTGGTTTCAACTTAAAGTCACCAGCTGCATTAGTTTCTGACAAGAGAGTCAGCCTGTCCTTTGAAACTTTGAAGACAGGCATTGACATCTCCTCTCTAGCTGTGAAAGTCCTATTTTGGCATCTTCTTCCAAAATAAGATTGTTTTATTTGCATTGAAAATCTGTTGTTTACGAGAACACATGGACACAGGGCGGGGAACATCACACACCAGGGCCTGTCGGGGGGTGGGGAGCTGGGGGAGGGATAGCATTAGGAGAAATACCTAATGTAAACGACGAGTTGATGGGTGCAGCAAACCAACATGGCACATGTATACCTATGTAAAAAACCTGCACGTTGTGCACATGTCCCCTAGAACTTAAAGTATAATAACAATAAAAAAAAGAAAATCTGTTGCTTAGTGTAATAACCTTCATCAGTGATCTTAGCTAGATCTTGTGAATAACTGGCTGCAGCTTCTTCATCAGCACTTGCTGCTTCACCTTGCGTTTTTGTTACAGAGAGAGTTTCTTTTCTTAAACCTCATGAACCAATCTCTGCTGGCCCCAACTTTTCCTCTGCAGCTTCCTCACTTCTCTCAGCCTTCGTAGAACTGAAGAGAGTTAGGGCTTTGCTCTGTATTAGACTTTGGTTTAAGGGAATATTGTGGCTGACTTGATCTTCTATCCAGATCACTGAAACTTTCTCCATATTAGCAATAAGAGTGTTTCACTTTCTTACCATTCATGTGTTCACTGGAGTAGTACTTTTAATTTCCTTCAAAAACTTTTCCTTTGCATTTACAACTTGATTAACAGTTTAGTGCAAGAGGCTTAGCTTTGGCCTAGCTGGGCTTTTGACCTGCCTTCTTCCCTAAGCTTAATCATTTCTAGCCTTTGATTTAAAGTGAGAGACCTGTGACTCTTCCTTTCTTTTGAACACTTGGAATCCATTGCAGGGTTATTAATTGTCCTAATTTCAATATTGTTGTGTCTCAGGGAATAGGGAGCCCAAAAGGGAAGTGGACTAGTCAGAACACATAAAACATGTATCAATTAATTTCACTGTCTTATATGGGCATGGTTAGTGGTGCCCCAAAACAATTATAATAGTAGCATCGAAGACTATGGGTCACAGATCACAATAACAGATATAATAATAATGAAAAAGCTTGAAATATTGCAAGAACTACTAAAATGTGACACACAGACATGAAGCGAACATATGCTGTTGAAAAAATGATGATGCCAATAGACTTAGTTGACACAGGATTGCCACAAACCTTCAATTTCAAAATATGCAACAAAGCAAAGTGCAATAAAAGGAGGTATGCCTTTAGTAAAAACTGGAAGTCAAACTTATAAAGGGGTGAAAACAAGAAGGGTTGATCACTTTGTGCAGACCTTTAGTTTTGTCTTCCAGTCCTTCCCACACTGCAATGCATGACCTAGCAAATTTCAGGGTCTCTAGCGTGCAGCAGAAAGCTTCATAGTCAAAGTTAGTTTTAGAGTTTGGTGACCTAATTCTTTTGTCTTTGTTTTTGTCTCTGCAAATTCCTTACATTTGTGCCAGCTTACTTAGTGATGCATTTCAAAGATAGTTTAAAAAAAGATTTCATTTCGTATTTTAGTGATTTTCCATTAGAAGGGTAGTTCGAAGTACCTGGTCTTCCATCCTGCTGGAAATAAAAATCCCTTTAATGCCTGTACTAGTCAGGGTTCTCCAGTGAAACAGAACAGTATATAAAACTACACATTTATATATGTATTTAAAGAAAGAGATTTGTTATAAGGAATTGGTTCGTGTGACTATGGAGGATGAAAAGTCCTGAGATGTGCAATCAGCAAGCTGGAGGCCTAGGAGAGCCAGTGGTGCGGTTTCAGTATGAGAGCTGACAGGCTCAAGACCCTAGAAAAGCTGATACCTGATACAATCCCATTTGTTTATTTTTGCTTTTGTTATATCAAACTAAAAAACTTCTGCACAGCAAAGGAAACAATCAACAGAGTAAAAAGCCTACAGAATGGGAGATTTTTTTTTTTTTTTTTTTTTTTTATTAGATGGAGTCTTGCTCTGTCACCAGGTTGGAGTGCAGTGGCGCGATCTTGGCTCACTGCAACCTCCACCTCCTGGGTTCGATTCCCCTGCCTCAGCCTTCTGAGCAGCTGGGACTACAGGCGTGCATCACCACACCCGGCTAATTTTTTTTTTTTTTTGTATTTTAGTAGAGATGGGGTTTCACCATGTTGGCCAGAATGGTCTCGATCTCCTGACCTCAGGTGATTGTGGCATGATCTCAGCTCACTGCAACCTCCGCCTCCTGGGTTCAAGCGATTCTCCTGCCTCAGCCTCCTGAGTAGCTGGGATTATAGGCGTGCCCCACCATGCCTGGCTAACTTTGTATTTTTAGTAGAGACGGGTTTTCTCCATGTTGGTCAGGCTAGTCTCGAACTCGTGACCTCAGGTGATCTGCCTGCCTTGGCCTCCCAAAGTGCTGGGATTACAGGTGAGAGTCATCACGCCTGGCTGAGACTGGGTAATTTACAAAGAAAAAGAGGTTTAATGGACTCACAGTTCCACATGGCTGGGGAGGTCTCACAATCATGGCAGAAGGCAAAGGAAGAGCAAGGTCACATCTTACATGGCAGCAGGAAGGAGAGAACTTGTGCAGGGAAACTCCCATTTATAAAACCATCAGATCTCGTGAGACTTATCCACTATCACAAGAACAGTGTGGGAAAGATCCACCCCCGTGATTCAATCACCTCCAACTGGGTCCCTCCCATGACACACGGGAATTATGGGAGCTACAATTCAAGATGAGATTTGGGTGGAGACACAGCCAAACCATATCATCAGAGAACTGCATATCAAAACCACAGTGAGGTATCATCTCACCCCAGTTAGGATGGTTATTATCAAGAAGATTAAGAAAAAATGCTGGCAAGGATGTGGAGAAATGGGAACTCTTACTCTTGGTGGGAATGTAAACTAGCACAGCCACTGTGGAGAAGAGTATGGAGGGTCATCAAAAAGCTACAGATAAAACTGTCATATGATCCAGCAGTCCCATTTATCCAAAGGAAAGAAAATCAGTGTATTGAAGAGACATCTGCAGTCCCATGTTTATTGCAGCTCTTTTCAAAATAGCCAAGATATGTAATGAACCTAGGTGTTCAACAACAGATAAATAGATAAAGAAAATGTGGCATATATACACAATGGAACACTATTCAGCCATAAAAAGGAATGAAATCCTGTCATTTGCGGCAACATGGATGGAACTGGAGGAAATTATGTTGTTAAGTACAAGTCAGGAACAGAAAGTTAAACACCACATATTCTCAGTCATATGTGGAAGCTAAAAAATAGTTGATCTCATAGAAGTAAGAAATAGAACAGAGGAGACTAGAAGGTGGGAAGCGTAAAGAGAAAGGGGGATAGGAAGAGATTGGTTAAGGTTATAAAATTACAGTTAGATAGGAGGCATAAGTTCTAGTTTACCACAGCACTGTAGAATGACTATAGTTAACAATAATTTATATAGTTTCAAATAGCTAGAAAGAGAGCATTGAATGTTCCTGATACAGAATTGCTGGGTCCTGGCTAACCTCCACCCTCAAGCCTGGAACCTGGGCCCTAAGTGAAAGCAGCTGACCTCATTTTTTCTGCTCAAATAATTGCCTTTTTGGCCCTCCCCACCCCCATCCTGTGCCCATAAAAAGACTTCGTCTGGCAGAGCAACACAAGTGGCTGGTGCAAGTGGTTGGGGATGCAAGCTGCTGAGCCTCGGAGATACAAGTTGGTGAACTTTGGGGATACAAGCAGCTGAGCATCAGAGACTATGGAGACGCAGTTAACTTCAGATGGTTCAGTTTCAGGGAAAGATCATCTTCTTCCCATACCACCCCCTTTCCAATTCCCCATCCCACTGAGTGCCACTTTTATCACCCAGTAAAATCCTCCACATACACTACCCTTCAAATAGTTCATGTGACCTGATTCTTCCTGGATACCGAACAAGAACTCAGGTGTCAAAAAGGACAGGTGCAGGAGGCTATCACTCTGACCCTTCACTGAGCTGCTAACAGTTAGCCATCCATGGACTGCAGGCTGAGTGAAATGAGCCACTCCAGTTCCTGCCCACAAAGGGGGTCGAGGTCAAGGAAACAATCCCATCTCAGTCCCAACACAAAAAAAAGATAAATGTTTGCCATGATGGTTATA
This sequence comes from Homo sapiens, assembly GCF_000001405.40. Lineage (NCBI taxonomy): Eukaryota > Metazoa > Chordata > Mammalia > Primates > Hominidae > Homo > Homo sapiens. The sequence goes on along the minus strand of NC_000004.12, from coordinate 17,450,997 downwards.
TTAATTGCCCTGATCTGATCACTATGCCTTACATATGTATTGCAATATCACTAAGTATGCCATACATATGTACAATTATGTGTCAATTAAAAAAATTAAAAATAAATAACTAAAAAGAAAAAGAGCTGATGTTTCAGTATGAGTCTTAAGGCCTGAAAAGACCAATGTCCTGGCTCAAGGCAGTTAAGCAGGAGAAGTTTCCCTTTATTCAGACTTTTTGTCCTGTTAAGGTCTTCATTTGATTGGATGGGGTCCTCCCACATTAGGGAAGGCAATCTTCTTTTCTTAGTGTACTGATTCAAATGTTAATCTCATCCAGAAACACCCTCACAGACACACCCAGTATAACGTTTGACCAGATATCTGGGCATCTAATGGCCCAGGCAAACTGACACATAAAATTAACCATCACAATGGATTATCCACAAAAGGGCAGCTATCTCCCTAAGGGGAATTCAGCTCTAGCTTTTGAAGTTTTTTTTCCTCTTTGTCACATGCATTATCCTATGTAGATCTGGTCATTCATTTATTCATCAAGGACCTCCTGAGAGCCTGCTGTGTGCCAGACACTACTTTGGATACTGGGGAGACAGTGAACAAAGTAGACTTATTGTGTAAAAAAAGTACACACTGGCAGTATCCTAATTTTGTGTAAATGGCTTCTGAAAATGTGCATAAAATAAAATGTAAGAAAATCTAAACAATAGGCTTATCTAGTATTAAGGGAGGGTTCATTCAGAAAAAAGCTAAGAAATATTATAAAACTTCTATTTATATCTTGCCTTTTAGTCATAATTTTGACAACAGATTCCCAACTTTTCAGAATATTTCTAAATTTGTTTTGATTGTTGTCTTTCTATGAGTGAACACACAATTGCTCTTGTTAAGCCCCATGAGTGTGTGTTTGAAGCTAAAGATGCGTCATTTTAGACACATATAATGGTCTCCATCTCTATCTCACTTCTAATAGGTTTGTGATATTTACAGTTCTTATCAGGTATTAGGGTTTTTATTTTTTAGGTTTTCACTTACTATACGACATAAGGACCAACGCTCTGCAACTTTACTAAAGAAAATAAATAATCTTTATACACTGATTACTTAGTTATGGGCATTTTGTTAAGTGCCTTATGAATATTATCTTTTTAAATCCTGGGATAGGAGTACATCCCTGGACCATTTATAGAACTGCATTCTGTTCAATGAGTTATTACAGAGAAAGGGAAGTGGATGAAGTTGAAAAGATCATCATGCCATAATGGATAGTACACAAAAGACATAATTAGCATGAAAAAAATTCAGCTTATTCAAATAGAACTGTAGTTACTCTAATGAATAAATGATCCCTTGATTATACTTTCAAGTAATACCAAGTCTAAAAATGGTTGTTAAACCAACAACTTCTAAGTTTTAATTGATTTGGAATGAATATGTGGGCCTCCATTATCATAAGCCAGACCAATGTAGTTGAGATGCCCATTTTCCCACTATTCCTAGCCCTGAACTTGGCTAAACTGCTCAACTCTTTGAGCCTCAGTTTATTTTTCTGCAAAATGGGAGCAATCGTAAGAACGTCAAAGGATGCGAAAAGGATAAAGTAATTTATCCTTTAATAAAGGATAAAATAAAGTTTAATAAATAAAATAAAAGAACATACAGTTTGGAACTTGGAACATCATAGTTGTTTGAAAAATATTTGGGCTTCTATTTCCTGCAGTCAGGTATATTCTAAGTATTCAATGAATATTTGTTGGAGGTGTTGAATTCCAATATCTATAAGCAAAGAGAAGTATTATATTAAAATAAAATTAGTTATTGAATTTGGTGTTAAATAGTTTAGTCTAGAGCTGCCTCTTTACATATTTTAAGTTCAGCCTAAAGATTTCTCTGTACATCATGAACTATAACCTAAACGGAGATATAAACAGACTGTAACCTACTCTTGTGCCAATCACCGAGTTTTGGCCAGTCAAAGGGTGCCAACTGTTCAAACCGTGTTCAAATAAGGTAAATGCCTGAGCTGTCACCAGTCCAGCTGTTTGTATACCTCACTTCTGTTTCCTGTGTGTCACTTTCCTTTTTCTGTTCATAAATCTTCTTCCACCCTATGGCTGCTCTGGACTCTCTGAGCCTACTCTGGCTCTGGAGGCTGGCTGATTCATGAATCATTCTTGCTCAATTCAACTGTTACATTTACTTTGGCTAAGGTTTTTCTTCTAACATTGGAAAGAAAGCTGAAACCTTTCAAACTTTACTCTTGAATCTTCTTTTCCTTGTCAGGGAACTCTTCAAGGGTGGATGTCCTGGAATGGCCAATTATTTGTCTAAATGCTTTGTTTCTTTCCTAACCAATTAGGCTAAAACACCTCTGGTAAACAAATAGGCATACAGGCCCCCCGCCCTCACCACCCCATAAATAAGACTGTAGGTGAGAAAGGCAGGGAGGCTGCACTTTCCCCTTCTGATCTGTGCAGGGGAGGTTTCTGCTTCAGGGGATGTGGAGGAGACTGGTCCTGGCTTAGTCTTCTTAGGTAAATCTTTGGCGGGAGCAGCAAGCTGCCCCTTCTAATCTGCCTTCCAAGTGCATGTAGTGGTTCATGGCACTGCTTTACAAGAGGGATGGGTTTGATGGGTGGAGCACTTGCACATTTTTAACTTATAAAAGTCCTTGTGAGCCAGGCACAGTGCCTCATGCCTGTAATCCCAGAACACTGGGAGGCTGAAGTGGGAGGATCACTTGAGGCCAGGAGTTGGAGACCAGCCTGGGCAATATAGTGAGACTCTGTTTCCACCAAAAAAAAAAAAAAAAAAAAAGAAAAAAAAGAAAAAAAAATTAGCTGGGTGGTGGCACACACCTGGAGTGTTAGCTACTCAACAGGCTGAGGTTGGTGAATTGCTCAAACCTAAGAGGTTGAGGCTTCAGTGAAGTTGGTTATGATTGTACCACTGGGCATCCAAGTCTGGGCAACAGAGAGAGACCCTGTGTCCAAAAAACAACAACAAAAAAGTTATTGTGAAACCCTTAGAAGAGACAGTACCAGAGCTTATCAGTATCTGGTTTTTCTTTCCTTTCTGGGTCCA